>NC_000004.12:16197916-16822916 GCF_000001405.40 Homo sapiens | reverse complement strand
CCTGCAAGTATTAAGAATACTAATAGACATGGAATATGTAGACTATCTCCTGGCACATAGTATGTGCTTAGTAAATACTGGTTGTTAATATAAGAGCACGTGGTCGGGCACGGTGGTGCATGCCTGTAATCTCAGCACTTTGGGAGGCTGAGGCGGGTGGATCACTTGAGGTCAGGAGTTCAAGACCAGCCTGGCCAACATGGTGAAACCCTGTGTCTACTAAAAATACAAAAAATTAGCCGGGCGTGGTGGCACGTGCCTGTAATTTCCAGCTACTTGGGAGGCTGAGGCACGAGAATCACACCAGGAGGCAGAGGTTGCAGTGAGCCGAGATCGTGCCACTGTAGCACTCCAGCCAGGGCGAAAGAGCAAGACTCTGTCTCAAAAAGAAAAATAATAATAATAATACAACAGCACATGACAGAGAAAACTAAGATTATGTAGAGAGTATGGGAAGACCAGACCCCTGAGAGGAAATATTTAAACTCAGACCTAAAAAAAATTCCGTGGACACTCTTAAAGACATCCTCCACTTGACATACTCTCTAGGTTAGCTGACATGCTTTCTTTCCTCTGTAAAACATTGTTTGTGCCCTAAGCTTATGGCCATTAGTCATGCTATCTCTGCTTTAACCAATGGTCTATTAGCCTACCTACTACCAGGCCATTTTATATCAGATAAAAGAATATCTACTGTAAAAATAATAGTTAATATTCATGGTGGCAGACCCTAGACACAGATAGCAGCTGAGCTGTACATAGGCAAGTATATATGAATTATCTCAGTCAACTTTTTTTTTTTTTTAACAATCCTAGTAAGCCTTCTTTTGATGTCCATTTTACAAATGAGACCTTGAGGTGATAAGCTACTAAGTAGCAGAGCTAAGATATGAGTCTAGGTCTCTCTGGGGCTAAGCCTGCTCAGCTGAAAGCTCTTGGGAAATTTGTTAGGTGGAAAAAGTGAGTGTGAACATTCCAGAAAAAGAAAACTGTTCAAAACCTCTAAACTGAGATGGGTTCCAGGAGTCCTTCCTTCCAGCTCTCACGTTCATTATTTAATCATAGAGGCCACTAGTTTCACTGTAGAAAATGAGGCTTAGAGAACCTGGGCGATTTGCCCAGTGGCTTTACCTTATAAATTCCTGATTTTTTTTTTTTTTTTTTTTTTTTGCTTTAATGTTGGAATGGTTTCCATTTTCAGGTACCAAGGATAAAATTCAAATATTCCGGCCGGGCGCGGTGGCTCACGCCTGTAATCCCAGCACTTTGGGAGGCCGAGGTGGGCAGATCACGAGATTAGGAGATTGAGACCATCCTGGCTAACACGGTGAATCCTCGTCTCTACTAAAAATACAAAAAAAAAAAATTAGCTGGGCGTGGTGGCGGGCGCCTGTAGTCCCAGCTACTCGGGAGGCTGAGGCAGGAGAATGGCGTGAACCCGGGAGGTGGAGCTTGCAGTGAGCCGAGATGGCGCCACTGCACTCCAGCCTGGGCGACAGAGCGAGACTCCGTCTCCAAAAAAAAAAAAATAAAAAAAAAATTCAAATATTCCATGTAGACGGCTAGTGGTTTAAGAGGCTATGAGCTCTTTTCTACCTTTTTGAAAAACAAAATAAAAATAACACTCTTGATACCAAAACTTGCACTGAAACTCTCAGGATAGCTAGATCAATGCTTCCTTTATGTTAATTGCTTCCAAACCTTCCCTGTCTTTAGATTGAGTGGGAATGATGACGGAGCGAGAAAGCGAGACAATTTAACACGGAAGAAGGTGCCAAATGGGTAAAATATTTTGCAGAAAATTAGCTCCAACTTTGCACATTCTCTACTGTCAAAAAATAATGAGTATTTTTCTTTTATAGCTGTAAAGCAATTGATGAGTGGTCAATCCATTTAAAAATTATCAACTCATAATAAAAAGTTAAAAAAAACTGTAAACATTTAGTATGTGATAAGACCATTGCCAATGGAAATTTGCCATTTAGAGAAATTAGGCTTTTGGGGAGCGGTGGGGGAAACATCCCTTATACCATTAAACATTATCATTCTGATCTTTGTCCTAAAGTGACTTTAAAAATAAGATTGAAATATTGTCGGACCATTTTGAGTATGTACTGTGCAGAAAAATTTTACTCTATTTTCCTTCTGTTCTCTGTTTTTTTTTCTCTCAAAATTTGGAACAAAAGGGATTAGAGTTAAAAGCATGAAGAACAAGCTCTTTAAATGCTGCATATTCACATGAAGAGAAAGCGTGGTACACATGAGCTTCTTTACAGAGAACATGCCAGGCGTATTTCCTCTGGAGCCTCTGCCCTAACAAGTTCACTGCCAGGAAAGCTCTGCCCGGTATGGGGCTGACTCCTTCCTGCCATTCAGATCTCAGCCCAAATGTCACTTCCTTCGATGTTCCCTTGACCTGCACTGCTGAAGTCATCACTGACGGTTTTTCCCCCTCTATAACACTTATCACAATCTGCAGTGATCGTGTTCCTTTGTTTTCTTGTTCCTCCCTTGTCTTCCCCCTCAGCTAAGCTGTAAACTCCAGGGAACCTGCTCTTGTTCACCAATAACAAGAGCAGTGAGCAGTGCCCAACAGAAAGTAGATCCCCAATAAATATTTTTGAATAAATGAATAATAAAAAGTGCTTTAAAAATACTAAACTACCCCCCCATGAATGTATTATCATGCAAAAATTGAAATCAGAAAAGAAATTTAAAAGTCTAAGACGATATTTGGTCACATCATTTCTAAATTTTTTGAGTAAACAATATCTTACATTTTCCCCAAAAGTCCATTTGAACTTTATTCCTCATGTACTATTTACTTGAGTGCCAATTTCTCACAATTTTAGAAATTAATATTTTGCAGCATAAAGTACTTCTGCACGTAGAGCAAAAAATATATCATGCTTGTTGGCTGACTACACAGGAAAGAGTCTGCATTATTTTAGATTTGAGAGGAGAAAAATTACTTGGTCCCACATTCTGACCAACAGAATCCAGAGGATCAGAGAAACAAGGTCATCCGCAATTTATGTTGACTCTTAATACTTCCAAATAGGTGCTTGTCAACATTTGTAGAACTGCTGAATCATGGAATTTCAGTGCAAAAGGAAACTGATTCATTCACCTCCTTCAGTCCCCAATTCCAACACTTGAATCCCTAGATCGCTGCTTTAATTTTGCAGATGGTATCCTCTGAGTTAATTTAGCAATGTATGATATTGCTCACACTTGTGTTTTAAAATATTCCCTTGAGGTTTAATTTCTAGACATCATTATATTTAATAAAAATTGAATTGTGTTACATCTCAAATTGGAAGGATGGTTCTAATGCTTTTTAGAGAGTACAATTTCATTAAAAAAAAAATACTGCTTGAAATGAATACAAAATACATGACCTGGGTCTTGGGAATATTTTCTGTGCAGAAATTTCTTTTTTTTTTTTTTTTTTTTCCTGAGTGCAGGAAAGTGAGGTTCAGGGAGGGTTCTTCTTTGACCAAAATCTGACCTAAAGTACTGAATGTTTTTGGGGTTTGAATAATAAAATATGAACTGATAAATATGTCAGATATAACCTAACAAATGGCCATTTTATTCAGGGTCTTGTTCGAAATGAATTAGATATAGCCTCTGTTTTATACAAAATTATGATAGAAATTATGAATGTTCCCAGAATTATTTCTTTTAATTTAGAAAGAATCATAAAAGGTCACCTAGCCCAGTGGCCTTCACACTTTTCTATCTGTAACCTATAGCAAGAAATGCACTTGTATGACATAGACCTGTACACACACACACACACACACACACACACACACACAAGCAACCACAACTGAAACGAAAGATTCACAAGCAGTACTCATTCTTTCTGCATGAGATGTACTTTACTTTCTATTACTTTGTTTAAAAAATGTTGGCTTTGCCTTTATACAATACACTGATTTCAAGTCACATTCAGAAAACAATAATCTGGCCCAAACCATTTACTCTATAGATTGGAAGACCAAAATCCAGAGAGAGCAGCAACACTGCCTAGCTCATACTAAATTCAAGTAACCCTGTCTTGAAATTGAGTGTGATAGTTAACATACTGTCTTTATCCCCATCAATGGTCCTATACAATAAGAAGAAACTACAGTTTAGTCAAAGAGAAAAAATATATACAACTTCCTTCTTGGAGCTGAATCCAGGTGCTTCATTGGGTAGATTCTCTAACCTCTTTAAGCCTTACTGTACTTATTTTTTATAGAGGGATTTAAACCCTCATCGTAACAAGCCTCACCATAGCCCTGGTAGGTGGTCATTGAGACAACAGGAATGAAATGCCTAACATAATTCCTGGCTCACGTTCTTCTATTTTACTTATAAAAGAAGTCAATGAAGGAAAATAAAGAACAACAAATGATCAACAAATTCAAAATATTGTATTTTGACTCAATTGCCAGAATGTTAACTTTCTCTATAATACCTGGTGTGGCAGAGTAGGATGATCACAGATTCATTGACAGTTCTCCCATTGAGAATGTGGTCCATTTCCCCTCTCTTTGCGTTCTGCCTGGAGTGGGGCTGTGTTGGGTAAGAATGTGCTGCAGGCTGTGAAAGTGACACACTGCCAGCTCTATCTCTAGTCTTTAAGTAGACTGATAGCTTTCACCTTGATCCATTGGAGTACTGAGCCTTGTGAGAAGTGTAACCACCCTGCTAAGGAACCATGTGGGGAGATTGTGGTACTACACAGAGAAAGAGAGAGGTTCAGCAGAGGCCCGGCCTTCCAGTTATCCCCTTTGAGGGGCCAGGCATGTGGAGAGTCTCAAGGACTGTCTAGGTCAGCCCAGCCACCCTCCTCCCATCAGGCTGAGCGTCACCTAGTTTAAACCCATATGATGCTACATGGAGCAGAGAATCACTTAGCCAACCCATTGACCCACCTAATTATAAAATTTAGGAATATAATTGTTGTTTTAGGCTACCAAAATTTTGGGGTAATTTTTTTTTAATTTTTTTATGCAAGAATAGATAACCAGAAACACTCAAGTTGTTACAAATAGTTCAAGTAAGCAGTTTCCTAGAGGCAGCATGATACAAATTCTGGAGCAAGACTCACTTGATTGACTCCTTGCGCTCGATACTTAATTGATTTATACCTCAGCTTCCTCATCTTTAAAGTGGAGATAATTATTATACCCACCTTATATGATTACTTTGAGGATTAAAGAAAGTCAATACTGGTACACAGAAAGTACTTAGAACAGGACCTTCCACATAGAAAGCACTATGCAATTATTATTATTCTACAGCAAAGAAATATATATTTGAACACTGACTTAGATTACAGCTCAGAGGATTGGGTTTTACTGCTGTTGGATTGTGAGCAGGGCTTTGCTCTACATTCCAGGTCTCTTGAAATCTGACTTGCAAAATTAATTCAAACTGGCCTTAGGAATGAATATCCCCATGGGGCTTAAAAGAGATAAAAAATTGTAAACAAAGGGCAAAGAGACAGGACATTTGTCAGAATGGCATTTAGTAGCAGGGCCACTGTTCTTTAACATTAGTGAGGTGGACAAGAGGTTGAGTAGCACATTAATCATATTTGTGACATCAAATCATGCGGAAGACTGGGGAGAATAGGAATTATATCTCTCTATCAGGAGAGAGTAGGAAGTCGAGCTGGGAAAATGAAACAGTAAGATTAAGTGTCGTAAAGTTCAAGATTTAGAATTAGAGCCATTGATACATCGATCCTTTACAAAAATATGTTTTGAAGCATTTTAGTTGAACAAATATTTACTAAGAGTGCGTTACATGCCTGGTATTGTGCTCAAAAATGGCAACTTCTAGCAACTCCTTCACAGGGCCTGTTCCCCCCACAAAGAGCTCATGGTCTTGTTGGCGATGCAATACTGAAGCCAATAAAAATAATACAGGGTGGGGGGTGCAAGAACAGATATAAGTACAGGGCGCAGATGACATACAGATGAGGGACTGAATGTTTCTACTTAAGGTGGTATGCACCACAAAGGATATGTAGACAAAAAGTTTGAAAAACTAGAGAGAGAAATGGGAAATTGAGACTATATATATAAAGACAAAGAAATAAAAGACTGCAAGAGAATGAGATTTGGCTGTGCCCTTCTTGTTGTGAAGGACAAAAAAGAAAACAGGATGAGTTAGAAGCTGTTGTCAGAGAAAATAAGAACTAAAGTCAAGTGTAGTGGCTCACACCTGTAATCCCAGCACTTTGGGAAGCCAAGGCGGGCGGATCGCTTGAGGTCAGGAGTTTGAGACCATCCTGGCAAACATGGTGAAACCCTGTCTCTACTAAAAATACAAAAAAATTAGTTGGATGTGGTGGCAGGCGCCTGTAGTCTCAGCTACTTGGGAGGCTGAGGTGGGAGAATCGCTTGAACCCTGGAGGCGGAGGTTGCAGTGAGCTGAGATCGTGTAATTGCCCTCTAGCCTGGGCAACAGAGTAAAACTCCATCTCAAAAAAAAAAAAAAAAAAAGAAAGAAAAAGAAAATAAGAACTAAAAATGAAGATATAATTGAAGAAAAGTGATTCATGACAAAGGCGTTTTTGAACTTGGGAAATGCATTGCTATGTGTTTATATATTGATAAGTAATATGTATTAATACCATGGATATCCACACATACAGCATTTGCATAGCCTTTGGAAGTAATAGGATTTTTTAATTTTTTATCTTTTGGAGACAGAGTCTTGCTCTGTCACCCAGGCTGGAGTGCCATGGCGTGATCGCTCACTGCAACCTCCGCTTCCAGGGTTCAAGTAATTCTGCTGCCTCAGCCTCTCAAGTAGCTAGGATTACAGGTGCCCACCACCACACCTGGCTAATTTTTGTATTTTTAATAGAGACAGGGTTTCACCATGTTGGCCAGGCTGGTCTCGAACTTCTGACCTCAGACGATCCACCCGC
The DNA here is from genome assembly GCF_000001405.40 of Homo sapiens. Lineage (NCBI taxonomy): Eukaryota > Metazoa > Chordata > Mammalia > Primates > Hominidae > Homo > Homo sapiens. The sequence continues at coordinate 16,815,976 of NC_000004.12, read as the reverse complement.
CTCGGCCTCCCAAAGTGCTGGGATTATAGGCATGAGCCACCGTGCCTGGCCTGAAGTAATATGATTTTAAGCCAAATATATTAGAACTCTTCATTTGTTTATTTATTTCCTTTCAGTGAAGATGATACAATGGAAAGACCACATGTCACTGTTCTTTCAGAGCTGACAGTTCAGCTGAGCAACAATCATTAATAAAATAATCATGTCAGCATACAGTCACAACTTTGTCATCTTACGAGCAGAAACCTAGGGGAGCTGTGAGAGGGGGAACTGGAATCTAGTACTGAGAGCTTCTTAAAGGGATTCTTCCCTAATTCAGAGACTTTGTCTTGAGACTTGAAGAGTGGGTTCTGTAGGTAGGAAGAGGAGAGGTGGAAAAGGCTGTAAGACAGACTACAGCCTATTCAAAGGTCCTGTAGTCAGAGGATCTTACAAATCAGTGCTTGTGAAAAATAGAGGATTCACTGGAAAGGGTACTAGATTTCAATAAACACCACATAACCTTAGATGGAAGTGTCTTGGATTTACTCTAGCTTCAACAGAAACTCAGGGGTAATTAAGACTCCAGTGAAATTTGGATTGTGTAAACCTTGGATCTAGGAGAAACAATTAAAAGAGGCTCTTCTATGTCCTCCACACACACCTCCCCATACCCTGACAATGTCACTAGTTTCAGGGATAGTTTAGAGGTAGACTTTTAATCTGAAGTATTTGGCCTGGTTAAAATTGTGATCAACACAGTATTATTATAGCTTTCAGCTGGAAAACCTGGTTCTAAATCCAGTGGGATTTTACACTGTCTTCCCAATGGCAAACCTGATTAATGCAATGAAAAACACAATACTTTGCCTTGGACTTGCAATTAAAAATGTTTATTAAAGTTCATGCTCTCCTGCTTTGTGATTATTTTCAGAGTTGATGTGAACAAATAAGTAAATTACTGCATTTGAATGATGTGAATACATAGAATTGTGTTTCCCCAAATGCTCTTCTCCATAAATCGGGCATTGTTTATTAAAAGGAAGATACTTTTGCTTTTGAATGGAGCACTAATGTTTTTTTCTTCCAACTTCTGCAAGTTCGAAAAAGAAAGGTTGCAAATCTCACTCTATTTTCAGGACCCAGGAAGTTTTGTTGTTTCTCCAAATAACTCTGATTTGCCTGTTTTCTGATGCCTATCACTTTGTACCCCCTGATTCTAGCACTTTGTCATATCCCCTTTTTTAAAAACTCTCTTAGGTGCTTATAATCTTTTCATCCTGGTCATATTCCAAACCATAATTTCTAGCATAGCAGCTGGCAATTGAAAAGCTCTCAATATCTCTGTTGATGGACACATTGTCTATATTGTTGCATCAGCTAGGGCTCTTAAGTTGCAGAAAACAGAATGTGACTCCTGTTAACTTGAGCCAGAACATAAATTATTGGAGGATTACAGGGGTTGCTCATATAATGGGCAGGGAGGCTGAAGAATCAGGCTTGGGGGAGTTGGGAACGAGCAGATAGGATTTAGCAGCAAAAATGATTTCATGGTTTTATTCAATTGCAGTCTCTAGATGGAAACCATTTTTTTCTTCTGAACTTGTGTCCTGCTATTCAAGATTCAAAGTCACAGGAGAGAGAATCCAACTGTCTGAATCTAGGTTCTGCTATTGACACATGGTTGCCCTGGAACAGACGAGTAGCCACAGGACTCCCTCAGCTTCCGCGGGTAGCTTGGTTCATTTCCCAACCTGGCCTGTGCACACTAAGCAAAGGTAATTTTCCAGAAGCAAAATCACAGGGCTGTTAGAAAAACAGTATCCCTGGCCGGGTGCGGTGGCTCACGCCTGTAATCCCAACACTTTGGAAGGCCGAGGCGGGCGGATCACGAGGTCAGGAGATCGAGACCATCCTGGCTAACAAGTGAAACCCCGTCTCTAGTAAAAATACAAAAAATTAGCCAGGCGTGGTGGTGGGCGCCTGTAGTCCCAGCTACTCGGGAGGCTGAGGCAGGAGAATGGCCTGAACCTGGGAGGCAGAGCTTGCAGTGAGCCGAGATCGCGCCACTGCACTCCAGCCTGGGCGACAGAGCCAGACTCCTCTCAAAAAAAAAAAAAGAAAAGAAAAGAAAAGAAAATCAGTATCCCTGTGGGTAGCCCCTTTACCCGCCAAAGCCCAAACGAACAAAACAAACAGATATGTCTATTGCAGATGGAAATAACTCCATAATTAATGAAATTGAGTTTGTTTTGGCCTCTAACTTGCTGGTGAGCTTGGGTGTGTCATCCTCTCTGGTCCCCTCACTGTCTTGCTTATTAAACTTGGTAACTTTGAGTTCTCTACCTCACCAGACAGTTGGGGGGACTGTAGAAGATAATGTATCTAAGAGTGTTTTGTAAATGAAAAATATCATATAAATGCAGAATACTCTTACAGATTTTTGTGCAGGAGGTGTTTGATGAATGGAATTGAGAGGTTGACTCCTCTCTTGAGTGTTGAAGCTCCAGAAAACATATAAAGGTGACTTTCTCTCATTTGCATCAAGTATTCTAAAGATAATAATAATATTGTCTCGTATTTACTGAGTATTCACTATGCATTGGGCTCTCATTGAAGACTTCTTCTATGTCCTACTCACTTAATCCCCACAAAAACCCTATTGTTAGTTAAATGCTATGAATAGTCTTATCATACAAATGAGTAAACTGAGGCTGGGCACAGTGGCTCACACCTGTAATTCCAGCACTTTGGGAGGCTGAGGCAGGTGAATCTCCTGATGCCAGGAGTTCTAGACCAGACTGACCAACATGGCGAAACCCCATCTCTACTGAAATTACAAAAATTAGCCAGGCATGGTAGTCCCAGCTACTAGGGAGGTTGAGGCACGAGAATTGCTTAAACCTGGCAAGGGGAAGGTTGCAGTGAGCTGAGATCGTGCCACTGCACTCCAGCCTGGGTGACAGAGCAAGACCCTGTCTCAAAAAAGAAAAAAAAAAGAGTAAACTGAGGCACGCCTGCTTCAAAAGTGTCTGTCATCAACATCTTTCTCTAGCTCTGTGTCCCATTGGTAATATTTAAATGTTAATTTTTGTTTTTTCGCCATCTTAGAAGATTAATGAGGAAATGTTGGCATAATATTTAGCGTTTCTTGGAAGAAAGCTTCTGGTGAATACAATTATCGTTGTGCATTTTCATAATAATGAAATATCACACTATTTTTATATTCTTGTTCTCTTTAATTAATCTTTCCAGTCCCATCACAATCAACTTATTTTCTAAAGCCAAAGACTTTGGAGTAGTTAACCTTTCTGTTTTCTCCTAAGTTTAAATACACACACACACACACACACACACACACACACATATATTTAATACACAGATATATATATATATATATATATATATATATATAATTTCATTGATTCCAGCCTCAAGTATTTATCACTTTTGCTTTTGTTTTCCCTGAGGGTCAGAGCTGTAGGGCTGAAAGATATTAAACCCTGCGTCAGAGAAGAGTGGTATCTCCCCCGGTGGACAGATGACCTTATCAGATTTGAATTTAGGGGAACAAAACAAGCAACCGTATGTTAAAACTTTAACTACTACTACAGAATTAATATCTGTGCCTCTTAGATCATAATGAGCCCTTCCTGTGTTAAGAGAAAAAGGAAAGGAGGGAGAAAGTAATCTAGAAAGAATTTCCCCTTGATATCTTGTCACTCACCCAAATGGCTGGTGATAATTGGACATTGGAGACAGTGGTAAGATCAGACAGGCTGTCACTTCCTTAAGAAGCTGCATCTCTGACAATGGAGTGTCAGTCATTGTCTCCAGATGCCGAAGCTCTATGCTTTGCTAATATCAATGTGCTAAACCTCAATTATCAGAAAATACAGTGAGAAATTATAAAGGACGGGATAGAAGACTTCATCCAGGTAATAGAGTGCAAGATATCTTATTTGTGATAAATGTAAATTTCCCTGTAGCCAAATAGAGATAAAGATTTGATGGGGCAGGATTGAAGGCTTAGAAGACAAATAATGGAAAAAAATATTTGGAAAAATGTCCACAATCCTATAAATGAGCTCTGATAATTTTGTTAACCAGAACAATATAATAGTCCTTCTGTCTGTATAGTCAGTCTTCCAAGTCTAAGAAAGTGCTTTCTAGTATCAAATATACATGTGCATATCCTGGCTTCACTCTTTTTACCAGCATTTACTAACCGCATTTTTATAGTAGTCTTCCCCAATGGAGAACGTAATGTTTTACAGCAGAGATAGAGATAAGTTGACACGTGTGTCTGTATTGTAATAGGAACAAAATAGTTATTCTACTAAATTCAATTAATATGTTTAAGGGGGAGCAGATATACATTTGGGGTTAGATAAACTACATTTACAGTGTAACACAATTCCACAGAAATGACAGATTAAATGATCATTGTAGAAAATCGGGTCTAGTAAATGCCCTTTCCCTAAAAGGTTTATTTCAAGTTGAATGAGTATACCACAGAGAATTGAAGTTTAGTCCAAGTTTAGTCATAGCAATATGTGAATACTTGATTAAAACCAATATAGTAGAATAATTCAAAGGTGGTTCTATCCAGTGTAAGAATCCTAATCAATCTGACAGAAAGCATCAACTGAGTAAATATACTAAGTGAGGTATCTGCTTGGTATTTTGGGTGAATTAACCATGGGACATAGCAATGAGACCACATGTGACTCCTGATTAGTGCTCAATAAGTGTTTGCAAAATGAAAGGAAATATAAACCCAGATACCCTGAAGGTACAGTGTGCAAAGCACATCCCATGAATCAGTTCACTTAATCCTTTTAACAAACCTGTGCTGTAACTCAGGGGTCCTTAACCCCCGGGCCATAGACTGATACCGGCGTTAGATTGTCAAAGGAGTGCAAACGCTATTATGGACTGCACATGCAAGGAATCTAGATTGTGTGCTCCTTATGAGAACCTAATGTCTGATGATCTGAGGTGGAACAGTTTCACCCTGAATCCACCCACCACCCCCCACCAGTCTGTGGAAAAATTGTCTTCCACAAAACCTGTCCCTGGTGCCAAAAATGTTGGGGACTGTTGCTATAACTGATTATTCTTACACTAAGAATGAGTAGACTGAAAAGTTTAAGACTGAGAGGTTACACTCTTAATGGAAGGTAATAATATTGGAATTTGAACCCCAGCTCAATTCCTGTTTGGGGTGTTCATAGACCCCCTGGATCTTCCGTGAACCCCCCTGAAAACCTTTTTCTGATTTGATAACTGTTCGTCTTTCTAAGGGCGGTATTAATAGTTTTCATCAACTTTTCAAATAAGATCCATAACCATGAATTTGAACCCCAGTTCAATTCCTGTTTGGGGTGTTCATAGACCCCCTGGATCTTCCATGAACCTCTCTGAAAACCTTTTACTGATTTGATAGCTGTTCATCTTTCTAAGGACAGTATTAATAGCTTTTTCATCATCTTTTCAAATAGATCCATCACAACTACCCTTATCTTCCCTCAAATTTAAGAAGCTCATATACAATTGAAAAACTGAGATTTAGCCATAACAAAATAGAAAACATAAACAGATAAATTAATAAAGTTCAACATAGATAATGTGTGATTAGGTGTCTGGAATGAGGTAGAGTTTGAGATTGTAGGGACCCCCGTGGGTAGGATGATTTTGGAGGGTTTCTTTTAGGAAGATGCATTTGAGATGGGTCATGTTGAAGGATATTGCTGTACATGTGTCATGGAACTGGGTGCCAGACTTGTGCACCGTGACTGGACTCTTCCTCCCTCCCCTCTCCCTTTATAGTAGCATTTGACAGCAAGGAAGAATTAATTACCACACATTTCCCTCTGCCTAGAGCTGATTACCTGCAAGGCTGCTCCATGAACATTAGGCTGAGAACAGCAAGGAAAATGCCATTTGGAAGCATTCCACTCAGAACGGATGTCCAGCTGCTCATTTAGATCATGAACTGTTTGTCAATACTGACAATTAGTGGGCTAAAGATTGCATTGACCACATGAAAAGAATCAATATGTGCAGTACTTGTTAGTTATTTACCGCCGAGTGTATTAAAGCCTGTAGATTTCTTATAAATCCTTCAAAGCCATCCTGCTATGATCCACTCGACAACATGCATTGACACATCAATAAATCCTTTTGACAAGGATGATCTGTGAAAATCAATACCAGTTTATCAGCGAGTCCCATGTAGTTCCGTTTTTTTTTTGTTTGTTTGTTTTGTTTTGTTTTGTACAGGCCAGCAGAAGTTTAAGATCATTTTCCCAAAGGAAGGGAACCAACATGGTTTAGGTACAAAACTTGTAGTCACTGTATGCCTAGAAGCACTGACATTGATTAAAGTCCTTTGCTCAAAGAATCTTCGTAAATCCTATAAGGGACAGAAATCCACTCCCTGATACATAGTGGTAACTGCAGCCACCTTTAAGAGTGAAGTGTGGAGTCAAAGGTCTTAGTGTATAGTAATTGTGCCTGCATCTGCCCAGTCTTTAACTCTTCTCTATCTCAAGAAAGCTCGAGACCATACCGGCAGATTCTCACCCTCAGTCCTGGACAGCCTTTAGCATTGACACCTGTTTGTTGAACTGATTTGCTTTACATTTTTTTACCATATGAGCTTAATTGAATATTTGTGTTAAGCAAAAATACCATAATTGAGCTTATATACAAAAGTAATGTATTAGGATAGTGATAGCTGCTGTAACAAACAAACCTCACAATGTCAATATCTGTTATGTAGCATCTGGTCAATGTAGCTGTTTCTGGACAGTGAGTGATTTTCCTCTACATAATGATTCAGGGGCCCAGGCTCTTTTCAATTGTAGCTCTGCCATCTCCTAAGATTTAGGGGATCTTAGACTTTCAGCCTGAGGAAGTAGAAAAAGAGAGTAGAGATACATGCCCATGTTTAAAAATTCAGATCTAGAAATGACATATAATTCTTAGGCTTATATTCCTTTGGTAAGAACTTAAAACAGGGCCACAAAATGCAAAAGGGACTTTCAGAGTAGTTCCTTTAGAAGGGCAGCTACCTGTCAGTGACAATCCCATTCATGCAAGGGGACCACAGATTTTCGGTGGAGAGCTAGCCATAAATGTACACCAGGACCCGCTATTTACTGCTGTACTAATGCGTGTAATACAGATATGCAAAACACTGTTCTGATACTTCACCAAGTTTTCTAGCAAATGTGGAAAACAGTCCATCTGTCCCAAACTAGCAGAACTTGGACAGGTTTTCTTTCTGTCACTAGTGTTTCTGGTAAGCACACTACAAAACAATAACCTTTATTTCTCTAGGCATCCATGGACCTCGGCTTTTGGTAGAAAAGTAAGCTGCTAAATCAAAACTGTCTCAAGTCTCTCCTTTGAATCTTCCATTAGCAGCAGCAGTTAAGCAGTTTTAAGGTATATTGAAAGATAAAGGGTTCATAATCATCTCATGTTTTCTCTTTAAAAAATCCCTCAAAACACAACAAAAACCTCAAAGGAGTCAACTGCACTAAACTTTCAGGCTCCCCAGCCTCCACTGGTCATTACTAAAATCTGCCTGAAGCTCCATTTGTCTGAGGGCATTTTTGCTATCTTCCTTCTTTCTGACTTATAAGAAAGTCTCTGCTGAACAGCCATGTCTGTGTCTTGCTGAAACTAATAAAATCATATCTATCACTCTCTTGGGGAGCTCTGTCTAGAGTTGCATTTGAGATCCAAAGACAATGAGAAGCTCCTCCTGGCATGTTGCTATAATTAAAGATTCCAGAGTTTTCCAGAGGGGCGTATCGGAAGAGAGACGTCCACTGTAAGATTATTGAATTTTCTGCTTTCCTTTCCTTTTTTTCCTTCTTTTTTTCCTTTTTAATGATTCAACACACTATATTGAGTGTGTAAAGGTGTACATTCTCTCATACTTTTTTTTCCTAGCATAGAAGCTCCTTTGACATATGAAATTGGGAAAAGAAAGAAATTCTTTGGGGAAAGCCTACCTTCACCTGTTGTACCTTCTCCTTATTTAAATATTTAAATTCTAACAGAAAATTCCCCGTTGGTAAGAGATACACTTCCTAAGTACTCTTTAGTTTTTTGCCCTGTTTAGAAATCTTTGACAATTTCTCATGTGCCAAGGCTGGAAGAGGAATGAATATTTGGAAGGATAGATGCAAATCAAGACTGGGTTTAGGGCTAGAGAAAGTTGATCTTTTGTGTCTTAGCTTTTAGCCATCACAGCTTCTCCATATACAATGTTTAAAGGGTACACCAGGGCAGGAAGGGCTTGTGTTTCTCCACAACTGACTTGGCCATGAAAGATCTGGTGGGTTTTCTGCAGTATAGCAAATGAAATAGCTCATTAGCTGTAAGCAGCCAATGATCTTTTGTGATTCACCAACAGCTGCTATTCCTCAGGGAAATTTATGCCAGGCAAGGCTGGAACAGTAAGAGAGCAAGAAGAAAGGGGACATGTAAAACAAGGGAAGAATGAGTGAAAACATGCTTCACAGCCTTACAGAAAACACAGTTCTGTTTCTCACACACACAGGTTTTTCATTGTATTCCATCCTTGTTTATAGGCTATTTTTAGCATCCAGCATTATTCCTGGTTAGAAGAATGACTTTGGTTATTATCCATAATTAATTAAGGCCATATGGCTCTTGAAATATTCTACTTATGAATATAATAATAATTGCAATAAGATCATTACTGTTAACATCTTTCAAGTCATGATCACATTCAGTTCTAACCCTGTGAAGTACACAAGGCAGGAATTTACAACCCATTCTCCAGATGAGATGGCGATGAAATTATACATATATCTTAGGATTGGCTTTCAGAGGCAATAACTTGAAACAGGGCCACAAACACATGTAAGAGGGACTTGTCAATGTGTCCCAGGATGGGACTGATCAGCTCCAAAAACCAGTTTTCTTGGTTCCCAAACCGTGGCTTTTTCTATCAAGGAGATTTGAAACGCAAAAATACTACTAATAATGTGTATATAGCATTTTTCTAAGTCCTTTTTGTGTATTATCTCACTTGATTTTCCAAACAATGCTATGAGATAGGCTGTGTTATTAGCACTATTGTGTAGATGAGAAAATGAGAACAAGAAGAGGTGAAGTAGCTTGCCCTCAGTGACACAGCTGGGAAGACGAGGAGCTGGGAATACAACCCAGGCAGTCTGTCCACAGAGCTTACTCCTAAGTTGCATGCAACATTTCCACTCAACCCTAAACAGCCATACATCCCAATATTTGGGGAAGATTCTTGAAGGTGTCCCATGGCCTTGAAGATCTGGGATTCAGATCAGAAACATGTTAGCCTTTCTGAGTCCTGAATGAACTCCTGCAAAAGTAGTTTTTCAGATATGTGGAAAAAAATTGCCCACAAAGCAGCTCCTCTGCAACTGCCTGCTCACTTAATGGCAGGGCTCCTTCTACCTCCAGCTTCATTGATTGCCAGTGTCCACTTGTCCCTTTCAGTGCACTGGATTCAGACCAGCCCCATGGGCATTTATTGGTAACTTTCATCTGCTGTGGGCTGAGTGCCCACCATGGGCCAGTCACTGAGCTGGATCTCTGGAGAACACAAAGAAAGATACACCCCACTCTTCATTCTTAAGAAAATCAGAGTTTCATGGGGAAAGAAAGAGGTGTAATCAGGTAATTACAAGATCCACAGTAAGTGCTAGAACAGAGGAATATGCAGTTCTGGCTGTGCGGAGTCAAAGAAGGTAGAATGTTAATTGGCTGCTCAGGAACTGAAATCAAACAGATTTGGGTTCAAGTCATGGCCATCAGTTGGTACCTGGAAGATGTTAGGAAACTTACTTTCCTTCACTGTTACTCAGTTTCCTATCCAAGCACATGAAGATGCTAATTCTGTTTCCCTGGGAGGAAATATGGTGAGAATTATATGAGAGATCTCCATATGAAACCAATCACATAGTAAGTGTTTGGTAAAGGTAATGATAGCAGTGATAACCATCCTGACAGCTTCATGGAGGCTGTGACACTTCAGGACAGCCTATGGTTTTCAGTCAGAGAAGAGAGGGTGCCTGAGAGCAGAGAGAAGAAAATTCTCATGCCAGAAATCAGCATGTGCAAGCCACAGGATAATTTCTCCCCATGGCACAGTCCTGAGAATACTGTCAGGCAATAGGCTCCACCTGCCTTTTCTCTCTGCAGGTTTTTCCTACTCTAGTTGATTCTACATGCAGTCAGAGGAATCATCTTTCGTCCCTGTAATTGCTATCCTGGCATTTTCTCTCCTGAGAACAAGGTAGTGGTTCCCAATTGCCTCTTGAATCAGCTGGAATCAAATTGATCACAGGCTTCAAGCCTTCCCTCATACCCATCAGCTTCACCTCATCTCTCATCTCTCTCCATACCCTGGATTTTCTCTCTACTCCAATCAAGAAAGTGGACCATGAGCCTGTGCATTGTTCTCCACCTCTTCCTCCCCAGGAGACACTGGACACCCTGAATAAGCATTTGACAACATTTCTAAAGTGGATGTGTGTGCTGTGATTTTAAAGTGATAAATGTGTTGAAGCCTATTAGGTAGAATTTATCTGTTCATAAACCAATGACTTTGGCCCAGATAAACACTTGCTGATATAGAAATGAGTTTGTTGACTTACCCAGCATTTAAAAATATTTGAAGTCCACATTATGGACCGAATGCTTTCATCCCTTCCAAATTCATAGGTTGATGTCCCAATCCCTAATGTGAATGGTACTTGAAGTTGGGGACTCTGGGAGGTAATTAGGGTCAGATAACATGGGAGCGAGGCCTTCATGATAGAATTAGTGTCTTTAGAAGAAGAGATGCCAGAGGTCTCTCTACCCTTCTCTCTCTCTCCATCTCCCTCTCTCTCCTTTCTCTTCCTCTCTCTCTCTTTTCCCCTCTCTCTCCATCTCTCCTCCCTCCTCTTTGCTGTATGAATACACAGAGAGAAGGTGGATGTCTACAAGCAAGGAAGAGAGCCCTCACTGGAACCTAACCACACTGGCACCCCAATTTTGGATTTCCAGCATCCAGAATATGATAAATAAATTTCTTTTGCTTAAGCCAAAATACTACCCAGTCTATTGCACTTTGTTATGGTGGCCAAGGCAGACATATATTCAACTTTATAGCTTTTAGCCAAAAACAAGAAGAAAAAAAATGAGAAATCAGCAAAAAATAAATAATTAAACCTAGCAAATATCTAGCTCTCCTCCCAAATGGCAACAGTTGCCTCAAGCTGAGTAGAAGCTGCCCTTTTTCCATTGAAAGCTCCAGTTTGCCACAGTCCTCACCAATTCCTGTTACCTCTCTCTGCTATATTTGGTAAGCTGTGTCTGTGCATTGCCTGAAAGACAAGTATAGTCATATGAGCTTTATATTCTGCTTTAGAGTCGCCCTTTCTTCCTTGGGAACAAAACTTCATTGAAGACCAACCATTGCTGTGTTGCACAAATCAAACACAATAAAGTAGCATATATGTATTTATAATTAAAAAAATTATGTCAAGATACAGGGGACAATTTAGAAGAGTTAATTTCCCCTTAATTGTCATTTTGCATCTCATTTACCCCTAGGCAGAGGCCCTTCCAAATTTTGTTTGTTTCTGTCTTTTTCTCTCTGTTTTACCCCCTTTCTATGTATTAATATATATGTGTATATGTAATATAAACACAAAATCTAATTGTATAAAAATATGTACCTAGCCAGGAGTCCCAGCTACCTGGGAGGCTGAGCCCATGAGTTTGAGGTTGCAGTGAGCCATGATTGTGCCACTGCACTCCAGCCTGGGACATAGAGTGAGACTCTCTCTTAAAGAAAAAAAGTATCTGTTTTTTCAATTTACACATTTACATGGATCAATTAAAAAAACTTTCTCTAAACTTTCTTCAGCATGCAATCAACAATTATATTCTAAGAGTACTCAATCAAGTGATGAAATAAAATTACAGTCTTCAGAAATCTGATTCCTGCAGTAACATCAACAATACTTAAAGGTAAAAACCTGTAGGCCCATTATTCTCAAAACCTGGCTGATTTGAAAGCTATTTCAGTTCCATATTAGTTATATATTTTTTAAAAAGTAAAATAACAACAATAAGCATTACTTAAGCAATTCCTCTGTGCTTGACATTGTGCTAAGTTGTTCTCTTCATCTTATGAACAAACCTAAAATAAGTACGACTATTTCCATTTTACAGATGAGAAAACCAAGACACACTGAGATTCAGCAACAATGAAAATAAAGCACAGAATTGTAACTCAGATTTTTTTCCACTAGCCCAATTCTTATTCCATTTTTGTTATATTTCTCATGATATATGGTTGAAAAATTGTTGGTCATATGTGAAGCTGTAATAAATGCATTTTTTTCTCATCAATTGTTAGCAATTTGGTGAGTGCACAGGCTTAATAAAATTTGTGCTGCTTTGATTTAATTTTAAAATAAGAACAAACTTTGCCCTGTGGTCAAGTCTTCCTTTATAAATTGAACTCTGGACCATTTTTCTTAAATGATATAAATTTATACTTGTTTTTCTCCAATTCCCAAGCAAATACTCCTACAAAGTTTTTATGAAGTTGCAATTCACGTAGGAAGTCAGCATCCTTCTAATTTCTTAACAGCAGCAATGTTTTCTATCTGATTCCCCAAAAACTGATGACTTCAGTGATTTGAGTCAATGACTTGATATAGGCTTAAAGACTTTTAAACTGAAAAAAAATGGTAGGAGATGGGTTAGCGGTAAAAGAAACCAACAAACTAGGGTCAGTGAGTTCTAAATCTAAATTTAGTGATATTCGCCCAATGCACAAATAAGCTATGCCATCCTTAATGTAGTCCAACAGGGAGGGTCTTTACAGTAGAATATTACTGCATCAAACAATCTCCCTATTATGCCAACTCTGTAGCCTTTCTTCTAAGCCATGAGTTTAAAAAATGCTCTCAGGAGACAGCGGTCGAGGGGTCTCTGGCTCCAGTGACAGCCCCCTGAATGTCCTGAGGTTCAGCTTGAATCTCAGGGAAGGACACAAGGGTGGGTCCTATTTCACACTCTTCCAGCCTAGAGGATTTTTCTCTTAAAACTTGGTCTGAAATTAATGATCCTGGTCGTCAGGAGCTAATACGAGCCCTTAGAGCCTCTCACATAAACTCCACAGTTGGTGTCCCAAGCCTGCCTCAGTTCCATTGGCCCCCATGATTCAATTATCTCCCACTGGGTCCCTCCCACAACACGTGGGAATTATGGGAGCTAAAATTCAAGATAAGATTTGGGTGGGGACACAGTCAAACCATATCAGTCACATAGGCCTGTGGAGGAGTAAATAAGAGAATCCACATCAAGCACTTAGCATTTAGCTCTGGTTCTCTTCTAGTGTTTCTTTTAATCCCTTTTGTGTCTCTTCAAACAGACCTAACTTGTTTCCTGAAAGGTGAACATGAGAGTCAGCAATGAGATGCAGCTCTCTAGCAAGAAGTTCTGATGGGACATACACCCCAGCGCCATCCATAGGAGTTCTTCCCCAGGAAGGAACACACCCACATCCTCACTCCAGGCTGCTTGTTTGGCCTCTTTTTCTGGGATTGCTTTTGCTGGCAGATTTTGTTCATTCATATGAGGAACAGGGAAAGGAAATAATAGCTGGTGAACAACAAAGAAGCAATAGACAATCAGCAGTGACTGCTGCCCCTGAGGCGGGGTGGGTCTTGTTAGAAGAGTCTAGGAGGGATGGAGCCTGCAGACATTTGTCTCAGTTCACTTTCACCACAAAGAGGATGGGCGTCCACTCACTGTGGAGATGGGGCAGTTGGTGATGGGGATGGGTGGGGCTAATGCTTACTGACACTTGGAGCCCTTCCCTACACATTATTTCGCTAATTCACCTGTGCAAGGCTATCAAGTGAATAACTTTGACAAATGGAAACCACAGCCTCCAGAGTAAGCACACTTTGGAAAGAGAGAGCTAAAACTCAGGTTGTCCTTTGGGGAATCCTCAGGAGTTAGAGGATTCTGGAATTCCATGGGTGTTTTCAAATGATAACTAAAGGTAGAGATGGGACAGTCCATTCAAAAATGATTCACTAGTTTGCCTCTTTCCTGAAAGCACCTTTTCCAAACTCATTGGCTTTTCTCCAGGTATGGGTGGGTGGGGGTCAAGCATATATTTATTCTTTCTTCCTTTTAAATAAAGATTGTCTATTATTTTTGGAAAGACTATAAAACACTGAAATTTTTGGTAGATCTGTTCAATTTTATAATTCGATTTCATAGGAAGAGTGATGAACATTATTATGTTGCACTATTGAATAATGTAATCATTAAGTCTGTGTGGTTAAACGAAAGGAAATCATTGGATGATAGTGAATCAGTACTTGGGGGAGATGGGTGACTCAGTGACTTGTTCCCCAAAGTGTTTTCCTAAGAAAATGTCTACAGTATGAGTCTGCTTGCCCTCTTTCCCGTATTTCTTATCCCTTCAATTTCCTTCTCCTCTGGGTATAAGTGGTCCTATTATACTTCCAGTTTCATTTATTCATTCAGCAAGTTTTTTTTGAGTCTCACTGTGTACCACACCCTCTGATGGAGGTGGAAATGCATAAGTAAATAAACTAAAGCAAATTTCGATCCCTATCCTAACGACGTGCAGTCTAATGTCTACAGACAATTAAACAATAATTGCAACACAATGAGAAAAGTGCTGTGGTTCATGAAGCCCAGGGGCTTAAGAGCTTACAGGATGGGCTTCCATCTAAACCAAACAGAACTGAAGACGGGTTGGAGGGAGCCCCATTCTGAGGGGGTGGGAAAGTTCCTGAAATGCCAAAGACCTGGTGGTAAAACAGCACTGCCCAAGGCAAGCTTGCCAACCAAGATGGGGAGCTTTGACTTCATCCTCAGGGTCATGCATCCGAAGTATGGGGACAGTGTCCCATGGGGAGTGAGAAGATCAGATTTATGTTTTAGAAATGTCTTCCGGCCGGGCGCGGTGGCTCACGCCTGTAATCCCACCACGCTGGGAGGCCGAGGCGGGTGGATCATGAGGTGAGGAGATCGAGACCATCCTGGCTAACACGGTGAAACCCTGTCTCTAGTAAAAATACAAAAAGTTAGCCGGGCGTTGGTGGCGGGCGCCTGTAGTCCCAGCTACTTGGGAGGCTGAGGCAGGAGAATGGCGTGAACCTGGGAGGCGGAGCTGGCAGTGAGCCGAGATTGCGCCACTGCACTCCAGCCTGGGCGACAGAGCGAGACTCCGTCTCAAAAAAACAAAACAAAAACAAAAACAAAGAAACGTCTTCTATTCCTCTCTATCCAGTTCATTTTATATGACTCCCTATCACCCCACAACCACTTAGGCACAGTCTTCATCTTTGACTTCCTTTCAGGGTCACTGTGCAGAGAAAAATGACAAACTGTCAACGGATGATTGTTTATAAAAGGTAAATTAACAAATCTTCTAAAATGAACACATGTCAAATATTTTTTAACCCAGTAACTAATGAAAGAACTGGTAAGATGTTACAAGCAATTGAAAGGAGAATTCCAAGGACCCTAAGTTTATATGCACTAAAAGAATGGTGAAATAGGTTTATAAACAGATGCAGAGACTGGTCTGTTCACAGGGCAATAATCAACTCGATACAAATAATGCATGTCTACACACAAGAATTATTTACATTATTATCAGTTTTATGGAGTTGCTGAATAGCTCAAAGACAACATATGGTGGAGATAACCCAGATGGACAGGACACCCTTGAATCTTTTTTGCCCATTTGAAAGCTTTTCACATTTTTTTTTTTCCTGACAGTAAGGTAAAGAAATATGTGTCTAGGGTTCTGGAAATCTATATTTGTTTCCCAGCTCCGCCACTCTCGTTTGAGCTTTCCCGTCCCGGACCTCAGTCTTTTCCTTTTTATCTACTCATATACTGGGCCTCGGTATATAATACCATTTGAACAAAGCAAAAAATAACTATTGAAAAAATAACTTACACTATATGTAGGGTTGCCAGGTTTCCCAAATAAAAACATGAGATGCCTGGGGAAATTGGAATTTCAGATAAATATCAAATACTTTTTTTAGTATAAGTATGTCAAAAATATTGCATCGGACATACTTATACTGGAAAAGTATTATAAGTTTTTTTCTGAAATTCCAATTTAACTGAGCATCCTGTATTTCATCTGGTAAACCCTAACTATATGCCAAGTGTTAAGCAAAAGGTGTAGCTGTGTATTACAAGAATCCAGAAAGGTCAATTCGAGAAGACTCAGGAACCCTGAGACTGCATTTCCCATGCTTTTGCCTTTGTTCTTGTTCAATCATAAATCCTCTATACATGTGAGGGGAGAAATCAAATTCAATACAAAACTGGGGCACAGATTACAGGTTGGCAGGAACCTAAGTTCCTGAAGGAAAGGAAAGGATGGGGCAAGAGCCCGTGGAGAGAATCCTTTCCTTCTTCCTATTCAATGTTTGCAGGTGATAGGCTCTGACAAGTATTTGTCACTGGCAGAGGAAACTGGGCATGGGGCTTATATCCCGTGAGTGACTCCTCTGGCCCTAGAAAATAGTTCCATCTCTAAGTGGGTTACCTACTATGTGTCTGTTTGAGGCCAGCAGGTGCCTCAGGCACCATGTTCAGTGTTTGGGAGTTCACAGCACATTGTGAGTTGGGGAGACTTCTTTCTAGATCCTCCAGACTTTTACAGGATTGCATCATTCATGTTGGAGAGCTTTGCATGTTCTTTTTTTTCTTAACTGCGTAGATGGCTGACAGATGAAAACCCCAGTCACGAGCCGGGCGCGGTGGCTCATGCCTGTAATCCCAACACTTCGGGAGGCCGAGGAGGGCGGATCACGAGGTCAGGAGATCAAGACCATCCTGGCTAACACGGTGAAACCCGGTCTCTACTAAAAATACAAAAAAAAATTAGCCGGGTGTGGTGGCGGGCGCCTGTAGTCCCAGCTACTCAGGAGGCTGAGGCAGGAGAATGGCGTGAACCCGGGAGGCGGAGTTTGCAGTGAGCCAAGATCGCGCCACTGCACTCCAGCCTGGGCAACAAAGCAAGTCTCCATCTCAAAAAATAAATAAATAAATAAAAAGAAAACCCCAGTCATGCTGAATAAGCACTGCTGAATCTCTGTCACTTGAGGTGACTGAAAATTACAGAGTCCAGCTTTCGAGGCTAGAGCCAAAGAAAGAAAAGTTGTAGGAAGTCTTCCACGTTGTAGGGAGGTGAGCTGAACATTTCAGGGGCAGATTCTGTTCTTACAGAGAAGGCCAAGTAGAGAATGTTCCACTGGTTACTGGCCTTTAGGAGATGTGTGAGGGAAGAGGGAGGTGGGGGGCATTTTCAGCTTTAGCACAGGTGGCCTGTCTACCAAGACTTTCTGGGAGGTGGCAGTCACTAGCCAGGAAGGTGCTTCTCAAATTACAAAGTAGATAACAATTGATTTTGTTGGTGTGTTTCCATGCATTTATTTTTTCTCTTATTTCTTGGAAAGTCTTCTCTCTCCTGGATTCTCAGGGTCCTATTGCTGCTTTCCAAGATCCTAAGTCATGTCCTCAGCTTTAGGCTTCCTCCAAGATGGACTTGATCCCATAGTTATCCAGTTGTGTGACCTGGAGCAAGTTACTTGAACTCACTTCTTTCCCTATAACATGATAGCTGGGAACTACTTCATATAATAATATTCACAATGCAGAGAAAGGACACATGGAAAGCCCTCAAAAAGTCATTTTGAGGGTCATATAGATTGAGGAATATTCATTTATATAAACACATTGAATTCTCACAATAACCCTGTGAACTAAGTGGCATCATTAATCCCATTTTTCAGCTAAGGAAACCAAAGCACAATTAAATAAAATAATTTGCCTAAGATTATACAGCTTTTTTTTTTTTTTTTTTCGAGACAGAGTCTTGCTCTGTCGCCCAGGCTGGAGTGCAGTGGCATGATCTTGGCTCACTGCAACCTCTGCCTTCTGGATTCAAGCAATTCTCCTGCCTCAGCCTCCCAAGTAGCTGGGGCTACAGGTGGATGTCACCATGCCTGGCTAATTTTTGTATTTTTAGTAGAGACAGGGTTTCACCATGTTGGCCAGGCTGGTCTCAAACTCCTGACCTTGTGATCCGCTCACCTCGGCCTCCTAAAATGCTGGGATTACAGGGGAGAGCCACCATGCCCAGCCTTGATTATACAGCTCTTAAGTAGTGATGGTCATAGGTGAGCAGGGAGTCTGGCTCACGGGATAAAGTTATTAACCACGAAGCTCAGAGCCTCTCTAATAAATGTTAGCTATTATTATTATCATTCCTAACTATTCTAGAGAACCCTAGGACCCGAGAATGTAACAGCTATTCAGTTCTTTAGTCATATTAATTTGGGAATACTCAAAATGTCTCAGCATATTAAAGCATTTGAGAAGTCAGATAGTAAAGACATCATTTATTTTTTTTAAGTAGACTTTTTACTTTAGAATGCTTTTAGATTTACATAAGAATTGCAATGACGGTAGAGAGAATTCTCATGTATGCTGTGCCCATTTTCCCCAGCTGTCAAGATCTTACGTTAGTATGATCTTAGTCTGATCTTAGTATGATCCTTAGTTTGTCAAAACTAATGAACCAATATTAATACATTACAGTTGACCCTTGAACAATGGGTTTGAACTGCATGGGTTTACTTACACCTGCATTTTTTTCAGCCAAAGGCGGATCAAAAATACGCATGTGTGAGATGAAAAGCCCTCATACAGGGCGGGCTGACCTTTTCGTCTATGTGGTTCCTCAGGGTTGACTGCAGGACTTGAGGATTTTGGTCAATGCAGGGGTCCTGAAACCAATTCTCTGCATATACCAAGGAACCACTGTATTATTAGCTAAACTCCACACTTTATTCAGATTTCTTCAGTTTTTTCATAATATTTTCAGGCTTCCCTGCACAATACCACGTTGCATTTGGTCATCATGTCTCTATAGGGTCTTTTTGCTTGGAACAATTTCTCAGACTTTTCTTATGTTTGTTAACCATGAATGTTTTAAGAAGTGCTGGTTAGGTATTTGGCAGAATGTCCCTCCCTTTGGGCGTGTCTGCTGTTCTTCTCATGATTAGACAGGGGTGATGGGTTTTGGGGACAAAGACTACCAAAGTACAGTGCCATTCTCATCACATCCTATGAAAGGCACATGTTACCAACATGGCTTATTAGTGACGATGTTAAGCTTGATCACCTGGCTGACTTAGTATTTGTCAGGTTTCTCCACCACATGATTACTCTTTTTTCATGTTTCCTTACCATACTCTTTGGAAGGAAGTCACTAAGCCCAAGCCCAAGCTTAAGGGGTAGGGAGGCTCCATCTCCTTGCAAGGGGGGTGTCTACATAAATCACTTGTGATTCTTCTGCATGGGAAATGTGTCTCATCTCTTCCATTTATTTATTCAACCATGTATGTATATCAGCATGGATTCATGGATGTCAGTATTGTACATTGAGTTATAATCCAGTACTATGTTATTTATCTTGTTATTCAAATTTTTCCACTTTTGGTCACTCATTGCTACTGAGGTGTTGTTGCTTTCAGACTCTCTCAGCAGTGAGAGTTTAGAAACATATGTGTGTATACTAATGCCATTTAATGTTTTGTTTTGTTTTGTTTGAGACAGAGTGCTCACTTTGTTGCCCAGGCTGGAGTGCAGGGGCACGATCTTGGCTCACTGCAACCTTCGTCTTCTTGGCCCAAGGAATCCTCCCACCTTAACCTCCCCAGTAGCTAGGACCACACGACACCACCATGACGGGCTAATTTTTTTTTTGTAGAGATGGGATTTCACCATGTTGCCCAGACTGGTCTCACACTCCTGGACTCAAGAGATCTGCCCACCTCAGCCTCCCAAAGTGCTGGGATTATAGGCGTGAACCACCGCGCCGGCTCATTTAATGTTTATAAGCAAATGTTTCCCAAATTTCTTTGACTTCGGGGACCTCCTTCCCTCTCAGTACCCCAAACATTGGTTAACACACCTCAGAAGGTTAATATTCCATGGGATCCAATTTGCTAAGTGGGACTATAGCAATAGCATTTGTCTATCTCAATTTTAACAATAGAAAGTATTAGTAACAGTAGCTACAATTATAATAGGTACCGTTTAGCGACTATCTATTATGTACTGGTCCTACAGGTTAAGGTGGTGGGGGAGACTCCTGAGTCCTCATTCTCAAGGGATTCGGAGTCTAGTGAAAGACAAACAAATTACAGATCAGTGTCATAAGTGATTTGCTGGAGATAAAGGCCTCCATTCATGGTATTGTTCATGCCTGAATAACTGCCTGTCTTTCTGCCTTCCTCTTTCCTCTCTCTGGTGCATTACCCAAGGTGAGCTAGAGTGAACCACCTCAAATGCTGTTAAGGAAGTATCTCTCTCCTTTGGAAACCCTTCAAGGGTTTCCTGTTGACCTCAAGATAAAGCCCAGCAGGACTAGGACTAGAGGGAGACCAGCAAGACACCTCAGGACAAATGTTAGGAAGGGCTTGCTCAGATGCAACCTTGCACTTGCACGTTCCTGGCAGTGAGCGCATCCTTAGATTGTGCCCAGATTTCTTTTGGTGACTTACAAGGCCTTTTATGATTGGGTCTCTGTAATATGGACTCTTTAACTGCCGTCTCCACCACAGGCTCTCTTTCTGCAGCCACATCTGACATGCTTCTCTTCCCCAGGCTCTCTCTTCACAGCAAGGTCCAGGTGTTTCTGGAAGAATCTTCTCCTCTTCATCTGACCAATTCCTACTCTTTCTGCCAGTCTTGGGTAAAGGTTATGTGCTCCGGGAAGATTTCCCTGTCCTCAACTCAGGCTCTCCATCGAGATCCTATTTTCAAGCATGTCTTCCCCGCTCCTAGCGCCCTCTACTGGCCTAGAGAGGCACTGATTCTATTGATTGTCTACTAGGTTGTGTCTTTCCTGCCTGGATTTTCGCTCACTGTTTAATTTCCACTGCCTGGCACGTGGCCATGAGTGCTCAATACTGTCAGGTTGAGTAAATGAACACATGATTGTATGTGGGAATGAACTCAGACTGAACATCAGGAAAGGCTTCCAGGAGCAGGTGATGCTTAAGTTAAATCAAAAAGGAAAGATGAAGCTTCAGTAAGGCTGAGAACTTTAATAATAGGTTGAACCCCATCCAAAATTGTCATTTATGTAAACAACAAATGGTTGAGTGTTCATAAGCATCAACCTAATAATAGGTAACATCATTGAATATTTAGTGTGTTATGCTCTTTAAATGTATCAATTTATTATTGATGCTATTAACCCCATGGGATAAATACTTCTATTATTTACATTTGAAAAATGAAGAGATTGAGGTACAGAGAAGGTGAGTAACAGACCCAAAGTCACACAGCTCAATAACAAAGCCAGAGCTCCAGCCTAGGTCATCCACTCTGGAACTCAGAACCCTTGGCCTGCATCATGAAAGCAAGGACAGGGAAGGTATAAGAAGATGAGACGTGCATTTTTCATAGAGATCTGTTGCACAGATTGAAGGTACAGTGATAGCTGAGGAGGAGCTGCAGTCATCTTGAGGTGGTCATCCTAATATCATTACATGGTTTCTTTTAGCCACCTGTTCCCTTAGCCAAGATACCCCCTGACTTCCACCTCCTGTCAACTAAGGCACCTTCAGGATATAGAATATAGCCTGGCATTTTAGGGGGTGTAAACCAAATCATCTCAGCTCTGCCCCAGGGTGTCAGCCCCATGCTGCCTAACCCATATATTTGAGCTGCTTGTTGTGGGCTTTAAGGTCGTTAGTAAGCTCCAAGAAGGCCCTGTTTTGATAAGAGAGAGCAGTGCTGTCCCCTTTGGGCACGGCCCTTCCCCTGGAAGGATGCAAACAGATTTTGAATATGTAATACTAACTGAAAGAGGCAGTATGGCTTAATGACCTTTAGCTGGTAAATCTAAGACATTACCGAGAGGGGTAGGAAAGGAGCTGCAGGTCCCAGATAAGTGCTTTAATTGCACCAATAACCCCATGTAGTTTTCCAAGGCCTCAGTTTCAATATCTGTAAAATGGGGATAGAGCCTGCCTGTCTCATTACATTCTGGTCCCTCTTAACTTTCATGTTCACTTATGGTTCTTACCACATCATGGTTCAGATTGATGTTCTATACAGCTGTGCTCCAAATACATTTTGGGTTTTATATTTCCTACCCCAGTGGAGTGACTTAGACTGCAGGGAGAGGTTACAAAGAGGAATCATTAAAAAGCCCTTAGTAATAATTGGTGAAATATTTACATGACAGATTTAGATTTATTCAGGTGATTTTATTCCTGAACAAAACACTGCTTTTTGTATGTATAAATGGCTGCTTAAAAGACAAAAACCCTTTAACATGAGAAAAAACACATCTTGGGTAAAGACCTGCACGATTAAAAATAAGAAGCTTCAAATGGCAACCTGGGAGCTGATGGTTTGACGGTTTGGGCTTCAGATGGAATTCCACCTATGGAACCCTCCAAACCTTTAAGTATAATTAAGCACAAAATACCACCTGAAGGAACACTGGAGATTAGACATAAACCCACAGAAGCCAGAAAATTCAGGTCACCAGCCTCATTCTGCCCTGGTTAGAGGGTGCTTTGATGCTGTTCTCTCCCTGGGGGTCAGGAGCTGCATATAATCTCCTAAACGATAAGGACCAAAAAAAGGGCACAAAAGCTTGAATTAAAGGCAACGCGTATACCAATTTTCAGCTGCTTCCCTTTTGTCAGCTGAAGGAAGCCTATAGATTCTATTTAGCACACTTAGAAATGAAGTTTCCTGATTTGGAAAATCAAACGTTTAAGCTGTACAAAGAAAATAGCCACCTTCAACCTCTACTTATATAACCTGAAATCCTGTACAATATACTCCAACCAAGGGGGTCCATTTCTTTGGGGCCCTGCTCCTTTTCTTTTGGGTTTGAAGAGGGCTTGGGATTGTTGAACTTGCTCAACATCACACAGCAAGAATGGAGCAGAGCTGGGATTTGAACCCCCAAATTGATGTTTATTTCTACAACAGTATGCTGAAAACATTTTGAAAAGTGCCTTTATAAAATGTATCATGATGTTCCTTCCTCCTTCCTCTTGTTAAAGCTTCCTGTAAGAATTTTCATAATTCCTGCCTGTAAGTCACTGAGCAAAAAGGACTGTTTAACTGCAGACAGGAGCCGAGGAGAGGCCAGGGACATGGATAACTGGGAGGAATGGCAGCTTTTCACATTTATCTGTCCAGATTGGCAGGGTAATGTCTATGGGCTCTTTGCTCTCCCCATAACCATGATGCATCTTTCGAAAAGGAAGAGAAGTTGCTCAGAAGGAGCAGTTAGATAATTGGTTGTGGAGAGGAGGACTTAGCAGACAGCAACAGGTATCAACTCTGTGACACTTTCATCTACATTAGAAGGTGAAATAGGTCTTAAAAAACTATCCTGTGTGATACAATTACATGGTGAGAGAAATAAAATCTCATGGCTGAGACTGAAGTCAGATCAAATTTAAAGCACAGGTAATTAAAGAGACAAATCAGTATCTATCTTATAGGCTTGTCATGAGGATTGAATATTTGTAAAACACTTTAAACACAGTCTGGCACACAGTAAGAATATAAGTATTCAGAAAGTAACATTTCATGGGTCGCCCTGTTGTCCAGACTAAAATATGAATCTAAGGATAGAGAGCTCATATTCCTATTACACAGTAAGTGCTCAACAAAGTTTAGTGGATAAAAAACTTAGGTTAACACTAATGATCTCACAATATGTGAAATCCTCAAATCCACACCCATTTTGTTTCTCATCAAGTGTGTACATGTTAGGGTATTGGAAGTATAAAACACTGCAAAATCAAGATTATGAGACTGTTCAACTCCTCTCCTTCAAAATTGAGAGTTTATCTACGTAAGTCACTAAAAACATTAAGGGGATCAGGAAGTATCACATAATAAAAAAATGTTTGGAGCTTCAAGCTTTCCCCATGTAAATAGGTACCACCATTTCACACAGCTCTCTGAAGTGCTCAAGTTGCTGAAATGAATGTACAGAAGTTATCTTGTTTCTGGAGATTATAGGTAAACATTTTATGATACCTGAAGGGTCAATTCGTAATCTTCAATAAAGTGCTGGTTTCTTCGTGCAAGCCTCCCAGCCTCCTTTACAAAATCAAAAACAAGAGAGGTACTACAGCAAATTACCTGATTAGCTATCTTTCAAAATTAAATTGGTTCTGATCTGGATGTTGTCAAAAAAAATATCTAAAGCCTGGGGAAGATTACAGTGTTTGTAAATCAAAAGCAGCTGCTTCTATTTGTAATGGCTGTCTTTCTTTTTTTTTTTTTTTTCTGAGCCAGAGTCTCGCTCTGTTGCCCGGGCTGGAGTGCTGAGGCATGACCTCAGCTCACTGCAACCTCCGCCTCCCCCGTTCAAGCAATTCTCCTGCCTCAGCCTCCCGAGTAGCTGGGATTACAGGTGCTCACGACCATGCCCAGCTAATATTTGTATTTTTAGTAGAGTCGGGGTTTCACCATGTTGGCCAGGCTGGTCTCGAACTCCTGACCTCATGATCCACCCACCTTGGCCTCTCAAAGTGCTGGGATTACAGGTGTGAGTCACCCCGCCCAGCCGTTTTTGTTGTTGTTGTTGTTGTTGTTTTGGTTTTGTAAGCCTGATTTGACAATCCCCTTTTAGGTTTGAGTTCACAACAAATATGAAAACTAAGCAAAGCATTAAAGCACAAAGAACAGGCTTTGTCATGGAAATCCTAAAATGCTCTTAGCTGTTGCAGGAGTGTGAGATGTTGGCTTGGGCATCAGTAGAGAAAGCTAACCTGGTAGTTGATAATGACAAGTAGTTATGTAAGTAGATTTTCTGAGCCAGGCAGTTGGGCTTTTCTAGAAAATAGAAGTTGCTGAGCAAAAAGGGTGTGAAGAAAGGGCCTGGTGTGCCTGTATGTATAGCTCTCATCCACACAGCCTAAGTCCTGGATTGCCTACTGAAGTCTCTACTCAGGATACCACAATTTAACAGTTTCACACATTGCTTTGGGTTTTAGGCAATTTTTTTTTCTTTCTGGTTCATACCTGAAAGTAACTTTTTGCAAGAGCATTAAACTTAACTCTGGGTTACCTGGAAGAAGAACTGGAAATCTCAGATGACTCACATTTCCTGTGCTGTAACTCCAGGATTTTCAAACATCTGACACTTTCATCCCGGTTATCGAGGAAATAATATGTTAGCTCCGTCAGACTGCTTTGAATGGTCATGCATTGCTTAACGACAAGGATACGTTCTGAAAAACGCATCCTTAGGTGATCTTGTTGTTATGCAAACGTCATGGAGTGTACGTACACAAACCTAGGTGGTATGTACATTTTTATTTATATATTTTTTTCCTATGGAAAACCAAATGTTCCAGCACTATTACTGAATATCAATCATTTCCTCTACTCATGCTGCATTGCTGATATCTAGTGCCATGTATCAGGTTTCTATATTTGCTTCAATAGAACCTTATAGGACCACTGTCACATAGGCAGTCTGTTGTTGACTGAAATGTCCTTATATGGTGCATGACCGTATTATGTTCTGGGGTAGAAACAAAACTTTGAGGGCATGCAGACCTGAGTTTGAATCCTGCCTTCCTGCCTTAAGAGTTTTGCCATGCTGGCTAAACTCATCAGCCTCTTGGAGTCTCGATTTGTAAAATGCAACTAGTAAATGCTGTCAGGAAAGACTTCCTTCCTATAAGCACTCAGTGTCTGGTATTTAGTGGGTGCTTTAATCACTGGCTACTGTTATTCATTGTAGACCTTTCAAAAGGGTATACAGGGACAACATGGCATTAAAAGTCACCTACTGTGTGTCCTTGAGCAGATAACTAAAACTCTCTGAGCCTTGACTTTCTTGTCTATAGAATGGGGATAACCACACCCATCTCATAGGGTTTTTGTTTGTTTGTTTTTGTTTTGAGGTGGAGTCTTGCTGTGTCACCCAGGCTAGAGTGCAGTGGCGCTATCTCTGCTACGTGCAACCTCCACCTCCCAGGTTCAAGTGATTCTCCTGCCTCAGCCTCTCGAGTAGCTGGGACTACAGGCGTATGCCATCACACCCAGCTAATTTTTTGTATTTTTTAGTACAGATGGGGTTTCACCATATTGGCCAGGATGGTCTCAAACTCCTGACCTTAAGTGATCTGCTCGCCTTGGCCTCCGAAAGTGCTGGGATTACAGGCATGAGCCACTGCACCTGGCCATATAGGGTTTTAAGAAAGATTAAATGAAATATTCGGTGAGTGTCTGGAACATAGTAAGCAGTGAGTAAATGGACAAATGGTAGTTGTGTTATTTTCATTATTGTTGTTTGCAGCTACAACTGCCAATGAAAAACTAAATCACAAACTTCCTCTAGATGGTCCCGTTCACTTTACTCGTTACATTGGTTTCAGAGCATCCAAAGTTTGAGCTTCTTTCTTTGTTTCTTCTCTCACTCTCCTTCTAGAATGTAGGTTCATGAGGTCAGGGAACCTTGTTTGTCTGGTTCACTGCATTTTCCTCCATCTCCTAGTTCAACATCTGACTCATCGTAGGCCTTTGATAAATATTTGTCATGGAAATGAATGAATGAGTAGACACTTTAGGCAGAACCCCATTTTCTCTCTCCCACTTGGGTCCGTGGATCACTGTGGAGTAGCTCTCCAGCATCTGCCTGGTGTCTGATGGCTCTGCCATATGCATCATCCTTCCAGTAGATTCTCTCCACCTCCTGGCATCTTCTCAGGCCACCTCTTTCCGCTGCCTGCTCCCCCTCCCCCAACCAGTGTGTGCTCAGGGAATGCAAACTAATTTAACCAAAGCCAAACATAATTAGGAGAGTAAATCTGCTGCTACTGCTGCTGCTAGAGCAGCAGAAAAAAAAACCCCATAGCATGCATTCCAAAATGAAATCCGGTCTGGGGGCTTTGGGGAGCCCCTACTGTAAGTGTAATGGCCCTGCTGCAGTGGGCTGCTGGCTTCCCCAGTAGGCTGGACAGGAAGGAGTTAATTGCACAGTAGTACCCTTTTGCTTCCAGGAGTATAAGGAGGCAGGGTAACACCCATCTTATAAAGTTGCCTGTTCTTGGGGCTCACTATTAATGTCATTCGACGCAAGGCAGTTCCAAAACCAAACTCACTTCTTTCCTACCTTCCTTCTTGTCTTCATTCATTCATTGGTTAGTTTGTTTTTTCATCTACCAGTGCTCACCCTTCTGCTATCATGCTGGGTACTGTGCTGAGTATTAGAATCACTGCAGAGGGCAGAAGCTGGTCCAGGGCATCCCCATAGGGGTTGGGATGGCTTGGGGCCCACACCTTTTAGAAGACCAGTCTGGGATCTAAAGTGTCTCTCAGTTTCTCTTGGTTTCGCTCAGACACTTGAATGGATTCTACCCCATTACTCTCCCAGGAACAGGAGGGATTAGCATTTGAAGAATCAGCATAGCAAGTATTTTCTTTTCACTTCAATTTTATGTTGCCAAGGGTTGCTTGAGGTGGGGAAGCTTGATGCAGATGACACAGGGCATCCCCTTCCCATCACCACCCCCAAAGTCCCTCTTGAGCCACCCCTTGGCATCCGGCACTGGCAGTGAGCAAAGCATACCTTGCCCTGTGGAGAGCGGAGGCTCCTGTTAATAGAATGGTCTGGAGCTTCTTAGCTACTCTTGCCGTAGGTGAAAGGCTATTGAGAAAGCTCTTGGGATTTTCTTAAAGCCAGATATCTTGATCGCCAACTCGCAGCCCAATGCCCAGCCCTCAGCACTATACAGGGAA
Organism: Homo sapiens; assembly: GCF_000001405.40. NCBI lineage: Eukaryota > Metazoa > Chordata > Mammalia > Primates > Hominidae > Homo > Homo sapiens. The sequence goes on along the minus strand of NC_000004.12, from coordinate 16,788,091 downwards.
TGCCCATCTGGCAGAGAGGGGGGGGAGGATCGACTTCTGCAGCCAGGAAGAAAGAGAGTGGCCAGGCACATGCACCCCAAGCTTGGTTTCATTTATTCCTATAGGAAGAAAGAGAGTGGTCAGGCACATGTACCCCAAACTTGGTTTCATTTATTCTTAAGTAGTGGGAAGCAAATCTGAATTTGGGTCCTGACTTCCCTTTCTAGTAACAATATTTACAATATTTTGAGTGTCTGCAGTGTCCATGTGCTTTGTTAAACTCACTAGCTATGAAATCCTGCCAAATCCTTAGGGCAGTCCTACAAGACACTAAAAAGTGTTCCCACTTTCTGAGTAACAAAATCAATAGGAAGTGCACCATATGCCTTCTAAGTGGTAGAACTGGGGTTTGAAGGAAGTTTTGCCCCCTAATATGCTGTTGTAACACCCTATGTTTTGCTTATAGTTCATCTTGTTGCACCCCCACTCTTTTTTTTCTGAGATGGAGTTTCACTCAGTCACCCAGACTGGAGTGCAGTGGCGTGATCACAGCTCACTGCAACCGTAGCCTCCTGGGTTCAAGTGATTCTCTTGCCTCAGCCTCCCGAGTAGCTGGGATTACAGGCGCATGCCACCACGCCTGGCGAATTTTTTGTATTTTTAGTAGAGATGAAGTTTCACCATGTTGACCAGGCTGGTCTCGAACTCCTGACCTCGGGTGATATGCCCACCTTGGCCTCCCAAAATGCTGGGATTACAGGAGTGAGCCACCGTGCCCAGTGAATTGCACCCTATTTTTGTTACCTATTTATTATTGGCATTCCTCCATAGGCTGTAGACTTTTTGAGGCAGGATTGCATCTTGATGGTTCTCTATAGATCCTCAACTGGTAGCATAATCTTTGACACAGCATAGCTGTTCAATACGTGTTTATTGAGTGGAAAAGGGAACACCTAAATAAATGCCTCTTCAGCACCTGCTACTTTTTCCCTCTTTTGCAGCCAAAAAAACAAAACAAAACAAAAAAACCTCTCAAACTATTTTAGAGGGAAGCTTTTTATTTCCATTTTGTGACTGACTTTATTTAGATATCAACAATAGGTTCCCCCTTCCAGCACCCTAAAACTTCAGGGGAGATGGAAATCATCTCACAGATGGGATAGGGACCCTGAGGAGGCCAGAAGAAAGGTGTACTGTGTCTAACTCCACCGGTGGTAGGGTTCACAAAAGATTCGGGAATAGAGTGTGCAGGGCTTAGGGCCTGGTTTGGTGAGGGAAGAGAGACAGGTGCCTCTGGTTTCTGACAAGGCATATGTATTTTTCCCCAAACAATAATGTTTAGGCATTTGAAGAGCTCTCAGTTGTTCTAAGTCTCTTATATTGACACTGAGAGGTTGGCAAAAGAGAAAACAATAAGGGGACCCTGGTAGCCCAATCCCACTCCCTTTCCTAGCCCCTAATGTCTGTGCCAACTATGTGACTCTTAGAATATACTCTTGCTAGTTTCTCTGTTTGAATATGTGTTTATGTGTGTGTATCCATTCAGATACAGGAAAACTGAAAAACTATGCAGGGTAGGACCAGTTTGCATTCCCAGGCTCCAGTTTCTCAGTACACAAGAGAGTCACAGTTAGTAAAGATGTACTGGGAGATCCCAAAGTGCCAGGCAGAGTTCTAGGCACAGGGCTGCAGCAGTGAGCACAACAGCTGAAATCTTCTGCTTCCTTGAGTTCACATTCTAGTTGAAATGAGACAGACAATAAACAAATAAACAGACAGCAGATGCTCAAAAGTTTTGTGGTTGATAACGATGCCGACTACAGCATTTGCCAGCTCTGCTAATGAGTCTCCCTGGAAACTTGAGTGGTTGATAAGAGGATTAAGAACCTAGAAAAGTCTTACTGGTAGATCGGCTGACTTATGAGTTACAGAGCCTGTGGATCATGGTGGATATAGGATTCTGTCAGTTACATTCTGGCTGAGAAGAAATTCAATTAAAATATATATGTTTAAACTTTCTTCTTAAGGTATTTGTTCCAGAAATCAGAGCTCCCTTTTAGTGGTTGTTAATATCAGGAAATGAATATCTGATTACATTTTTCTAAGGCGAGTCCCTTAGCAGCAGGCAGAGTCTCATCTCATCGTATCTTCTGCATAATTCATTTTGGGGAGAGTCTCTTGAGTTTTGCTTTCAAAACTTAAGGAGGAAAATGAAGCTGGTTTGAGGGTCATAAGAGTTTTTAACCTTTCTGGATAAGCAAAAATACCTAATGTGATTCCAGGAACGGACCCTGAAATGTGAATTTCTTGAGAAGTGGTAGAGAAGATAAGCCTTCTAAGTAGGAAGGCTAGGTGATTCTCTGATTGGTGTGGATGTGGGTCGAGGGGAGCAGGCAGACTTAGGAGTGTGAGCCTGCCAGCCAGCCAGCAAATATGTTGTCCATGCCACCCTGTCTATCTGCCATGCATTTCTCAGGAACCACTTCTCATGCTTGACTAGAGCTTATTATCACAGAAACATTACAGAACATTGTTTTCTCTGCTTTCACCCGATGCGGCTGCTGCCCGGCCATTGCAGCCACGGTAGGCGATGCTGCCACATTACATTTTGGCCTGTTTACGGAGTCGGAATGGGCACTTGCAACTGCTCATTACAGTGATGCATCCGTCCTCACCATGAAGCCTTGTGTTTCTCAGCAGAGCATGACCACGTCTCCCAGGGAATATGGCCCTTTCCTCCTTTGTTCTAGACTGGCCTGAAGTTGAACTTGGACCCAGGAAGTGATTGAGAAAAGGCTGGCATTGGTTGGTGCCTGCTTCAGTCTCTGCTAGGATGCAATTGTGGCCTGGGGTGTTCCAAACTGTTGGATGGAGGCATGTTTATCATGCTGACAGACATTTTCTTTGTGTCACGTTTAGTTCTTTGGGTCACCGAGAGAATTTCCCAGAGGATTTCTTCCAGGCTTTTAAGAAAAAGGATTTATTTTTACAAAATTGGGATTATTAAATATACGTACATACACACATACCTATATAAATAACTTGATATTATTTTTCTTTCGTTTACTATTATAAGCATGCCATTAATAACAATGAAAAAAAAACTGTTCTTCAATTATAGAGCAACACCCACTCATTGTAATAATCTAGGTGCTGTGGGAGAATGGAGGGTATTTAAGGGTGGCAGAGCAAAGGGGTGTCGACAGTCTACACCCAGGGAGCAGAGCACCAGTGAGCTAGGAAACGATTGTTTTCTGACATTATGGTTATTTTTAGGGAGAATAAAACCAGATGCAGAGTGCATAGGGTATATAATGGAGAGAGGATAGAGTTGTTGGGAGGCGGAAGAAGGAGAGAGTGGTGGGCTACCATGGCAGGCTAGGATTAGACCCCAGAAAGGCCTGAATGGAATGCTGAGGAATTTGAACTTTCTTCTCCAGATAAAGGATTCCACTCTAGACTTTGATGACTTGATAAAGTGAGCAGAGGTAGACTTAAGGAAATTCACAGCATTCTTGGTTCACACAGCTTTGGCCACCTCTGCCTCTGAAGCTATTTCTAGGTCCTGAACCATTGCTCTTTATGGAGGGGAAGAGGAAAAATATCTGAGGTTCTTCACAAGAGACTCTCATGCTTGGGACCAGCCTCTGAGCCCCTGGGAAGAGATGGTGTTTCCTATTGCCTGCTAAGGAAATGTGCACATTCTTATTTAATTTTTATACTAAATTTTCAAGGTGGAATTACCAGCCCCAGTCTACAGATGAGGAAACAGAGGTGTAGAGGTTCCTACTACAGAAGCAGAATGAGGTGCAGAGAGTGGCTTTGGACTTCCAGGAGCTTGGTTGGCCTTGTAGCTCTGACAAGCTCCGCATGGATGTCCTTGGACAAGTCAGTTCACCTCTCTGAAGAGGAGAATTTGTTTCCTATGTGGATCACTTTTGCCTATGTGCCCCAGGGTGCCATGAGGCTTACATGAGATGAAACGCTGATTATTTTAAAAATTCTTTAAAAATTCTTTTTAAAATCACACAAAAAGTTAGCAAGCAAAGGGAACCACTGGCAGCAGGGTCAATGCACTATGCAAAACAGATACTAATTCTGTATAATCTGATTCTTGTCCAGTCATCTTAAATGAAGGCTAAAAGTGATTCTTCAGTAATAAAGGGAATTACAATTCCTACATGATTGTAGAAGCTTGGAGAGCAATTCTAGCACAAAGCAAGCAATTATACATTGCAACAAAATAAAAACTTTTTTAAAAAGGCAAAAGGGGGGAAAAGGAAACCAAAAACCACTCAAATCCCTTTAGAAACACTATTTAATAATGCAAACTCTCTTTTCCATAGAATTCCAATCAAGGGGCACTTTGGCCATGAGGAAGCAATTAGGAACATCTATGATTTAATGAAAATGTAAAAAACCAAGGGCAAAGAAAACAACCATGTAACAAGAGTCTACTTCTCATATCCCTGCCACCAAACTGCAGGACACAGTACAGCTGCAAGGCTTATACCACTGATGGCTAATATCAGCCAGAGACATGATCTCCATAAGCCAGCTCTGCCTTGTCTTTTTGCTAGAATGCAAAGAAAATGATGCTTTAAACAAAGCAAGAGCCAGGCATGAATGGCACCAAGTGAGGACAACCTCCGTGGGTGGCCATTCAGGCCTTCTGTGATTTAATGAGGAGAAAATGCAAGGTCTGGCTTTGCTCTCTTGGGCCTTGGTGAGAACATGCATCCTTCCTTATGCAGGATTTGGCCATCCATGGGGCTCCCCCTTCCTGACCATAAACATCTACTGTAATTTTAATTGTAAACAACGTTCCTTGCAACAGTAAAGTATAAATCACTCTTCTATGACTTGGAGCTCTTCCGGCCTCAGACAATGAAGCAGGGTCAATCTGTCCTGCTGACATCATCCCATACCCCTAGGCCCCTGCTTCTCGTTCATAAGCCTTCTTTCTGTTTTCTAAGCACTTTGTACTAACTTATGCTTCGGGTCTTGGCACTAGCTGTCCTGCTGCCTGTACGCCTCAAATTCTTCACATCTTTGAAGACATGAGTCTTATTATTTGGGTCTCAGCTCAAATGTCATCTCCTGGAGAGAGAGAGGTCTTTCCCAGCACCATTTAACTAAAGTAAATCCAGTTACTCTAAGTATTATTCTATTTTATTTTTTTTCAAGTACTTCTCATTGTCTAAAGTTATCTACACCAATAATACACCCACATGTTTGTCTACTGGACTTATCTGCCCCCTTCCTCTACTCCCCCTCTAGATAACAAGGTTCAAGAAAACAGAATTTTGTCTTCTTATTTATCACTGTGTTCCCATCTCCTAGCACAGTTCCTAGCATAGAGTAGGCACTTAATAATATCAGTAGAATGAATAAATAAAATGCTAACTTGCTTGGGGTTTGTGAGTCTTTGGAAAGACTGTGTTGGTCAAGAAGTATTTATTTTGCTGGGCGTGGTGGCTCACGCCTGTAATGCCAACACTTTGGGAGGCCGAGGCAGGAGGATCACAAGGTCAGGAGATTGAGACAATCGTGGCTAATATGGTGAAACCCCGTCTCTACTAAAAATACAAAAACTTAGCTGGGTGTGGTGGCACACACCTGTAATACCAGCTACCTGGGAGGCTGAGGCAGGAGAATCACCTGAACCTGGGAGGTGGAGGTTTTAGTGAACCAAGATCGTGCCACTGCACTCCAGCCTGGGAGACAGAGCAAGACTCCGTCTCAAAAAAAAAAAAAAAAGTATTTATTTTATTCATTCCTTCTTTCAACATTTGTTGAGCGCCAAGTATATTCCAGGAGCTGGAGAAAGAGCAGTGAATTAGATCTGATTTCTGCCCACAAGGAATTCAGAGTGGAGATGGAGAGAAAGAGAAGGAAGCAGCATTGCGGCCTGATGTGAGATGAGCACGTCATGGTACGAAGGCTTAGCCAGCGCTTGACATGGTAATGATACCTGGCCTGCGGTTTGGAATAGTATGGAATTCAGTGGTCCTCACAGTTAAGTAAGTGGGCAAATTGTTTCCTAGGCTGCCCTAACAAGTCACCACACACTGGTGGCTTGAAAATAACAGAAATTCACTCTCTCGCAGTTCTGGAGTCTAGAAATCAGCAGCCTTGGTTCCTTCTGAGAACTTTGAGGAAGAATCTGTCCCATGTGTTTCTCATGGATTTTGGTGGCACCCCTTGGCTTGTAGATGTGACACTCCAACCTTTACCTCCATCTTTACATGGTGGGCTTGGGGGTCTCTCTCTGCTTCTTATTTTAAGGACACCAGTCATTGAATTAGGAACCACCCTTATCTTAACCTATTAATCTGCAAGGACCCTATTTTCAAATTAGGTCACATTCCGAGATTCCAGGCAGACATGAATTATAGGGGAGGGGGCAGGTGACACCATTCAATCGAGCACAGTTGGCTACACCTTACTCTTATTCTGAAAAAGATACTTAACTTTGATGAGCATCAGTGTTCTGAGGGATTTAGTATGACTCTCCACTGAGCATTTGGGTGCATCAGAGTATGAGGAGTGACCCACATAATTCTCCCCATGATCTACTCCATCTACTTGGGGAAGAGGAGCAAAGTAGGTTAGTGGCTGGCTGGTAATCCTCCTCACTGTTCGTGCCTTCTGTCCTCCAGACTCCCTCAGCTGAGGGCTCGTACTCATCTGCTCTGACTTTATTTTCTAACTCAAAGTCTGATCTGTGTCCCACCAAAGCATATGCCCAGTTAAGTGCTCCTCCTTGGAGTTACTCTGTGAAGACTCATTCTCAAGTACAACAGAGCAGCTAAAGAAACTGCCGCGCATGACAGCTGCCTTCACTTCTGTGTGGCCCTTAAGATCCTAGCCCCACATCCTTTGCTGCCCACTCTTATGCCTCAGCCTGGCTTCTGATCTGTGGCATCCCTATTCTGTTTCATTCTTCTGAGGCTTCCCTCCAAATCACAGTTGGGCCACAGTCTTAGCTCTTCTTAGTAATGGGAACCAAAGTCCCTGAAGTCAAAATAGAGGACCAGAACCATGGAAAGAGTCAATTAATCTATTTAAAAGAGAGGTGCTTAGCCACCTCCAGGCAACCCTAAACCCCAGAGATGCCCAGAAGGATTCAAAACATGGGGTTCAGTGGAAAGATGACAAACATGAGAATCCAACAGCCCGGAGTCCAAGTCTAAGCCCTAAACTTTATTAGACATCTCACTGTGGATAAATTGCTTAACCTTCCAAGAAGCTATTGCCTCACTGACATCAATTCTTACCATTTAGTTAATGTACTCATTAAATTTTAAAAAGTAATAAAGCATTTAGCCCAATTTGAGACACGTGGAATGTGTGTTCATGAAATGTTTTTTGAGTTGTACAAAAAAAAAAAAAATTGAAATACCCAACACAGAGCGAATAAACTTGTAAAATTGAGAGAAAATACTGGATTGGGATCTGGAGAGAAAGGCTGTCATTTCCACTGATACACAAATACAGCGTCTCCTTGGCTTGCATTCTTCAAGTAACCTTAATGTTACCTCCTCTGGTGGCCTTGTGGAGCCACCTATATCTAACAGGAATCATCTTGGCCAGGTGCGGTGGATCACACCTGAAATCCCATCACTTTGGGAGGCTGAGGCAGCCGGATCACTTGAGGTCAGGAGTTCAAGACCAGTCTGGCCAACATGGTGAAACTCCATCAGTACCAAAAATACAAAAATTAGCTGGGTGTGGTGGCAGGCGCCTATAATCTCAGCTACTGGGGAGGCTAAGGCCAGAGAATTGCTTGAACCTGGGAGGCGGAGGTTGCAGTGAGCTGAGATCACACCACTGCATTCCAGCCTGGGCGACAGAGTGAGACTCCATCTCAAAAAAATAATAAAATAAAAAAAATTAGAAATCATCTCACTTCTGTGTAGTCTCAGTCCATTTTCCTCATACCAATTCTTACTAGTAATAATTTTTTTGGTTTTATTCACTTGTGTGTTTATTGTTTGTCACCTGCTCTAAATTTTGAGCTGCATAAGGTTTTTTTCTAAACTCTATTCCCAGCATGTGTGACAGGGAAGTCTACTTGATGAAAGTTGTTAAATGAGTGAACAAGTAAGTAAATAAACCCAGTTAGAGCAAATAGAGATGCTGCCATATTTTCACATTTTAACAGTTTCAAAAAAACAAATACAGAAAAGAAAGAAGATCTTGCATTTTGGAGAAGAAAATGAAAAAAGTCAAAAATAATTTCAAATTATATTTCTACTTGCAATTATAATAGCAAGTTAAGAATGATGAGACCTTGCATGTCATCTCCAGTGGGCACCCAGCTGATGCCTGGAACACTTGGACAGCAGCACTGCATTCAGTCAACTGAACTGACCATGGGGAAGGGGAAAACTAACTTGCCCTATTCATCCATTTCCTTTGACTACTCAGCATTAGGGCTGGTTTACCACTTGACAGCCCTAAACGTTAGTCTCTTTTAAAAAATGTCCTTCAAATATATGAGGACGCAGCCATGTCTCCTATGGCCCTTCATTTTCTCCAGGTTACTCACCTCGTGTCTTCCCACTCCTTCCCAAGAGGCAGAGTTGTATGTTTCAGGTCTTCTCATTGGCCAAGGTGGCAGGTGGGGCTAACAGCAGAGCCACTTAACTTGCCACCTAGTCTCGTTCTGAAGTGAATACCAAGTGTGAATGGAAAAGATCTGCAGGCAGACCCAGGCCATGCATGCTTCGAAAGCGCACTTAGTTTCTCATAAAGCCATAAAAGGTTTTAGATGACATTTTGCTTCAAAAAAGACAGATTCTTAAATGAGGGCAATTTCAAGGAGATCAGACATCCTGTGGTGCACTTAGCGGGGGAAAGCAAATTGCATAAACATTGCTCATCTGAGCAGCGGTGAGGCGTCCTGCCAGTGGTGGTGGCACAAGTTCAAATCCCAGGCTCCCAAAGCCAAGTTCTGCGGAGGCTCCCCTCCAGCTCAGTGCCCCCAACAGCTTTATGGCCAGGCTAAGTCATTCATTCCCCCATGTTTCCTAGAACAAAAGAACACAAGAGAGAAGTAAAGTGAGGTTTGTGAAAACAATGCATTTGTCTCGAAATTGTCCTTTTCTAAGTTATAGGGAGACAATGAGATAGGAATGAAAGAACATTGGCCTGGGAATCAGATGTTCTTGGTCTAATATTAGAACTGGAAGGGCCCTTAAACCAGAGCTAGTTCAGTTCTCTAACTTTACATCCAAGGATATTGAAACTTAGGTTAACTTTGTTATATATTTGTCTATGTGATCTTGAGCAAGTTGCTAAGCTTTTCTAGCCTCAGTTCCCAATCTGTAAAATGGAGATGATGACAACATTATCTACCCTTAAATAATTGTGATGATTAAACCATATGGGATAATGCATGTCATGTGCCTGAGAGAGAGAAAACACTTCAAAATGGCGAGCTAATATTGTTTTTCTATCAACAGGTAGTAATTGGGCTTCTGCTGTGTATCAAACTCTGCTCCAAATAATGAGGATACAACAAGAAATGAACACTGACCTTGTCTTCTTGAAGGCTGAGGGGGAAGACAGACATAAAAACACAAACTCACAAACACTCTTGATGGTGGTTGTGATAAGCGGAGAGATGGTGGCAGTGGTAGTGGGGAGGTAAGGTGAGGACAAGGTAGGGCGGGCAGGGAGCCTCTGCAGGTGTTGACTAGTAGAAATGAACCAGACTGGGAATTATGCAGAAAGTTTTATATAGAGAGGAGTTTCGTAGACATGATATAGCTCATGAGGAAGCAGCATATTTGTCTTGCATGCGTGTGTGCGTATGATTGTGTGTGTGTGTTGCATGAGGAGTGGTTTGATGGTCCTCAAAGGGAACAGTTGATTGTTCTTGGAGACATTCCCAAGACAAGTCTGAGAGCTAACATTCAGATGTCAGACCTTAAAGCATTCATGCATGGAGAAGGCCTCTTTGCCGTCAGTTTTCAGATCAAATATGTGTGCCCAATAAGGACTACTGATGGAGAATATAAAGTTGAGGTATGCTGAGAGCTGGCAACCAGGTAGTGTCATAGAAGTAGAAACGCAGGGCTCTGGGAGCAGCGGTGTGAACTGTCCTGAGGTGGAGAGGGATGGGGGAGGAAGGCAGGGCAGGGACAAGATTGAAAAGGAAAGCTACACCAGCAATAAATCCCAGTCAGGCGTTGGTAAGCTTCCAAGAGAAAGAAAAGAAAGTGATAGCTAATATTTGTTTATTAAGAGTGCTATGAATCAAGACTAACAGAGTTACTGATCATGCTCTGTGTCACAGCCCTGTTCTAAGCACTCTGCACATATGATCTCATTTGATCTTGACAATAAACCCAGGCAGATGTGATTGCTGTCCCCATTTTACAGATGGGGAAACCGAGGCCAGAAGAGAGAAGGAATTTACTCAAAGTCACACAGGTATTAAGGAGTGGAGATTACTTGGTCTCATCACAGGAGGGACCTAGAACTCTAAATTGATCATGACACATGCCTGCTTAAAGCCTTTCTATGATATCCCATTGCTTGTAGGAAAAGAACCCACATCTTGTTTGGCTTTGCAAGGTCCTGCATGGGGGTTCAAGCCCTGGCGCTTCCCCAGCTTCATCTTCAGCCTCCCACCGCCAGCTTCCAATGCCTGGATGAGCATCTTCCTTTCAGTCCCTTAAAGGCATCACAGTTCTTCAATCTCAGGGCTGTTGTACTTGCTGTTTCCTCATGTCGGCTGACCAAATCCTCTCATGCCTCGGCTCTCGGTTGAAATGTTGCACTAACAGGAAACCATTTCTCACCTCCCAGACCATGAGGGTGCCCATCCTCTCCCCTAACACCGTATGCTCCACCCTCACGTCATTCATCCCAGGTGTAATTTGATCATCGTCGAGAGGATATTTGATGTCAGTTGCCTGTGGGAGGGGGCTAGGCTATTCCTGTTCACCCTCTACTTCCAGTGCCTGCACAGAATCCTTCTAAATCCCTGTCTGGCTCCCTCCCTCCCATTCTTCAGGATTTTATTCTAAATGAGTGGTGCTCAAACTGGGACAATTTTGTCCGCCTGACCCAAGGACATCTGGCAATGTCTGGAGACATTTTTGGTTGTCACAACTGAAGGGGGTGTTATTGGCCTCTAGTGGGCAGAGGGCAGAGATGCTGCTGAACACCCTAGAAGGCACAGGACACCCCGCAGTGAAGACCTGGATAGCTCTAAATGTTTGCGATGCTGAGGTTGAGAAGCCCAGCTCTAAAGAGACGTTCCCTGCAGGGCCTTCTGTGGTTATCCCATGTAAATTTTACTTCTCCTTCCCCACTCCCGTATTTCATGTCCTCATTTTCTGCTTTACTGCTTTTCTGCTGTACACTTAATGCTATCTAATAAATGACATATTTCATTCATCTTTTTCATTATTTGTCATCCGCTAGTATACAGGGTCTTCAAGGACGTGGATTTGTGTCTTTTTTGTTCACTACATCATCACTAAATCCTAGAAGAGTGTCTCGCGCAAAGTAGGCGCTCACTGCATATTTCTGAATGCACGAATGAATTCAGAGTCCTAGGTAACTACCCCCATTCCATCAAAGAGGCCCCTTGGGGTTGAAATCCATTTGCCATCCCTATGGAGACTGTCCTTGGACTTTGGAAGAGATGGAATTTAGAGATTTCTTCTTTTATATCCTTTGGTTGTGATGTTGTCTCCACTTTAGCCATCACTAAGATCCCCCAAAAATGTTTTCACTGAAGGCAAGAGTGGGGAAAGTGGGCAGGTTCTCTCAGTAAACAACAAATTCCTAAAGCAGTGAGTGTTCTGGTAGGACCTCTTTGGAAGGACCCTTGGAATTGTCCTTATATTTGACAGATGGGGAAACCAAGGTCCAAGCACACCCTGTAAGGACATTTTGAACACTGACGATTTTTTGATTTGGACTTACTTAAGGTCACCCATCAAAGAAGTATCAGGAACAGAATCAGAACCCAGTTTCCTGACTCCCAGGGAGATGGAAGGGGGAAAGCGAAAAGTTCTGCTGATCTAAATATGGATGCTGGCAGGCAAGCCACAATTTTCTAAAGCTCTCTTTTCTCTTGCAAGTTGTGATCTCTAGTTGACAAGGAAGCAAATTGAATAGCTAAATGGAGAGCTTTCTGAGATGCTGAGATGCAAATTAGCCTGAACAATGTGCAACTGTGGATTTGAGGTTGGTGTGCAAAATAGAGGCTTCGCTTCAGTCAGTCTGCTTGAAAAACTCACTCTGATAGGTCCTTGCTCTTTTGCAGCCAGACACTATGCCAGGCACTAGGGGTACAGGAAAAATTAAACACCGATCCTGCCCTTGAGGAGTTTGCAGTCTCATTTCTCATGAGGGAGACAGACAGTGGAGGGCATGCTGTTTTTAATCCAACAAAGAGGCACTGATACTGTGAGTGTCCGTGCTTTGTCAACTGTGTGTCAGGACCCGGCTAATTGGATCATGCATTTCCTGAGAATAGGGAAACCCATCTTGAATGTCACTGACAACCATAGTAATAATGATGGATAACAATTGTTGATGCTTACTGCATTCCAGGCACTGTTCTAAGCACTTTAATTTATCAGTTAATTTAATTCTCATAGTAGCACTATGAGGTAGCTACACTTATTATTACCATTTTTTACAGTGAAGGCAGATGAGACTGAGTAACTTTTCCAAAGCAACAGAGCAAAGAATAATGTCATTGATGTCTAGACCCAGGTCCTCTGGCAGCAAGGTGTGTAGGCTGTATTTGTAAGATGCATTATGGATATATATTATTTAATATCCACAGCAACTCTGGCTTTGGGACCGTCTCTGCCACTTAATAACTGTGTCCTTTGTTGGGCATTTACTCTGTTCCAGTCACTGGTCCATGTATTATATAGCTTAATCCTCACAATTAAGAGTGAGGTATAATGATATCCATTTTATAAATAATGAAACAGAGGGACAAAGAGCTTTGGTAATTTGTCTGAGATCACACAGGTAATAAAAGCCAGGATTCTGGACATTTTGTGTAAATGAAATCACCCAATATATGGCCTTTTGTGTCTGGCTTCTCTCATTGCCATAGTGTTTTGAGGCACATGTTATACACAGCATGCATCTGAATTTTCTTTCGTTTATTACTTCTAGTGTACCATTGTCTGAAGATACCACATTTTGTTTATCTGTTCATTAGTTGATAGACATTTGGAGTGTTTCCATTTCTTGGCTGTAGTGAACAATGAAGCTATGAGCATTTATGCATGCATGTATGTAACCTTTTATTACTAGGTATTTTCCCACAGTCCCCTGTCTCTTGCTCACACACACACATGCACACACAAACACAAAGAGGAGTTCAAAGGGAAGAGTTCTGAGGCCAGATTATATGACTTTGATCACTGACTCCAAACTGTACCAGCTGTGTGACTCTGAGAAAATTAAGTAACCTTTCTGAGCTTTGGTTTTCTTCACCTGTAAAATAAGGATAATAATTCACCTCTCTGATAGTGTCTTTCAAAGGCTTGACTTAGATAATGCACGTTGTTTGGCTCATAATTACACAATCAGTAAGTGCCAGGTAAGCAACAAGAATACAGAAAACAACCCAAAGAAGATGGTGACTCCATCCATGCAGTGCACAGTCTAATTGCTGGGACATAAAAGGATAAGAACTGGGCATAATGTAAAATAAAATAAAAACATAATATTACAGGAATAGTCACCATGAGGTTCCCATTAATTTTTTAAAAAAACGCATATCTCAGTCTAGAAAATAAAGACTTTTCTGCAGGTTGGAAGGTGTGAGAGGCGTTAGGATCAAGGCAGGACAGGATGGAAGCCTTGAGGAATGAACAAGGGATGGTTGAGAAAGTGTGGGAGAATGCGTGGAATGAGGGCATTGCATCGGACTAGTTACCCTTTTTTTTTTTTTTTTTTTTTTTTGAGACGGAGTCTCACTCTGTTGCCAGGCTGGAGTGCAATGGCGTGATCTTGGCTCACTGCAACCTCTGCCTCCCTGGTTCAAGCAATTCTCCTGCCTCAGCCCCCCGAGTAGCTGGGATTATAGGCATGCGCCAGCACGCCCAGCTATTTTTTTTGTATTTTTAGTAGAGATGGGGTTTCACCGTGTTGGCCAGGATGGTCTTGAACTCCTGACCTCGTGATCCACCTTTCTTGGCCTCCCAAAGTGCTGGGATTACAGGCATGATCCACCGTGCCTGGCCTGACTAGTTACTCTTGAGGCTGAGATGGGAGAATCCCTCGCGTCCAGGAGTTCGAGGCTGTAGAGAGCTATGACCACACCACTGCACTCTAGCCTGGGTGACAGAGTAAGACCCTGTCTCTCTAAAAAAAGAAAGGAATATGAAAAAAGAAATATTGCAACTGTAGAAATGGAGGGGAGTACGGGTTCCTAACAGGAACTGGTCTGTGCATCAGGAGGTGTGACAGGTCAGTGAATGAAGCTTCATCTGTATTTACAGCCGCTCCCCCATCACTCACATTACTGCCTGAGCTGCACCTCCTGTCAGATCACTGGTGGCATTAGATTCCCATAGGAGCACAAACCCTATTGTGAACTGTGCATGCGAGGGATCGAGGTTGCACGCTTCTCATGAGAATCTAATGCCTGATGATCCGTCGCTGTCTCCCATCATATGCCAATGGGATTGTCTAATTGCAGGAAAACAAGCTCAGGGCTCCCACTGATTCTACATTATGGTGAGTTGTATAATTATTTAATTATATATTAGAATGTAATAATAGTAGAAATAAAGTGCACAGTGAATGTAATGCACTTGAATCATCCTGAAACCGTCCCCCAGAGTGTCCGTGAAAAACCTGTCTTCCACGAAACCAGTCCCTGGTGCCAAAAAGGTTGGGGACTGACGGCTTATAGCATTTTCTCCTCTTCAGACGTCATAAAGACAGATATCCTCCTACCTTTTCTTCTGGTAGGTTTTGGCTTTCTTTATTTACATGTTTACTTCCTCCAGAACTTACGTTTGGTTATGTGAGCTATAACCTAATTTATTTATTATTTGCGGGTGAAAAGCCAATTGTCTCCACACTCCTCATCAAATAATTCTTCTCAACCTCACTACCCGGCAATGCCGTATCTACCAGATACTTATTTTCCACACAGGCTTCTGTCTGTGTCTTGGTTCTCCATTCTGTCCCACTGTTCTGTTTGTCTGCCTATTTCCTTCACTTTATATTATCATGTAAGAATGTGCTTGTGTTATTTTAAACCATGTGTGAACATTATATTTTAAAGATTTCTGTTTTCTTTCCGGTGGACATATCAGTTTCTTGAATCATTTCTCTATTGTAGGGCAAACACATTGTTCCTAGTTTTTTGTGTGTGTGTTTTTTTCTATTATGAGTGCTCCTATGGTGAGCAATTTTTCGTATAAAGCATTTACATATTTTTGGATTATGTCCTTTGGATGGAGTCCCAGAAATAGAATTACTGAGTCAAAGGGCATGAATATTTCTTAATGCTTTTAATTCACAGCATATATTTATTTAAAACATTAAAGTGAATAAAGATTCTGGAAAGTTCCTGGTACTCTATGATGTGGTTGTAATCAGCTGGGCTGTGCCAGCTCTGAACCTTGGTATGGCTGCCCTGTGGGAGTTCAAGAGGGAGATTAATGTGTCTCCTTGATAGATTTATCTTTTGTCTTTGGTAGTTTGTCTAACACATTTTTTGTATTCATTTATTCAGGCAGTCATTTTTAACCACCTATTATATGCCAGGCTTCAGAGCAAAGCAGGCAATAGGATCTTATATTCCCAATGAACACAATTTTTTGTATGTAAGAAGACAAACAAACAAAATTGAATGATCAAGGAAAAATATAGACTGATGTGATAGCAAGTAGGCTTCTGTAGATTGGATGACCCAAAGATGACAAGGATGCTGAGATTTGAATGAGGAGAAAGAGAAAACCACACCAAAGAGAGGAAAGGCATCCACTGGTGGTGGACGCAGCTGGTTCAAAGGGCCCTGTGGTGTAGTGGAGTGCAGCCCTGGGCCCGAAGGAAGGTCCCCAAGGTAAGAACCTAGATCTGCGGGCTGTGCTGAGAGTGCAGTGAACCAACAGCAAAGAAGAAGAGAAAGTCCCATCCACACAGGAGAGTGAGCTCCCTACACAGCAATGACGAACCATAGAAAAGTTTTAGCTGGGAGGGTCACAATCTAATGGGTATTGTTAAAAGATCCTCCAGGCTTCTTTGCAGAGCACAGGTTACAGGGGAACAGGAGTGGGGGCTGAGAGATGAGTTAGGAAAAAGTCATTGTTGTCCAGGCTGAAGTTACTGGAGGCACAGAGAAGGGGTGGCAGTGGAAGGAAAGAAACATGGGTGGATTTCCATTCATGTGTTGGAGGTAAGTTCATGGGATTTGCTGACAGATTGGAGGTGTGGAGTTAGGGTAAGACAGGAATCAAGAGTATGTTCTCAAATGCTGGCCTAAGTGACTGAGAAACTGGAATTATATTATGGAGATGGAAGAGAATGAGAAGAATTGGCTTGTAGGGGATGGAGTTGGGGGAGATATCTGGCTTTGGCCATGTTAAGCCTGAGATGCCTCTTTGGTTAAGAAGTGGAGAGGTGAGTGAGGCAGTTAGAGTCACAATTCTGAAGTCCCAGGGAGAAGTTTGGAGCTGTAATATGTACTTGGGTGTCACTGACAGAGAGAATTCAAGTCCCCTGGTAAACAGATTTGTAAACAGAGAAGAGAATAGAAATGATTGACCATCATCAAGAAAAACATTATTTTTTTCTAGGTTTCAAGAATATTCTGGGTTTCTTATATTTGTCTTTGTGAACAAAAATTTTTTTTTCATTTTTTCCAAGTAGGAAGAGAGAAAATCTTGAGTTTTCTTATCTAGTGGTTTCCTGTGGCCTTGGTCCTGGCACAGTCCTCCAATGTTTAGTGGTGACTTGAAGAATTATTCTTGTCATTTGATCAACTATTCAAATGCAATAGGGTGGGTCACAGAAACAAGATTTTGAATCTTGCAAGCTTTTCCAGAAACATTCCCTTGTCTGCTGTGTTTATGTTGGAATGGAAAATTTGTGCCTGATTTTACAGTGAACTTTTCTCAAGATATACGACTTGCTGCCTCATGACATTATCCTGCATCTCGGGACCTCTCACACCTAGATGGTGTGATGTAATACGATGCGCGGTGCTCACTGCCACAGAGCTGTCATGAACAAAACCTGTGCTTCTAGAGTAATGCCTTTCCACGTCATTTTCAAAGTGGCTTTGCATAGGGTTCCCAGTATATTCTTTTTGATTGTGAGAGTACATGTCTCCATGTTTGAGTATAAAATAGGAAATTTAGTTATTAAAAAACAACCAATCCTCTTTCATACTAGAATAGTATAGAGTAGAGATTGCAACAGGCAGCGAGTAAAGCTTTGTGGATGGAAATAAAAATTTATGAGTCAGAGAGGATGCAAATTCCAATGTTGCCGCTTATTTGATTTGTAACCTTGGGTACATTTCTTAACCGCTTGGGGCCTCAGTTTCCCCACTGACATTGGGATAAGAAAATTACCAACTTGATAGAGAGCCTGTGAGGACTAGAAAATACTACATTTTGAAACTCTGTGCATTTTCACTGATTCAGTCATCAAAGAATCAAAGCCCCTGTTTCACAAACATGTAAATAGAGCAGAGAGTGGCAGTGTTCAATTATCATAAAATTAAAAGTGCTGGTTTTCTTCTGGGTTTTGAGAATATGCTGGGTTTTAGTTAAATAAATATTTATTTGTTGAATTAAGTGATTTAAATAATTAAATAATGGAGCAATTATTTGTTGTCTTCCTGCCATGTGTTAGATACTGTGCATGTAAAACACACCAGACATGGGTAAGATGTTGCCCTCAAAAAGCTGACAGGAATCCCAACTTCAAAAAAAAATTATTTCATCACACTTGTAATAAGTCTGGTAGCAAAAAAAGCTCAATTGTTGGCACATACACACTGAGGCATTTGAGTCATTGCTTTTAGTTATTCTAACTAACATTTCTGTTTGGACTGCTCAGAATTAATTACTGATTTTGTGGATCAAAGCTGGAGATTCAAATACATGAATTTCTCAGGTCTTTGGGGGGAAAACCACTGATGTAACTTCTACTGAAGAGCTGTGTCTACTGGATACCAAGTCTTGTCTTTCTGCACATTTTAATATGCGACTTTCTCAAGGCAGCATCCACAGGCACTAGACAGGGAACTATAGTGAGCACCTTCTAAAAGGGAGGGCTTGATTTGTGAGTGAAACACCGAGATGCTCTCTCAAAACACACAATTTGCTATGTTGGTAGTATGCCGTTTTATAATTCAGTTAAAATAATAACTAATGCTTACAGTTAAATAAAATGCAATTTAGCTGAGAATGAGCAAATCACAGTTGAGAATTAGAGAAGAAAAATTCAGTCTCTAGAACATGAGTTGTTTAAGAAAAAAAAAAAAAAAATCCCATAGGGCTGGGCACAGTGGCTCACACCTGTAATCCCAGCACTTTGGGAGGCTGAGGCGGGTGGATCACCTGAGGTCAGGAGTTCGAGAGAAGCCTAGTCAACATGGTGAAACCCGTTTCTACTAAAAATACAAAAATTAGCTGGGCATGGTGGTGGGCTCCTGTAATCCCAGCTACTCGGGAGCCTGAGGCAGGAGAATCGCTTGAACCCAAGGGGCGGAGGTTGCAGTGAGCCGAGACTGTGCTACTGCACTCCAGCCTGGGCAACAAGAGGGAAACTCCATCTCAAAAAAAAATAAAAATAAAAAATAAAAAGAATCCCATAAAAATAAGTAAAAAAGGGGAGATTTAAAATTCCCTCTCTGCATCCTTTTCATGCTTGTGCAGCTACCAGCTGGCAAGGGCAAATGGTCTTACCTTATTACTTTTATTTGTGTGTCTTCAAGCCGAATTCCATAGGTGTGATGGAAATCCTTGCTTTGGGCTGCCTGTTCCAGAGAGAGACCCAAACGTTCAGTGCACTTGGCCTTGACTGGATGTTGAAACAACTAAGAAGACAGATATTTTAGAGATATTGTTTTGAATAAAGGAACATCATAATGGAGCAGTCATGAGTCTAAACTTGCTAGCCAGTAGCCAGAGTCCTTGGGGTTGAACTCTTTCGTGGCAATTTGATAGCTGTGTCATGTTAAGCAAATATCTAACTCCTCAGTGCCTCAGTTTTCTCATCTATAAGATGGGGTTAATAATGCTACTTATATTATAGGGTCATGGTGAGGTTTTAAGGGGTTTATAATGTGCAATGAGTTCAGAAGGGTGACTGGCATACAATAAGTGCCTTGTAACTGTTGACTATTATTATTAAGGGAGGCTGATTCAAAATAAACATGGTTCGAGATAGACCCTTGGTTTTGGAGAAAGGGTGGCTTGTGATTAAGGAATCAAAAACACAGTTACAGTCTTGGAAAACAAATGACCTGAGCTTCCTACAGTGTGAGAGGGACTCTAGGTAACAGAAAGGCAGAAGGCATGAGATTTGGGATTTTTTTTTTGTCTTCTTTCTTAATATCTGGATATGGCAGAAAAAGAAATGTAGGCAGAGCAAGTGTAGCAAGTGTGTTTCTGCCTCGGTCATTTCAGGCAAATTTATCCTTTCTTCAGTATCTTCTGAGAAAGGTTAGCTGATGCATGTAAAACAGGAGTGACTAAAATAGTAAGATACAAATTAATAGTGTTATTTAAATGTGTGTGTACAAGAGAGTAGGGTTATAAGATGAGACATTCTCATTTTTTTCTAGAACCACAAGATACTGAAGAAAGTCAATGCCCTCCCATCTCCCATCTTTCAGACCCCTTCAGAATGCTCTCCACTTTGACCTGTTTAAGTTTATTTTAATAAAAAAAAAACACATTTTCAAGGAATAGATGCTTTAAGTATGGTTCATTCTTTGGAGGGGGTGTATGTGTACCACATGACAAGTGGTTGCCATGGTAATTTCTCATTATTGTTGAATTGAAAAATAATTACTCTGGCAAAAATCCCACGTAACCTGTCAGTGCTTAAGTTAAAGATGCCGAGGGGCAGCCCTGGCACCGGGATCCTGTTTTTGGTGAAGAGGGATAGGGTTGGGAACAGGAGAGAATCTAGGATGGAAGCAAAATGCTTCTGTAGATTTTTAAACATAATTAAGACTCTCTTCTGCTATTTGACATGACTGTGTGTCTCATCCTGATATATGATTAGGCTGCTGGTGAAATTTGGGTTCACCTGTGAGATGGGACAAAAGGACTAAGGACTGTAATAGCACAAATGCATATAGGGGATTGTTTAGAATAAAGAAGCTTTGATGATATTTTTTCCTAATTAAAATATGGAAGAATTGTCAACAACCACTTCCCCTGTCTGTGTTCAGGCTGAGTTAATTTCATCTTTATTTACCTGGAGGCTGCTGTATGCTATTGTTACTTTCTAGCTTTGGGGAAAAGAATTCACTTTTTACTTATTAATATTCACTAAACACTCGCCACACACAGTTCAGATACTAAACAACAGCAAGAATTGGAAGTAGCTGTCTGTTGGGAAAACACGTGTCCCAGATCAGAAGCCCTGTGGCAGTGTGCAACAGAGCTCAATCTACACATGAGTTCGGGCATTTGGTACTCAGTCCTCCTGATCCATGAGTCATTGTGGAGTGGCATGGAAAACCTACGTTTGCTTTCTTTCCTATGCTTGTGTCAAGAAATAATCCTCCTTTTGGTTAATGAAGGCCTTAATATACACTCCTCTTTTAAAAGAATGATCGGCAAAGTTGGAGTATTATTAGTAGTGTTACTCCATTTTTGCATCTTTTTTGGACTTCTAGATATTCATCCTTCTCCCAGCAGAGCTAGTCTCTGTTTTTGTCATTAAGCTGCTCTTGCTACTAGAACCCACTTGGAAATATACTGCTTAACAGTACTCTTTGAATCTCTACCCATGCATCAATCAGACCAGATGCAGATGCTTTTAATATGAAAGTACAGGGACCTCCTAATGAAAGGACCAAAATATAGACAGGTACAAACCCTATGTCTAGGCATATCCACTTTAGGCATGTGCCTGAGAGAAATTCTTACATATAAACACAAAAGGAAACTACAGAGACATTTATGGCAGCATTGTTGGGATGACCAAAAAATTAGGAACTATCTGAGATTATTAGTAGCAAAATGTTTAAATAAAATGTATTACCGCATATCTATTCAGTGCATTAGTATGTAGCTTATATAAGGAAAGAGAGACCCCAATATATAAATTGGGGCCAAGCACGCTCATGCCTGTAATCCCAGCACTTTGGGAGGCCGAGGCAGGTGGATCACCTGAAGTCAGGAGTTCAGGACCAGCTTGACCAACATGGTGAAACCCTGTCTCTACTAAAAATACAAAAATTAGCTGGGCGTGGTGGTGGGCGCCTATAATCCCAGCTACTCGCGTGGCTGAGGCAGGAGAATCGCTTGAACACAGGAGGTGGAGGTTGCAGTGAGCCAAGATTGCGCCATTGCACTCCAGCCTCGGTGACAGAGCGAGATTCTGTCTCAAAAAAAAAAAAATATATACACACACACACACACACACACACACACACACACACATATATGTGTGTGTATATATATACACACACATACATACATTTATATATAGACATATATGTGTATATATATAAATGCACACATATATATGTGTATATATAAATTGGATAGGTCTTCAAACACAATGTTAAATTTAAACAAATCACAGTTAAGGAAGAAAACATAATGTATCCTATCATGTAAATAAAATATTAAAAACAAAATAGGACTGTATATGAGTGGAATCATGCATGTATATTAATATAAAAGATGGGCTAGGAAGATCCATATGGTTTTCATGAGACAGTTATTTATGGAGGTCTGAGAGAGGAGAGAGAAAAACAGAGTAGGATATGGTGACCCAGAACATTTATTTATATTTGTAACATTTAATTACTTTAGAAAAGGAAAATGCAATAATATTGCAATAATTGTTAATTCCGGGTAATGGGCCCATGAGTCTTCATCATATTCTCTTTTGTTCTCTATTTTTAAAATTAATAAAGTAAAATTTGTCTTGATTAATGACAGCCAGTCAAGTGCATTCATGTACTACCAGCAACCTTAACCAACATTTCACTGAGATGTATAATACTCCAAAGGTGGCTCAAAAGCGTGGCAGTGTAGGTGTGAGATAATTTATTTAAATTTCTGCCTCCATATGAACTCCTGACATGCATGCCTGGGGCATTCCATTATTGTGAGATGAGATAACAGTGATGTGACAGAGAGAAGACTTCTCTCGAACACTGTCTTGGCCCCTAGCCACTGAGGTTAGATTTTAAGATTCCTACATTTTTAGAGAAAGAATCTTACTCGCCGTGTGGGTAGGGCCTTATCATCTGTTTAGTCCATTTTTCTACTCCATTATTGGGTACTAATTTATAGGAGAATCCTGCTGAGGATGCATAGATACATAATGTCCATTCCCTATCCTTAAGTAACGTAGTCTGCTGGAGCATACTTTAGGAAAATGTGTATTACAAGGTGATGATTCCATGATAATTTCATATACGCTCTATTGGGATTATAGTTGTCAAGATTTCCTAGTACAGGAGACAGTGAAAGAGGGGTCCACAAACTGCATCTTGGCATTTGCTGGACATTGTAGGTCAAAAGAATGACATATGCAAAGGCAGGGAGGCACAAAGAGTTGAGAAGGAGCCCTTAACCCTGACACGTGAGCTGCTGGAGGTCCCTTGGCTCAACACATTGCTGGGAGGCCAACTCCAGGGTCCTGCATATGCTGGCTCCTTTCTGGTGTGGTAAGAATGTTTTTTCTCTGGATAGACTCTCTTTTAGCTTAGATGCACAAAATGTTGTATCTCTTATATCTGCCAGTCCCAGATGTGCGTGCCACCCAATACACCTGGGAACAAGATGTCAGACTTGTGGTTGTGTTTTAAGAGCGTGTGCTATACCATTTACTTGGAAGTCCCAAAAGGTTGATCTTTATCTTTTGGGCAAAGATGAGACTGGTCAGTCTCAATGCACCTCCTGGTTAATCTCCAAGTTAGTTTAACGTGTGATGATTATGTGTGTGGAGTAAGAGTGATCAGCTGCACCCTGCTTTGCCTCTAAACTTTAGCGGAAACTGGATTTAGTGAGCTGCTCTATGGGATCCTTCATCAAAACGGCTTATAGCTTAACTCACACAGCCTCCTGCTGGCCGTCTTGCTGAACTTGGCCACATTGCCAGGTCCAAAAGGAGAATGGGCCATTTTTGTGGTACTTCCGCATCATTTCTCCAATGATGTTGGCTCTAAGTTTACGGTCAGCAGGTGGAACTGCTAGCCTGTACATAAAGCTGCAGAATTTTAATTAGTATCTTTTCTTTCAAATGACCATGGTCTCTTTTTCTTCCTCACATGTGGCCAAGCTAGAGTCTGTGTTGCAGGGTCCATACCATTCTAGATGACTGACAATTAAACCTTGGAAAATGGAGGGAATGATTTTTTTTTTTTTTTGTAGTGATTGTCCATAACTCATAAGGTAGCTGTGTCACCAAGAACTGAGTGTCTACCAGTAGAGTTGTTAGATCTTCTGCCAGAGACTTCTATTTGGCTCAGCAGAGGTCTTAGCTGTATTTCAGCCACTCCCTAAACTCCTAATCTCTTTATTATCCACATTACTTCTACAAAATTGCCTAACTGATCCCAGGAACTACACCAGACAACAGAATGGAAGCAAGAAGTGTTCCAAAAGATTTATTATCAGGAAAACCATGTGAAGGTGGGAAAAAGGGTATGAACTCCGAAAGGTTGGAGGGGGAAATTTCCTCTAGTCAATGCTGACCTCTTCCTCTAACTCTTGTAAAGCATTTTTGGTCTTCAACCCAAAGTGGGAAATAACTTTTTAAGTAAAATTATTTACAAAAAAGCATGTATTGGAGTTAGGCAGACTTGCTACGTGAACTTTAGCTTCATCACTTTCTTGCTTTCTAACCTTTATTGAGTAGCTTACCTTTTTTGAATTTTAGATTCTCTATGAATATCTTAAGGGTTAAATGAGATAATGATAAATAATAATAGTTGACACATATTGAACAACTACTATATGCCGGGCAGTTTCTGTTTAGTCCTCACAGCACACCGAGATTATTATTCCCACTTACCCAACAAGCAAACAGACGCAAAGAAATTAGATGTGTTGACTGAGGTCATCCAGCTATTAAGAGGCAGAAATCATATGTGCAAGTCAGTATAACATAGAAGTTAAGGACATAAGTTCTCTATAAGGCTGCCTGCTCTGCCCCTTGGTAGCAATTAGGGTAGTTGTGAATATAAAATGGTTCAATACATGTACAGCACTTAGAAAATTCTGGATTACGATACTAACATTAACCCTGGGCCCTCAAACATGTGCTCTTTCCATAATAAGCTTCCTTCATATACAGCCAACACAAGAATGGCCTATACCCAACACTTAGTAATTTTTGTCTTAAATCTCTATTACTTTTATTCCTTTCCTAAATAAACATTTGTTCTGTCATAACTAAAGACTAATTCAAAAACTCTGTGTGTGTGTGTGTGTGTGTGTGTGTGTGTGTGTGTACGTGTTTACATATGGGGGGAGATTGAAAATTACAATTTAAATACACAGAATGTCATTTTTATGCGTTTAAAATTATTGACCAACAGACAAAGTAGGGTCCACAATCAAGTTCTCCGGACAACTTTGTAAAGTGATTTCCCGAGCTGAGTTTGTGATGCCACGATAAGAAATTTATTCCATCCATCTATCTATTAATGTGTTCTATCAGCCAAACAAAAATATTATCTTATCTACCTATTATATGCCTGGCACTATGAACTTAAAGGTTACATTTTTATTTCGAGGATGTTCTTTCAAGATTTGTGACCAAAACCAATTACGTGTGTGTGTGTGTGTGTGTGTGTGTGTGTGTGTGTGTGTGTGTGGTGTTACCTAATGTGCCCATTCTCCCAGCAGACCTCTTCTGAAATTTCCTGAGACGTTGATTCATCCCATGTTCCACTGAAGCTAGTTTGAATCATATGACATTTCTCATTCTTGGATCATTATGTCTCTTTCAACTTCTGCCAAAACTCACGTATGTATGTAGGCCCTGTGGAACCTGTAACACTGCTCATAGACATTCCTCGAACCTCATTGTAACTTGAGTACTTTCTTTTCTCCCGGTGACCTCAGATCAGCCAGCATTTCTATTGACTTTTTTGCCTTTCACTGGTTCATTTTCCAGCAGAAGTGTCAGAGACCAAGAGTTAGATTATCAGAAAATAGAGGATGATATGGTTTGGCTGTGTCCCCACCCAAATCTCATCTTGAGTTATAGTTCCCATAATCCCCATGTGTCATGGGAGGGACAAGGTGGAGATAATTGAATCATGGGGGTGGTTTCCCTTATCTTGTTCTCGTGATAGTGCGTTAGTTCTCACGAGATCTGATGGTTTTATAAGGGGTTTCCCCCTTCACTGGGCATTCATTCCTCTCCTCCCCTTCCACCATGATTGTAAATTTCCTGAGGCCTCCCCAGCCATGCTGAACTGTGAGTCAATTAAACCTCTTTCCTTTATAAATTACCCAGTCTTGGGTATATCTTCATAGCAGTGTGAGAATGAATTAATACAGAGGGGATCCCGTCACTGGGCCTCTGAATAATGAGCAAAGCAAATGAGAAGTAATACATTTTCATTCAGATTTTTAACAGTGTTATAGACAGATGCTGTTGCCAGGGAAAAGGGTTGCTAATGGTTGAAGTGATAGGGAAAAGTGCTGATTTATAAACAGACTATTTTATAAAGTTCATTTTTTTTTTGAGACCAGGTCTCACTCTGTCACCCAGACTGGAGTGCAGTGGGGTGATCTTGGCTCACTGCTACCTCTGCCTCACAGGTTCAAGTTATTCTCCTGCCTCAGTCTCCTGAGTAACTGGGATTACATGTGCCCACCACCACGCCTGGCTGGCCAATTTTTCTATTTTCTATTCCATTTAGTTTTCTATTTTCTATTCCACTGAGTTTTCTATTTTTAGCAGAGTGTGGGTTTCACCATGTTGGTCAGGCTGGTCTCGAACTCCTGACCCTCAGGTGATCTATCCACCTAGGCCTCCCAAAGTGCTGGGATTACAGGCATGAACCACCACATCTGGCCATAAAGTTCATTTTCAGTGCAGTTCTTTATAAAGTGGAATGCCTCCTGCCCTAGATATGATATTAAAGATGGTAGACAGAGGCAGGGAAAGGGCATTTTATTGATCTTCACTGTCTTTGGGGTGCTCTCCTGCAGATTTTATCTCCTGAAGATTTTATTGATCTGCACTCCCTTTGAGGAGCACTTTATACCTACTAATTTATTTAGTCCTCAGATCTGTGCTGCCAGATAGTAACTATTGTTGTTGTTATTGTTATCCTCAGGTTCTAAATAAGTAGACAGGCTGGGGAAGGTAGAATAAGTTGCTAAGTTCACAAAGCTGGGAGGGGGCAGTGTTACCTGCAGGACTGAATTCCGCCATGATGTGTTACCAACTGCTTTACTGTGAAACGCCAGGCAGTCTCCTGAGCGTGAGTCCTGGCTGCAGGTCTGCACAAGGCAAGGAGCTCAAAGAAGAAATCAACCTCAGACTAAATATTCCCTTTCAACTCTTTCTCCCCTCTTGCTGAATCCTAACCACAGCCTCTCAAAGACTGTCAGGGAAATGTAGCAGGTTGCTGTACAGAGCAAAGGATGGGTAGGTCGGGGGTGTCCAGTGGTCTGAGTTGAAATTCCATCTCTGACATTTATTTGCTGAGTGTACTGGAGCAAGTGACATTTACTGCCTAAGCTTTGGTTTCTGCAGTTGCAAAGTAGAGATAATATGAGCAGCTTCATTCATTCATTGAGCTGCTTTTATGAGTAATATCCTAGGCTAGACACTGTTCTGGGGGTTGGGAGATAAAGTAGCAAGCAAAACAAAGCCCCTGTGTACAAGAAGCTTATATTTGTATTGAAGAGAAAAAAAAAAAACCACACACACAGAAGAAGTGGATTCGTACTGTGGATTAAGTAGGAAAATACACATAAAGTCATTAGACTAGTGCTTGGCATGTGGTAAACACTCAATAAATGTTAACTGTGACTCTTTTTCCATCTGTGTAGTGATTTAAAGTCGAATAAACCAATGTATCCAGTCTTCCGAATAGGGTTTCTTTCCCTGGCAGATTCCTCCACTTCCAAGCCCACTGAGTTTTTTAAAAGCTCCACAAGCTTCCAGAGCATTGAGGACGTGTGCCACGGTCTCAGATGTGGAGTGAAGCTGCCTGTTTAGTTGCTCATGTGATTGTCTTCTGCTAGTGGGCTTTAAGCCCTTTGAGGGTAGGGACCAGTCTCTTATTCAGCTGTGCATTCTGAAGGCCTACACATAGTTAAGTGCCCAATACATATTTGTTTCTGAAAGGAGAAAAAGCAGAGTACTTTGTACGTGGATCCATGCATTGCTCTTCGGTGGTTTCCTATCTACCCTGTTTTACTGAGAAAGGGATTGGCTTTTGCTATGGTGATTGGAAGGAAGCCAAAGAGAGATGCAAAAATTCATTTGTCTGAGCTTCTTCTTTTCTGAAGGAGAGGACGGCATCAATCTTCCGTGGCTCCTTAATTATTCTTGCTGGGACTGAGGGTTCATTCCTAAGGCCTGCCAGTGACAACAACTTAATGTTGTCATAAGCAGAGCAACTTAATGGGAAGAAGAGAGGCTTGTGGTATCTCTGCCAGGACTCAGTAGTGGGACTATTACATGGGGAGTGGCAATTCCCCTTCTATCTCCCCTTCCATCTGACAGGCAGCTGGGATGCATCTTGTCTTCAACTTCTAATTCTCTGGAAAAACATGGTGCTTAAGAATTTTGGGATAAATCAGGTCCTATACTGAGAATTTGACTGGGATGTGATTCCTCCTGTAAATATGACACTCTGTATAACCTTCTTAATTCACTGTGAGAGGGGCCTTCTTCTCCCCTTGGAGATTAACAGTGATTCTGACTGCCTTAAACTGGGCCGCTTCCAAAGTGTTTTCTGCATGAGCAGGAGAAACATTCAACCCAAAACAAACAAACAGAATTCATATGGATGGCCTGCATTCTGCTGAACTGCTCTATTTTTAATACTCTTTTTAACAACAAGCTAGTGGTTGCCTGTCCTCTTAAAACAATCAAGAACAGTCCATATATATGTGACAATCGCTTGTGTGTGAACTTCTCTATCAATCTATCCATCCATGTATCTGTACCTGTATCTTTTATAGGGATATTTGTGTATAGTAGAGCTAGGAACATCTCTGTTGATTAAATTATGTATGAAAATTATGTTTAACCTGGTTGTAATATTGTGGTTTCTATTTATAAAAATGAACTCTTAAAAGAGCAGAGAGAGAGAAAGAGAAAAAAAAGTCAAGTGTATTTTACATTAAATGCAAACCCTTTTGTCAAAAAACATCACATTGTGTTTTATAGCACATTTATTAAATCTCCCCAAATATATCCTGGAGAATTAATTTTTATTCGATTGGTTTGAGCTCACTTATTGAATTGGAATTTGGTTCCTATTTGAGGCAATTAATTTGAAGAGTGACCGCCCACCTACCCTTTCCTAGAACACCTACACACATACGCGAAGTAATGAGCAAGGAGCAGCTGAGTTTTTCTTTCTCTTCCCTTTTCTCTTCCTCTTTGAGATATTTCCCACTTTCCCTTGTTAAATAAATGATCTGTCTCTTTGCAGGATAGTGACAACCTCTGGTGGGACGCCTTTGCCACTGAATTTTTTGAAGATGACGCCACATTAACCCTTTCATTTTGTTTGGAAGATGGACCAAAGCGATACAGTAAGAAAGAAGTTTATTTTTCTAATATTACCTCGTTTTGTGCCTGTAAGAAAACCGCAGGGGTCTTCAGAGAATAGCACAGAGCTGACAGCCTGACAATAATACCTCCACTCCTGAGAATGTTCTTGCTTCTCATCGAGTCATTGTCACTGGGTGGCAGCCCTAGTTGGCTCTGACAGGTTTCCTTCGAGGCTTAGAATGTTTGGGTATTTGCCTGTTTAGAGAGTGAGGCAAATATGAACCAAGTCACCCAGTGATGAGTGGGAGCGGAATGATGGACAATTTCCATGCATCTCTTTCTGCCACCCTCTTTTATCCTTGACGGTTCACACTTGACATCCAATGTTCTGCTTCTGGAGGTTCTTAAAAATAATAATTCCTACTGTCACTGTATCAGCCACATCCTTCTAATCCCCTCTTATCAATTATCTCAGGTATTTATTTGACAAGTGCTATCTTTTTTTGGGGTGTGGGGAGGCCACAGTTGCTTTGAACATACAGTTTGGGATTAGTGTTGACAGAATTATAGTTCCTTGTCTTTCAGGCGAGTGATAACTCTGTAAAGATCCTCAAATTACAGCGTGTGGCACCTTGGGTAACAGCTGATCTGTCCTGATTAGGTTCAGCCAACTTGTCAGAGATCAGATTTGCTAGTTGTGCTATCAGACCAGGAGGCATAGATGCATCAGCACAAAAGCAATTAATGTCCAGTTAGATCAGAGAGAGATGTGTTTTCAGAAATCAGTGTTGCACCTAGGAAAGAATCCATCAGAGGAAAAACATCCCCACTGTCACAAACACTGAAATGATGAGGGAACCAGCCATGGAATGATGAACCAGTCATGGTATGAATGAGTCAATCCAGAACATTTGAAAAATTTATAGGTAATAGGGTTCTTGATATGTATGATTGAAAGCTCTGATTGTTGCTAATCTATTTCAAAGCCACTAGAGAACAACAATTAAACAAAAAATTGGGGGAGGCTTTAGGCAACTTGGTGCTATTTGCATACTATTAGCAACTATACTAGTAGAATCAATTGCATAATTAACTGATTAATTATGCTAATATATGCACATGGTGATTCTGCAATAGTGTTAAACACGGGAGGAGCAGCCCGGAGTGGACTTGCTGCCCAACTGAAACTGGTTGCCAGGCGCATCTCTCATGTTTGTGTCTCACGGACTTTTAAGGACGTGGGACATTTCTAATCAATATTTTGGGCGAGAGGAGGGGCAGGTAGTATATCAGAAAATGGGCTGTTTAGAGCACCTTTATATTCAACAAAGTGACTCCTAGTGTAAACACTGATAAGCCTACTTCACAGGGGTCCTGCTGAGTTAACTTGCTCTCCGGTGTGTGGGTGCCCCCAAGCAGCCTCATGCCCTAAAGAGGTGTTTCAGAAGTCCCTGGGAGATAAATGAACTCAGCAGTCCGACAATTACTCCCTCCTCAAAAAGCTGCCTGATCAATGGCGTTTAATTTCTAACCAAGCAGTCATCCATCCTGAGCCACCTTATTTTTTTCTGAGGCATAAGCTCAGATAACTTCAAGTTATCATTGTTTTATGTTCTTGTGCTTTGTTGGTTCGGGAATCCATCAGGGACTGCTCAGGGAACTAGAATTACAGTATTAAAATATGTCCTAATACAACAGATTCTGGCTCTTCCCTCTGTCCATCCCACCCCAGCATCATTTGGGAGTGAATCACGATCATCGCCTGTTTAAGATCTTATCTCCATGAACAGGAGTAAATGCCTGACTACCAGCCATTGTTGCCCAGGCCTCTTTGTTTCTCCGAGCCAAAATATTTCCCGAGTGGAGAAGAGAAACAAAGATGATTGACGGTCTTGAGCCGAGTCTCATCAGCTGCCTTGCTGACAGCCCGGTGATGTGCACACGCTGCTGATGTGTGGGCTGGTGACAGCTGATTGACAGCCCAAGACTGAGAGACAAGGAAGATGAAGCTTGCTTAGAACGCCTGACGTGCACTGTTTATGCAGCGCTCTGAGCTCAGGCGCTGGTACCTTAACCCGTTCGAGGTCCAGGCATGCTGTGCCAGGCTGGGCAGACTCCTGGCTGTCCTGGGGCTAGAAGCTGCAGCTCTTCCTTCATGCTTCCAGGGAAGCTGAAAGCTTTGTTTTTCTGATGAGGAAAATAAGATTTGGCTGTTGCATTAGTATTTGTTAAAAAAAAAAAATCCCCAATCACACACATATGAAATAATAAGAGATATTTTAGCTGAGGGTTTTTTTTTTAGCCTTTACTAGAAAAAACTTTTCATTCTTCCTCCCCATCGCTGGTGTCTAGGGGGGTCCTTTTGGGTCTATAATACTTTATCTCTAAGTTGCCATAAATCCTGTAATAGGCGTCTGCTTATTTATTTATTGTATGTCATTCCTTATTAGAATGTTATTTCCATGTGGATGAGGGCTCTGTTTTGTTAATTGCTGAGTTCTCAGATTAATACAGGAACTCATACATAATAGGTAGCTCAATAAATATTTGTTGAATGAAGGAATAAATGAGGACACAAATGCATAGACATTTGTAGAAAAGTTTATATAATCAAGTAAAATGTTGGCAAAGCTATCCTTTACTGAGATCTTTGGATTTTTTTGAACAGGAAGAAATTAACTCACAGTGGTCCACTGGCGTACTCAAACAAACTCTGGGTTACGATCTGATCTTTTTTTCTTTTTTTGAGACAGAGTCTCACTCTGTCACCCAGGCTGGGGTGCAGTGGTGTGATCTCAGCTCACTGCAACCTCCACTTCTGGGTTCAAGTGATCCTCCTGACTTAGCCTCCCTACCGAGTAGCAGGGATTGCAGGTGTCCGCCACCACTCCCAGCTAATTTTTGCATTTTTAGTAGAGACAAGGTTTCACCATGTTGGCCAGGCTGGTCTCTAACTCCTGGCCCGAAGTGATCCACCAGCCCAGCCTCGGCCTCCCAAAGTGCTGGGATTACAGGCATGAGCCACCACATCTGGCTGTTCTGATAGATTTTAATAGGAACAAAAGTCCCGGCAGTATAATAATTGAAGAGATGATGATGTTCTGGGTGATATATTGTTCCTTTCATTCAGAAAGCAGAAAGCTCCTCAGTATTGACCCTCTTCCTCCACGTGCTCCATCTCTTAAGCCCTTCACTCCCCTGATGGGGGTGTGTCCGCCCAGGTGAGATATGATTGGGCAGGTGGAAGCTACTGATGTTTTCTTAGGGAACAGGTGGTAATTGGTGGGGAGAGCTTCAGGATGGGCCAGGTTATTAGACTATGTGAGAAATTGGCCTGTGCATCCCTAAGGCCACTTGCCTGCCCCCGCCCTGGACAACACCAGGAAGGTACTACTCTGGCAGCTGGAGAAGTGGGCAGTTCCATGGAGGAAGTTCTATCCTTTGGGTAAGGTGGACTCTAGGAAAGAAGAGTATCAGAGGTAGACAATTCCCTGGCAGCAGGTCAGTAGAATAAAGAACATTAGGGCTAAAAACGGTCCTTTCTAAAAATGGAAACTTGGTCCAGAGAGGTTAGGTGGGTGCCCCACAGGTGAGGCTGAGCCTCAGGTTTGCTGATTCCAAAGCCAGCTTGCTCTCTCTCTCTCTCTGTCTGTCTGTCTCTCTCTCTCTCACATACACACACACACACACACACACACACACACACACACACACACACACACACACCCTATTCCTACATCATGCCATAGCTAAAGGAAAATAAATGCTTTTATCAACACACACATTTCTGGTAACAGAAATAAGGGTCCCAAATAATTACTGTCCTTTATCTGAAACAGAAGACAAAGAAAGCCAGGGATCAGGTTCCTCAAAGCCCTCTGTGCACCTGCTCTGCAGTTCTAAGTCCAGCATAAAG
Source organism: Homo sapiens (assembly GCF_000001405.40). Lineage (NCBI taxonomy): Eukaryota > Metazoa > Chordata > Mammalia > Primates > Hominidae > Homo > Homo sapiens. The sequence goes on along the minus strand of NC_000004.12, from coordinate 16,755,282 downwards.
TGTTGCTATTTCCTTCTCTGTCTTGGGTTAGGCTGATCACTTGCTATTAGTTTCAAGCACAATATTAATTTCCCTTTGCTCCTTTTAGGAATGTAGCAGAACCGTTCCCCACACTATTCTTCTGCCTTATGACAGTCACAACCACCATTTGAGTAACATGCTTCTCAGCTGACCTAGCCTGTGTCCAGGTCCAGGTCCACAATGGCCACATTCTTAGGAAATACGTGGTTCACATCTCATTCGGAAAATACTTCCTTCCTAGGAGAGATACGTGGAGAAGGATCTCCTGAGGCCCATCTCAGCAGGCAATGCAGGGCTGAGAGGCTGGATGGTGCAGGAGAAAGGGAACAGGGGTTCAATGCAAACATTCTTGGGCTTTAATCCATGCTTTGCTTGATAAACAGAGACTTCATTTTCTTATGTGCAAGTGAGTATAATACTACCATCACTGGGCTGGGTGCTGTGGCTAACGCCTGTAATCCCAGCACTTTAGGAGGCCAAGGCAGGTGAATCACCTGAGGTCAGGAGTCCAAGACCAGCCTGACCAATATGGTGAAACCCTGTCTCTATTAAAAATACAAAAATTGGCTGGGCGTGGTGGCATGCGTCTGTAGTCCCAGCCACTTGGGAGGCTGAGATAGGAGAATTACTTGAACCCAGGAGGCGGATGGAGGTTGCAGTGAACCAAGATCATGCCACTGCACTCCAGCCTGGGTGACAGAGCGAGACTCTGTCTCAATAAAAAAAAAAAAAAAAATACTGCCATCACTGGCTTGTGAAAATTAAATGAGATGTTATAATCAAAGAGCTGAGGACCATTTGAAGCATAGAATGATCAATACTTATTATCATTGATATGCATGGCCTTGGCCTCACCATAGCTTCTATGCATTGAAAAGGCTTCCCACTGGGCAGGACTTATCAAGTGAACAATGTGGACAGCCTGATGCCGAGGCTCCCTGGCCAGGTGGGAGTCCATATGACCTTTTTAATGGGCAGTTCCTGCTGAAATGCAGGACTGAGGAGATTAGGCTCTGCTCCCAACATTCAAGTGCAGAAACCCACTCTCGCTTCTAGTAAGTGGTGAGCAGGAGAAGGGAGTAGAGAGGGGAACAGTGATTAAGAATGTGTGGGGCAGAAGACTCCAGAACACTTGGTTAAACTATGTGTAAGTGGGCATGGCTTTGCAGGTTAGTGGGGAAATAGTGTAACTACTAAAACGCTACCTTGTTTCAGAGCACTTTCTGTTGGCCTGTTTCTTAGAGAAAAACCTAATTCTTTTCTAAGTGGCCTTACTTGAAACGTAAGGGTTTGATGGGATGGTGCATGTAAAGTTTTTGGCAGCGCTTTCATCCCTTTGAAAATGCTCCATAACACATTGATGGGCGTTCTTATTAGATTGGATTCCAATAAGCACATTGTTTTCTCTAGACTGAGATCTAGGACAATGCAGATAAAATTTTCATTAACCTTTAACTACTATTTGTGGTTTGGGGCTAGGGGTCCCAGTAATTCTCTATCACACATTTGTTATTTCATCTTGACCTTAGTACCCTGTCTGGAACGAGGATTTCCAGAGAGACCACACACATTCATGGCCACACTAGCCAAAAGCTATTCCATGGCTGCTGGAGGGACATTTCGCTCTCCAAAAAGAGAAAAGTTGTTTTAAGAAATGTCATCACTCTCTGTGCTTTTCTTTTCCTCAGTCACCAAGGCTCATTAGATAGTCTGAAGAACCACAAATCCACACCTCTGTGGAGCCATTTCTACACTTGCTGTTTCTCTTTTACATTGTCGTTCCTTACCTCCTTTATTTTTCCTGAAAGCTCCAATAGCTTTGCAGTATTGACTAAGTTCTTCAATTTTGTCTTGTAATATGTGTTTTTATGTGTTGTGTATTTGGACATGTTCCCCTAAGGTAGAGAAATTCTGCAAGGGGCCCAAGTAGGTTCACTATCTCCGGTTTCTGTTTCTCTACTGCTTTTTATTGGTTCGAACTCACCCAGCTATATTTGTACTGTGCTTGCTATATACATGATTTAAAACATGTTTCTGGGAAAATCACTCCTTGGTAATATGCATAAGGCATTTTGACACCACACTTAATAACTACTATGGCAGGAATGTGGCCACTTTAAAAAGTTACATGCAAAGAATGTGCTCTGCAGCACATGGGGAATGGGATTTCAAGTGCAAGAATTTAAGACCCGTGTGTGTTTTTTCTAGGAATAATGCCTTTGTGGTGTCCACCTGAAACCTAGAAAGGCACAGGTTCCTCTGGCCACTGCTTAAAGCTCTTGAGCCTTCTCAGAAGGCATGGCCAGCTGGCCCTGCAGACTTGGTCTTCCATAAAGTAATTTTGCTTCCCTAAACATTCCTCCTTCTTTTTTTTTTTTTCCATCCATTGAGACAGAGATAACATTCACGGATTTTGGATCCACGCAGATTCATTTTGAGTCTTTGCTCCTCCATAACTGCCAGATGTTAGGCATGTGAGATGACATTAGACATGTTGCTTAAACTACCTTAACCCCAGTTTCTTCATCTGTAACATCTGGGTAACAATAATGCCAACATTTTAGGGTTAAATGAGATGCACCTGTAACTTTAGCTTAGTGCCACTCTTGAAAAGCACAGAGTAAATAAATATTTACTGCATGAATTAATGAATGGACGAATGACAGAATAAGTGAGTGAGTTAAACCTATGAGACAACAGCCACTTCAAATTACCATGGAGTTCCCATTATTTATTTGGCACATAGTGGGAAGAACTCTGGTTTTGGGCAGAGCCAAAACAGACTTGTCTTCTTTCTATACAGGAACCAAGAATTTAAGACCAATTGGGGAAAAAATGAATATTAATGGAAAATGGTGAGTTAAACAAACAAGTTCCAAACAATTACAATTACCACATCTGTCCAACAGAGGGTGAGATTTTCATCCCCCATTTTGCTCAGAGAGCAAGGAACTACTAAACATTTATCAAGTGCTGGTAATTTATTTGGGCAACTTATATGTAAAGAGTGGGCTCTGTATCTTGTTCACTGAGGACCAGAGGAAAGGAAATTGATTTTGATTGCATTCAAAAATTTATTTTCAAGAAAAGAATACACTTCCTCAGAGTAGTCCTTCATGTTTAATTATGGGAATGGATTCTTGCCTCTGACTGTGGCATCTTGGTTGCTTAAAAACATAAATGTCGTTGTCTCAGATGACCCTGGACCATGCATTTATTCGCATGGGGTTCCATTAAATGGTTTCCAGATGGCTCTAGCACCCGATGTTGTGATTTTATTTTATTTTTATTTTAAAGATGAGGTCTCACTCTGTCATCCAAACTGGAGTGCAGTGGGAACTGATATTGTGATTAATGAGTGTCCATTTCAGTAGCAGTCTTCATTAGGCTGGTGAGATTTGTAGCAAATTCAGTTAGAAGTAGAGCAGATTGTCATTCGAAGTTGATTTGTTCCTGCACTCATTCATGGATTCATTCTTTCAGAACTCACTGAACTCTTGCTGTTTGTCAGACATTGCCTTCCTAGGCCAGACAGTTCTTGGGAGAAAGACAGTTCATCACAAATTTTTAAATTTACTTTTGATTTGATTTTATTTAAAACTCTTACCTTAAATTAGCATAATTGCCTAAGTTGCTCAGAAAGAGAATATTCTTGTGACATTAATGGAAAATCTAGGACTAGTCATAAAAATACTTGAGAGAAAGCCCGCAATTGATAGATGAACTGACAGATTTCTGAAAGAGAAAAAGGAGACCCATCTCTTCCCATTTGTGGTTTCAAATTGATAGTATCAGAAGTTGCAAATTGGCCATAACAGTGGCTTGAACAGACATTCCATTCTCTAATGTCTGGTAAATACCACACTAATGATCGCATGAGATAATGGACAGAAAAGTGCTTTGAATGAATTTAAAGTGCGGTACAAGTTGAAGGTATAATTATTATCATATTTATAATTAACGTTTCAGATATGGTATGTTTTTATTATCCCCTAATATGTTATAAGTCAAGCTGTTATGAAATCTGAGGTGGTTGTTAGCTCTTCTCTTAGGGGGTTACAATTGTCAAACGTACAGGCTTAAATGCAAGTCATATCTATGACTGCCCTCACGAGCTTGTTCTGGAGGTCTGAATGAGGTACTAACCAGAAAATGGACATTATGTGCTCTTTGCCTGACTCTGTGTGACTATGTTATCTATGGAGTCCTGGCACGTGCATTTCCTGACTTTCGGTTTTAGGGAGTATATTGCCTATGGTTTCCAAACTGAAACAACACTACCCCATAGTGGGTAAAACAAAGTGTGTCAAATCTTTTCATTGTCACAATGACAGGTGTTGCTGCCAGAATTTATTGTTTGGGGACTGGAGAAGAGAACTGTTCTACACAATAAAAAATTATTGAGAAACACATTATCTGACTCTTCTTACCTCCAACTTATTATCTTTTTGAAGTTAGGGTTGCCAGATAAAATGTAAGTATACAAATGCAATACTTGAGACATCATACTTCTACTACAACATTATTTGATATTTATCTGAAACTCAAGTTTAACTGAGCATCCTGTGTTTTCTTTGTTAAATATGGCATCCCTACTTCAAGGACCCCAGTTCATGTTCAAATGTGAAATCTTGACAATTCCAGAGCAGCTACAATGTGGTGTGAGCATGACCCATGATACAAAAAAGACTAAGAGATCTACCTGGACTTCTTATTCATAAGTCTTGCTTCTGTTTATTTCCAGACACTGTACTCATGAGCCCCAGTTAAAGAAAGAAATGCCCCAGCAGAGGTTGGGAGTGAGGATGCAGGTCAAAGTCTGCCTGAATTTAAGTCCAAAGTCTGCATTGCAGGCCTTCTACCGTTGACTGTGCCAGGCATCTGGGCAGGTGTTGAGCACATGCATAGGAGTGTGATATATATGGCTTGCCCAAGGGAACTTGCAGTATAACAAGGGAGACAGACCCATACACGATGAACTCTAATGCAATAGCATCCACCCTGTAAGAGTAGTGCAAGCAAAGTTCTGTGGTGCACTAGAGACCTAATGTACAGCATAATGACTATAGTCAATAATACTGTATTATATACCAGGAATTTTCTAAGAGATGATTTCAGGTGCTCTCACAACAATGAAAAATTGTAGAAGGATATGGCTATATTAGTTTGCTTAATTGTGGTAATAATTTCACCAAGTATATGTATATCAAAACATATTGTATATCTTAAATACATAGAATTTTTATGACAAAAATAGAATTAAAAAATATAAAAAGTACAACGAGGCATGGAGAAGCGGGTGTTGATGAAGTCTGCTCTTAATGGAAAAAGATTGAGCCTGGGAAAGACTTCTTTCTAACCTTCTAAAAGCCTTAGTTCTTAAACTCATGAGAGAAAACGCTCTACCACAATGTCCTTCAAATACAAAGCTTTCAATAGATATTTGTAACTTGAACAGTTGATGCAATGCTGGTAAATAGCACAAATGTGACCCATGATGTCTGAATATCTAGCCCACAGGCACATTATTAAACCTACAGTTTTTCCCATATTTTAATAAGTTTCCACCATCACAATCTCAAGTGACTGCAGCCTGTTTTGTATTATAGAGCAATCTAGAAATTTGTCCACAAAAGAACAAGGACTTGAGACTCATATATATATATATATATTTTTTTTTATTTTTTTATTTTTTTTTTTTTTGAGATGGAGTCTTGCTCTGTCGCTCAGGCTGGAATGCAGTGGTGTGATCTCGGCTCCACTGCAACCTCCACCTCCCAGGTTCAAGCAATTCTCCTGCCTCAGCCTCCCGAGTAGCTGGGACTATAGGCGCTCACAACCACACCCGGCTAATTTTTGTATTTTTAGTAGAGACGAGGTTTCACCACATTGGCGAGACTGGTCTCGAACTCCTGACCTTGTGGTCCACCCACCTCGGCCTCCCAAAGTATGAGCCACCACACCCCGCCGAGACTCATATTTTAAACTTCAAACTAAAATTATGCCTACCCAACCTACAATGCTAAGACTGATTTTTTGTCTTTGGTGCTTTGGACCATGAGATTGCTAGAGTATTTCACCACATAGTCTCAAAACTTCCTAGGAAATCCAATTATAGCATCAAATTTTACAGAATAAGTAATTCTCAGCAATGGTTAACTGGGTACTTGAATCTTATTGAATGCATCTTACTGGGTATAATTTCAGTGGAAACACCTATTTATTTATTTAACCTTCCTCAATGACTTCCCATGTGTTACCTTTCTGTGCCCTGGGGATAAGAAGATGAATGAACAAAATCTCTTGCTTTGGAGGAGCTAAAGATCCAGCGAGCTTTTGTTTCAAAGACTTGATTATTAGCAGAGCTTAGCCATGTTTTTTCATGTAGATACCCTCTGCCTCTGTTTATAAATCTGTTCCTAATAATGCTTCACACTCTATTTTTACACATTATTTCCAAACACTACATTATTACTATTTTTTAAACGTAAAGCATTTGGAAAAATCAGTGTTCAGCTGAGATGTGTGCAGTATTTCTTTTAGATAATAATGGCTGGTGATATTTTGGTTTAGTGGAGTGAGCCAAATCCAGGTATCCTCCCCTACAATCCAATGTGTAGCTTAATCTTCATATTCATGTCATGTTTTAGAACTGTGAACACACCTTATTTATGTAGATGAGGTAAAATAAAGCATTTGTTGAAGTCAGGTTAAATTAGCACTCTTCTACGACTGTATTAAGCAATGTTCAGATGGATTTCATTAAGAATGTAGAGGCTCCATGACAAAATTACCCATCAGGGTATGTTTTATTTATTGTTTAATCAAGGTAATCATATTGGAGTATTTGAATTTAGGAGCTTACAGAACTGGGTGCCTTCATGTATTTTGCTTTTATTATTCATTCCAGAAGAATCAGCTTCACAAACCATTATGCCATACTTGTTTATTTTTATGAAGTTGTCCTTTCCCAATTGGTATTCTCCTTACTACTCTTTGATGGGAACTTCCCTGTCACAATATGTATTTTTGGCTTTTCAACAAGTCAGGAGAACTTGAACTTGACAATGATGACACTAATTATCATTCTGAAGATCTGAAAAAGGAGGACATAAGGTCACCTGGGAGCCTGGTGATAAAGCCCCTCCCATTTAATGAAGCACAGCACCATTACTCCCTTACACATCAAAATTTGTTCTCCATTTTATTGAAAGCAATATTACATTATTTTTACAAACTTTCCTTAAAAAATACATTATGTCTGACTTATTCCTGCCTTTGAATAATCTTATTTGCAGTTTGATTGTTTGTCTTTTTTTACTTTGAAAAATGCATCATTTGCTATGTCAGGATGAGGTTGTTACACTGAAAACAATGAAAAAACAAGAGTTCTTTCAAAATCTAATTATGAGCTTGTCCCAGTCAGTAATGCTTGGGAGGGTATTTCCTCATAGACACACATGGTGTCTCCATGTTACTCTCATATTCCGATATTCCAGATAAAAATCAACCACCTGAGATGGTTCTCAGGTAAAGGATAATTATTTGTGTCTGTGTTTTCAGAATTAATTCAAGCTTTGAAAAAAAGATTAAAGTTAGCTAGCTGAGAGATGTATTTGTCCGTGTAAAATTTCCTCTGGAAATGTTTGTCATGTCATATATGAGAAGTACTAGCATCTGGTAAACTCAACTATACTTATTCAGTGTTCACTTGAGGCATTTAGAAAGTCCAACTTTCAAGCTTTAAAACAATTAATAATAATTCTCTTTTTCAAATTTGCCTGCATAAAATAACTTAATTCTCATACTTATTTGCTTTCCTTCAATAGGACCATAAAAGAAATGATAAACGGTGTTTCACTGATTATGTAAATAAACCGCTAATTATATCCTTAATAGTTCTCCACACTTCTAGACACTGTACTGGAATGTATTTCTTATAAAATGCTTTAGTACTTGGAGCTCTATTATTTTTTTAAAAGATGGGCCCAAAATCAGTAATTATGAGAGTTATTATTCAGGTTCACAGCAGTGCAGCAGCTATTTTTCACTTGATAATTACCTTGTTAAACTAATGTCAGACCAGCGCCATGCCTTATTTAAGAAAATGGTCCACCAGCCCCGAGTAAGCAGGCCCAGCTGTGGAAATATTAAAAGATTTATTAAATTCAGGCTCGTCTTCAGCATTGTCTCATCGACATTAGTTATGGGACTTGTAAGAAGTTTTCTATTTCTCATTAGATGTTTGCAGCATCATTCTTGAGGTCCTGCTGCAGCTTCCGACAGCTGGTGTTTCCATTGTGTTCCTTCTATTTCTAGTTCTGGGCTTTGTGGCCAACCAGGGCACCTTTTAATTGGCACAATCTTCATTCAGAACCCTGAGGAGAAGATGACCCATTCCCCGGAAATTAGGAATGCATATGATTACATTTCACTTCCTATTTTCCCATTTTTTTAATTAGTTATTTATTTATTGAGACCGAGCCTCACTCTGTTGCCCAGCTTGGCATGCAGTGGCACAATCTAGACTCACTGCAACCTCCGCCTCCTGGGTTCAAGTGATTCTCCTGCCTCAGCCTCCTGAGTAGCCAGGACTACAGGCGCGTGCCACCATGCCCAGCTAATTTTTGTATGTTTAGTAGAGACGGGGTTTCACCATGTTGGCCAGGCTGATCTCAAACTCCTGACATCCAGTGAGTGGGCCGCCTTGGCCTCCCAAAGTGCTGGGATTACAGGCATGATCCACTGCACCCAGCCACCTATTTTCCCATTTTTAAAGTTGCAGTTTCATTTATTACCTTTTTCCCTTTGGAAAAGAAAAAAAAATCAAGACTGTCCAATATTAGCCGTGGCTTTGGCTAAAAAGAGACAGATACAGATTTGAATTTTTAGTCCCACGTAAGTACTTCTTGCTGTGATATTATAATTTGCCAAAAAAATGGAGTCAGACACGTAGTTGGTTCTTGGTGTTTTTCAAATATGTTCAATAATGACTTACTGGATTAGTTAATAAGTTAAAATGATAAACATTCTAATAATGCTTTACAGTTTATGAAATGCTTTCATAAATCAGGACCATCTGTAAGCTTACTGAGGGTGGGGACTGTGTGTCATTCACCTTTGTAGTCACTGTGCCTGTTTCTGTGATACAGAAAGGCCCATGGTCAATATTTGCTGAGTAGTACTTGGTGACCATGCGTCATTCCATCATCAGTACAAACCTGGGAGCAGGTGTCAGATTGATCATTAGTGTTGAAGAGACGACAAAAGCGAGGCCTTCAAAGATGCAGAATTCAACTCTTCTGCCATATAGGCCCATACTGTGTACCCTTTACCATCCCACTATTCAGAACTTTTTTTTTTTTTTCAACAATAGAGAATCTTTAAACGTGACCTGTTTGGATTAAAAAAAAATTCTAATGTCTTACTCTGGATCCTGGACACTTACCTCCTTCTCTCCTCATTTGCTCCTCCCAGAAAGAGCACAGGTTAAGCATAATTAGTTCTTCGTGGCAAATGTGTACCTGCAGCCTGTTTTTCTTATTGTAGTTAAGTGTGGATTGCTGAAATCCCTTCGACATTGCTGCTATGAAGCTGACATTTATAAATTTTCTTTCTTAACGCAGTATGGGGTCCTCCATATGTCTTCCACAATAACTCTCTGTGTTTTCAGGGAATCTAAAGATTTATTTCCTTCCAAGTCCTTGTTGCTGGCATTTTCTCCAAGCCTCCAAAACTGCCAGGAGATGAACTTCAATTTAGAGGAACTGTTACATTTGTCATTGTGAATTTGCTAAACTTTGGATAAATTTGAAGATTTATGCTTATTCGCAAATGGGCCCTGAGAATATCTTTGGAGCTCAGAAAGTTCACGCTTGACTTCCTTTTCACTGTTCTAAGTAAACGAGTTCTTAAATCCCCGCAGTCTCCCCGCCTGGGCTCTGGGTCTCTGCCATTGCCTCAGCCTGCATTCATTTGGACCAACAGGAACTGAGATGTGACTTACCTCTGAGGTGTAGAGGAGGAGGGCCTTCTGCCTGCCTTGTTCTGTGGAAATCACATACTCAGTCTGTATTTCCAGGATGACCCAATTAGAGAATGCCTTACATAACCCCTCACTTTAAAGGCAAATAGCCCAGGCTTGTGAGTCAGACAAGCTTGGCTTCAAATCACGACCCTGTCCTGCAGTTACCATATGACCTCGGATGTTACACCTAATTTCTCTGAGTCTCACCATTTTGATCTGTATAATGAAAATAGTGTCTATCTGACACTGTTACTATAGTATTTGTGAGTAACATACATACAATCCCTGATACACAGGAGTTTTTCAATAAGTAATAGCTATTATAATCTGTATTTATATGTACAGCTAACAAACCAAAAAATTGACTTGGCTTTGACTTGCTCAAGGCAACCCAGCTAGCTGGTAATAAAGTCAGGATTCAAATTAATGTTTCCTAATTCTTCATAAAACACGTGACTTGGCTGGGCGCGGTGTCTCAGGCCTGTAATCCCAGCCCTTTGGGAGGCCGAGGCGGGCAGATCACGAGGTTAGGAGATCGAGACCATCCTGGCTAACACGGTGAAACCCCGTCTCTATTAAAAATACAAAAAAAATTAGCTGGGCATGGTGGCGGGCACCTGTAGTCCCAGCTACTTGGGAGGCTGAGGCAGGAGAATAGTGTGAACCCAGGAGGCGGAGCTTGCAGTCAGCTGAGATCAAGCCACTGCACTCCAGCCTGGGCAACAGAGTGAGACTCCGTCTCAAAACAAAAAACAAGCAAAAAAAAATCACGTGACTTGGCCAGGTGCAGTGGCTCACACCTGTAATCCCAGAACTTTGGGAGGCAGAGATGAGTGGATCACTTGAGGTCAGGAGTTCAAGACCAGCCTGGTCAACATGGTGAAACCCTGTTTCCACTAAAAATACAAAAATTAGCTGGGCATGATGGCGGGTGCCTGTAATCCCAATTACTCGGGAGGCTGAGGCACGAGAATCACTTGAACCCAGGAGGCAGAGGTTGCAGTGAGCTGAGATCCAGCCACTGCACTCCAGCCTGGGTGACAGAGTGAGACTGTGTCTAAAACAAACAAACAAACAAACAAACAAACCACATGAGTCTATTTATTAGTAACTTGCTAAAGTTTCCATACTCTCATTTTCATTTTAAACAGTCTAGAAGAAACCTAGTTTACAAGGACCACATATCATATTTTGTTCTTTGAATCATCTTCAAAATATTTTAGAGCCAAGTATAGGGGGAAGTGTCATTAACTGCCTTGATTTTAGTGATGTGTAAAAAATTGGAGACAATCTATTTGATAGGTATTTTAGTTTTCGATTGCAGAATATCAAATTACCAAAAACTTAGTGAATCGAAATGACACACATGTATTATCTCACAGTTTACCTGCATCAGGAGTCCAGGCTAGGTTGCTGGGTGCTCTGCCTAGGGTCTCACAAGGCAGAAACTGAGGTGTCATTTGGGGCTGAGGCTTGTTGGCAGAATTTGTTTTTTTGCAGTGGTACGATGGAGGTTTCTGGGTTTTTTTTTCTGGCTATTAACTGGGGGCTGCTTTCATCCCTGGAGGTCTTCTACTGCTCCCTGGCATGGGGGTCCCCTCTACAACAAGCAGCTTGTCTTTTTAAGGCAGGAGAATCCCTCTCCCTTCAACTCTCCAACGTTAAGTGCTTGCCTCATTATATCAGACCTGCCCAGGAAAATCTCTCTTTTCATGAACCCAAAGTCATCTGATTAGGGACTTTAATTGCAGCTGTAAAATGAGTCATGGGATAATATCCCATCATAGTCACAAGAGCCACTCATGATCAAGGAGAGGGATTATGCAGGGTGCATATACCAGGGGTGGGAATCTTGGAGGCCACTCAGAATTCTTTCTACCACCAGGGCATGAGGCAGATACATAATTATATTATAATATGAGACATCCTGACAAGCATATTTTTTGAGATGAAGTCTCACTCTATCACCCAGGCTAGAGTGCAGTGGTGCGATCCCGGCTCACTGCAAACTCCGCCTCCTGGGTTCAAGCAATTCTCATGCCTCAGCCTCCTGAGTAGCTGGGATTACAGGCTTGCATCACCATGCCTGGCTAATTTTTGTATTTTAGTAGAGATGGGGGTTTCACCATGTTGGCCAGGCTGGTCTCGAACTCCTGACCTCAAGTGATCCACCCACCTTGTGCTCCCAAAGTGCTGGGATTACAGGTGTGAGCCACCACACCTGGCCCTGACAAGCATCTTCAAACAAGGGAAAACTGCCCTGTGAAGCCAGAAAACAGAAGTCATTTCCTGCTGTAGGGGTTGGGAGGCATGGCAGAGGCAATGAGTATGATTTGAGTAGGCAGAAATAGAGGCGAGGGGCAGTGAGGTAGAAACGGAGTGGAAGAAGCACATCCCAAGGGAGGCAAAGAAGGTATTTCGGGAAAATGGTGAATGCTTTTGGTTGGCTAGAACTTGCTACTCTGTGGTTTTTAAGAGACTTGTGTTTTGAACCTATTGAAATCTATAGAAAAGGTGATGGGGACACTCTTGGGTATACCTGATTCCATGAGCGTCCTCTGCTTTTTTCATATACTGGCTAATGAAGAAGAGGAGAATTTGGCCACATGTCTGTTGAATGTGGTGCGTTGAATCCTATCACCATAGTCACCCTTCAGGACCTTGAAAAAGTCTTTCTTCTCCACCATTTCTGACAGAGAATTCCAAACTTAGGGGCTTCTGTGTCTTGTAAAATGCCTTTCTCCCTTGTAGAAAAGGTAGACAAGTCTGAAAAAAGTGGGTTCAATTCTGTAAGCTACACATTAAACCAGCTGGAGTTGGTTGTAGGTAAAATAACTCAAAACCATGTTGTATAAGAAATGTGTTGGCTGGGCGCGGTGGCTAAGGCCTGTAATCCCAGCACTTTGGGAGGCCAAGGTGGGCGGATCACAAGGTCAGGAGTTCAAGACCATCCTGGCCAACATGGTGAAGCCCCGTCTCTAATAAAAACACAAAAATTAATTGGGTGTGGTGGCACATGGCTGTAGTCCCAGCTACTTGGGAGACTGAGGCAGGAGAATCGCTTGAACCCGAAAGGCGGAGATTGCAGTGAGCCGAGATTGTGCCACTGAACTCCAGCCTGGCAACAGAGTGAGACACTCTCAAAAAAAAAAAAAAAAAAGAAAAGAAAAGAAAAAAAGAAAGAAAGAAAAAAGAAAAAAAGAAATGGTGTATGGATTCATTCATGTGTTCATTCAGCTAATACATACCATGTTCCTGCTGTGTTGCTCAATCTACTTTTCCTCTGGGGATCCATTAAACAAGATAGCAAGAGCCCCTGACCTCATAAGGTTTAAAATATAGACTCTAGATCATAGATAATTTAGACTTTAAATTCTTGCAGAATAAGGAGTTTATAAAGTAAAGCTTACACTAATTATTAATGAATTTTAGTTTTGATAAGTGCTTTGAGCAAACTATATGTGATGCTTTAACCAATCTCTCCAGGGGGCAGCAGTGAAAGTTGGCATGGGGTGTGTAGAGGGGAGTCAAGCTAAACCTCTCTGAGAAGTTATAATAAAGGATGAAAAAAATCTAAGTAAAGAAATACATCTTGGAGTTTTTGCATATATCTGTTGAGCTGACAGAGTGAAGAGACTGTAGATTTGGGATAGACTGGATCTGACTGGACTCCTGTCTTGTGTTTTCCTGATCTACAGGTTCTTATGCATCACAGCCCACCTCATTCCCTAGTTCCCTCTGGAGGATTAATTGTCCCTTCTGTCTGTGCCAGTGACATGTGGCACACATATCTGTTATGTTACAGCTTTCATAGCGCGTGGTCATCTGTTTATATGTGCTCAGCTGGGACCTCTCTGGAGATGTCCTTGGACAGTAATCGCAGCCTTTTCACCCCTTAATCTCCAATATCTGATATTTCACCTGGCACTATACTTGCTAGTGAATGATATTTGTTGAATGAATATATCACAACTAGTTGGAAATGATAGAAGTCACATGTTGACAAACCGTAGTGCTTTAAAAGGAAGATCTTTCAAAACAACAGTTTTCCAAAATGCGACGATCTGCCCCAGAATGACAGGCAGAGCTCACCATCCCTGGAGCTGACAAACATCCCAGAATTCTGTGTATACAAATCAGAAGCAAAGCAGAATTTGAAAAACTCAATTATAACTACACTCAATTATCAAATTACATCTTTGATGCTATTACTTGAGAAAGTGAATGCATTTTTTTCCACAGGCTAGATTTATGTCCACAAGTTGCATTACTGATTGAGAGAGTCTTTCCTAGCCATACACTTCTGAGTTGTGCTTTGCATTTTGGTCTCCTTACTGAAAGTTGTATTTAAAAGGAGGATAAGATTTTTTCTATTATAAGTAAAATACACGCATTGCATTAAAGAGATATTCCAAGTAATTATTAGGGCTGAAAAGCCTGTCAAACTATGAATGAAAATATGCCTGTGCAATAGAGTAAGGCATCAAGGCAGACAGAATAATTGTCACTTAGTATAGAAGAAAAATGTATATTCATATACATGAATTAGATCTCATCCTGAACACAGTTCTCCAATGGAAGAGAGAAGCATAAGTGGTTATGTCCCAGAAGTCCATGAGTTCTATTAGACAAGTATCACATTAGCATGAGACAAAAATCAAACCGATGCAGAAAGTTCATGAGGTAGTACCTGCCATGCTGCTTTTAGCAGCAGGAAGGGCAAAGGATATGGAGGGACAATCAAAAGAACAGCTCGCACGATTGGAGGCCTGGTGGGATAGATCCATGGGCAAAGAACAAAAGATGTGCGATGTAGCTAAGCAACTGTTACAGAGGATGCATCGTGATAGACACCTATAAACCTCCAAGGCTCGCATGTGGCCTGTTTAGGGCAGTATGCGCCAGGAATATAACTGAATGCAAAAAGACAAAAGAAGAGTTTAAATAGCCGAGTGTGTGCCAGAAGAAAAAATGATGGAAACTGTGTCTTAGCATTGAAAACAAAGCTGATTTCTTTCAAATGGAAGATGTCACAGTTTAGTGCTAAAAAGACAAAACCAAGGAATATTTATGGAGCTCTCACAGTCAAATATCTGGTGACTGTTTCCCATCTCCAATTCCAAGTTTAATTTTTGTTTTTCTTCCATTAATCATATTAATTGTACCATGTGATTGTATGATTCCTTTATTTTATGTTCAAAAAACCTCCCTCATGTAACTCAGCAAATGAACAGATACTTTTATGTTGTGATTATAAGTTTTAAAAGTATGAACATCTGAATTCAAGTGTGAAAGGCAATGTATTTCATTAAAAATAGTTGCTTTAATATACTTGGTACCTTTATTTTATGTTTAAAAAAAACCCTCATATAATCCAGCAAATGAACTGATATTTTTATATTGCGATTATAATTTTTAAAAATATGAACATCTAAATTCAGGTATAAAATGCAATCTATTTCATTAAGAATAGTTATATATATATGTATATGTATGTATATACACATATATGTATATATACATATATACACATATATGTATATATACATATATACACACATATGTATATATACATATATACACACATATGTATATATACATATATACACACACATGTATATATACATATATATATATATATATATTTTTTTTTTTTTTTTTCCCTCTGTCACCGAGGCTGGAGTGCAGTGGTATGATCTTGGCTCATTGTAACCTCTGCCTCCCGGGTTCAAGTGATTCTTGTGCCTCAGCCGCTTAAGTGGCTGGGACTACAGGCATGCACCAGCACATCTGGCTCATTTTTGTATTTTTAGTAGAGATGGGATTTCACCATTTGGCCAGGTTGGTTTTGAACTCCTGACCTCAAGTGATCTGCCTGCCTCGGCCTCCCAAAGCGGTGGGATTACAGTCATGAGCCACCATTCCTGGCCTACTTTAATATATTTTGAAATCGTAATGACTTAACCTTCTTTCTTTTTTTGCTTTTTACTTGCTGTCCACACCTCCAAAAATTGTCTCCAAAAAATTTTAAATACTTATATCATCAAAAGGAGTTTCAGAAACTGACAGGGTGGTCAAAATTCAAGATTTTAAAGGAAGATGATTTGGGGGGCGCCTTAGATTGGTTTAATTAAAGAGAAGCCCACTTGAAAGTTTCATCTGGAAGAATTGGAAAAAGCCTTCTCTTTCAATCTCTCTCAGTTTCTCTCTCTCTTTCTTTCCTAATTATTTTCTTCTTCTATCACAAAGATTTTGAGGCATATTCCAGAATGATAGGGAGTTTCCCAAGTTAGAAGAATTGGGCCCAGAGTTTTAAACTGCCCCTCTCATTAAAGGACCCCAAATTACTAGAAATATCAGCCAGCCTGAATTCAGAAGATTTGCATAAAGTATGAGTAAACAATCCCTGATAAGAATTTATTCAATATGGGACTGCAAATGTTATTTCATCCATTCGCATATTCATTCATTCTACACTTAACACTGCTAACATTTGTTCATTAATTTGCCAAATGTTCTCTGTCTCCTTGTACTTAATACATGTGAACCAGATTTTCACTTCCCTCTGTGGATGCCTCTGGTAGCCTTAAGAGTCTTCATAGAAAATGTGAAAGCAAAAGTGTCTCTTCACATTTGACATACATAAATCTGGATTTTGTATAGCAAAGTAAAAATTAATTTTATGTACCAAAGGGTTAACTTTCAAAAGTTGTAAAGGCTAAGCGGTAGCTTTTAGTCTGTGGTTGGCCTCATGTGAAGGCTATAGAAAAATAATTTCCAGAGTTCAAAGCTCCTTGTATGTTTTATCATTAATTGATTTTCTCCTCACCTTCCTCCTCCTCCTCTTCCTGTTTCTCTGTTTCCTTCTTCTTCCTATAAAAGAAAATACTCTTCATTATTTGAGTCTCAGGGTGACAAAGTTGTGCAATCCCTTTTGGTGTTGGGGAGGTGGGTGAGGAGCAGCGGTGTATCCAATAACAGGGCTTGTGATGTTTCTAAACTTTGTTTTACTGAAATCCTACTTGAGACGTCCCATTTTTAGGTTCCTCCCAAACTACTGACCACATCAGGTGTTGATATCTTTGGTTGGATATTCTAAATAGATCTCCTAAATCATGTGCTTTTACATAGATGCTTCTATACCTGTCACTTTATTTACTAAACAGAATGTGATTTGGGATTAGAGCAAACTCACATAAATGACTATTAAATTCAATAACACCTATAGACAGGTATTATATTAACTCAATAATAGCTGTAGACAACTAGTTCCAGTCATTTGGAATCAGATAAGTCCTTATTCTAAAGTCCCTCCATTGAGAAATAGAAATTGTTGGAGAAGAAATGCAAGGGACATATATATGTTCATTGAAGATAATTCTTAAAACACAGAAAAACAAAAGAAAGAAGGATAGTAAAAATTATCCATAATTGCATAGTTCAGAGACAAATCATTCAACATTTTTGTTTATACCCTTCTGATTTTTCTTTGTTTTCCAAGTTTATATGTTTTCTTTACAGAATCAGAAACATTCTGTATGCACTGTGCAACATGTCTTTATCTTTGCTCAATATATAACAACCACCTTTTTGTCATAAAATTTTCTTTTATGTCCCTTTTAATGCCTCTGAAATGTTCTGTTTTATGAATTAGCTTCATCTAATTAACGTACTTCCTGTCATTGAATATTATTTGCCTTAGTTTTTTATACTATAGTTAATTTTGCCTTAATGAACATCCTGTCATTAATTTTTTGTGTACACATCGAATTTTCTTTATTAGAATAAATTCACAAAAGAAAAAATGCTAAATTAAAATAAAAATTTAAATTACTGTTTTAAGACAGGAGTGGGGGCTGATGCCTATAGCCTCAGCTACTCAGGAAGCTGAGGTGGGAGGATTGCTTGAGCCCAGGAGCTTGAGGCTGCAGTGAGCTATGATCACACCACGGCACTTCAGCCCGGGCGATAGAGCCAGATCCTGTCTCAAAAATAAATAAATAAAATTAAATAAGTGAAGAAAAATAAATAAAATATAGGTTTTACATTTAAAGATTTTTAATAGACATGGTCAAATTTTGATTCTTAAAATTGGTATCAATTTAAACTCCTACCAGCAATACATAAGAAAGTCCACTTTACTCTTAGCAGCAGCAGTTATTGTTACAAAAAAAATACATTTTAACTTTCTGGTCTCACTCACTGTTTACTTACTTATACAAAATATCTATGTCTTTTTAACATTTATGTTTAAAACTAACTCCAGGCATAAATTTATGAATAGTTTTTTTGTTATTTTGATTTTGGGGGATTTAATCAGAACTAATACCTCAGGGAAGACACTTAACAATTTTTGTGTTTCTGGTTCGGGTTTTAAAAACATTATTAATTTAAATGTTTGGTATTAAATCTTTTTATGAAGAGGTCCCTGTTGATATGAATTTCTGTCACATTTTATGTTACCTCCTATAAACAAAAGAAGTCAAATTCTAGATTTATTTTTAAATAAATTGAAAAATAGACTGTCAACACCCAAGAATTTGAAGGTATGATATAGATTATATTTCCAAACCTGCACAGTTTGATATCTTGTGTTCAAGAAGATTCTGCGACTTGCCCACACAACCACTTGTGTGGCAAGGGCAGGGTTTGAACCCTGGATTTCCTGTACTAAATTTAATATGTTTCTCCATTGTTTTCTAGTAAAGCCATTAACATCCCCTCCTGTTCAGTGTCACATTTGCGTAATTCAAAGTGCTCCCGAAATGTTACATTAGATTAGGTATTAGACAAAAGAGTCTAAGTTGGAGGCGGAAACAGCCTTTTTAAAAATACAGGCAAATAGACAATGTAAAGATTGGATTCTTGCTTTTTGGGGACAGAAACTCAGGAGTGTTGTGTGTTGAGTCTAATTTCCCTATTTGGGAAGACGTTTCATTGACTTTGTTTTGGTAATCCTCTGGGAGTGAAGGAGGGTTTAGAAGTAAAGGCATGCAGGTGAATGTAGCAGGTGAGTTGAAGTCCAGGGTACATGTGCCTGTGATCCAAAGGAGGCAGATAGAGAATGTGGAGAGAGGACCCTTCTTGCCCAGAGCTGAGCTTCAGGAGCATGAGAGAGCCGGAGGTGGGAAGGAGTGTAGGAGGAAAAGCACCAGGCGGGGCTGGCCAGTGATGGCTGGTGCTGCTGGGTACACATAGGCTGCTGCCCAGACACTGTGGCATCTATAGGTCCAGCTCCCTGGATAATTGCTCTTCTGTCTTTCTCTCTCTTTTTAATTAATTAAACTCCACACTTTCCTTGGATTTCACCAGTTTTTCCATCCAGGGTACCACATTGCATTGACTATGACATCTCCAACAGCGACTTCCGGTCTATGACAGTTTCTCAGTCTTTATTTTTCACTATCTCATCCATCTTGAAAAGTACTGTTCAGGCAAATATCCTGTAGTGCTTACTAATCTGAAGGTATAGCTTTCATAGTTTTTCTTATGATTAGACTTGTGATTACACTGAGGTCGTAGGTTTTGAAACAATATACCAGAGGTGAGATACCCTTTTGTCACATGATATCCACATGCCATCGCTGGTGATGTTAACTTTCATCTCTCGGTTAAGGTAGTGTTTGCCAGGTTTCTCTCCTGTAGAAATTGCTGTTTTTTTTTCTGTCCGTTCTCCATTTATTGAAATGAATATTCATTGACTCTATTCATTGGATGCCAGTCACTAAATCTAGCCACCTGCATGGGAGGGCAGAAGTTAAGCCCCATCTCCCACAGTGGGCACTAACTACACATTAAAATGTGGATTTTTTTCTTTAAGAAAGATTTATTCTTTCTTACTCATTTATTTATATAGTCATTGATTTGAAAACAGACAAGCAGAAGGGAGGAGAACGCAGCCTGCCCCAGGGAGAAAGCAACTCTTCATTTGGACAGGTGGTTTGAGCCTCTCTTCTTACAGATTCTCTGGGATGCTTCCATCTCCCTTCCTGTCTCCCACCATATCAGGGGACTGCGGGCAGCATTGGGGAGACTGATGTGAAATGCGAGGGGCAGGAGGCCCCAATGTGGACAGGCACTCATAATTTGATGTCCCCACTACGTACATCATTCATCATTACCCTCAGCGTCAAACACTGTCATGGAGGAATGATGACTGTTTTCTTTCTTTTGTACCCATGTGATGGCATTTCACAACCCGAGCCCTTAGAAGATGGGAAGCAGCTGGCCAGGTCTGGTTGCTCATGCCTGTAATCCCAGCACTTTGGGAGGCAGAGGCGGGTGGATCACCTGAGGTCAGGAGTTCGAGACCAGCCTGGCCAACATAGTGAAACCCCATCTTTACTAAAGATACAAAAATTAGCCAGGCATGGTGGTGGGCGCCTGTTGTCCCAGCTACTCTGGAGGCTGAGGCAGGAGAATCGCTTGAACCCAGGAGGCGGAGGTTGCAGTGAGCCGAGATTGTGCCACTGCAGTCCAGCCTGGGCAACGAGAGCAAAACTCCATCTCAAAAAAAAAAAAAAAAAAAAAAGAAAACAAGAAGTTGGGAAGCAGCAGCAGCTCTTCCTCATCTTTGGTGAGAAATCATGGGCAAGACAGGGCCTCGGCCAGGGGGCTGGGGCAGAGGAAGGGAAGAGGGTGCTTCAGAGGGTTGGAAGGACTCTGGATGGAAGGGAAATGGGGGAAGGTGAAAGCCAGGAAATAGGGATCAGCAGTGCAACTATGTTTGTTGGAGAACCTTTTTTTGTTTTAATGAAGTCTCATTTCATTCATGACAACAAATTCTGAGTCCAAGGCACCGTTCCAGGGAACAGAGATTCCACTTCTGAAATTCCTAGTGATTAGTAAAGTTGGCATGTTCCTTAAATCATTTCCATTCATTCATTCATTTATTCGTTCTCTCATTTGCTCATTTACTTAATCAACAGGATTAAATACATAGTTGTTGGATGCATTACCCCAGTGAGTGGGTTTTCAAACACCTTGCTCCAAAAACTGACTTAACTAGCCATTTTTTTATTAGCCATCATCACTGTCACTACAGTTGCCATTTAAGGAGAACCTGCTATGTGCTGCAAACTAGGTTAAGAATATTACACAAAGCATCTTATTTAATCCAGCCAACAACTTTAAAAGGTGAGTATCATTATTCTTATTTATCAGATGAGAAAATGATGGCCAAGTCAAAATTTGAACTCAGATTTTATTGTTGAATACAAACTCTGTTCTCTTTTCCCTATGTCAGGCTGCCTCTCTAAAAATAGGCATTGTCTCCTGCAGCTCCGTCTCTCCCAAGTATTCAGATTTTATTTATTATATCTGTTACCACTAATAACAATATTTTTAAAAATAAGCCAATATGTGATGATAGTGTGAAAAGTAAACATGGTAATTAGGCAACATCAAAATGAAGTTAATTATTGCCTTGATGACTAGGGTGGTTTGTGTACAGTCGTTGAGACAGGGAAAGGCGTCACATCAGAAAGTGGTACTCCCACATCCCTGCCGTATCACAAGGCTGTGCTCAGCCTATCAGGGGATTGCTGGAAAGGGAGCAAACCTGAATTCGCTGGTGCCACACAAAGACTTTTTACCCAGGGCTGCTATTTCCCCAAGGCTTTCTCTTTATTTTGTGATATCCCTGTAGCTTCCCTTTGAGGCACAGACATGAACCCCCAAGTTGTAGATGTTTGGTTTTGTAACCCAGAGTCCCTTGCCTGCTATGTCAGCAGCCAGATCCTGATTCACAGGCCAGTTTCTAGGCTGTATTTGTGCACACTTTTTGGTCAAGAACTTTCAGACCAAATCAGGAATCAGAGGTCAAGACAACCATTCCAGCTGGATACTAGCCCTCAAGAGCCCCCCAACTTTTTTTTTTTTTCCAAATTCTTAATCATTGGGTATCTGTTCAAATTTATTCCAATTATCCTGCTCACAGCATCTTCTCCAGGGTTAAATTTTAAATGACTCCAATTCACCTTATAATCATGAGTGGCTAGGTTGGATCTTATTTATTCCTATCTTGCATTATAATTAGAGGTAGAAAAGTAGGCTTCATCAAGGTAGTAGGCAGCCTCACCTGATTTTGTTGCTATTTGATCTGAACACTTAGCCTAAGTAAGAAGGCGCCTGAGTGCGGAGCTTGTTCTACTTCACAGCTTTATTCTTTTTGTTCTGGTGGTTTATAAAAACGTGTATCTGGTTCCAGTCAAGGCTAGTTCTCCCAATTGTGATTTGAGTGTGTAACCTCAGCAGCTGGCCCAGCAGGTTGTGAACATCCCTATGCCTTTCCCCCGACCTTAAAGAGTCAGCCGATGCAGAGAAACAGTAGCTAGGTAGGAAGTGGGTGGATTTGCATAATTTGGTTTTCTAAGTGTAGAGTGTTCATTTTTAACTTACATTGGCTTCACTTTGTTGCCAAAACTCTTTTCAGAAAAGAATGCCTCCCACAATTTTCTTTCCCTCTTCTTGGTCCCTAACAGCCGATCCTTCAGATGTACATGTTTGTTTGTCCAAACAGATGAGAAATCATCTCAGCTATCTCTCATCAAAATAAAACTTTCTGTATTAGGCAGTTTCTCTCGTTTTCCAATTTGAGTTCTATATAGAACTATAGCTGTGGATGGTAATGAGTTTGCCATGGCAATTTCAGGCTATCTGTACTATAAAATCCTATTCTATCCTTGCATAATAATCAGGGTTATTAATGAGGAATTGAATTAGTAGAAAAACAGTAGACTGAGCCACTGTGATTTGTTCGATATAAGTTAATAATCATACATTATATAGCATTTGCAGCTTCCTTGGGCTCCGAAAGTGAAGCTATGGTGGCAAAGAGCATTGTGATCAAATCCACACTAATGAAGTAACATTTGGAGCTCTGCAGGGGATGAAAAGGAATGCATTGTTATTGTGAGTGCTGGAGCATTGTCCTTTACCATTTTAGGGTGTATTGAAATGCATAACTAATAATTGTATTTGCATTAATAAAAGAAAGCTCCAACCAAGTCCCAAGCCCCTTTGAAAAGGCAAGGCTGAGGGTGGGGTGTGAAAATCATAAAGCCGGGTGTCTTGAAACAACAGTTCATTAGGGAGGGGGACTGTCCTTTTCTCTGTGCAGCAGGTTCAAATCCATAATAAAACAGATTAGAATCTAAGCAACTTGAGATTGATAGGTTAAATTGTTTACACAAAGCTGCTTTGAGGGAAAGGATCTACTTTTCAAGGCAAGGCCTCTGAATTCCTGTTGGGACATTCTTAGAATTTCACCCACAGCTGACAAGGAACTGGATGGGTTTTTTTCAAAGGTGGTGGATTTGCCTCAGATATCTTTGGATTTACATTCGTTTGCTTTTTTGTAGTTACTGCTTGAAAAGGGAAGCACATAGACCTAGATGAGCGAAAAAATTCTCACCAAATGTTACCAGCTGAAGACAGCCTTGGCCAGACCAAGGGATGTGGAGACTAAAGCAGGCTGAGGAGGTCTCTATGACCTTTCAGGAAATTACAAGTGTCTTAGACAGCTTGGGCCGCCATAATAAAATTTCGTATACTAGGTGGCTTAAACAATAGACATTTATTTTCTCAGTGTTGAAGGCTGGAAAGTCAAGATCAAAATTCTGGCTAATTCAATTCCTGTTGAGGGCTCTCTTTCTGACTTCCATCTTGGCTTGCTCACTTGACTTTTTTGTGTCTTTGTGCATGTGTGCGGAGAGAGAGGGAGAACGCAAGAGAGCACACACACACGTGCATGCTGTCTGGGTCCCTTATAAGGGTACTGATCCATCAGGTGGGACTCATCTAACATCACATGGCCTCTTCTAACATCCCAAAGGCCCCGTTTCCAAATACCATCACATCAAGGGTTGGAGCTTCAACATACGAATTCTGAAGGACACAATTCAGTTCATAGCAATAAGTGAACCCATATTTCGGAATAAGTTTGTACAAAGTGGGAAGTTGGCTGTCTGTTTTAATTTCAATCCAATCCAATCCATTTCATTCCAGTCCAGTCCATTCCAGCCCATTTCATTCCATTCCATTCCAGTTCTAACAACTACCTCCCTGAGTTCTACCTGTGCAGCCAGCACACCATTGTCATCGACTCCTTCTTTCTCCTATGTACATCCTTTCCCTAGGTCTGATTCTTTTTGGTGGTCAAGAGCAGTTCGTTTATTTGTTTTCTTCCTGCTTTTTCTGTCTCCAGTGGTAAGTCCCTTGAGGAAAGTGTGGGAAAGCTTTGTCCTAACTCTGTTTTTCCCTTGCCATAATGCCTGGGGGAAGTAACTTGAACTCTAAGTAGCAATATTCTTGACAGTCAAGGGGGATAAGAATAATATTTAATGGAACAGGATTGTTGTATGTGTTAGGCAGAATGTCTCAGAAGTAGGGTATAGGAGCTTGGTAAATGGCACCAGGTGTCATGACAATGAATAGGTCTTATTCTGATGGTCTTGGCCCAGTGTGGGAAGCAGCTATGAGAGAAGATGAAACTATTGGGTCAGCCCTTGTGTTCCTAACTCAGCACAAGTCTGTGAGCTTATGACCTGATTCCGTCCCATGCTTTCCTAACTGGGCAAGTGACTTTAGCTCTCTAAGCCTCCATTTCTCATGGATAAAATAGAATGGAGACACTAGTTGCCACCTTATAGAGATTGGGGGAGGAATAAATGAGATGATGTATGGGAAGTGCTTGGTTTGTAGCATATACTCTGCAAATTTTAGGTAATATTATTTTTTAAAAATCTGTAATCTGGTAAGCAATATAGTTTTTGAGTCTTTATCATGCCTAATTGACTCACTGAGCTGCACATGGAAGATTCAGAGATTAAGAACAAGATCTGCCCTGTGGAATTTAGAGTGTACAGGTGAGACAGGCATTAATCAAAGACCAGACAATACAAAGTCGTAACTATGATAATGACCGTGAAGCAAAATTCCTGGTGCTATGGGATTGTGTAAAAGTGACACTCATATTTGGGCTGGCAGCTGGCTGAACAGAACTACAAAAGGGATGGACTCTGGGAATCTCAAGATCCCCCTATTATGCCAGAAATCACGAGAAAAGCTAAGACAAAAGGGCTAAGAAGGATGTATTACTTTCTGACGTTGCAGGCCAGAATCTAGAATTTATTACAAACAACAGAAATGAAAACAGAATAGAATAGAACAGACCTGAAGTATCTGGATAATGCAGAGCCTGTTGTTTTTAGCATGAGAAAAATGTGTTTCCTAGGGAAAAACTGTATGGTGAGAGCAAATAATAGGAGGGGGTCTTGGTTATGCCCTAATATTAAACAGTTACACGACAACGACTCATACCCAAGGTGTTAAAAATCAATGCTAATGATGGAACACTTCATGCGGTCGTTATTTTAGAAAACCCCTAATCAAAACAAATGCAAGGGGTGAAGTGTGCTCAGTGCCAGAGTTTTGTGTGCTCCTTAGAAAGACGATCTATTCCCTGGAGAGAAAGGAAAGGATCAGAAATGATAACCACTTTTAAAATACATCAGCTTGCTCATGTGTCGGTGTATTTTTTCTTTATCAGCTTTTCAGCCAAAGCTTCATTTGATTTGTGCAGGGAGGTGTATAATAGGAAGAGGCCAGTGAGCTGATTTTTATAGAGTCTGTTTGTAGCTTAAACAAAGATGGGGGATTTGGAGGATAAAAGCGGCCTGAAATATAGCAGATTATGCAGCTTTATTTTTCAAAGATTTGTTAATTCCCCTCCTCCCTCTCCTGCTCTCTGGCTGAGCCGGTGTGTTTTGTACTTTTTTTTCTTTTCAGTTGCCATTCAAAGAGAAAAATCTAAGTTTTAAATGTGAATTTCCGACTGAATTTCACGTGGCCCAGCTGTTACTGTGGCCGATCCCCTGTAAGCAAATGTGCGTTACCCTTAAATAGTGTAGCCTTATGATAAATAATAGGATGAATAAAGGCTGAGCTTATAAAGGCTTTTTTAAAATGACAAGCGTCATTCACAGCATGAGGAGAAAGGGCTGGAGGGTTTGTGTTTTTGTTCTTAAAGTGAAAAATGATGAAGTTTGTTTTGAAGTCTGAAATAATCTGCAATACAATTAAGAAAGAGGGAAGCACTCAAGTTTTCTGCGAGGCAAAGACTTGCCTTTTTCTGTGTAATTCAGGAGCTTGTCATCCATATTTTCAGGATCTGGCTGGTAATGACATGAACCGTCTTTCATGCATTAGCAGACCATAGATCTATACCCAAGTCCTTCCAATAAAAAAGGGATCTCATTTGATTTTTAAATGTGGCTTTAATTTCTTGACAGGGTTTAGCACTTTATTTGCATGCAAGCTGCCTGGGCAAAAAGTCTTGTGGAGCCTCATTTTAGAAACTTTTACTGCTCTATTTTATTTTTAGTGAGATTATTACTGTCTGTTATTTAGCCTTTTAACCAACATTTATTGTGCCATCATCTCACACAAGTCCTTTGCTGTGCTCCTTGAAGGATAGAAAGATATACGTGATATGATCCTGCCCTCAGAAAGAGGATGCTCTAGATCATCTATCAAGCCTGATGTACCAGAATATTTTCATATTGCAGTTGGCTAGAAAAATTACACCAATATAAAGAATAGATGCATTGTGTGAGTTACTGTGTGAGTTTCTGTGCCATGTGATAATGAAGCTTAAATTGTAAATACAATCACTATTTCTGTAATTAATATGTTTATATAAGCAAAAAATAATCCTTTTTGCCTCCCTAGGTTTGAAGTACTTAAAAAAATTTGGAGTTAATGTTAATGCTCTGCCTGATACTTGATACTATACTGTACTGTTTAATTATCTATCCATCCATCTAGCTAGCTAATCTAGCTATCTCATCTCTCTATTTCTATTTCTTTCACTTTACTCTGATATATTAAAATGCACAGTTTCTGGGCAAGCTGACATCTTTGAGCCTCTTGAGGGACAGCTCCTCATTTAAGAGATCTTCTTGTTGCATGAAGGATTTACTCTTCCCTCCCCAAGCTTTTCTACAGCTTTTCTTTTCAAATAAATTTTATTGTTTATCCCTTTTTTAACTGTCTGATACCATGCTTCTTATCCTTCTTTCCACACCCTGCCCTGTGCCACCTCCTTACTTTTTCTTTAAGCATCCTCACTTTTATATGCAAAATTAAGTAACAAATGCAACTTCTAGAAATTCCTCCAGTTCCCCCATAGTAAATCTTTGTTCAGATCTCCAGCAAATTGTAGTAAGATGAGTCGGAAAACCTTGGCTCCATTTTTAAATGGCTGCTCCCATGGAGCCTTGAGAATGGTTAGACTGTAAACCTTCCTGAGCTTCCTTCAGTTTATTTATCTGTAAAACTTGGGCTAGATAATGACCCATGCTCCTTCCCACATTAACATTTCATTATTATATGTCAATTCATTTAACTGAATAGAACTTGCCTCCATCTTAAAAAAGCAAAACAAAGAAATGAAAAATGAAGACTTAATCAAACTTCAGAAATTAGAGGTTTTAATGGTAGGACAGAAAGAGTGGGATGCTAGATAAAAATTAGCTTTCGGGAGATATAAGAAAATAAACACTGGCTATTGATAAGGCAAAACGAATATTTCAGAAGTAGCTATAAAGTACCTCTCTTCAAAGCAAAATGTCATCTCTTGTGCTTGAAGAATCATTCAGGAGACAGAAGGGGAAAAGCCAGGTAAGAAATACCTCAAAAAGGGGTTCAGAGATGCGTTTCAACTGCATTCCCCATGCTCGAGTCTTCCCAGTTCCTGGAGCGGGGTTCAGAGATGCGTTTCAACTGCATTCCCCATGCTCGAGTCTTCCCAGTTCCTGGAGCAGGGTGCAGAGTGCACCTAGACCTGCATGTGGGCTTGACAGACACACAACCTCTGCTTTTTATCATCCCTGGGACACCAGCCTTTTCGTTTGGAAATTGCTGAGGTTGTTTCTTCCTTTCTGCAGAAAAGAACCTCCCCTGCTCTTCTCCTAGGAGAAAAACCTAAGAACACTACACTTTCTGATCCATCTTCTAATGTCCTGGGATTTTGCATGCTCTTTGAGTTGATGAATCAGGAATCGTGCCCCTGGCAGCCTCTACCGAACTTACTAGTTCTACTTCTAAGCCACCCTGAGAGGAAACTGATCTCTCTCACCCATCTTTTAAATGCATTTCATCAATTTCTTAATCCGTGCAGTTATTTAGGAACTAACTTACCATCAAGCCACCTTAATTATACCATTTTTCTAAAGCAAACCGACCCATGTTAATGTGAACATTGTTAAGAAATAATTATACACACACACACATAATGTACATATGTAATTTTTTGCGTTTCAGATTTCTTACTGTTAGTGTCTATTTAAAGCTTTTGAAAGAGACCCAGTCTTTTCTGGAAAATGTGTGAAAATAGATTTGGGACTGTTTTGTCATCTGCTGAATATTTTTCTCTTTCTGAGCTTTAATTCTAACCAACGTTCAAAAACCCCCTATGCAGCCATTGAAAACATGTTATTGGTAATGATTCTGTTTGATTGGAAATGGCCACAGGCTGGTCCTCCCTCCCCTTTAAAGTCTTCCTTATAAATAATATATTGTGATTCGGCTAAGGTGGCTTAAACAGCTTTTCGTTGTCAGCATTTTACTTAACGCACATGAACGTTTTCTGGCTGTTGTGTAGTTGGCCAATGGTGAACTCCACATACTCATTTGGGTTTGAACAAATTCAAGGAACCTGATTCTGGCGCTGCAGTTTTCTTCTCATATTCCTTGCCTCCTGTTATTTTGCATGTACTAAAATATAAATGTATTTATTGAGGATAGAGCACCTGCCTGGATCTGGTGCATGCATAAATACCATTGAATTTCATCTGCACTGTAATTCTACAAGTTTGGATTTATCATTGGTATTCAGAGGTAAGAACCCAAGACTCAGAAACGTTAGATCATTTGTCTTATGCCACACAGCAGGTGAGGGGATGAAGCTGAATTCAGGAACAGGTTTTTACTGTAAACTGAGCATTTGCCTTAACTAAGCTACATGCATTGTTAGTAGCATGTGACATGTTTTTAGGTGGCAATTGAGTAAATAGATTTAATAGGTACTTACTTTAGTACTTATTAGGAAATTACTATTTTTCTGTTTAAGATAAAAGTATTATAATTAATGTTAAAATAAAAATTTTATATGAAATGTATATTTAAAGAAAACGTTAAACAATTCAGTGGTTACATGCACATAAAAATTATATATAAGTATATAATGGATATTTTATGTACTAATATCATAAATATATGATATATACATATAATGTATATTTATACATTATGTATACATATATATACATAATATATATATATATACACATAAATATATATATACATGCACATAAATGAAGACCAACCAAATGAGAACAAGCAATGGCTATTTATTTAGAGCTTGCTGTAGCAAGGGAGTCAGCCACTGTCACTTGCTTTTGGTAGAGACTCAAAGGCAGGCAGAGGAGTGGGAAAACTTCATAGTGGGAAAAAGGGAAGGCTTCAGGTGTGTCCCTGAGAGAGGTCTTTGATCTGGGGACTCTTTAGAGGGGCTAAGTAGGAGCAGGCATGCAATGTGATTGGTTAGTGGTACGTATTTGGCATCCTCTGGTCGGTTCTAAGTAGAAAGTGGGAACAAAGATTGAGGAAGCTGTCAGTTATTAATTAAAGTCTGGCCAATTTGGGCTGATTGTTACAGAAGCTATTGTTTAGCTTCCTGGATTGTTACTAGAGATAGCGGGATCCGGCTTCCTGCAAGTCTGATTTATGGCAGGTTGTCTTCCTGGGTTGTTTATTGCAGATAAGGGGTTGGTTTCCTGGACAGGTGGCTGCATGCTGTAGGTCAGAGTTCTACTTTTATGTATGGTCTGGCCATTGTCTATTGGCATATTCAATCTCTCTCTCTCTCTGTCTTTCTCTCTCTCCAGATGTATATATGTGCGTGTGTGTGCGTGTGTGTGTGTGTGTGTGAACTTGTGTATGCACACAAGAGGTAGACAGCTATTTAGATATTTTATATACTAATGGCTTAGCATGATTAATAACTCAGTTTCATGTCAGTGAATAGGTGGGGCTAGCTTTAATATATTTATCCAAGAGAACTGTTCTGCTGCTTCTATATGTGGACAAGCAGTTGCAAAAGAGAGAAGTGGATAAGTCCTTATTAAAATTGGAGTTACTAGTTTCGGACACAGAGTAAATAGATCTCAGACTTTTCCTGTTTCTACCAATGACATGGTATCTCCATCTGCAAATCATTTTTTATGTCTGGACTTAACCTTCCTATGCTTCTAAAATAAAAATTCTAATGCCTATCAGTTAACTAAATGACTAGAATAATGTGTATGTGCACTGGGGAGTACCTCCTAAGCACTCTTCCTCCTCTTGTGAAAACTTCTTTCGGAATTGTTTAATTACTCATTTATTTAACATTTATTGAGTCTTGAGTAAATGCCAAAGTTTGCATAGGGTTTGGATTCAGATTTGGATACAATATCTGCTCACTGTAATTTGGGCTTGCTAATCAATGAGATGAGGGTACCTGAAAAGTATTGACATGGCTCAGAAGGTACAATCTGTGAACATGGTTCTGGAAGGAGAATCTCACAGGGCATCTGAACTTGATACTATAGATTTACCATAGCCCAGTTAAGGGTAACTTGAACTGGGGCTAGAGAGAAGCCTGAGTTTAGTGCTGACTTCATTCACTCAACAAGCATGTTTCTGCCTTCCAGGTCCCAGCCCTGGAGGCACAGGTGAACGAGACAGGATTCATGACTTTGATAAGTGCAGAGAGAAGCAAATGTTTAATAACACAACTATCTAGTTGCCAAACTAAGGTGATTTTCCCTGTACCCAGGTGCCCACAAATCTCCCTGCATCCAACACACTCCAGTTACCCATTCTCCCTCTTAGTAATAGAACACAGATACCCAGATAGTACAGCAAAGACATGAACTTCACATTATCTTGGTAGTTTCAAATATAACAGACCTTGGGACAGAAAGCTGACCAGAGATGGACTTTGGGTTGTTAAACTAATGTGTCACATTTAAATTTATTGTTGTCATAACAAACCCCTTAAAAAGCATTTTCTATATTTGTATGACAATAAGTTTTTTCCTTTATTCATTCATTTGCCTACACAGTTTTTGATTGGCTGCACTGCACTAGGCACTGCTGTAGGCAGTGAGGAGATGGCAGGAGATGAATTGATGAAAGATTCTAACTTTATGGCACTGTCGTTTGAATGGATGAAAAATTGGCTCTATTCAAACGTATTTGTCCTATTCCAGGTGGTAGCAAGTGTCATTGACAAGAAGAGGTGGTAGCAGGAGGAGGAATCTGGGAGTGGAGGGTGTTGATTCTTACTGTAGGTCAGTGAAGGGCTCTCTCATTCACAGGCATTTTAGCAGGGATCTAAAGCAAGTGTGAAAATGAGTCATGTGGATCTGAAGGACATTTCAGGCAAGAGGGCAGAAAACTCAGGTTTCTGAAAGTGGGGTCTGCTTGGCATGACAAGAAACATCCAGAAGGTCCACGTGGCTCCAGGGGACTGTGGCAGGAGATAATAAGGTTAAAATCAAGAGAAGACAGTTTGGAGGTATAAGATGGGGTGAGTTCATGTGTGGCAGGGCAAGGAAGTGATATGGTTTAAATATATTCCCCAATGTTCATGTATTGGAAATTTAATCAATTCCCAGTGTAGCCATGTTGACAGGGTGAGACCTTTAAGAGGTAATTAGGTCACAGGGGCTGTACCCTCACCAATGGATTAATGCTGTTATCATGAGAGTGGGTCTCTTATCCTGGGAGTGGCTTTGTTCTAAAAGCGAGCTCTCTCACACTTGCTCTCCTGT
Source organism: Homo sapiens (assembly GCF_000001405.40). NCBI lineage: Eukaryota > Metazoa > Chordata > Mammalia > Primates > Hominidae > Homo > Homo sapiens. The sequence goes on along the minus strand of NC_000004.12, from coordinate 16,723,353 downwards.
CCCTCTTGCCCTTCCATCTTCCGCCATGGGATGACTCTCACCAGGTGCTGGCACCATGTCCTTGGACTTCCCAACCTCCAGAATTGTGAGCTGAATAAAAGTCTTTTCTTTATTAATTACCCAGTCTGTGGATTCTGTTACAGCAACAAAAACCAAAGTCAGACAGGGAGCTAGGTTATCCTAATACCTTATTCTTAAACATTCTTTCTCAAAAACTTTGTCATCATTAGGAAGTGTCTTACCTTCTGTGCAGCTTACATGCTATATTAAACACAGTACAGATGCTCCTTAACTTACTGTGGAGTTACATCCGGAAAACCCATCATAAGTTGAGTACACTGTAAGCCAAAAATACACTTTCAATTTATAATATTTTCAACTTATGAGAGTTTATCTGTATATAACCCTATCAGAAATTGAGGAGCATGCTAAATATGTATTGCTTTCACACCATTGTAAAGTCAAAAAATCATAAGTGGAACCATCATAAGGTGAGGACTGTCTGGGCCTTCTTGCTGTTTCTCATCATGCCAAACAGACCCTACCCTCAGAACCTTGAGTTTTCTGTCCTCTTATAAACAAATACAGTATTTATTGATTACCTATCATGTTACAGCTTCTTGGGTCACACAGAGATGAACAAACCATGGTCCTGACGTAGGAAAGTTGGCAATCAACTAGATAAGAAAGATTGGATAAAGACAGTATGGTGAGTGCCGAGAGAAGAATTTAAACCATACTCACCTCATTTAGGATACGATGGCATCTTTGCCTAGGGCACAAAAGAGATGACAGTTGATACACATCTTAAAGGATGAATGTATTCAAATGGAATTTCCTTCTGAGGCTAGCCCTTTAAAAATATCTGCTTAATAGATATTTTGCTATATTGTAGAATCACAGAAAAAAAGGAGCTAAAGGGTCCTGAGAGGTGTCCTGAGAGGGCACCCAGTTCATCTCTCATGTTTTCCAGCTGAGAGGCAGTGTAGCAGGTGGTTAAATGTGGGTTGGAATTCCATTTGATCCCATTAACATGACCCCTGCTGGGCAAGCTACTTTCTGTGCCTCACTTTTGTCCTCTGTAAAGTGGGTTTACTAATGGTACTTAGTTTATAAGGTTGTTGGAAGGATTCTCTGAACTAAAATGCAAAGTGCTTTTAGAAAAACAACCAAAATACATGGAAGAAAGCTTTCATGAAGTAGTAGCTGCTACTATGTTAAGAACACTGAGGCCCAGAGAAGTTCCATAATTTGCCTGCCGTCTCTTAGGTAATTATTGACAGACCTGAATCTAGAACCCAGATTGTTCTACTTTCTAATCCAGCAGCCTCTCATGGACACAGCATTTCATTCTGTCTTAAATTAGTTTATGGTATTTTAATTTTTTATTTAAACAAAATGAAAATGAATTTGAAACTTTTATTTACTTTGCCGAGCCATGGACTGTGGCTTAGAAAGTGAATGATTCATACCTTATCTCTAGTTCTCTTAAATTCTTGGAAGCATTTGACAAACATCACTGTACTTTCACCCTCTTTCGGCTTTAGATTATCTAGACTAACTGGCCTGTGCCCAACCCTATCGACAGAGTAACTGGGTAGTTTTAGTGTCAAGATGAGACAAGGAGACTTCCTCTGTGGTTAGGATCAGATCAGTGTGAGTTTCCTTTAAGAAGCAAAGTACTTTTCATCTGCTGACACTTCACAATTTAGGTTTGTTGCTCCATGTCCTATGGATACATTTGTGTGCAATAAGTTTGCCATTTTCCCCCTCAGTTTTTTTGTTGGATGATCTGAATTTTAGAGAGCCCAGGGGAAATTTTTGTTAAAAAAATGATGCTAATTTTAATGGACTCAGTTTAATTAATAATTCTAAAAAATTAACATAGATATTAAAAGTGAAAGGGAGAACCGGAATTCTATCTAGGAAGTGAATACTTTTTAAGCCAAGAGCTACTTCTTCCTGATCATAGAAAGGTGGGGACACAGAATTTAAAGACCAGAGGCAAAACATGCTGTCCCTTATATTTTGGATTATCTATCCGTTTGCTTCAGTTATCAATGTGGATAATTAAGAACTGACCCTGATTTAACTTGCATGTATTGTGTGCCTGTTTATAGATCTTTATACCCTCATGGGAGGCTATAAAAGGAAAGATAAGGTTCATTGATTTATTTCCAATTTTACAAACAGTCCAAGCATACACTTACTCAGTCATTTAAGGACAGTTTTATCAACAGTTTAAAAATATGATGGAGATTAAATATGTAAATTGCCAGAGGACATAGTTTTGGAATAAGGGAGTTTATGGTTTGTCAACTTCAGCTAACATCCAATGCTGAATTTTTTCTCTAACTTCCCTGTCAAGTGACTTGAACTTGGGCTTGCATTCCATGACAGATGGAGAGCTTTCCATCTCTTGGATCAGCCTAGTCTATCTTTAGACTGCTCTTGTGCTTAGAAAATCTTCCTTGTATTGAGAAGGATCCTACCGCTTTATAGCTTCTATCCATGAAATAAGATAACGATTTTAAAGATCTTGGTCCTTTGCTGCAACATGGTAATTCCTTAGTAAATGTTAATGACTATTAATATTACTATTATTGTCTTAGAAATAGTAGAAGTAGTGTTACATAAATATACGAACATCCATATTGCTTATTTATGGTGCATATGGTTAAAGCTTCCTAATTAAGTTAATGGGGACCTGACAAAGTCAATTGAACCAATTGACCTTGATGAGTTGAACATTGATGGTTGCCATGATGCCAGAAGATCAGAGCTGGCCTCTGTCTCTGGACATGGAGATTTGTGTTTGAACTCAGGTGTGTCAGTCAAGGTTCAACCAGAGAAACAAAACCGGTAGGAGACATATATTAGGAGAATTATTGCAAGGAATTGGTTTATGTGATTGTTGGGGATGGCTTAGCAATCTGAAAATTATTTGGCAGGCCAATGGAGATGAGCGAGCTGGAACTTTCAGGTGTGAGCTGACATTGCAGTCCACAGGTGGAATTTCCTGTTCCTCAGGAAAGCCTCAGCTCTGCTCTTAAGGCCTTTCAACTGATTTAATACTACCCGCCCCCACCACCCCTCCACCTCTCATTATCTAGGATAATCTTTCTTAAAGTCAACTGATTAGGAACTGAATCACATCTACAAAATACTTTTGAACATATACCTGGATTAGGGTTTGATTGAATTACTAGACATTAGAAACTAGCCAATTCGCACATAAAATCAACCATCACATCAGGCTCCACCATGGACTTTATATGACCATGAATGAGTTATTGAGTCTCTCTTGGCTTAAGAGAGATTATAATAGTTGAAGTTTAATAAATTAAAGGAAGATAAATATTTAAATTAGCTTTGATTTTACTTAAAATAATCTCTAGAATCTGTATCTGGTTGGTTTTTGCTTCAAGTTGTTTAGTGTCATTAGATTTCAGTTTCCTCATCTGTAAAATGAGCAGAATAATAATATCTAGCCAATAGTGTTATTGTGAGAAGTGAAGGAGAGATTGAATTTAAAATTACTGGCAAGTCATATAATATATGATAACAAATAATGCATAATTATGGGATAAAAAACAACACTTAGGAACACTTACTCTGGGTCAGACACTTATAAATGCATTACCTGGGTTACCTTGTTTAAGAGCTGCACCCTCTCAACACTGCTGCATTAGGGATTGGTTAAATTTCCAACACATGAACTTTCGGGGACATATTTCAACCATATTACTTCCTAAAATTTAGCTAAAATTACCGTGGTCCAGGAACAAGAAAGATAGGATTCTAAGACACTTTAGCATCTTCAAAAGGATGAATGGGAAGAACAATGGACCATGACGAATATTTTCAAGTGATTTTTGATGCTACAGAAGGCCTTCTCAAAGAACAAGCGTCAAAGGGATGGTCATCCTCTGTGGAACGGACATAGTAAAAATAAAATTATTTTGACTGACTACATTGATCTTATGAATATATTCTGTCAAGCTAATGAGCTTATCATGGCTCTATGTACACACTTTCTTTAAAACAAAAAAAATCTCTCTATAGTTGGTTATGTTTTCTGCTAAATTATTTTAGCCTTTACTGAAGGAGTAATCTACCAGTTGAAGCTAACAAAGTGGTCACATAAGAGTTGATTCAAACACTTGAATCATATTTATGTCAAGAAGAAAAAATATGGAAAATCAAGCAATTTATAAAAGTTGTTTAACAGCAGTTTGTCCACTGAGTAGAAAATAGGTTTTTTTTTTTCTTCTTTTGCATTTGGTCATGACTTTTCATGTTACAGGTTGTTTCTTCTTATATGCCTATTTATTTTGAGTTTCAATTTGTACAATTTGCTACAACGTGTAAACATTAGATTCTGGAAATATGTAGAACAGGGCAACAAAGTTTAATCTCTGTAAAATGTCACTGGGGAAAATAGTACAAGTAGTCTACAGATATTCTTTTAAGAACAATTGATACCTGTTTGTCATTTATTACTGCAGCATTTCCAAAAGAACATTCTGTGAGTATTATTTCCATGGGATGTCAATAGATAAAAATGCCATCCATGATCAAGTAAGATTGGGAAAGACTGATTTCTCTAAGTTAAACTGGGTTATTTGATACAATATTTCGTACAGCTCTTATGCGAGGGTTTGTCATGAATCTCTAGGGTAGGAAGTACTCCGTGATTCTCAAATTGTTGACCATGACACTCTCCTCTGATTTTTGGAGAAATATCTCAAGGAATGATGATCTTCAGGGCAAACTTTGAGAAATGACAGAGCAATCCTTAGGTCAATGACTACACATATACAGGTTGGCTGACTCAATTTGTAGCTCTCATTTTTGCCCATGTGGGTTAAAGATAGCAGCAAGAGTAAAAGTCATCAGAAATTTTTAAAGCCATGAAAAACTCAAACTCAGTCTCATCTTGAAAAATTCTTTAAATTGTTTTCATTTTTCTCTTTCATTGCATTAGACTCGACATATTCAATGGATTGAAAAATATATACACATACATACATATCTGTGAAGTTATGTAGGTTACATATATAATTATATATTATAATATTTTCCCTTTTAGGCTGGCAATTCCTTTAGGACAGAACTCAAGTCTTATTTGTCTCTATTTCCCCAGTACCTTGTACAATACCCAGCACCCATTAGAAGCTGAATAGACCATTCTTTGGTGGGTTGAGTGAGTAAAGATGTAACACTATCAATACTCTACCCCCCACCAATAAAATTCACTTTTATATGCATTTTTAATGTACATGGATATCTTTTATTAATTTCACCCTGGGATCCGCATTTTGAAAGATTTTTGTCTATCATACTGTATTTATTACATAGCAATTAACTTGTATTTCCATTATTTGCTATTGAAAAATAGAGCTTCTGATTACAAGAGATAAGTATTGCTGTCATACTGAGTTTCTAAAATTCCTGCCTAAAGCAAAGAAACTTGCTATTTCACTTGACATTGGCAGCCATATTTTGAGGAAAACTGATGTGTTTAAGAAGATTTGAGCCTGGGAAGCCCCCATTACCACTTTCAGGAAGACTTAAAGGGCATAAATGCGTGGGAGAAATTTGGGCGAAATACCAAGCGATACAATCAGTCCAGCCAAGGGGAGGTGTTTATCAGATTTGTGTATAAGGAAACATAATAATTGCATATAAAGTTATCATATGGATTCATTGTTCACTTGCTGGTCTGTGTGGCAGCTAAATGCTGATGCTTTGAGACATACAGAAAACTTTTTATATGATTATTAAGATTCTTAAAGTATAAGTTTTAATCATAGTTTGAGATCATTTTTTTCTCCTCTGGGAAAACTTCTCAGCTAGTGGAAGCAAGTCAGTGAATAATGACTCAATAGCAGCTATTTTCATTACCCACGACTTTTCTGGAATGCATCTAAAATGCAGGAGGGGGTATGATTGGGGTTGGAGGCAGAATATGTTTTGTATTCAAAGTAACAATCCAGTTTTCTCCAGCTACTACCCAATTAACCAGGCCTGCTTTTTCTGACCTGCAGAATAACGAGAGTTATTGTTTCCCCTGCGGAGTCATCTTCTGTTCAACTATTTCTAGTTCCATTAAAAAGGAAACAGGAAAAGAGAGTGAAATAAATGTAGTCCTCCTCATCATCATTATTATTATTATTATTATTATTATTATTTGCTATTAGCTTTGGCAAAAAGTGAAGAAACTAAAGCTACTATGGATGGATTTTATCTTCAGACTCCCCTTTTTCTGTGCTAACCTAACCATCTATTACTTTGAATAACTGAGAAACAGCTAATATATTAAAGTCTTTTAAAAACTTTATCTGCACCATTACTTATTAGCATTTTTTCAAATTAATTTTAAATTAAATCCCCTTTTATGTTTAACTTCATTTTAAACCACCATATCCACTAAATCATGGCCTTGATAGATTAGTACACATTAAAATAAATACATGAATATTAAAATTTAGTATAAATATTTATCTGTACCTGTACTAAATTACTGCATATACTATAATGGGACAAGTGCCATGTTTGTAAAGCTCTGTTCCATGGGGCAAAGGTGAAAGGATTCAATCCATGTTCTGAGAAATTCTAGGGTACGGTATGGGATGGGACAGGGAGAAATGCTTTAAGAAGAGGCCAAGGGGCTTTGGTTAGTCTTCAAGCCAGTTTTCATATTTTGTAATTTGGAGTTTATATGGATAAAATTTCATTTGAGGAAAAGAGTTCAAATGCTAACCCCCAAATTCTAGATTTAAAAACCACTGATCATTGGTGACGAAAGTTTATTTTATTCCCTAAGGCCTCATATACTAAAGCATTGCTACTTCAGGTGTCGCAAATCCCACATTTTGTAAATAGCTCCCACATCAGAGCCTGGCTTTCAGAGCCTTCTACAAACCTCCTTCTCCAGGCTTAAAATACACAGTTCCCTAAACAAATTCTCCACTTCATCCCAAATATTCTATGTATTATTCCGTGAATGCGGGCTTTGAGCCTGACCTTTGCTCACTGTATAATTCCCTCCAGCTCTTTGAAGCTCCCACTCCTGGGTTTGCTGAAGGCCCACTATACTGAGAAGCAAGAAGCATTGTTGCAGGACAGCCTGAGCCATATTCCTCTTTGAAAGCTTAAAGCTCCAGAAATTTGCTGTACATCAGAAGGGTTTGTTCCTTCTTTCCTTTAAGAAAAAGATAGAAACATTTCTTTATGATTGTTACTCTCAAGAAAGTCACACCAAGATCTGCATGAGCCTTACTTAGAAATATAAACTTTGCATATTCCAGTAAATGGGACATATAAGCCTAAGAAGTTACTGGGAGAAATCTGTGTTTAGAAATTATGTTAGCTTGCTTTTAAATGCTACTACTAAAGAACAAGAGGGACCCAGCTATAAACTCTGCCTTAAGTGAACTAAGGATATCATAGTTGCCACTCAGTCTGCCTCGAAGAGATTATAAAAAAGGTCTACAGCAGCAGCACCACCACTTCCATGCACACGTATTCCTTGTGGTTGACTCCTTCTTGTGGGTTGAATACTAGTGACTTCCCCATACACCAAAAAAATTAAGTTGAGGAGATCCTCTTAGTATGAGAAAGAGAGAGCAAAAGAGAGTGTATGAAAATGAAAGAGAGATTTCACAAGCAGATGGCTGGAATCCATGTGGCAATATGTGAAAGTCATGTAATGTTTTCACTTATTTGTGTTTCTGATGTTGTTTTATTAACAGAGGAAAAATGGATAAGGAATAACTCTCAGTCTTGTTTCATATCTCTGATCCTTAGTGTCTTGAATTTCTCTGCCTTATTGCTAGTTTTAATCAAAGCCCAAATTAGGTCTAATATAGAGAAGAGTCATTGCTAATTTTAGCAAGAAAAGCATAGTAGAATCATGTTGACATCTATAGTCCAGTGACCAGTATGGAACCTGAGACATTTCAAGCATTTATTCATTCAAAAAGCTGTGTTGAGTGCCTACTGTGCTGTTTGTTAATGAATTAATGATTGAAATATGATAGTACCTATAATCTGCATAAGGTTGGCACTTTGTATGGTTGTATTTGTATGGGAGGCAGCATGGAATCCTTGTTTGAGTGTGTACTAGAGGCCTTCTGCCTCCTGGTTTAATACCTGGGTAATGTGGGCCAGTTAGTCAACCTCTCACTTTCCTCATTGGTAAAATGCATACAATACAAGCTTCTATCACATCGGGCTGTTGTGTGGGTTAAGCATGATAAGGCACATGAAGCACTTAGAAACAAGCTGGTCACATATGACATCTCACTAAATATTAGCTATTTGTTAATAAGTTGACTGTGCCCCCAAAAAAAGATATACCCCAGTCCTAACCCATAGTATTTGAAAATAGGGTCTTTGCAGGTGTAAAGTTCTTGATGAGATCATCCTGGATTTAAGGCGGTCCTAAATCCAATGACCGATGTCCCCAGAAGAGAAAGGAGAGGATATTGTGTGGCATGAAGGGGAAGACCACGAGAAAGCCAAGTGAAGACAGAGACAGGGATTAGGGTGATGTGTCTATAAGCCCAGGAACTCCAAGGGTTACCAGCAGCCACCAGAAGTTAGGAGAACGGTATGGAACAGATGCTCTCTCAGAACTTCCAGATGAAATCAATCCAGCCAAAATTTTTATTTCTGTCCTCTACAACTGTAAGAGAATATATTTCTGTTAAGTCACCCCATTTGTAATATGTGATAGCAGACAGGAAACTACCAGGCTGGGCTGTTTCATAGACTCAAGTAGAAGAGAAGGACTTTAAAGATAGAAGAGACCTTGGAAGCCACCTGTTCTAGTGTTCTCATTTTTTTCCCAGAGGGGTGATAGAGCTTGCCCAAAGCTACACAGAGAGTAGTCCTGGCAGCAAAAGCACCTCAAGTGCAAAAAAGTCCTCCAGGGAACAATGCCAGGCCACTGTCCCCAAGAAAGCTGTGGCTGCCCAGGCCAGCTGAAGCCAGTGGAGTGGGATTCCTCACATCCAGCTAGCTGAGTTGAGCATGTATGTACTGCTCACCTGTGCTTTTCTTGAACAAGTAAAATTCTTGCTGAAGAAGCACAGCAAACACATGCTACTTTCCAATGTCATCTTCCAAGCAAAACAGTACCCTCATTCGAATGAAGATTTAAAAAACCCCTCCAGTTTCTTAGGATAAACTTCTTAGCATGGAACTGCTATTAGACACCTTTTTGGTTCCTGCTCAGAGGAGGCCAGTTTCCACCCAATGACTTTTTTGTGGCTATTTCTGGCTACTTGTCAGAAGGAAGCTGTTAATGCTTTTTAAATATCTTCTCGCCGGTGAATGAGCTCTACCTGCTCTTAATATCTCTCTGGCTAGTGTCCTTGACCTAACATTTGTCATTTCTGATGATCTCAGACAGAAATAATCTATCAATGGACATCCACACAGAATGCAATGGCAAAGCTGGAATCAACTCGCCCTAGCCAGAGTCTATTGCTAGAAAAGAAGCAATGTGAACATTTTCTCTCAGGCAGATCAAGATGGGCTATGAGAATGTCAGGGAGTAGAGGATTGTCTAACATTAGAAAGAATTTCCAGGGCAGCCTATGAAATCCATCCCTCCTCTTGTCCCACTAGCTCTAGAAATGGCTTCTACTGTGTGCCCTTCAGAAAATTTCTTAACCTCTCTGTGCCCCCATTAGGGTTTTCTACTACATAAAACATAGAAAATAATTATCCCAACCTAATAAAGCTTTTAAAATGAAGACTACACAATGATTCACAGTAGGCACATAATAGCATCTGGCACATAATTGTTACTCAGTTGAGGTTAGCAATCTCCATTGTTCTTACTTGTAAGCCTAGAATCCTTTTGGCCACCCACCCTCAAATCCTTTAGGTTCCCAAGTTCTGCTGATGCTGCTTCCTATTGTTAGTTCCCCTCATCACTTCCTTTCATTTCTGATCTGTTCTTTAAAAAAAAAAAAGCTTTACTATTTATTTTATGCATATTGTAAAATTCACCAATTGCCATTAAGTGTACAATTAAATAAATTTTGTTAGCATATTTACAGAGTTGTGCAACTAGCACCACAATTCGGTTTTAGAATACTTCCATCACTCCAGTAAGACCCAGACTGCACATTTGCATTCCTACTTTCTACTTCTAGCCCAAGTCAACTATTAGTGTAATTTCTATGTCTATAGATTTTCTTTATTTTGGACATTTTCAATGAATGAAATCATATTGTGTTTCTGGCTTCTTTTACTTGACTAATATATTTGAGGTTCGTCCATGTTGTAGCATGTATCATTACTTCGTTCCTTTCTATTGCCAAATAGTATTCCATTGCATGGTTATACCACAATTTATTTATTTGTTCAGCAATTATGAACATTTGAGTTATGTCCACTTTTTGGCAATTATAAACAATTGCTATAAACATCAGTGTATAAGTCTTTATAGAAGTATGTTTTTATTGTTCTTGAAGAAATATCTAAGAGTAGAATTATTGGATCATATGATAGTTTGATGCATAACATTTTGAGGAGCTTCCAAAATGTTTTCCAAAGCAGCTGCACCATTTTACATTCCCACTAGCAATGTATGAGGGTTCCACTTTCTCCACATTCACTCCAGTAGTTGTGATTGTATGATTATAGCCATCCTAGTGTGTATGAAGTAGTATCTCATTGAAGTTTTGATTTGCAGTTCCCTAGTGACTAATGATGTTGAGCATTTTTTCAGGTGCTTTTTGGCCGTTTGTAGAAATTTCTTTTCTTTTCTTTTTGTTTTTTTTGAGACAGAGTCTCACCGTGTCACCCAGGCTGGAGTGCAGTGGTGCAATCTTGGCTCACTACAACCTCCGACTCCTGGGCTCAAGCTATTCTCCTGCCTCAGCCTCCCAAGTAGCCGGGACTACAGGCGCTTGCCACCATGCCCAGCTAATTTTCAAATTTTTAGTAGAGACGGGGTTTCACCATGTTGGCCAGGCAGGTCTTGAACTCCTGACCTCGTGATCCACCCGCCTCAGCCTCTCAAAGTGCTGGGATTACAGGCTTGAGCCTTGTATAGCTTTCTTCATTGGAGAAATGTATAGTGAATCCTTTGCCCATTTGTAAATTGAGTTGCCTTTTATTGTTGAGTTAGAGTTCTTTATATATTCTGGATACAATTCCCTTACTGGATATATGATTCTAAAATATTTTCTCCAAGCGTGTGTACTGTCTTTTCATTTCCTTCAGGATCTCTCTTGAAGCACAATTTTTTAAAATTTTGATGAGGTCCAAATTGTTAATTTTTTTCTTTTATGGACTGTGCTTCTGTGATCATATCTATGAAATCTTTGCATAACCTAAGGCCTATGTTATCTTCTAAAAGTTCTATTATTTTAGGTTTCTGATCCACTTTAAATTTATTATTACATTTGATGTAAGATAGGGATTCAAATTTGTTCTTTTGCATGTGGACAGCCAGTTATCTCAGCACCATTTGTTAAAAAGACTATTCTTTTCCTATTGACTTGTCTTGACACCTTTGTCTAAAATCAGTTGGTTGTAAATGAAAGGGTTTGTTTCTGTACTTTGAATTCTATTCCATTGATCTATATGTCTATCCTTATGTTGGAACCATACTGTCTTTATTACTGTTGCTTTGTAGTAATTTTTGAAATCAGGTCCTTAACTGGTCTCCTGGATTACTAGCCCATCATCCTAACTGGTCCCCTGCCTCCACTCTTTGCCCTTTGCAGTTCATTCTATGCACAGCATCCAGGGAGACCTTGTTAAAACCCAGATCAGACTTGTCACCCCTGTGTAAAGCCTTTCATTTGCCCCAGCCTTAATAAAAAGTCTAATTTTACCTTAGCAATCTTGTCCCTGCCAACACAATCATCCTCACTTTTTCCCATCTTCACTTCTTTCTTCATTCATCCCAGCATGACTGAGCTACCCAAGTTGCCCAATGGTGCACATGCTTTACCTTCTTTGAGCACGCGAGAGAGCCCAGCACAGTGTCCTGGGGCCAAGCTCAGTGCCTGGCACAAAGTAGATCTCCACCACCTAAGGCTGAACAAACCATAATGCCGTGATTCTTCCCTAAACACCATTTTGCTCTTCTTTTTAAACTGGTTAACTCCTTCTGTTTTCTCTGACCAAATCCTTCCCTGTTGTAATGCACTTTAGGTGCCCTAGAAGTACTTTTGCTGTATTACATCAGAGTTATAGGTTTACATGATTATCCATCCCCCTAGATTGTAAGAGTGTCAGCATTGGCCATTATGATGCCTGATACTCAATAGCATTGTTGAATGAATGGACAGATTAATGTATGTTTTGAAATTTCATAAAAAGCTAAGAATACCTTAGATTTGTGGGGTGTAGATCATTGCTGATTGCAGTAAAATTGTTTCCCAGCCACAGGCAATAAGGGCAGAGCCAATTGCCTTTCGGTACTTTAGCCCATCATCTCCACCCACAGCTTTGCATCTTTCCCTGTTGACTCAATGTATTATTGGGAGATGGTTCAGGGCAGTAAACAGTGGGCTGGAATTGAGAAGAGTGGAAAAGTTAAAAAAGGATGACCCTTGGCCTAACAATAAAGCTCAGTCTAAATATTGTTTAGGGATATGTTTCTGAGTTGGATGCCCCTGTGAAAATCAAATTCATATCCTTAGAGACACACTTTTTTTTGTATTTTCTTAAATAAAACCTTCCTGTTGACTACACAGGGGTGGCTTTCTCAAGTTGCTTTCTACTTTGGGAGTCTATTTTATTCCATCTCAATAGCTATTATTTGTCTTTTATTCCACCTTCTGGGGTCCTGCCCACAAATAAATAGCTTCAGATTCCTCGGGAAGCCTGGATCCTCCACAAACTCTCAGTAATTTTCACATCATTATGTTACTGACAAGGCCAACTCCAGGAAGAATGATTTGACTGTCAGATGCCAGAATCTGAATGAAAACACTCCACGTTTTAAAGCTGTCGGTTGATTTGACTGTCAAACAAGGCATTTTTCTAGTATTTTTCAGACTGTATGTATTCATGGCCATCCCTTCTTTTCCTCACAGGCCAGGAGAGAACATGTGGAGAACAAAATATCTAATCCCATCCTGCTGTTTTCAGCTGATATGGCAAGTGTGGGAGTGTCTTGAGTTTTATTTATGAAGGCAGAAATATTTTTAAAAACTATTCTTCTTCCCATCCCATCAGTCTCCACTTTAAACTCTCTGTTTATATGTATGAATATATCCCAAAGGATTTAAGCTATATATGACACATTATCTATGGCAAACTTGGTAGTGTATGTGCCAAAGGATTTAAGCTATAAATTATTAAGAATTTAAAAGAGGCTTAGGGCTCCTAATCTCAAATGGCCTCTCTTACTTCTTCCTTAATATGCTTGTATAGATCAAGGTCACATGGCCAAATATCTCTAGGGGTGTATGGATGCGTAAAATTGGCCAGGTAGAGAACCTGGTGAACTGGAGAGTTCATGCCCCATTTAAATGAGTCATTCCCAAAAAGCTGCAGGTGACATTCCCTCTGGGATTATTCTCACTTATAGTATTTCAAGATCCTCTGATATTTCAGAAGAAATTGAAAATTCTTCTGAATTCTCCAATTCAGTAGAAGTTGAAATCTTTTAATGTAAAATGGTATTATCTTAAAATGTTTTACGTTGGCAAAAAATTCAATATTTAGAAAGACAATGTGCAAATCAAACAAAACACTTTTGCAAGCCATCCTTTGATAAATTCTTGTACAGAAGGTTCTTACCCTACAAATATCTTGTGAGTTAAAAGTTTATCTTAGCTAATTCATTGAGTGTGTTCAATGAATATTAATTGAGTACCTTTGTGTGCTGTGTGCCAAATCATATGGACTCAGTGCTAGACAAGACAGACCCCATGTGTTCATGTGAATGATATTCTAAGTCAGGTCTTTGGGAAGTGAGGCCCTTAGGTCATAGTCACTTGGTTTATAAATAAAAGATGGAGTTTCCCATTGGGTCTTGAGGCAGACTCACAATAGTTTTGAACCTCTCTCTGCATATTATACTATAACCTGCAGAATAATTTTTGTGTTATCACCATTTCTACTCAAATATCATCTACCATATTTGAATATATCATTATCTTAAAACTGCTCATTAATTAAATACATTTTTAAAATTTAACTTATTCAAGAAATATTTATTGAGCAGCTATTCTGAGCTAGGCACTGGGCAAAGAAATGAGAATTCGGTGATAGAATAGACAGCTTCTCTAGCATAGAGAGACTTCTACCCAAGCCTGATGCTGAGCAGATGGTTCAAGGATGAGCTGTCATTGATTTCAAACCCCAGCTTGGGAGTAAAGAAGGGAGTGGACACCTTCTGCATCCAAAGTGTTAGAGGCCCCAGGGCAGGATGAGGTGGCTTGCAGGGTAGAGACCTGCAGAGTGAGGAGAAGATTATTGTCATTTTCCCTTTCAATAAAAGCCAATGTGTTGCATACTCCAAACTCCCACTGAGGAGAAAAGCAGGTGTTGGGGGAAAGATAGCTCCCACAGAGAGCACAGGAAGCTTGAAGAGGGAGAAGAGAGGCTTCTGTTCTTATAGGTCTTTGTACTTCCCTAATATAATTATGTCTATCCACTATATCATAATTGTCTTTCCTTTTGACTCTAAGTTGTGTGATGAAGGAATCATGTCTACCTGGTCCCAAGAATGTATCCTCAGCTCCATATTAACAGTCTAGTTTGTAATAGATGCACCATGATTGTTGTTGGCTGAAGAAGAAGTTTCTCTCAGGCCGTATTTGCAGAGGAAGGTGGTAGGTGGTAAGTAGTGGGTAAATTCCCACAAAAGTGAAGTAATGAGGAGGAGAGGGGAAGAGGACATGTCCAGGGGCAATATGGGTAGACAGGAGGAGTTAAGTGTCCTGGATGGTAATGAAGTAGATGAGAAGCAGGTCTTGGAATGGGCTGACCATTGGGGGTTCTCTGTGTGTGTGTGTGTTTTAATTTTCAAAATTTATTTATTAATTTTTTTTAAGACAGGGTCTCGCTCTGTTGCCCATACTGGCCTCAAACTGCTGGGCTCAAACAATTCTCCCACTTCATCTCCCTGAGTAGCTGAGTTTATAGGTGTGTGTGCCACCACACCCTGCTGGGCTGACCATTTTGTATAAGTGACTTTTTTTTCCCCCAAAGTTGGGTGTAAGTCAAGGATTCCTGTGGTGAGCTTCTCAGTGAAAGATGAATTACCACCAGTGAGCCACTGTTAAAAGAATGGAGTTTCCAAATTAGATAAAACTCACTTTGTTAAGAACAAATGTTACCGGAGCCATCCAAGGTCACTGTGTGTCAGTTTGAACACGGGAAATGGCTCATTTGAGGCACACACGCAAGTCTTTCCCATTCTGTATTATCTAAGTTTGCATGTAGAGCTCCTTGCTTCCCAGCTGTGAGTCGCATGGGCCTCTGTAAAAGGTCAGTGTATAATGATACAACATCTTTCGTGATGACATTTTTTCACGATGTATTTTTCTACCCAAGATTTCTGAAAATCAATCACCCAGATTTTAAGCATTTCTTTTTTGAGCTGAGGCTGAGCAGCTGGATGTTGGAATTTGCCATCAAACCATTCACCCATCTCTAACCTTTAAATGTTTGGGGAGGAAAAGAAAAAAAAAAAGACAGGTGTAAAATAATTTAGTAACCCACAGAATTGACTTAGTTTAATTTATGCTAATCATGGTATATTGGTGTACTGGCAAATAAAAATGAAGCCGGTAGAGAAGATTGCATTGAATAAACTGCAACAATTAACCCTCGAAATTATCACGTGAAATGATTTTAGTTTGCTATTGACAATAACAGTCCCAACCAATTGTCTTAACTAGTGATGATTAAAAAGCTGATTAAATTCCAGGATTTATTTTACATTACTCCCATGTCCATTTGGCCATTTTCTGTAGTATTTTAATTATAGGGGTTTTTCTTCCTTTAATTTTGTGCTCTAAAGGTTAGAGCACAGTATTAGAATTGTATTTCATTATTATGCTCAGTTATTTGCCAAAATGTGTATAATAGAAAGATAGTAGTCCTATTATTTGTCACAAGTGTTCAGGTAAAGTTCTCAGTGGCATAAAATGACCCAAAACATTGTCTTTTGGGTTCTGAGATAATCACATGAATTAGCAGATTTTATTTCATCAATTTTTTTTAAGGCTTTCATGTGTAGCTTCTGTTCCCAAATTAAGTAAATGGGATTATTATTAATTTTACTGAGAAGGGCAAAGGAATTAAAATGATGAATATTTTGTTTAAAAGTTTTGCAGACTTTGCCTCACCCTGGATTGTTTGCCAAAGTGAAATTAATCATTTGCCTGGAGAGATCGGGATGTTGAGGGTACAGAATTGTGGTCAGTAAAGGTAGATGGAACAAAGGCTATGCTCGTACACTACTTAGCAATAATGAGCTACTTCCTAAATGACTGATCCCTGTCACCCTATCTGCCTTGAGGTATCTGAGAGCTGCAGTACTTGCTATTTTATTTTTCTGAATGTTTTCTTCACACAGCTGGCTCCTACACGTAATTTAAAATACAGCCAGCTATCACCTGCTCAAAGTCTCCCCAGATTTCTTCTACGTTTGAGTTAAATACTCCTTCTCTTATGTCCCCCTAGGAAGAACTCTGTTTCTATCAATGCAAACACTTAACACACTAAACTTCTGATGTCTATGGAATTGTGTTTGCTACTATCGCATAAATAACTTAACACCCAGAATCATGATCTTGCTCTTTATGTCTTAGTCCATTTGGGCTGCTATCACAAAATACCATAGACTGGGTGGCTTATAAACAACAGACATTTATTTCTCGCAGTTCTAGAATTGGGAAGTCCCAGACTGAGTCACTGGCAGATTAAATATCCGAGGAGGGCTCTCTTCCTGGCTTGCAAATGGCCACTTTCTTGATGTGTCCTTAGGTCGCAGAAGGGGCAAGGGACCTCTCTCGGGCTTCTTTTATAATGGCACTAATCTTATTCGTGGGGGCTCCACCTTCATGACCTAATCACCTATCAAGGGCCCCATCTCCTAATACCATTACCTTGAAGGTTAGGACTTCCTCATATGAATTTGGGGGTGGAAGTAGTGAAATAAACATTAAATCCATTGCACCATATCTCAAGGACTTAACATGGGGCTTAGCACGAAATGCCATCAAAAGGCCTGCTGAGTAAATAAAGGAACACAAGAATTCAGAATTATTTTTACTAGCAATTTTGGCCCCTTCACTATACAAAGAAATAGTAAATATTGTCTCTAATAGTTTGAAAACTAGCCTCTGGGCTATTATCCACAAGATTTGCCTGTTTATTTTGTTCACTTAAAAAAAAAGATTATATAGTGACTGAGAAAAGTGAAAGGTAATCTCATATGTATTTTGTGGATATCATTCTTAAGTAGGATTGTTTCTTTATCTTAAATTTATATCTGATTGGAGAGAGGGGACTAGACTAACAAAAGGAACTCATGATAGACCATTAAATATTACTCACTATAAACTCTCCTAGGAAGTGGGGAAAATAACAATGGACCAAACAGACCCAGACCCTAACTTTACAGAGTTTAAAATCATGCAGAGGACAATGAAATTTGTAAAAAGGACTAGCACGTTGCTCAGCTGTTGTCCCAATATTGCTGCATAACATTAAAACAGAGTGGCTTAGAACAAAAAGCCTCTATATTTTTCTTCATGGGACTGTGGTAGGCTAGGGCAGCCCTGTACTAAGCGCAGGCAGGCTGGGCTTGCCCTCAGGCCACAGATTGAATTTCCTGCCTCTCATTCTCCTTGGGATAGCAGCTTTAGGTCATGTTGTTCTCACAGCAAATTACTAGAGGGGACAGAGAGAGTGGAACCTCGCTATGCCTCCTGAGACATCAGCTCAGAACAGGCACCTGCTCACTTCTATCCACTTTCCCTTAGCCAAAAAATGTCACATGGTCACACCCAACTTCAATAGGTGAAAAAATAGACCCTGCCTATTTTTACAGGAGCTAAACTAAGTCAGAAGCCATAGGGCATGGATGTGAACTCTATTCCAAAGAGGGGCTGAAGAAGTGTGGTCACTGATTGGAGTGAGCACACTTCTTCTATGAAGTGAAGTAGGAAGGGCACACGACTGTTTTCAGTCTTTACAACAACTTTGTAAATTATATATGACATATTTATGTAAACTATGAAAGGATTATGTATAATTATTATTTCATAATTAATAACAGAAATCATTTTATTCTTATTAGAGACATGGGGAACTTGAGCAAGTTAAAGATTGTAGTGAAGGCAGGTGAAATTTCCTCTTAAGCCAAAGATCCTCATGCATCAAAAAAATTAATAACTTCTTAGACAGAATCATGTAATCATAGACCTAGAGGAAGCAGACAGGACCTCACTAGGTTTTCAGGTATGTTACCTTATTCATCTTTATTTTCTACCTGCCTCCTTCACTGCTGCATTAGAATCAATTGTAAGTGAGCAAGCAGTCTGTGGCTTCCACGTGGAGGGAAGTTAAGTATCATCTATGAGTTTTGAATCTATGTCCTTGTCCTCACCATAGAGAACACACATAGCATGCATCATTGTCTATTAATAATTTATCAGAGGCTTTTTTATGTGACTACGTCATAGGCCTTGAAAACAGACATTAAACCAACAGCCCAGTCTATCATTTGTAAATTTTTTCTTGCTTTGAGCTGTAGCCAGGATTTAGTCTTGAACTACAAACCATACAAGCTATGGGAATAGATACATATACAGAGCAGGTGTGGGTGTGAATGGGAAAACAAGAGAGATTTATGTGGCTTGCTTTTGATTTTATTATCTACTCCCAATTAAGGCAGAAAATTTGTGGGCAGTTTATACTCCCCATACCATCAAAAAATAATAATTAACAATAATGTTAGTAGTTAAACCTTCCTTCTTAATAACAGTAGAAGTAACAATAATATAGCTATCTGGATTGGTTACAATTTTTGGTTGCAAGAGAAATAAAATAACCCTGGTTAATTTAAACAAAAGGGAATCTAGTGGAAGGCTATCAGGAACTTCTAGAATTGGTAGAAAAAGGAGACCAGGTCTTAGAAAGGGACAGGGGTTTTTGTAGTTCTGGAGGCCAAAGGAAACAGAAATCACAATAATGGTCTTGTACAGGAAGAGACTTTCTCAGGCATCAGTGCTAGAATGAATGAGTGCCTTTTTTTCAGTCTTGTTGACTCTACTCAAGATGCAGATTCCAGGGAGGAAGTATCTGCTTGGCTTAGCATGGGTCACCCAGTTGGGGAAAAGAGGGGCACCCGATAACAGTCCCATCAGGTATATACAATTGAAAGAAATCTTTCCCTAAAGGAAATAAGTTGCTGTTAGATAGAGAAATGGTTGCTAAGTAAATGCAAAACAAGAAACATCCACTATACTAATGTTGTAAACTTACTAAATTTGGAATACTGCACATAAATTATATCTAATTTTCAAACAGTCTGCAATTGGTGGTATTATTACTTGCACACAAATGAGTAACAATAACATTGATAATGCACCCAAAATATTGGCCATACACTAAATGCTAGGCTTTCTATATGTGACCCACTTGGCATGTAGGAAAAATTAGCTTCAGAAAAGGTAAATATATTGCCACCCAATTAGCAAAAGAGAAGTTGTCTGAATAACTCTAAGGTCTGCTTTTAAGCATTATCATATGTTGAAAAAGATAATGATCAGAGTGGTTAAAAAATCTTGCTCAGGGCCGTACAGCCAATCGGCAGTAGACACAGCTGTCTTATTCTAAAGCCTTTGTCATATGTCCAACTGCTCTCTACCCATGAGATTACCCTTGGATAAAAACTGGCCATGACAATGACCTTATTGGCATGTCCATAAACCACATCATTCTCCCCCAGGAAGCTCTCTGTCTACCTTACACACTACATCCATTCCTGCCTTCGCATCTTTGCATAATTTCTTCTACCTGGAACATTCTGCCCCAACTCCTTCCACGACTGGCTTCTTCTCTGCCTTCATGACTCTGCTTAAATATTAGTTCCTTTTTCAGAAAAAATACCTGGTTTCCCAATTTCATATAGCTGCCTCCCCTTACTTTTTACCAGGTCATCCTGTTTCATCTATTATGGCCCATATCACTTTCTGGAATATTGTTTATGTTGCCATTTCTCTCTCCATGTTGACTTGTTCGACATTTATTTTCTCCATTTCTTAGAGCGAGGATTGGCACACAGAAGACGCTGGATAAATGAGGGTTGGTTGTGTATAGACATACACAGGAAGGACAATTAACCCAGTCTGTGTGGTCAGAAACAGCTTCCTAGAGGATCCACATTTAAACTTAGATATTCAGCGTAAGTACAGGTGAGGAGGGTGCATGGGGCATGGATGAGGGTAGAGAGAGTACATAGGCATTCAAGGGCTATAAGCAATTCAATATGGCAGAGTGGGAAGGATAGGGCTGGAGGTCCGTCATGGGAAGGTCATGAGTGGCCCATAAGTTATGGTGAGGAATGACGCCCCAGCCGTGTGGGCAGTCTTCCTGCTTGGGCTTGTGTCTGCAAAGGCTGGTGGGACTGAGCTTCACTCATGCATCCCCATGCAGACCAACAGGATGCATGGACCTTGACAGCCATTGTGTTCACCTTCCCTGAATGAAGTAAATAAGAGGAAGATGACCCACATCACAGGGTCTGCAAGGGAGAGGCACTTGGACAAGGAAAATAAAGTCCATCAAAGCCTGAAACACAGAAGCAGCTTCTTTCACCTTCATTTCTCCTTACCTACTTCTTGAAACTGGCCTTGGAGGAGCACATTGAGTGAGAGGGACGGGGAGATGCTTCAGGGCTGAGGCCTAAAATGATACATGTTCAGGTGATTCAGGCTGGTGTCCCTGTTAGGGGAGTGGGAGGGGAACGGGAGCATGCAGGGCATGCAGTTCAGACTTTTCATTTCATGGGTCCTTCTTAGGAAATACGTTGACAACCATAAGAGAACTTTCCAAGTTCATGGGAAGTGTTGGAACTTGAATATTGCAAACCGAATGGAAATAAAGTATCTGAAACTCAAAGCATTGGATATTTCAGATGTTTTTTCCTTCTGATCTCTTTCCAGCAGCCCTTCAAGGACTTCTTTTCTCCTCAAGGAACTTTGGTCTTTGTTTCATTTTCTTTTTTTCTCCTCCTCTCATTTATAGATTTCTAGAGTTGCAAGAATTATGGAACTCTTGAGCTATAAATTCTTTCTTTTTTAAGACAAGAACATTGTGCTGAAATAGGAAAGGCATTCATAGTAATAGAAAAAGCAGTGGCAATAATGATAGCAATAGTAGTAGCCACAGTAAAGTAATAGCAATAACAATAGTAATAGTGATGATAACAGCTAGCTTGTGTAGGTGTTTACTCTCTGCCAGGCAATGTTCTGGTCATTATATATCTGGTCTTCTTGAATTCTAAAGTAGACACTACTAGTACTATATCCCGAACTTACAGAAGAGGAAAACATGACATGGAAAGTTTAAGTAATGTGAACAATATTACTCAGTGTTAGAACAGGACTAGATCCCAGCCAGCCTGAACGCCACAAGCCGTGCACCTAGCTCACAGGCTGCAGCTGCCCCCAGAAGTTAACTAGAACTGGTAGAACCCCTTGCTTTGCTTCTTTTTACCTGTGTGACTTTCCAAAGGTTACTTAACTCCTCTGCATTTTAATTTCCTCATTTATAAAGTGGAGGCAAGAATGCGGGTTACGATCACAGTGTTCTTGGTGCTATATATGCTAAATGCTTAGCCTTGTGCCTAATGAAGAGTAGAAGCTCACTCTAGGATGGCTACCATTATCATTTCATCATTACTTGTTCTGATAAGGAAACAACTATGATGTTGAGGCCCATGACCTATCCAAAGTTGCGTGGTGCCAGGCAGGTCTTGGACACTCAATCTACTCTACTCTTTTGTGATCCACCTTTCTTCACTTCTGGGAGCAAAATGGGTGTTGAGGTTGGTCAGTAGACTAAGAACATGATTGTCTACTCAAGGGTTATCTATTGAGCACTGATATCTTTGTTATGAAGGCTGAGGCTGCCTTCTAAGGAATCAGGTAGAATTAGAATCACAATCGAGAAAAAAGTTATTTTGCCCTTTGCTTGCCAGATAATCTGAAGGGCAGGTGACATCTTAAGAAGAAGGTTTGAATTCTATTTCAATCACTTCCTTGCAGTGTAGCCTTGGGTCATTATTTAACCCTTCTGTGCTTCAGGGTTCTTCAGCAGTAAAATGGAGATAAGTAAAGTTCCTCTCTCACAGGACTGCTTTGAGTAACAAATGAGTTCATATATGTAAAACACACACTCAATGCAAAATGAGAGCTATTTATATTAGTATTGTTCAATATAAGCTGTGATTTGCTCACTCATTTGTATATTTACTTGCCTTAGCTGATGAGAACATTTATTCTGATCTATTCAATAGGGGGCTTTAACTTTTTTATGAAGTCATTACCTAAATTGTTTTTGTATTCAAACTGGCCCAGGAGGTGTCAGCGGTGATCACTTTCACTCACAATTCAGTGAGATTTTGTTCTCACCTCAAGTCCTCCCACTTTGTATATTTACAAGGGGACACTGGTCAGAGAATCCCATGGCTTTCTCACCACAGGGTCTGGCTTCTGCCCAGCGTATCTTGTCTTGATTCAATTCAAGCCCAGCTTTGCAGGTGTAATGTGATTGAATATGAAGTGCCAGGCAAAACAGAATAAATATAACATAAAATAAAATAAACACACCGGATGTTTTTAGCAAGAAAACAAGTGATAATTGTGAATGTGTTTACGTGTAAGTGAAATGGGGGGCTGGGTTTTTTACTAAGATATTTGAAACCTCTCAGGATAAGAATATCTTCTTACATAGCAACCAAATATATCTAACATATAATATTTTAAAACATTTATATTTTTGGGTTGCTTCAAGAGTCAGTTTCATGGAGTTTGGAAATTCCAAATGAAAAAATGAGAAGTTGACCATTTATTAGAATTGCCAAATAGAATACAGGGCACTTGAGTAATGCTGGAAACATATTTACACTACTAATTATTACAGGTTGAGTAGCCCTAATCTGAAAATCTGAAATGTGAAATGCTTCAAAATTTGAAATGTTTTGAGTGCTGATGTGAGGGTCGAAGGAAATGTTCATTGGAGCATTCTGGATTTTGGATTTTTTAATTAGGGATGCTGAACTACAGTTCAGTGTACAACACAAACCTTCCAAAATCCGAAAAAAAATCTGACATCCTAAACACATCTGGCCCCAAACATTTCAGATAAGGGATACTTGACCTGTATTCATTGTTTATCTGAAATTCAAATTTAGCTGAGTGTTCTGGATTTTTATTTGCTAAATCTGGCCCCCCTACTGTACATGCGTTCTAAGTGGATGCAGCGTTCGCCATATTGGGAATGGAGTGCATTATGGGAATTCTCGTCCCTCTGAGGCACATGTCTGTGTTCCCTACTCAGAGAGGAGAGAACTGAGCAATGAAAATCTGAAGTTTTTCTTTGAGCTATAAATGATCATTTAGAGCTATAAATCTATCTTTGGCATTTTCTTCCTTCTTCCTTTTCTCTACAGTTTTTATTTTTGAAAGTTGCAATTATTGCCTTATTCCTCTCACAATTCTCAGTGTAGTTTCTTTATATTTCTAAATACTCTATATACTTCTCCACCTCACATATTCTCCATGTGAATATATATCTATTTGCATAATGGATATGGATACAAGGCCATCATATACCTAATTACACAATAAAAGTCAGTGGAAAATGGTATTGGTATACAGAACTAGTTTTATAGACAAACTCACAGAAGTAACATCCTATCTCCATGAACCGGAAAGAAATACTTATTACTTGACAATATCATCAGGGAATGAAGTCTGTAGCAGGATTTACTACGCAATTAGTTAGTGATGATCCTTATCACATAGCGTTGGTTGGATTTTTCCAACATGGATCAAAAAGGAATGGCAGAATCTTTTATTTCCAATGTGTTTGCTTTATCAGAACGTCATGAGAAAACACTAGGAGACAATTTTGGCTCTGTATTAGAAGGAGTTATCTTACGATTAAAGATGAAGAATGTGCAGTCCCCTGAAGATGCCATCATCTCCTGCTCTTGACCTCTCTTTATTTTGCTCTCTGCTTAAACCACAATTCCTCTACCGCTTATTTGAACAAATGGGTAAAAAAGCTGTGTAACAATATAAAGAGCTGCCTCTTAAAATAAGATGCCCAATTCCTGACAGGCTGAAGGAAAAATGCTAGCTGAGCTACCATCAGAGATAATATGGAAGAGATCTGGTCATTAATTCAAAACTTTTCCTTATTTTCTTCAAAAGACCTTTGATTGCTGAGACTTTAGGAATTTTGTATTCTATATAACTTTGCTCATGAGAAGATCACTAAGATGCTTGTTACATAAACATACATAAACAATAAACCATTGCGTAGGAACCATGAAGAAAAATAATAAGTTTGCATTTACTTAAATTACAAACTTCTCTGTATGGCAAATAAAATACACTAATAAGTATGTCATAAATACATGAAAAGAATGACAAATCAGGAAGAAATATCTGTAATGTGAATTATAAAACAAATTTTCTTAATTTACAAAGAACCTACAGAAAGAAATAAAAAAATTAACAAATCCAGTAGAATAAAGGGCAAAGGATATTAAAAAAATTCAGAAAGAAATGCAAATAATAAACATATGAAAAGATGCTCAACCTCATTCATAATGAAAGAAATACAAATCAAATACAGCAAGGAGAAAACTTTCAAACTGACAAATCAGAAGTTTGATCATAATGGGGACCTGTGAGGTGTGTGGAAAGAGTATTATCATACACTACTGCTGGGTGTGCAAATGGTGACATCGTTTTTGATGATAATTTGGCAATATCTATCATTCTTCTGATACAATAATTGCTGATATTCTTTTGATACAATAATTCTACCCCCATGAATATTCTTTACTAATGCAGTATTGAGTGTATCAAGACACATGTTCAAGAATGTTCGGTGAAGTGTTTGTAATTAAATAAAAAACAAAACTGGAAAATGATTTGTCAACAAGAAACTGGGTAAATAAAAATAAACTGTACAAGGCAAAGGGACAAAAACAGTAATGGGGTAGTTCTGCAAATGCTTATGTGTAAAACTTTCCAAGACATATTATTAACTGAAAAAAGTAGAACGTTGAACAGGGCACAAATTATCATTTTGTTTATATAACGAATACACACACAAAATGGAATTCATTTTTTAAAAAATATAACTTATCCAATGCCTACAACGTTCCAAGCATTTTTATAGTTGCTAGCACTGCCATGGTGAACAAATTTCTACCACTTCATCTTGTTCTAATTTGCTTTAACTTACTACTACGTAAATCAATCTGACTTACATATATATATTTCTTGTTTTCCATCAGTCTTTCCCTACTGGAGTGTCAACTTGATCAGAGCAGGAACTTTGTCTGTCTTGCCCACCACTTTTCCTCCAACACTAGGGAAGGGAATTGAGGAGCCTCCCTGTAGAGCAGAGAGAACCAGTGATGGAAATGCAACACCATCTGGATTAGAAGAAGAGGGCTGAGGCAAAGAGAAGGCAAGAGCAAAGGAAGGCAGGAAGCAGTTGCAGGAAACAGGGGTGAACTGAAGAGCTGGGGTCCAGGAAAGGTGGAGTAGAGAAGGCCAAGGAGACACAGAGAGGTGGCAGACAGGTAGGAAGAAGCCGTGGTGGGGAATTTCACAGGGAGCCTTAGGAGAGTTGTTTTTTTTTTTGGGACGGAGTCTTGCTCTGTCGCCCAGGCTGGAGTGCAGTGGTGCGATCTCAGCTCACTGCTCACTGCAAGCTCTGCCTCCCAGATTCACGCCATTCTCCTGCCTCAGCCTCCCTAGTAGCTGGGACTACAGGCGCCCACCACCACGCCTGGCTAATTTGTGTGTGTGTGTGTGTGTGTGTGTGTGTGTGTGTGTATTTTTAGTAGAGACGGGGTTTCACCGTGTTAGCCAGGATGGTCTCGATCTCCTGATCTCGTGATCCGCCCGCCTCAGCCTCCTGAAGTGCTGGGATTACAGGTGTAAGCCACCGTTCCTAGGCCAAAGACAGGATTTTTGAAGAACTTGTAATTTATTCTTACTAAAGATGGAAATATAGTGCTTGGCAGTTCTTGAGGCTCCTTTTGTGCTTAAGGCCACTCTGATGTCTGTGGAGACTCCAAGTTACCATTTCCATATTCTGTCCCCTCCCCAAATAGCTTATCCTGTTTACTGGAGAAGTGAGCATTGGATCTGGCTGATATTAGAATCACCTGGGTGACTTTTTCCCCAAAATATATATCTTCCGGCACCACTCCAGACCTACTAAATTGAAGCAATCTGGGTAGAGCCTGGAAATCTGTATTTTACAAACCTCTGCAAGGGAGTCTAATGCAGATTCTGGGCTTGCAGAAACAGCCCATTGGCAGCACAGTGACAGCATTTAGACCCATCATGGAATGAGTATGACCACTGCTCTAAGAAAAACTCTTGCTCACAACCATAATTTGCACAAAATAACACCCTAATGTGCAGAAACCGGTAATAAATATATCTTCTGCTGTGACCAGTTTACAATAGAGAGAGTACAGGCCCTTTGCTGACAGGGTTCTGTTGTCATGATGGTGGGTTCAAATGTCTCCATCCCACTCCTCACAGAAATCATAGCTCTGCTTCCTAAAAGACCCAAATTAGGCTGTGGAGAGACAACTAATTTTGATTCTTAGAGCTGACCTTTTCTTTTATATATACTAACTCCTTTGAAAAAAATGTTCTGAATGTAAATGGCAACTTGGATTATTTTTTCTTCATTTTGGCTAATATAATCGTCATTAGTGCATTACTGAAAAATTGTCTACTCGCAGTTTGAGCTGTGCTGGTTAAGGGACGATGGGTTAGCCTGTCTCTAGGCTCTGCAGCACCTGATCCAGCTGGAAGGGCAGCCCACCACATATAGAGCCCATCATTCATCAGAGATACTCACTGTTCCGCTACAGCCCAGATGATGGTGTGAAAATTGCTTTACATTCCTTCTCTGGAGCTAAAAAGCACAGAGAAGTCCTTTTTCCCCAAGACTAGTCCCATTGTCCTAGCCTACTTTCCTCTCTCCCCAAGGCCTTTGCAGCACTTTCATTGCCTACTCTGTCTCTGCCCACAGTCAAGTCAGGGATCCCATTGCTCTGCATTTTCAGCTTCTTCAGAGCAATGCAATGATGATATGCAACCATGAGACACAGAAGACACAGATACTGCCATTTTGGTGATTTAATCCTGGAAGTGGGAAACTATAGCCTGAAGCTAAATCAGGCTTAACCTCTGTTTGTGTATGGTCTGCAGGCTAAGAATGATGTTTACATTTTAGATGTTTCAAAAAAAATCAAAAGAAGAATAATTTTTTATGACATGTAAAAGTTATGATACTCCAGTTTCAGTGTCTATAAATAAAGTTTTATTGGAAACACAACCACACCCATTCATGGATGTGTTGTGTCATCTAGGGCTGCTTTTGCTTTATAAGGACAGATTTGAATAGTCTTTGCAGAGGTCTTATGGCCCACAGACTCTAAAATATTTAGTATTTAATCCTTTACAGAAAAAAATTGACAATCCCTAGTTCAATCCGTTCTGATTAGATGGTGCTTTTGCTAAAAAATGTTGAGATATATTTTAAAGCACTATGTTTTTGTATAACTTCTTTTTACAATGTTTTATAAGGCTTTCTTTTTCTTCTTCTTTTTTTTTTTTTGACAGAGTCTTGCTCTGTCTTGCCAAGGCTGGAGTGCAGCGGTGTGATCTCAGCTCACTGCAGCCTCTTACCTGGCTAATTTTGTATTTTTAGTAGAGACAGGGTTTCACCATGTTGGCCAGGCTGGTCTCGAACTCCTGACCTCAGGTGATCCGCCCACCGCCCAAAGTGCTGGGATTACAGGCCTGAGCCACTGCGCCCCGCCTAGAGCAATAATTATACTTTTTGTGGCCTGCATCTATTTGGAGCTCTGACAAAAAACTGTAGGTACCGTACCTAGAAAAACACACAAACATATTCAGAAATTTGCATGCATTTCAAGGCACTGAGTAATGGCTGAAGCCCCCTCTTGAGGTTCCTTGGATCTCAAGTTACAAGTCCATGCTAGGGGAATCTGTGAAATGCAACTTGCAAAACTAACTAACGAAACAATAGGCAGGATGAGAAAGGAAAGACAGATAAGAAGGAAAGGTAAGTACACAAATTCCTCTACAAAGAGTTGTTGTTTCCCTGGCAAACTGGGGCCAAGATGCCATGAACTCCTTGCATTGATAGATAGAACATCAGCATTATAATCATAACTCTAGGATTCATTAGATGTTGATTACACTCCTGGCACTGTCCTGTGTTTACCTGCGTCTGCACTTTAAATCCTCTCCACAACTCTGGAAGGTAGGTGCTTGCTACACATGTAGCCGACGAGTACATGGTGGTAGAGAGAATAAAGCTATGACTCTTGGCCATGTGATGCTAGATCCTTCATGATGAATAACAACGAATGGATTTCATCTCCTTGCCAGAGCCCGCACACACCCCATCATAAGTTTCAAGCCGGCTGTGTCCAGCTAAGATTTGGAAGGGCTGGGAGGGAAGAAGGCCTTGCAGGAGGTGGGCATGAGCCACCTCGGTAGACATTCCCCAGACAGGGAGAATTCAGATGCCTAATTTAGTCTGTTGTGCTTTGTAGAAACATCCTCCATTAAAATAAACATGAACTACAATGATACTTCCATTTAATGCAGCGATTATTCCCTCAGCCTTATGTTCTGGCACCAGCTGTGATCGGTCAATGTTCTTAAAACAGAGGAGAGAGAAGTGTGGAGAGAAGGGGGAGGAGGATGCAGAGAAAGCCTCTCTTCTGAGTTTCTTCTCCAAATTGGTGGAAAGTGTGAATGCGCAAGTAAATATGGCAACGTGTTTGTAAAGTGCTGTTTTCACAAGCAACCATCAGGGTCAGGAATCCATTAAAATCCTTCCAGTAAGTTATCCCGAATGTGCGGACCAAATCCCAACTGAAGAAGCTTTCTCACAGTGTGGGCATTCAGCTAAGCTCTGCAGCTTTCAGGCAGAATGAAATAAAACCAGCCACAAATTACACTGGCAGCCCCAGAAGGGGTCCGTTGCAGCCCCACTTTTCTGCTTCTACTTGTCTCAGTGCTATCATGAGATCAACCAGGAGGAGCGACAACAGGTAACCTACACTGTTGAAAGTTTGAATGATTTCTGTATATAATGAAGTGGACTTAAGGTTATTGCCATAAATTTGCATCTCACTTTCCTTCGCTGAGAGGGAGAGAAAGGATGGTGTGTCAGGTCTCCCCTGGAATTCCTGGAATTCTTCCCCATTCTGGCTAGTGTCAGCATTGGAACATGTGCCTCAGCAGAAAGAAAAAGATGTGTATTTGCAGGGAAGTGCTGCATTCGCATTGCACAGTGGCATGGATGCCTCATGGCACAGTTTCTTGGCCTCTGCATCACTGTGTCCCTCTTTAACCTCTCTGCTGTGCTTCAGGTTTGTCACAGAACTAGAAACACACCACAGAAGGTGATCAGATTCAGCAAGAAAAGAATAAACAAGGCCGGGATCACGAGGTCAGGAGTTCAAGACCAGCCTGGCCCAACATGGTGAAACCCGTCTCTACTAAAAACTACAAAAATTGGCCGGATGTGGTGGCACACGCCTGTGGTCCCAGCTACTCGGGAGGCTGAGGCAGAAGAATCGTTTGAACCCAGGAGGCGGAGGTTGCGGTGAGCCGCGATGGCGTCAGTCACTGCATTCCAGCCTGGGCAACAGGGCAAGAATTCATCTCAAAAAAAAAAAAAAAAAAAAAAGAACTATTGCTCTAGGGAACAAGTAGCCCATAGTTCAAGGGCATAACCCTGTCAGAAGATTCTGAGACTATGACAGTTGCCTGGCTCTTCTCCCTATGGATTCTTAGGTACCAAGATTCTTGAGGCTCAAATAAAAATCATGATTCATAAATATAAAGGCCTTTGATTCACACTGTATTCTTAGAGACTCACTCCTTGTGTATCTCAGGACATGGTGTCTCCACTGCCAATATCCTGCCTGAAGCCAAGCCAAGGCCCTCGAAACTCATTTTATTTGCTTGCCTTTTATGAGAATTACAGGGGACCTGGTCCAGATAATTACCTAATTCCCACTCTAAAAATAGCTAGCTCTGGGGGGCAGGGAAGAAAATATTAGGAGAAAACACTTTTGTAATAATCTCTACCTCAAGGAAACTAGGAGTTAATGCACACACTCACAGCAGAGGAATAAATTGCCTTGGATTTCTATAGCAGACATCAGCTTCATGCTTTTCATGTGTACATATAGGCCAGTATATGCATCTGTGAGAAACACAAAAGCGAATAAGCCATAATCACCAACTTAGCACAGGTCAACTCAGCCTCATGGACTGCGAATGGTTTCTGAGACTCACCAAGACAAATCATCATATCTGCATTTTTCTTCCTGGCTCTGTCTCTCCTGCTATGCTCCTCTGACCAGCTTGAGGGGGTGTGGGGAGTGGAAAATTCCAAACTTGAAGAGGTTCTTTTTATTTCTTCCCCCTGCAGTGCAGAGCTTTACCAAAAAAGAAGAGGAAAAAAAAAGTATTTTTTCTTTCCACAGAAAAGAAAAAAATTAAACTTGTATGACTGATATAAATATTACATGTTCAGGGCACCAGTACCTGTACATCGCTACTTTCCAAGGTGAAGTTGGAAGTAACCCTTTTGCTGCTGCTGGCAGATTTTAGACTAGATACATCCCTAAGGGCAAGGTCATACCTAACTTTTTGTTTGTGTATTTTGCCGAGGGACTTAAGAAGACGTCAGATATGCTTATTCTGAAGGTCTCAGCAATTAATCAAAGATCATTTTCTGCTTTATAGCCTCTGGGCATGAGTCAATGTATGTATATCCAACTTGTACTTCATCCAAATTCTGATGTATAACTCATAAGTTTATGTACGCATCTGCATTTTGATGTCCTAATACTCACATGATTCTCCTTTCCATGTAGAATTTGTCCCTCTAAGAACACTTTTTTTTTTGCCTCGTGATGAATCAAAGGCTGCTACTTTCAATCTGTGTTTATGATAATTCAATACTGTACTGTGGTTCTCAGGATGTCACCAATGCCACAGATTCAGCACAATAAAGTCACTGGAATATCAAAGAGGAAAGGTCAGGCATTCAACTTTGTGTAATCGCAAATAGCATCAGTAATTAGCCTGCAGAGAAAAGATGTAAATAAAATTCAGGACAGGAAGCAGCTTCTCAAGGGATTATTAATTTAAGCAGAGAAGGAGTCCTTAACAGAAGGAATGAAAACCTGTATGTGTCAGACACCTACACTCCTTTTGATGATGGTCATCATGAGAAGAAAATGAGTTAACTTCTCCCTTTTATTTTAGAGTGAGAAAATGGTAGAATCAGAATTTAGAAGATGTGGAACTGCCTCTATTCCCCCAAAGAAGGCCTGAAACTAAAGCTGCCAAAGCTAATAGTCCAAGTTGAGATTGATCTCACATGTGTTGGCCAGAGTTCTCATTCTTGAAATTAGATACTGAACTGTTCCTCCATGCACGAAACAATGGTGTTTGCTCTTCCATCCCTGCTTCCATCTCCTTCTCTCTGTCCTGGGTTCTTGCCCTGTGGTTAATTAGTCTACACTGTTCTTTACCTCTACTTAATGAGTAGCATTATATAAATGCCTCTAATAGTGCATAGTCCTTATTTACAGAATAGCCTATTTCTCTTCGGGCAAAGAATATTATCGTTGCAGTGAATTTTCATATTTGCAAAGCTGTTCCATGTCATGGTTATTCCTGTAACTTCAGTGGCTCGTACAGTTCCATGAACATGGTAAGCTCTAATTAACTCTTTGTTGAATGAATAATGAAAGGGTAAGTACTACCTTTTCACATAAAAGAGGTAGCATAGTCCAGCTGAAAGAGAAAAGACCTTAGAGCCTTAGAGGCAAGCAGCCCTGGATTAGAATGACAGCCCTGCCACCAAGAAGCTATTTGACGTTGGTGACCTATCTAATGTATCTCATCATGGTTTCCTCACCTCTAAGATTTGGATAATGAAGCACACCTTGTAGTTATGCAACAAGTCTTAGATATCATTAAAGAACATAAATTGCCTGGACTATAATAGATGATTAATAAATGCTGCTGGTGGAGTGCTCATTTTTAAGAGATACAACAGGACATCAGAGATGGCTTCCTTGAGACATAGGGGAAACGGTCTATCTGACTCAAGCTTATTTCTAGATAATTGCAGAGTCATTTTAACTGTATTAAAAATACTTCTAGAATTCAGTCAACAATGGAGTTTAAGGTTTAAGAAGTTTACCACAGTTTGACTTAAATACTGAAGCATAACTTTGTCTCTTTCCCACCTCATACTTCAGCTCTCAAGGTAGAAGTTCTAATCAAACTTAACTGATAGGATTTACATTTTTGTTTGCTCTGTTGAGCCTGAGGGTTGTCCATTGGTTTAGAAAGACCAACCTCAGCTCCTAGATGATCAGAGCAGGTATAAAAAACCATACATCTTTCTTCCCTTTCCTTTCCTTCGTTTCCTGTCTTCCTTTCCTTCCTTCCTTCCTTCCTTTCCCCAACCTCCCTCCCTCCCTCCCTCCCCCCTCCCTCCCTCCCTCCCTCCCTCCCTCCCTCCCTCCCTTCCTTCCTTCCTTCCTTCCTGCAGGGTCTTCCTCCGGTTGCCCAGGCTGGAGTGCAGTGGTGTGATCTCAGCTTACTGAAATCTCAACCTCCTGGGCTCAGGTGATTCTCCCACCTCAACCTCCTGAGTAGCTGGATTATAAGTGTGCACCACCATTCCCAGCTAATTTTTTTGTATTTTTAGTAGAGATGGTGTTTTCTCATGTTGCCCAGGCTAGTCTTAAGCTCCTGAAAAAACCATAGACCTTTCAAGTGCCTGATGGTTCTTCATTGGAAAATCTTGGCAATAGCTGGTGTAGCATTGTTTATACCACACACCCTTGTGATAAACTTCCCCATGAGTTAGAAACTGAGGACAGTGTGTTCCTTTTCTAAGATCATGGCCATTAAAAATTAGCCCAACCATCTTTATTTATTTGATTGGCTAGCTGAAGTTGACTAAGTGCACACATAGGTATCACCCAATTTGGGTTGACCCTTTCTGAAGCCTCCTTCTGAGGCTGCTTTCTACTGGGATTTTCTCATTAGAGGTAGTGTTAAGGAAGGCAGAGCTCTGCAAATAGATTTTCACATTTACGGCTTCAAGGCCTAACTATTCTTAGAAGTTTCTAAGACACGGTCAATGTCATTAGGTTGTATAATATTTAGTAAGTGATTTACAGAAATGAGCAAATAGAAGCCATTAGCTCACCAGAATGCATCATTATTCACTTGTAATCCAAGCAAGACCACATTCCAATAAGAAGCTACTCATTTACTATGCTCAGGGGCCTAGGTCCCATATTTTTAAATCTTCAGACTGGCTCTACATGGAGGAATTTATTTCCCTCAAATTATAGATGAGGAAACTGAAGTAGATTGAAGAATTTAACAGGAGTCAGACAGCTTCTAAGTGGAAGAGTTAGGATTTGAACCCAGGCCTACCAGAATTTTATCTCTTTTGTGTAAGGCCTGGAGATACCACAAAGACTCCACCATAGAGCTTATCTTTGAAAAGCTCACAGGCTGTTAAATATGCATAACTGTATTGGATAGCCAAATGTAACATCATGAAACGTTTACATAAAGAGATTTGGAAGTCTAAAGGGAGGGTTCATGGAGGAAGTAGTGTGCCAGTCAGATCTTAAGGAATCGGTAGGAATTTTTTAGCTTTGTTTCCTTCTGGCTACTAGGCAAGGGTAGGAACTGGCAGAAAATTGGGGAGCGGAGGAAGGGAAAAGCTAGCATATTCCCCCACCCTGTGTTGTGGATTTGGGTGCTGTCTCCAACATCAGCTTTGTACCCTCGGTGATCCAGCTCTGGTAGGACAGCTCTTCCTTCCATATCCCAGCTCATTAAAGGTTCCACCTACCACTGAGTGACCTTGGGTCTAAATTCTTGTCTTTCCCTTCCATCACCAGGGCATGTAGCAGCATCCTGCTGTTAGTAATTTCCAGAGTGTTCACAGTCCCCTAGCGATGGTCTCAGCTCCTCTGTCATCTGTTTAATTCCCTGTATTATATTCCCTCTGTTTGAAATAAATAAAGTGTTTGTTATTGTTGTTGTTTATTTGGATAGACTTTGCCTGATGCAGAATCCACAACTATAAAACTAATATTCATTTTCTGTTTTGAAAAACCACATTGAAAATAACATACATATTAGGAGAGATGAAGGACTGCTAGGAGCAAGAATAGAAGCTAGAGATTTTGAATTTAGTTTACAAGACTTTGTATGTTCTTGACATTGAGCCTGTAGATTTGGTATTTGGTGTGGAGAACATTACATAGTATCAGCACCTCATTGAAATTCAGCCCATTCTCTGTTTTGAACACAGCTGAATTGAAAAAGCTCCAAACTAGGTCTCCTGGACAAGTCATTCAAGACTCTGTGAGAGAAGCAAAACTTTATTATAATTTATTATTATCAGATCCCATATTATAATCTAATGCTGTAACAGTAATTACTGCCATAAAACAAAATGCCATTTTGTGCTTTTTTAAGAAAATGGAATAAAACAGAAAGGAAGAATCTATCATTTCTTATGTGTCCAGTGCATGGACAGTGGCCGAAGCTGGCCTCTCAGTGCTGCAAGACTCAGGCAGCTGCCATCAATGCCCAAGCCCTGCCTCCTCTGACATGAGGGCCTGGGAGGCTGCTTAAGCACCTGCCTGAATTTGATGGGATGAAGGATCCCCAAAACCATATCCACTTTATTCAAAAATTTTTTATTTCATGAGGGTTTCCTTTGTCTTATTCCAAGTTCCTGAATCCATTTGCTGTTGAACTTCTGTATTCCTACTGTGGGGAGGCCACTCATGTATGCAGAGTAGTTGCAAAAACAATGCGAACTTTAAGGTCCAACAGGTTTTTCAAGTTCAAATTCCCATTTGTGCATTTCTATACCTTGTAACTTGGAATAATTCACGTAAGTCTTTGTATCTTATTTTCTTTATCTGACTCATAATGTGGTTCAGAAGCTAACGTTCAATGTAAAAAATTTAGCCCAATGCCTGCCATTTGTTAGGTGCTGAACAAGTGGGATACTACTTTTCTGAATCACTGTAGGCAATGTGTGTTGAATTGGATAAGAGCTCCTTCTCTACCAGTTTTGCCCCCATATTTTTGCTTATGATGAATAAGGTTAATTTCAGTTCCAAAACGTGCTAACTTCTCTTCCTGAGAATTTACAAGACAGTTCCTAGAATCACATATTCTTACATGTTAGCCTTTTTCCTGATCTCCTTTTTGCTCCAGGCCTAGCATGGTACCTTGTACAGAGAAAAGGCAGGGTGGGTGTGGGAGGGTGCAGAGTTCCTTACATTGGATGAGTATAGCACATTAGTTGATATGGGTAAGTACATCTCCCAGTTGGGTCTGATAGTGTTTGGTTTCTAGAGAAGTCCAGACTTAGTTTACTTATTCCTCTTCTTTATTATTATTTCCATCATTAAAAATATGATCCTTATCTTAGTTTCTGCTGCTGTGCAGACTGGGTGGCTTAAACGACAGATATTTATTTTCTACCATTTTGGAGGCAGGAAGTCCAAGATCAAGGTGCCAGAAGATCTGGTGTCTAGTGACAGCCTGCTTCCTGGTTCATAGGCAGCAATTTACCTGCTGTGTCCTCAAGTGGCAGAGAGTAGAGAGCGAGAGAGAGAGCAAGCTCTCAAGTCTCTTTTTATAAGGGCACTAATCCCATTCATGAGGGCTTCACTCTCATAACCTTATTACCTTCCAAAGCCCTTACTTCCTAATACTATTAAATTGGAGGATAGGATTTCAAAATAGGAATTTGCAGAAAACATAAACATGTCGACCATAACAATTCATAACAAGAAACTCATGGCATTACATTAATGAACTGAAGTTAATGGTTTTTTTTTTCAAGTTTATAGAGGAAAGTCAGGCAATCTAAATGTATATACAGTATTTTTTTCACCCCATATTTCACTGGTAAAAAGAAAAATATATATTCTCAAGCATTCTTTCTGAAACATTAGGATGAAGAAAAAGGAGAGGTGGAAAGCAGAAAGTAGGGAAGAGGAATAAGAGACCAAAGAGACTAAGAAGTCAGACTTTGAAAGAGTGAAAGCTGGAGGAATAAGGATCCCCCCAACCCCACCAAAATTATGATTTGTAGCAAGAGCAAGGATATGCATTAAAAACAAAGAAAAAATCAGAATGACAGTTTTTTGTACCCATGGACCTATATGCTACTGGCAACCTGAGTTTGAGCAATTCCTCATTGATTGATTGATTCATTCATTCATTCAGAACCAGGTGGAATTCACCTGCAGTATCCTAGGCTCTGTAACCATGTCAAGAACAAGCTAGTACTCCTGACTTGGATTCTGACAGTCTCTCTGCCTTATTCATCTTCTGACAGCTCAGTGGTTTGGAAGAAGCAGTCTCTGATTTTTAGGTTTGAAGGGAAGGTTGTTTTCAGATTCTCTGCCTCAGTTGTCAGCATTTCTGCCCAAAGATTCTTATCATTTCTTGAGAGTCACACACAAGAGCAAGAGCACAATCTGTGAGGTCACGTAGTCTTTCCTTGCATGTTTTGTCTTTGGGCAAGTTGCTTAAGCCATTGGAACCTCAGCCTCTGCATCAGTAAGAATGAGAGTAATACCACCCACTTTGGATCATGATTATACAAGATTCCAATGTGATGACTAGCACAGTAAAAATAATAAAACTTCTTCCTAATTGTGCATTCTGCAGCCATCTCTTAGGATGTAGGTTATTGGCTTAGTATGGGATAAATAGTCACACGGAAGGGAGAATTTGGGCTATTGCTTTGTGAGGATCTAGTTAAGGGGGTCAAGAAATCCTCATTTATGGTTACTCTCTGCTTCGAGTGGCTCTCTGGCCAGGGAAACTGAATTCTTAATATTGTGATTAGCTTTGATCTGCCATGTTTACATATTTTGACTTTTGCCTTTTTTTTTAGACAGAGTCTCTCTCTGTCACCCATGCTGGAGTGCAGTGGCACGATCTCAGCTCACTGAAACCTCCACCTCCCAAGTTCAAGTGATTCTCTTGCCTCAGCCTCCAGAGTAGCTAGGACTACAGGCACACACCACCATGCCCAACTACTTTTTTTTGGATTTTTAGTAGAGACGGGATTTCGCTGTGTTGGCTAGGCTGGTTGCGAACTCCTGACCTCAAATGATTCACCTGACTCGGCCTCCAAAAGTGCTGGGATTACAGGCATGAACCACTGCGCCTGGCCTCTTTTGCCTGTGTTTTGGTGACCACTTGGTAGAGAATGCTTCCGGATTCTGAGGGTGGGCAGCTTTGCTTGTGATGTTAGGATAATAGTGAAGAAGATTCCTTTAAACTAGTCATGAAATCACGTTATTTGGATTCCATTCACATTGGGACATCGAATCTGCTTCCTTCCCCCTGCTACTTAATTTCACATACATGACTTTATTTAATCCTTTCAGGTAGAGAATATTAGGTCCATTCAACAGGTGAGGAGATGGAGCCTTATAGAGTTTATGTAACTCATCTCACCGTGTCCTCTGAGTCAAGTCAAAGGTTTTTTCTAGAGCAGTTAGCTTTCCAGCAAAAACAAAACAAAACAAAACAAAAAAACAAAAAACAAAACAAAACAAAAAAAACTTGAGAGATGTAAAAGGTATCTGAGGTAACCTCAGCTAACTCCCTGATTTTAGGGAGGCAGAAACAAAGACCTATTGAAGTTAAATGGAGCGAGTGAGGATCGCATCCTCCATACTGGCAGAGCCAAAATTAGAACCTGGTCTCCTGGGACTCAAGCTCTGCTCATTAGCAGCTGGTAAATATCCTTTCCTTTCATCAACTGTTTATGATAGAAGTGTTATTTATTTTATACAGAAAGTTCTAAATAAACCTGAAAGACATAGCTCCAAAATAGAAGAGGAAAACTGAGGCCCTTTCCAAGCTATACATGACAAGATTTTCCATTTTGGGTTTTCTGCCATTTCATCTCTAATTTAGGAATCAGTAAATTACAGCTTGTGGGTCAAATGCAGCTCATCGCCTGTTTTTGTAAGTAAAGTTTTATTGGAACACAGCCATGCCCATTTATTTACATTTCATAGCTATAAATACAAAGTAGAGTATCTGTAAAAGAGACAATATGGCTCATAAAACCTAAAACATTTACTATATGGTCCCTCACAGAGAAAGTTTTCCAGCCCCTGCTTTAGTTAATACTTGTTATTGGCCTAGAGTTCTGAATTTATATTCTTTAATAAGTTTTGCTTTCCCTCATAGATGATAATGTGTGGTGGCGATGTTATCAAATCCAAAATCCAAAGGTCCAAATGTTTCTACTGGGCTAAAACCTGAATATATTAGATCTAGACTTTTCTTCATCTTAGAGAGCAAATTAAAAACAAGGTTTCGCTATCTAGATAATAACACACCACCTTTTCAAAGTGTTTTTCTCCCACAAAACAAGAAATATACTCTGTCAGCAGCTCAATAAGCCAAAATATGATGAATGAGTAATCAGGGAATATATACATATTTTGTAGAAAATTCTTGACGATTGGAATTCTACCTAAATCCAGCCATTCTTCATTTGTTAGTTCTTATTATGATTGGACAGAAATAACTGCAGTCATGTTTTCTTCTCTTAGAGTCATCTGGCTTGTATTTCTGCTTGCACACATTAAAAACAAAAGGCACACAGAGCAAAACTCACACGAAATTTCCGCTGAGATTAGCTTGCTTCGAGTCATGACTGTTGCTGTTTATTTAGCAGACTTTTATCACGTCACTAAAAACAGATAGAGCAGAAATTAGTTGCTGATGTAAAAGTTGCTGTAGAAAAGAGAAAGTTTGTATCTGTTGAGGAGCCCATCACATTAACTGTGATAGACGTGGCATTGCTCTTAATAGATCAGTTCCCATTTTCCATGGAGGAAAGTAGTTGCTGCCAGCTGGCTGCCCATTCAGGAACTATAATGCCAACATCCTATTTTATGTTCCCTTATATCTAGGCAGGTCTTCTGATCCATTACTGCTAATAGAAAGTGAGATAAATGATGTGTGTTGCTTTCCAGCTGGGTGGTTAAGAAGCAGGTGAGCCTTCTTCTCTATTTTCCCAGATTAGAAGGATTAGAGGCTCTGCAGGTGATGGGGCCACAGGAAGGAAGAGCTGGGTCTTTGCATCCCTGCAAGGTAAGCTTCCTATTGAACCTCCCCGTCAGAAAGTAGATGAACAAGAAACAAATTTCTGTTGTGCTAAGCTGCTGAGCCTTGAAGGTTCATCTATTATGGAATCTAACATTAACGAATATGCTAATCCATCATTCTACTTTTATCTATCCTGGCACCTTCGTAAGGTGAACAATTTCTAGTGGCAATGGTCTTCACTGATAGAAGTTTACCCTCTTCTGGAAAAATACTTCTCCACATTTCTGAGCAGTTTTACTCCTGTGTTCTTTGTTAATTGGTCCTGAAAAATGACACAATTTTAGAGCTGAAAGAAACTTTGGAGATTACAGTCCAAGCAACTTCTTTTACAGATAAGTTTTATAAATGGTATCAAGTGGTCAAGGTCCTGTTTGTAATTAATGGTAGCACTAGCTCTAGGTTGCAAGTGTTTTGATTCTCCTGAAGCTCCATTTTTTAAAAATTTCACCATGGTATACATTTTTAGACTATGTGAATTTATAATTGAAATTATGTTAGCTCTTGGGATTGAGAAAGCATAATATTAGTATTAAGGCAGGAAGTACGCCTATGTGACATCTTCCAGCTGTACAGTTATCTACAAGGGGAATTTTCCAAACATGAATGTATTTAGAGATAAATACAGTTGTTGGTTTTGTAATGGATTGTTTAAAGTTACACTTTTTGCGGGGGGAGGTGCGGTACTCCATAAACATTTAATTAAGTTTACCTCTCATTTATCTCTGAGATAGAAAGCTCCCAAGTGGGTTGAGTTTGTCAGGCTGAAAAACTGCATTAGTGCAATTTACCAGAGAGATTTGTAAATAGGAAAGGCATTCATTAAAGGACATGTCCCAGAGTTACATGTCTTTGGTAGAAAAATCCTGTATGTCAAAATGAAAGTGGGATGAATCAGAGTTTCTTGAGAGGTATTACTGGGGGCTCAGAAGACAAGCCTCAATAGCTAGCACGCTGTTTCCCATCTTGGTTGTGAACAAGTAATGACATAAAATACAGCATTAAAGATTAGTCTGAAATGTTACCTTTGGTTGGAGGACTCAACATGAAGTCTGTCTCAGAATTCTGAGCCTCAGAACCAGGTGCAGGCAAAGCTGCACTGGGGTAAGTCTTTTCCCTCCAGGAGCTAAGTTGACCTCTGGGGAACGAAGAAGGGAGGTGCTAAGCTGAGCATACCAGGGCTCTGAAATTAACTGAGCTGCCATCATAGGAAAGAAACATCAGGCGTGGGGAGGCAGCATTCCCAACCAACTGGTGGATAGTTCAGAAGGGTGAGAATAAACATTTACTGGGTATCTAACAATATTTGTCATTATTCTAAGTGCTTTATGAAATAACATTGGTCATTGTCACAGCCACCTTGTGTTGAGGCTCAGTGGGCTGTGAGGAGGCAGAGCGTTCAGTTGGTAAATGAGGGAGGAGCCAGCTGACGATGCCTGGTCTCTCCATTTCCTACAGGCATTATTGTACTTATTTTTCTATCTCTAATAATCCTTGTCCTCAGAGAAATAAAATAAACTGCTTTTTATGGCTGACAGAATCTAAATTGGGATTTTTTAAATTTTAACTAGTTACTTTTTGACTTGTTTCTAAGGCTTTGCTTTTTCCCTGACAGATTAAAATTATTACAGTGTGAGAACATGTGCTTTTTACTTATTTAAGACTCAAATCCATCAACTATCTTAAACAATTATCTTCTCTCTGTCTATATAAAATAAACACGATGATGAGCAATGTTCAAATGATATTAATTTTTAAAGGTATGTAGTCACCTGGAAAATCAGTCAGTTCTGCATTTTACTGTAAATCTTCATTTATAAATAGGCACCCGTCCTCTGTCTCTTGATGGTTTAACTTAATGCCATTAAAAGTAGAAGAGATTTCTCCAGCTCTCAAGTTGCAGAACTGGAATCAATGTATGTTGTTAAAATGAAGAATAGAGGCCGGGCACAGTCGCTCACGCCTGTAATCCCAGCACTTTGGGAGGCCAAGGCGGGCAGATCACGAGGTCAGAAGATCCAGACCATCCTGGCTAACACGGTGAAACCCCGTCTCTACTAAAAATACAAAAAAATGAGCCAGGCCTCGTGGCGGGAGTCTGTAGTCCCAGCCCAGTGCAGTCCCATCACTGCACTCCAGCCTGGGTGACAGAGCGAGACTCTGTCGCAAAAAAAAAAAAAAAAAAAAAAAAAAGAATAGAATACAATTCAATTATTTGCCTTATCCTACAACAAAATGATTGAATTCATTCTTATTGCTATGTAACAAATTATAACAAGCCTAATGGTTTGATGTAACACCTATGTATTATCTTTCAGTTTTGTAGGTCAGAAGTCCAAATGGGCTCAACTGTGTTCTCAGTTTAGGTTCTCACAAGGCCCAAGTCATGGTTTCAGCTGGGTTGGGCTCTTATCTGTAGGGTCTTGGGGCTATTTTACTTGCAAGCTCATTCAGATTGTTTGAAGAATTCAATTTCCTATGGTTATAGAACTAAATCCCCAATTTCTTGCTGGTTGTTGGCCAGGGACACCTCTCAGCTTTTGGGGGTCACCCACATCCCCTTTATCCAGTCAGGGAAAACCTATTTCAAATTGAATCCCTTGAACAATTAAAATCTCTCTGATTTCCTCTTCTACAACCAGCCAGAGAAAACTCTGTTTTTAAAGGGTTCATGTAATTGGTCACTTTAAATTTCCCACTTCAAAAATTTCCATATTTTGAGGACTGCTGATTTGGGATTTCATTTACATCTGTAAAATCTCTTTATAGCAGTACCTAGATTTGTATTATATTGAATAACCAAGGGCCAGTAGTCCTGAGGCGCATCTTTGAATTTTGCCTACCACAATCCTATTTTCTTGTGACTTTTCATCTTAATGGTAAATTTCCAGATTTACTACTTAATTGACTTGTGGGTGGGTGTTTCTTTCTTTGGTTGTGTAAGTATCACAGACAATTAATTCTGAAGAGTTAAGAGAATTCAGACATGTTGCATTGTAGGAGGGTTCTTGTTTGTTGTTTGGTTTTGCTCTCATTTGCCTTTTTCTTTCCCCCAGTTCTATATACTGTGCAGGTTATTTAAAAAGTAGAGAAAGGCTCTGAATACAACAATGAATATGAGCGTGGCTTTGGAGTTGGACAGACCAGGACTGAAACCCATGCTTCTATACTTACTTGCTGCTTGGCACTGGGCATGCCACTTAGCTTTTCTGAGCCTCAATATTCTCATCTTTAAACTAGACGGAAAGTTTTTCCAGGGGATCTTTGTAAGGGGAGTAAATGAGATAAGTAAGTCCTCAGTGCAGTTCCCTGCATACCATAAGGACCCTGTAAATGGTGATTATTTTACTATTAATAGCTCACATAGTGAGTTTTGAGAAGGCAAGCACTTATGCTCTTTGCCAGAGGTGGTCTTGAGATGCAGTTGGTAAAACAAAGAGCAGGCTGAAGCAGATGGTGTTTCCCTGCTTCCATTTCACTGAGTCAGGAGAAAGGTGTCTTCGTTTGCACTGCCATGCCAAGAACACCATAAACTGGGTGATTTAAACAACTGAAAAATATTCTTCAAAGTCCTGAAAGCAGGGAAGTCCAGCATTAAGATGCTGTCTCATTTGGTTCCTGGCAAGGATTTTCAGAAGGATGCCTTCTTGCTGTATCCCGGCATGACAGAGAGAGATCATCTCTCTTGCCTGTCTTCTTATGTGGGCACTAATCCTATTCACGAGGGCTCTGCCTTCATGATCTAATCACCTCCCAAAGGTCCCATCTCCAAATACCATTGCACTGGGGATTAGGGCTTCAATACAGGAATTTGGGGGGCTTATAAAGATTCCATCTATAGCAGACAGTGAGAGGTGAAATTAGTTTCATTTAGGAAAAGGGACAAGAGAAAGATGTTCTGAGCAGAAAGGGACAATCATTCCTGCAGAAATGCAGAGACATAAGTGGCTGAGCTACATCCAGTCTCCCTGCACTGACCCTGTGCTCTGGCCGGGCTGGCACCTGGCATTCCTGATGAAGGCCCCTTGCCCACCCTCACCTCTGGCCTTACTCACATCAGCTCCTCCTTTACGAACACTCTCTTCCCCTGCCCCCACCATTTTCTCCTCATGGCCTTCCCTGAGGCCATGGTGATGGCCACTCTCAGTGCCCATCACCAGCAGCTATGGAGTGTAATGTTAAGTGCTGAAGGCGGCTCACAGACATTCAAATCCCACATCTGCTCCTGTTTCTTGTAGATCATGCCATTGTGATCAGGTCACTTAACTTTGCCTCATTTTCCTGACCTTTGAAATGAGAGTAACAACAGTAGTACCCACTTCATAGGGTTGTTGTGAGGATTCAATGAGTTAATATAGGTAAAGGATTAGTGCCTGGCCCATAGTAAATGCTAGAAAAACGTTAGCACTCATCACTATCATTGTCATTTATTATTTTACTGTCAACTCAGAAAAGATTTCCTCCCTTCCTTCCTGCCTTCCTGCCTTCCTTCCTTCCTTCCTCCCTCTCCTCCTCCTTTCTTCTCTCACTTTTTGTTATTCCCTTTCTTTATACACTGACATCACATCAAAAATTAAAAGAATCATTCATTACAGTCACTCTGATAAAATTGTTTTATTTTTATACACTATCCTTTAGTTCTTGCACATATGAATAAAAAGGATGAAAACTGAAGACTAAAAAGATTACATTTGCACCGTTTATATTACTAGAAGGCATTAATAACAAACAATTTCATATTTTACATAGTCTCAGTAAATTTGTGTATATATGATTTGTCTCTATAACCTAACAATGAGGTCAGGGACTTTGTTTTGTATTTCTTGGGTTCTCTATTGTTGAGACTTGAGAAAGCATGATAAATATCACCCTTCATCCCTATATTTGTTTGAAGATAAAAGGACTCAATCAGGTAGAAATAGAAAATTTTCTTTATAGAGGTGAAGTCTAGGTGGGAAAATAGGTTGTTAGATGAGTGGATTAAGTGAGATTTCCCTTATGGGGCTGCAGAGAAGACCATTTTCTCACCCTGTCATGAGCTGGAGTAACACACCTTGCATCTGCCTCCAGGCCCTG
Source organism: Homo sapiens (assembly GCF_000001405.40). Taxonomy (NCBI): domain Eukaryota; kingdom Metazoa; phylum Chordata; class Mammalia; order Primates; family Hominidae; genus Homo; species Homo sapiens. Next base: position 16,678,735 of record NC_000004.12, on the reverse strand, counting down.
CCCTTGTATACCACATATCAAGATGTATGGAGAAGAGAATGAATCCTTTCTGCAGACAGTTCTCTCCCAAAGAAGAGAGAATAAAACCAAGCTGGATTTTCTTAGTAACTCCTCTAGAATTTATCAAATAGCTGATTCCACATTTCTTGGGGTAAAGTGTGGAGGGGGCCCAAGAGTAGCCCAGAGTGTTACTAGGAAAGCTCACTCCACTTAGAATCCCAAGGCTCTGGGCAAGGTCCCCCCTTCACCCCTGAAACCACACTAGTCCCCAACACTGCATTTTGCCTGTCCCATGATTGGGACACACATAAATCAGACACTTGATGAACAACTAGGAGTAAGAATACTCCAAAATCAGTATGTCCAGTCTAATGTATGTCAATTGTACTTCAATATAGCTGATAAAAAAGAAAAGAATTTATCAGTGGGCCTGGTACAAAATAATTGTTTAACAACTAATAACTCTTGAGTTGACCTTTACCTTTACTGTGTTACTGTGAAGAAGGTAAGTCCTACAACTATTTGTCCTAAATGCTTCATAATCAAGAAACAGCTTGCTATGCCTCCCACTGCCATTCCTTTTTAGGGTTGGCCAGTCTGTCCTTGGTGCTTCTGATTTGGGGTTGATCTTTGAAATCGTTGTTTGCTTTCTCTATCTACTGATCTACTGCTGGTCCTAAGACAATGGGAACTTCCTTTCAAATGGAAGTCACCAATACCGCTCATAATCAAGTTTCAGATGCTGCAGAGAAAGACGGTCTACACACTTAGGTGTCTCTCAGACCCTTCAATGTAAATTTTGCCGAAACTGACATTCTAATTCAGGCAGTTCCAAATTTGGCAAAAATAGGCCTAGCCATTTCCCAGTGTTTCTTAATAGACTAACATGCAGAAATTGAATATTATTTGTGTGGGTGGTATGAAATGGAAACACATGTCCTGGCTTGGCTGAACAGTTTCAGTTTATCTCCATTTTCCTGGCAGCCCATCTGGCTTAGCATTTGTCAGAACAAAACTCTCCCAGTTAAGACAATAAATTACATGAGTGCCTTAATTACATGGAACAAGATATTTGATCTAAAAACAATATATGTTCTGGAGTTAAATGGAATTGACTAGAATCTCAGATTAGTAAGCTATTGGATCCTTTCCCAAGGAGGGGTCTTGTCTAACAGGAGATCAGCAGAGCCAATGCTGCTAGGTTGAAGCTCTGAATGTGGGGGATGTGGATTGTAATCCAGTTCTTCTGCCTGATGAGTGTTACCTACCTCTGGTCACCTTTCCCGCCCAATCCAGTCATCCCTCTTGCCATTTATCCTTTGCAATTCTTAACCACATACTTCAGAGCTTTTCTCCCTTCTGTTTTGTTGATTGTGAATACATTTTTATTTGTTAACGTATTTTATGCACATATGCTTATTTGTTTTGCTTTTGTTAGGTAAGCTCAGAAGACCCTTGGCAGCTTGGGAAAGAAGCTCAACTCCTTTGGCTGGCTTCAGGCCACCCTGAACTCTGTTCATCCTTCTGTTATCCATTCATCTTCTTCCTCCCCAGTGCCCCATGACTATTTTCCTTCAGTGCTGATTGGCCATGTTAAGAACTTCACAGATATTCACACTATAACTCCAACACATAGGCGCTATTCTCTCCCCACTTAACTGTCCTCTCCCCACTTAAGGGAACTGAGGTTCAAAGAGGTTAAGGGACTTTCTCAAATTCACTGCTTTTAAGCGAGGGGCCAAGAATCCAATCTCAACTTGTTTGACTCAAATACCAAAAAGCAGGGTCTCTGTTCTGGCCTCACCATCTGGCACCTGACTGTTCCCACCTCTGCCCTTTGCCCTACTCTCCCATGCTTGCAAATCTTACTCATCTTCAATGCCTAAACTCACACTCCACCTTGTCCAGAACTCTTCCTTGACTTGGATCTCATTTTCCTCCTTTCTTTTTGGTATTCCTACAGTATTTATAGCTTATACCATATGTTTTGGTTTGTTTTGTTTCTGAAAGCAAGTGTCCCATTCTTACATCACCCTTGAAACGTGTCTCATTCCTGAGTTCTCATTTGGACTATACTTTTCTCAAAGGTAGAGATGATTTCATAGAGCTGTTTGTATTGTCAGAAGTTAGTACATTGCCCTGTTTGTAGTCAGTGGTGAATATTGCTTACTGGTTGATAGATTTTTTTCCTCTTCTGTGTAATTCCCCACAGCACTTGACATTGTGCCTTGCACAGAGTGGGAACTCAATAATGGATGCCTTAATCCAGGCCAGATCCCCAGGGTGTTCCGTGATCTTGGCGAAGGGGCTTCCCCTTAAGATACCTCAGAGCCTTCACAGTCACAGCTGCATTGGATTAGCTTTCCACTTTCTAGCAATAATGGAGCTGGAATAGACACAGAGACAGAATACTTTGCTGTCTTATTCTTTTTCCATCAACATCTTCCAGAATTTTCACATGGGTCCTGAACACTAAGTTAGAAACATACTCCAGGACAAAGTGGGCTAGATGTAGCAACAAAGAAGAAATTCATTTAGATTCAGCTATATGTGAAGTGCTTTAACACACAAATGCACACACACACACAACCTCTCCTCCACGCCCTGCGGTGGGAAATTAAGTGTGTCAGGTGTTCAGACATGACATTAGCCAGTTACAAAACATTTTTTCTCTGGCTTCTCCCAGTAGAGGCCTTCATGTGGGTATAAAATACTGTTATTATTACTTATAAAAGCTTAAAGGGCACCTACCAATATGCCAAATATTCCCTCTTCCTCTGACAAGTACTTTTGTTTAATCAGGCACAAACAGATATATGTCATTTAATGGAATTCCATGTGATCTTATAATAAAGAAATGGAGAAATCTATGCATGAATAAATCAACACTGAAGTTGATTTATTTTTATGTTTCAACACATTGAATTGAATTGTTGCAATGGGAAAAGATACACAGACAGCATATTGATAGATCATTAAAGCTAATATTTTAAAATGTTAAACATATGTTACATGAGTGCTATTAATATATTAAGACATAGATAGTGTTAAAGGTACGAGTGACTTTGGGATCAAGGCCAACATAATAAGCACCAAAATATATAATTTTATTTATCTAGATTATTTTTGCAACCAATTAAGGGTTTTTTTTTTTCATTTTGTACCCATTTTGGTCCTATAATTATCTATATCCCTGCCTTTCCCATGAGATTAGAAGTTCTGTGACAGCAGGGGCTGTGTATTCTTTCTGTTTCTTTCTTTCTTTTTTTAAATAAAAGTGGCTGGCATAGAGATGACCCTCAATGAATCAATTGAAGTACTGTGTCTACATTAGAGATGCATTTTATTACTGTTTTGTATTTTGATTTATATTGAAGTCACATGAGGACATATCATGCCATAAAATAAGTGCGCATGTGATAAAATTGCATAGAATTAAACACATACTCAAACGAGTGGACAGAAAACTGGTGAAATCTGAATTAAGTCAGGTGTGATGGATGCCAATGGCAATTCCTTGGTTGTCATCTTGTACTATAGTCATGAAAGATGTTGCCATTGGGGAAAGCTGAGTGGAAGGTGTTTGAGACCCTTCTGCACCATTTCTTGCAGCCACATTTAAACCTACCATTATCTCAAAATAAAAGTTTTTAAAAAATAAATGATTGCATTTAAGATACTGCGAAGGTACAGTGAAAATATTTAGATTTGCATACATGAGGTAAAAATTTGAATATCCCAGTGTTCACAGAGCTTCCATGTATGTAAACATGAGCAAACAGGGAATTCGCTTTCAGGTTCCTAGATAATAAAGCAGATATTTTGGTATAATAGTTTTGAATAAGAACAGAAGCCAAGTATACTCCCTTAACATTGGTGGGAAATTCACCGAAGAAGAGAGGGATGTGTGTGTGTGTGTCTGTGTATATGTGTGTGTGTGTGTGTGTGCTTTCGGTAGATTTTTCTTTCTTTAATTTTTTCTCTAAAAATGACATTAACAAGTTTACTCAGTGCCTTCTGGGTGCCAGGCACCATGTATTCATAGATCCCAACTGATGTAATAGAAAATGCGTAAATTGGGGAGCAGACGGACCAGTGTTTGAATCCTGGCTTACCAGTTGTCCTTAGCTGTCTTCTCTGAGGCAGCTGTATAACTTCTCAGTTTCCTTAGCCATCACACACAAGTAATTAATAATCCTCACCTTTCAAAAATATGATGCTCAGAAATGAACTTATAATAAGCATGGAGGCATCCACCCTATAGGCCACATAGAGCCCAATACGTGGACACTCAATGAATGATGGGTGCTCCTGAATTATCACTGAGAGAGCTGGGGTCCCTGCTTCTAACACCGCCTCCAGGGCAACTGCTCTTATCTTTGCATCTCAGAGACAAAGAGCACTGTCTTTCTGCAGTTGTGCATTCAGCGGCAGATGCCAGAGGAAACTGCAACCAGCTCGGGGATTCGGAACCAGATGCCTGTGATGGATTATTACAATTTCCTATCATGTAATTGCTTTTCTGTTTGACCAAAGGTACCTCATTTAATCTATTTCTAATTTGTTTTAAGGCGTGAATTCTGGAAATGCGTAAAATGGGAAATATTCTCAGGGAAATCTTTCCAACTTCCTTCCCCAGCACAGCTTCAGTTGCGTTAACGTATAAGAGAGCACTTGGTAAACACTAAGGCGATATACAAATGCGAGTTGTTCCCATTATGATTATTATTGATCTTTGCTTAAATTTCCCCATGGGCTCTCTCAGTGCTCTGGGCACAGATATCCCACAGAATTTAATGGGTCTTTTGATAGTGGAGAAGAAATGTAAAAGAGGGAGAAATGTTCTCATTTTGATATTTATATCCCCACCTTTTCAACAAGCATCTCAGAGCAGGGTAGCCCATGCTTTCCCAACCCTGGCATGTAGCATTCTGGACTGGATAGTTTTTTGTTGGGGCAGGTGCTGTCCTGTGCCTTGTAGGATGTTTGGCAGCATCCCTGGCCTCTACGTACTATATGCCAGTAGCACCCCATCAATTGTGGCAACCAAAAATGTCTCTAGACATTGCCAATTGTTCCCTGGGAGGCCAAAGAAATGCCAGAAGACACTTATTATAATAGCATGGAGAAGGGTGCTCTCCTAACTTTAAGCCCTGTTCCAAAATTTGACAGTTCCTCAAATCTGATGGAACAATTTTCAGAGCTAGCGAAAATGTGTTCTTAGACAGAGGGCCTATATGAAGCACTGTGAGAAGACCTAAGCCTTTTCCGCGTTGTGACCCGTTTCAAAAGCGACACAAAATCCCACCTCCAAGATCAAACACGGAAGCAGCAGGAGTAACCTTGACTTTGGAGTTCTACTACTTCTAATAATTATTCATTTAGTCAACAATTAGGGATTCAGTTCCACAGTGTTTTGAACATAGTCTCAGTTTAGTGTGTGCATACTGATAATCTGGAGACCTGGAAACCCTCGAAGGTAAGATGTCTGGCTGATGTTGCAGTCAGATCAATATAAACAACTTCCTATTCCCAGATTTTTAGCAGAGATATCTCTTGTGAAGTGGATTCATGCCCCTTTCCCTGAAAAGAAAAAGCACAATAATTACTACTCTCTTTCAGAATTACAATCCCATTGGTCACAAACCAGAATCTTCAGTGAGCTGGTGAAAGAAAAGAAGGATGGAGGGAGTAAGGGGGGAAGAAAGAGAGAAGGAACGAGAGAGAAAGAAGAAAGAAAGGAAGGGAAAGAAGGAAAGGATGGAGGGAGGGAGAAAGGAAAAAGAGAGAAGGAGGGAGAGAAGCGAGAAGGAAGAGAAAAAAGATAAGGAGAGGGGGAAGGAAAAAAAAGGAAGGAAGGAAGAAAGAGAGGGAGGGAGGAAAGGAAGGAAGGAAGGAAGGAAAGAAGGCAGGCAGGCAGGCACGCAAGCAGTTCTTCTCTTCCCTTGAAGAAAACATTCTCTCAGTGTTACTGCAGGGAAAGAGGATTGCTATTGTTTGTGATTTTCCTGACCTGAGAGAGGCACTGTGTTTAATTAGAGATCCGCAGGCCCTGTTTCCATTGATGTTGGCCTGCCTGTAGTTTGGCTCTTTTTTGCCCATAATATATCTATCTGCCTTTGTGCTGTAGCTGCTGCCTAAACAGATTTTCTGTTTTTAATAAGGAGCAAGAAAGTCTTGTAGTCTTTCCCAGTAGTATAGTTTAAAAAAGAAACTAGAACACAAGAAAGTAAGGGCTCAGTTCCCATTTAACTCTTGCCTCTCTGGGCAAGGGTTGAGCTAGGGCTTGGTTTCCTGAACCCATCCTTGGCTCAGATGGTGCCAATGAACTTTCAGCAGCTCCTCTCCAGCTTTTTTCCCATCTGTTCCCTTCCTGCAACCTAGGCATAAGAGAATGTGGGTATTGGAGACATCTGCATTCTGGGAATCAGTAGAGTTAGGGGTTAGACTTGCAGGCTCTGAATCCAAGCTGAATTGGCTTCTAATAGATTTCTGCCACTCACACGCTGTGTGACCTTCAGTGAGTTGGTTAGTATCTCTGAGACTTGGTTTTCTCAGCAATGAAAATGGGGATGACAGTCATACCTCCCTCACAGGGTGTTGCTCCAAGTAATGAATGAGGAAACATCTTTAAGGCACCTGGTAAGTGCTCAGTAAAGGGTCATGGTTGCTGTTGTTATTACCAGGTGTGTTCTGTCACTGGAGTCTAAATCTTCTCCATGCACCTCTCCAGAGAGCCAGGAGGCAGCTCTGGAAATTGCGTCCCAGTGGACTCCAGGCAGCATTTTTCCTGCTGAGATAAATAAATTGGTGAATCATTAAAATGAAGCCAATTCAGCTGCAGCCCACTTTCATTCTGTGTGGAAAGCAACTATTACTTCTTTTGCCTGGACAGTGTAATTTCATTACAGTCCCAGTCACCCAGCTGCTTGTGGAGGAGCTCTCGGTGGATGGTTAATGAGATGTGGTGGCATTGTTTGGCTTTGTCAGGACCCCCAAGCTATTGCAGACTTTGCAATGGCATGGACCCAGCCCAGAGTAAGGGACTCCATGATCCACCTACCTGGCCCCTTCTGACTCCGAATGGTCTGAGTTCTGTGTCCAAGTTCCCATCAATGTTGGCATCAGAGGCTCATTCATTTGCACATTCTAAGCCCAGGATTCTAATTATTGGTTTGTTTCACTCTCTGGGGAATTGGCTGAGCTGCTGGACTGGACCAGGCTTGGGCTCTGACTGCTGAGACAGTAGGGACCTGGAGGGACAAAGGCAGGTGAGCTGAGGTTTCTGGGGGGTGACAGTAGCCTGCACATCAGGAGCTAGAGGCTGCATGAAAGTTTTTTACACGGAGTATCTTATTTCCCCCTCACAACAAACCTGGGAGACTAGCTTTTTACACATGAAGAAACTCATAACGGACTGAAAGGGAAATGTGATTCAAAGTACCCCAGAATAGAGATTTGCAAGGATTATTCTTCCAGGATACACTTGACGAACGATGCTCACATGGTTGAAGTACTCTCAAGGGTACACCTAGATTTTAATATCCCCCCACTTCCAAATTTTAAGAGGGAGTTAAACAAATTGGGTTTAAGCTCTAAGCACTTGTTTTTTTTGTTTTTTTTTTTTGTATGTGCTATTTTAAAAAGAATTTTCTTCCAAGCACTTGAGTAATAATATCATCCAGTTAAAGATCTATTTCTGAATATGGCACAGATAAGACAGGCTGTGGGTTCTACAGTTCCCCACACACCAGCTGTAACTAATTCCTTCTTTCTCATGTAGAAGCAGATCATAAATCAGGTGACAGTGGCAGGGTTACAGGTTCAAGATAATCCATGCAAGGCTCTTAGCATACAACTGCATATTGTAAACACTCAATAAATAACAATAGCTAATTCACATACCCCTTATTACATGTCAAGCCTTCTCTTATGAGCGACATATATTTTAACTAATTCAACCACCACAAAACCTTTTTCAGGCAAGTACTATTATTATGCCCATTTTATAGATGAGGATATTAAAGCATAGGATAGTTAAGTAATTTGCCCAAGGCCATGCAGGCAGAATAAACTGAGGCAGATTTGGTTTAACCCTGTGGTCCTTAACTGTTTCTATGCATTATGTCATGTTTTATTGTGAACTTGAATTGACTCTGTTTTTATTTATTTAATAACTAGTTCTAAACTTTGGAACTTAACTATTGCTATTAGTGTGTTGACTGTAGATGCTTCACAGATCACTTTGTGGCCAAAGTGTTAGGGCATCATCCTTGAGAAGTGTTGCCTAGTGCCCAGCAATGACCCCAGTGGTGGGGACTTAATATTTGTTTGTGAATAAACACAGCACTCAGCCTCTGAAATAGGACATTCATAGAAAGGAGGAAAGAGACGTCTTCAGAAGCAGAAGAAAGTGATAGATATTTGGTACCTATATCTACCAAAGGTAGGTACCAAATATCTAAGCGACCTACTTAGATTGGCTTGTACCAGTAGACTGTCCTTGCATACTGGTTCTACATGAGGACTGACTACAAGGAGTGCTGATCACTGGCCACCTGACAAAGGTTTCGAGTGTTGGGCAGCAGAGTAGATCTCTACGTTTGGTTCAGCTCTTCATCAATGATTTAGATCAGAGGTTGGCAAACTTTTCTGTGAAGGACCAGACAGAAAATATTTTAGGTTTGGAGACCCTTAGATTTCTCTTAAAATTACCCAACTCTAGCATTGTAGCACGAAAGCAGCCATGGATTATTTCTCAATAAATGTGCATGGCTATGTTCCAATAAAACTTTATTTGTAAAACCAGGCAAGGGACCAGTCCAATGAGATGGACCTCCAACGAGTTTGCTGATCTCTGATTTAGATCAAGACACAGGCAGAGGGATTACACTGGCAGTGACAAAAATTTGGGAAAGAGGGCTGGATGAAATGTGAATGAGGAAAGTGAAGGTTCATTAAGCTCTCCATGGAACAGGACAAGCCCAGGTTTTAAGTATTAGAAATTGTGTGACTAGCTGGATTAGAATTCTGGCTCTGTCACTAATTAGTATGTGATCTTAGACAAATTACTTAAGTAACTTCACCTTTCTGACTCACATGTGTTTTCCATAAAATAGAGACAATTCTTAACCTTCCTCTGTGGATCCATGTAAAGGTCAAAATATATTACTATATTTGTCAACGTATATGAGATGCTTTTTAAGTATAAAAGGATAAAGGTAGACTCCCTCCATTTATCTTTTAGAAAATAATCAACAAGGGTATAGGCTGGAAGAACTTGATTAAAAATGAGGGTCCAGATTTTAGTGGACTGAATCAGCCATGTGGCCTGGCTTCTCCAGAGGCAGCTGTACCTGTCTCTGTGGAGCTGAGATGAAGGGAACTGATAGCTCATAGCCCAAACCAATGAGCAGCCAGGAGGCTAGTGCAGGCAGAACAGCACAGTATAGGGCAAGGAACAAGAACTGGGAATTCTGGGCTGGAGTCCCACTTCTATCACCTCTTGACTATGAGGTCATGGTCAAATTACATAATCATTCTGACCTTCAGTTCCACATCTAAGAATAATATCTTGCTTACAATATTGTGAGGTCCCTGGTAGATGATTCTTGCTTTGGTTGCTCAATATTCATTCTCCACTTTCTGGTAACAGCTCCCTGCTCTTAGTTTTCCTCTGAGCACCACCTAAGCTTATGCTCAGTCTGTGAAGCTCAGGGGGATTGACCCCATTTCCTAGTATAGAGATGAGCATGTGACCCAAGTTAGACGAGTGGGAACCATATCCACACTGTAGCAGGAGCGATTGGAAAAGAGAAGCTCTTTTTCCACTCCAAATAGGGAGCCAGAATGTAGGTCCTAAGCACTGGGGGAGTCACCCTTAGAGGAGGTCAAAATGAACTAAGGCAGAGGTGAGACAGGGAACAAAGAAGACAGAGCTGTAATGACTCTCTTTGCATCTAACTGCACCTAAATCTCTTGCGTTTTCAGTTGCATGAGAAAATACATCTCTGCTGAGGTTGTTTTGATTTATGCTGCTATCACTTGCTCTAAAGAATCTGGAGTCATAGAACATGCAATGTAATTAGTACAGTGCCTGGCATGTAGTAAGGGCTTAGGATAATATAGCTTTTATTCTTCTTATTTGTGAAAGTATTTCATTAAAAAAATGCTGGAGGGATGTTAGAAAACCAAAGTGTAGTGGCCTTCATGGCATGTGAACAGAAACTTGGTGGTCTAGAAATGTCCCTGCACAGAGGAGACAAATGTAAAAGAAGGGAAGAGGCTTAGCTTGGGAGACAGCAGGATTTGAAGAGACTGAGAGCTATCACGGAGAGGGATTCACCTTGTGCTATGTCGCCCCAGAGGGCAGAACTCCAGCCAAATCAGGAGTTTCTTTAGGCTGGGCTCCTCAACCAGGAGGGGAACAGGCAATTTCAGAGCAGTGATTGTGTCCATCCAGGGTCTGGGTTCTCCTGGAACCAACACTTTGCCAAAGTGTTTTTCAAGCCATTTTGACCATGACCCACAGTAATAAACATATTTTACAAGTGACCCAGTACATGTATATATATATATATATTTATCGTATATCTGATTAAAAATTTATGAAACTATCCTTTTATCATATGAAATGCATTTTAACTTTCTATTCTACTCTATTTTAAATTGTGCATTTCATTTTTTTAAAGATGTTGGTCTTGACCTAGTAATTTGGATTCATGAACTCTATTGGATCCCAGCCTGTATTTAAAGAATTCTGTTATATAGGATATTCTTGTCTGTGATGAGAGGTTGTGGTGATCGTGGAAGGTGAGCAGAGGACCAGAGTGAGAGGGAAGGTGATTGGCCACACATGCCATGCCATGGCCTTCCATAACATACAAGTGCACAGAGCATGCCAAGCCTGAGGCCAGTCCAGGGACAGCTGTGTGAGGTGCAGGCACATCTGGCCCCTCAACCCTATTCAGGCAGAAGTTGCTAATTGATCCCAGCAATCCTTTTCTCCAGGCCTGAGCATGCCTCTGAATCCTTCTCAACCTGTCTGTCTATGCGGTTGCTCCCCATGAGTAAACCTATTGCCATCCATGAGTCAGCCTTGCAGATGAGCGAAATTGAGATTCTGTGAGTTGCATGCATTTGGAGTTTGGAGCTCTGCCTAATTTTTTGCGTTTTTCTTTGACTCCTGCCTTCTCCTGTTTTGCAGTGGGTGGAAACAACAGGTGTAGCAGGAGCATCAAATGGAGAATCAGGAGATCCCAGGTCTGGTAGAAACTAGCCAAATTGTCCCACCTCTAGATCTCAGTTTCCTCAGCCCTAAAATGAAAATGATAATGGCACATTGCCCATGGGCTTGTCAAGAGGATGGTGTAGAACATTCCAGGTAAACAATGTCACCCAGGGCTCCGTGCACGGCAAGGACTCTGCACACGCTCACTTCCTTCCCCTTCTCACTGTCTGAAGCTTGGGAAACATTGAGAGACCCCATGGTGTGATGAAAATACCTTTCCTTGGTTCTGGAAGATACTAGTTCAAGATCTTTTGAGAACCGTCAGCAGTGCCAGGCCTAGAGATGGAAGAGCAGTATTCTCTCTGTCTCTGTGTGTCATTTGGCAAATCACACACACTCTCTGTGCATTCCTTTATCCTCTTAAATAAATATATAAGGTTCAGGTGGCCCTTGACAGTCCCAGGTGCTCTGCAGTGATGCACTTAATCCAGCAGATAGACACAGTGTTCAGGAGGTTAACTAATCAACCTCTGCATACCCTCACCTTTCCATTCCCCCACCCTGTTCAAAAGGGAATTCCTTGAGCTGACCAATGTGGAGGGAATAAGGTCTTTTTCTTTGTTTTCCTCCATTTTAAAAAAACACAATGAAGTGCTGTCAGAAAACAACTGTTGCCTGTTCTGTCCAAATCTAGTCAAGGGGGAAAAACTGCACTGTCACTTTTGGACTGGCACACGTCCAATTTGTTGTCATTCAAATACCACGATTCTCTTCATTTTTTAGATTCTGCAAAATATTGTGAATTTTCTTTCCAAGGGCATGTCTCCACAAAACTGTTACCTCGCAGCAGGTAACTGGTGTGAAGCCACAAACAGCATAAAACCCAAGCTTCTATGGACATCCATGCAGTAGAAGCCTGGTGGAACCCTGGTTCTCTTTAACATGAAGCAACACTCGAAGAACCAGCAAAGAAGTAACTGGTTTAGATGGCAGGAAGCTCATGTTTATTCCACATGCAGCAGCAGCCTGGTTCCTTCCAGAGGCAGAAAATGGAGCATGAAGGAAGAGTCACTACCGTTGTGAGGCTGCAGTTTGGAGGACAGCTGCAGGCTCACGAGGCTCCCTTTCTTCTCAGCGTAGCCTTTTTTTTTGCCTTCTGATTCTGCCTTGGGCAGCACTCTGGGACAACAGCTAGCTTGGCGAGGCTTCAACTCTTGATTATTGCTCCCGTGTGAGCCAGAGAAAGGAAAATAAAAACACCTGTAACCTGCACAGCAGTGCGAGCTTGTCCTGTGGATTTTGATAAAACACAGCCCTATTGTGCTTTCCATCATCTCTTTAGGTTTCTATGGGGTAGTTTCTGTTTCATGTCGCAGCTATAACAAAGTACCACAATCCAGGCTGCTTAAAACCGCAGAAATGTACTCTCTCACAATTCTGCAGGGCCAGAAGACTAAAATCAAGGTGTCGGCAGCGTTGGTTGTTTCTTTCTGAGGGCTCTGAGGGAGATTGTTCCAGGCCCCCATCCTGGCTTCTTGTATTGTAGGCAATCTTCAACATTCCGGGGCTTGTAGCTCCATCACTTCAATCTCTGCCTCCTTCTTCACATGGCCTCCTTCCCTGTGTCTTTATCTGTTTTCCCTTCTCTTCACCTATAAGGACTTGTCATTAGATTTAGGGCCTGCCCCAGTCCGGGATGATCTCATGTTGATTCTAAATTACATCTTCAGACACCCCTTTTTTTTTCCATTTAAGGTCACATTTACACGTTCCAAATGGACATATCTTTTAGGGGCTACTATTGAAACCTGTTATAACTCTTTTTCTTCCCCCTGTCCTGGAGAATGCTAGCCATAACTTTTCTGCTCATGCTCAGGTAGGATTCAGCCACTTTAAGTTACCAACAAGGTCTCAATTTAGTAACTAGAATATCTAATTCTGGGCTTGGCGCGGTGGCTCACGCCTGTAATCCCAGCACTTTGGGAGGCCGAGGTGGGCAGATCATGAGGTCAGGAGATCGAGGCCATCCTGGCCAACATGGTGAAACCCCGTCTCTAATAAAAATACAAAAACTTAGTCGGGTGTGGTGGGACACACCTGTAGTCCCAATTACTCAGGAGGCTGAGGCAGGAGAATCATTTGAACCTGAGAGGCGGAGGTTGCCATGAGCCAAGATCACACCACTGCACTCCAGCCTGGGTGACAGAGTGAGACTCTGTCTCAAAAAAAAAAAAAAAGAAATGAAAAAAAAAGAGAATATCTACTTCTGGGGAACTGATGAAGCTTGATCTTTTGGAGTTAGATCTTCCCTCCTCTGTGGCTCAGACCCGATCCAAACTGGAGGCTGCAGTGGGGAAGGAAAGCACTGTTCTTTTTACTCTTTTCTGCTCACCTTCTTTTCCCCCTCTCCCATACAGCTGCTGTTTCACTCTTTGCCAGAGTCTAAGGTAGGTGAGGTGCAAATGATGGGGTAGTTCATACTTGGCTGAGTGGCTTTGTATTATCTGGGCCTGGCAAATATTTAAAGTGGAGACCCTAGTTAGGCCTAGCCAATGCAGAAAGTACATTTGTCCTTCCATAGGAGCTTTGGAGGTTCCTGTGTGTTTTCTGTTCATCTACCCTCTCCCTCTTGCAGTTCTCTTGACCCAACATTGATGCATCTGGTTCCTAAGCCTTGGCATCCAGCCGACACCCGAAACATGCAGAGAGTACAAATGTGCACCTATTCCACATTCATTACAATGCAGGCACCTGAAAGGTGGGGAAAGAATGGAAGGTAATTCAGATTGATCCATTATTTTATGCCTTGTGGGAAGGCTTGTCCCCCAGGAATGTAAACTTAAATAGGGAGATTTTTTTAGTAATCACATTTACAAAAGTAATGAAGCTATTGGACGGTCTTTTTTGATTTAAAAACAAGCAGACTCATGATAACTAATTAAATGGAGAATCAAGAACCCTTTCACAGTTCAGATCAACACGGGGGTCTTAGTTCCCACTAACGTCTTCATTTTAGTGTTCCTGACTCTGTCTAGTGTCCTACTACCCCTGCCATCCTGCCCTGAGCAAATTTTGTGTTCCATATTGTCTTAGTCCCTTCAGGCTACTATAACAAAATACCATAAACTGGGTGGCTTATAAACAACAGAACTTTATTGCTTATAGTTCTGGAGGCTGCGAAGTCCAAGATCGAGGCACCTGCAGATTAGGTGTCTAGTGAGGGCCAGCTTCCTGGTTCAGACAGTATCTTCTCTCTGTGTCTCTACATGGTGGAAGAGGCAATGCAGCTTTGTGAAGCTTCTTTAATAAGGGCTCTAGTCTCATTCCTGAAGACTCTAGCTTCATGACTTAATCACATCCCAAAGACCCAGCCTCCTAATACCATCATCTTGGGAGTTAGGATATGAATTTTGGGGGACACAGACCTTCAGACTATAGAAGACATCTCTTCCTATTCCCTTTTTTTCTCTCTCTCTTTTATTGAAACTTAACATTGCTTTGCCCCTCCACCCTCTAGCTGTCTGCCAAGTATGCTGGGAGGAAATTGAGAATGTCTGTGTTAATGTGTGGTCATTACTTGGACTGTCTTTTCCAGGGTGATAGCTGTCACTAGAGGAAATTGTGCAATCTTAAAAGACAGATTCTACTCATTGGAATTGCCTGAGAATTTATTCCCTTCAACTTGACAGTCTTGGAAGGTTAGACTGTGTATCAGGTCAAAATGGGATAAATTAGAATCTATCTATGTAGTTATGATAATGAGAAACTAGCAAGGCAAGTTTCATTCTAAAAGATCTTAGATTACGAATAGATATTTTCTTTAGAAGCAGCTGTTTATTTACTAGCTACCCTGTGCTCAACACCAAGGACACAAACGTAAACAGGCTACCATCTTGCCTTCAAGGAGCTTCACGGAAACATGCATTGTGCTTTGAAACAAAACCATCCAAATTATATTTGCACATGTCATCAAGGTGATGTAGAGGAGGCTGAGTCACCAACCATTTACATCTATGAAACTGATGAACTCTTGGGTTGAAAAAGTCAGGCAGTGGTGTGCTGGAGCCAACTTTCATGATTGTTTATGACTGCCAATTATGAGCCTCTCTTCCCAACTCTGTACTCAGTTACGTCCCAATTAATAGCTTGAAATTAGCCATGGTGGGAGAATTTACACCACAGAAATTGGTAAGTGCTGTAAATCAGGGCTTCTTTTTGTTTCTAGAGAACCAAATGTTAAACATTTACCAGCACACCACAAAAGTCAGGGTAGGGCTTTCTTCTTCTGACTTTCATTTTGACTGCCAATTCACTTTAGAGTGAACCATTTAGCATCTTGGTGCCCAGAAAAATTCCATATGCTTTTAGGAAAGCTGTGAGAACCAAAGGAAGTATTCAAGAGGAAGTGCTTTGAGCTCCCTAGAAGAAAAGCTTTATTTTCTTTATTCTTTGACCCCAGGAAACAAATACTTGGAGTGGTTCTATGATTCTTTCAGGATCCTGAAAGAGTCAGTAGCAGATTTTCGGGGAAGGAGTGTTCTCATTCATTTGTTATTATAATGTTCCAAATGATTCTATTTTTCAAGGAAAATAAAACTATATAACATATATGTATTAGTCCATTTTCATATTACAATGAAGAAGCCCCCGAGACGGTAATTTGTAAGGAAAAAGAAGTATAATGGACTCACATTTCCACATGGCTTGGGAGGCCTCACAATCATGGTGGAAGTCAAACGAGGAACAAAGACGCGTCTTACATGGCAACAGGCAAGAGAGCATGTTCAGGGGAACTGCCCTTTATGAAACCATCAGATCACATGAGACTTATTCACTATCATGAGAACAGCACACACCCAAAAAAAAAAACTTGCCTCACGATTCAATTACATCCCACTGGGTCCCTCCCATGACACATGAGGATTATGAGAGCTACAATTCAAGGTGAGATTTGGGTGGGGACACAGCCAAACCATATCAATATATGAGTTTAACTTTAAAATCTTCCTCACTGTTTGTTATGATTGGATGATATATTTTTACCAAATATTAATTTTGCAAGGCACTGTGTAGGGGAGGGTGGACTTTACAAAAATTAGGAATGGGAGAACAGGGATTTCAGAAGCTGATGTCCAATATTTATTTTTTAGCTACTTTCTGTACTAAGCTTTGTTTATTTTCATCTTTCAACAAATGATTACTGAGTGTCTTCTGTGTTGGGTTTGGAGCAAAAGTCAATAAGATACCAATTCCCAGGGCAAGGTAGGATGTGAGCAAGGGCCAGGGTCTGATGAGTAGGGACTGAAGGAATGGGCACTGTGGTGAGGAATGGCATGAGTCGGGTAGAAACCAAGCTATTCAAAGGCAAAATTTAAACAGAAAGGTATTTACAAAGAGAATTTGCATAGAATTAATGCTGAGTTTTCTGGCAATCAGTTGCCCTCTTTTCCTTCACCTGTGCCCTATAGAAAGGGAAAAGACATACTTGGAATGCTAGAATGAGACCAAGTGGTCATTAAAGACTTCCTTTGGTTCAAGACTGGAATCTGTGCTGAGATCTTCCAAGAGCGAGTGCTACCTGCCCCAGTAATTAAAGTTCCCAGGGAACAAGATTCCATGTGCTCTCTCACTAATTCCTGGAAAGTCTGACTGCTCTTACTGGTAAGAAATTCCTCAGGTTTAATTAAATGCTTCTGGCTCTCATTCCTTCTTTACTCTCTTTTTCCTCTGGATCTCTTCAGTTGCATGTGATTTTCAATTCATTCAGTCATTCAAAATACTGATGCCTGGGCCCTAAGTCCTTGAAACTGGTAGAACACATGTGAACTTGGGCCAAAGGCATCTGTAATGATATTGATGAAGAGGACAACGTTAAAAAAAAATGGTTATAGCCATACTAATAGCCACAGCAAACACTTAGTAGGTACCAAACACTGTTCTGTATTGCATAAATTACCTCATTTAATTCTCACAACAGCCCTAGGAAGTAGGTAATTGTATCATCCCCACTGAAGATGAGGAAACTGCAGCATGGTGGGATTAAGTAACTTCCCCAAGGTCCATATCTAGTAAGTGGCTGAGATGGGATTTAACCCTCTCAGTCCATTTCTCAACCAGTTCTATGCCCTCTGTACTTCTGTAAAGTTTCCCAGAAAGTTCTGCTGTATTTCTGAAGTTGAAAGCCATGGGCCAAAGTAATAGTACTTGGCATGTGTTGGTACATAGTGCTTGACTGTCTTTTTGTGCCAAAACTGTTTGCTTCTTTCTTTTCATTCCTTGATTTCACTGTCTAGCAGTGGGGACAGATATATTAAATATACCTACCTTTGTAGACACATACACCATGCACACAGTAATGAATCTTGTACAATGTACTATGAGGGGACAGGGTGAGTGTAGGGAGGTGGGGGAAAGTAATTATTTCTGTGGTATTAGAAAAACGATTGGAAAGAACAGGGTATAATTTGGCTTTATAATCAAAAGTCTATTGACAAATCCTCAGGGAATTAAATTTAAATCTTTGGTAGTTTTGCTCTCATGTGAACGTATTCCCTATTAGTCCGCATAGGACAATGCCTATATTCCTGGTATTTCTAGGAGTGGGTGGGCCTGAGGCTGAATTAGACTGGGCCACACTCCAACTGATTTATGCAATCCTTTTCCTAACACTGACCAATATATGTACTCAGATACTCCTAATCTTACAGTGTCCTTCTTCACTGGGGTCACTGACTATGAAAGAGACTCTGAAACAAGGATTCCAGGGATTGTTGATGTCATTTATCCCCAAACCTGTTTCTCTTGTTCTGTACAGCAGTAACAGTAAGATGATGAAAAGTAGAAATTAATGCAGTAAGGAGATAAAGTCTTGATGTCTACCTCATCTTTATGACCCCAGAACCTAGCAAGGTGCCTGGCATGTAGTAGGCGCACAGTAAATGCTGAAGAAATGAATAAATGAGAAAGGAAACCATGCTACTTCCATATGGACATTTTCAGTTCTCCTGGATGGTGGTGATGGCGGTGGTGGTTGTGGTTATCTATATGTACCTTGTTAGTCATTAACTGATTTGATTTTCTCAATATCTCCTGAGGTCAGATGAGCAGGTATCACCATCCTCTTTACCCTTATTTCTAAGTATGGACATTGAGTTTCAGTGAGCCTGTGAACCTTGCCTAAGGCCCCTTGATGGCCAGTACAAAATATGAGTTTTGTGTTCAGCCTTCCCAAATTCTGTGCCTTCTCTACAATTGTGAGAGACATTGCCAATATCTAACTGCAAAATAGGATTCTGCATCAGAGAACCAGAAGAAATATGTACCCTCTTTTCCCTCTGAGATGAAAAATGTAGGCACTATCTCTTTATCTTTAGGGTATCTCTATGTCATTCTTTCTCTGTGTGTTGTGGTATACATCTACCCCTGAGATGCCAGTAGCAGTCCCTCAGTCATGACAACCAAAAATGTCTCCAGACATTGCTAACTGTACCCTGCGGAGCAAAATAGTCTCTTGCTGACATCCACTGGTCTAAAGATTTTGTATGAATAGTACATTTTCAAATAATTGTGTTTTGGTAGCACTCTTCTTTTTCTTTAAGGGGAACACAAAGCTCCACAGTTACAAAAGCCTTTGTAAGGATCACAAAGCGAGAGATTTATCAGAAGACAAAGCCAGTCAAATGTGATTTCCAGAGTCACATGACTCCTATTGTGGTAAAATAATTCTGTTTTCTTTGTCTTCCTGAACTTTGGAAATCTGTTCACTCACTTTTCTCAGAAGGCCGATTACCTTGTTACATATATACATACATACATATATATATATATATATATACACACATAGATATACTCATATGTGTGTGTGTATATATATAAACTATGTATGTGTGTGTGTGTAATTCATATATATTAGATTTTTTTTCCTTTAGGAGTGTTCAAAACTCCCTCCTGCCTACTTAAAATCACAATTAGCTGAATAAGTTAATTTAAAACAAATTAAAAGTTAGAAAACTTTGGTCTTTGAGTTATGAGCAACATTTATTTTCTACCCAACGCATGAACACTGAACTTCAGGAAAAGTATGGAATTAAAGCCTAATAAAATGTTATATAAACTCTTAAGTCATGTTGACTTCAGTGGTGAGGCCATGCCAAGAAAGTTAATGGAGCGGCTCCGGGGATGCCGACCCAGGGATTTATCCACCTCTGTGTGTTTCTAAGCAAAAACACATGTCTGGAAAATGAGCCTTTGCAAACCAAATACAGAAAGATCAAGCTGCCAAGTACATCTCAGGCCTTTTCCACACATGCAATTTCATATTTAAGGACAGTCTTGGTCTTTATACACTCCAGGAAAGTGGAGCAGAACCTTCGTATATGTAAGAATGTGTCTGTCTTTGGAGAACATTCCCCAGGTGGTGCTCGTATTCATGTTTCAAAGAGAACCCCAACCTTAAAATCAGGCTCATTTGGTGGGTCTCTCAGTAAAGAAATTTTGTTTGTTTGCTTATTTGTTTGATTGTTTATTTCTTGCTTAAGACTTGGCCTAGTATCTGTAATTAAAAGACAGCACAATATAGTAAAAAGATCTCCTGCTTTGACTTTCAGTCCTTAGGTTTCGAGACCTTGGGCAAACTACTTAACCCTTCTGAGCCTTACTGTCCTCCTCTGTAAACGGAGCTAAAGATACACCCCTCAGGGAGGTTAGGCCAATGCAAGGACATGGAACATGGAAAACACCTAGACAGTGTGGGCTACATGGGTGGATGCTTAAAAAGTGTTTATTCCTGCTTTCTTTTTTTAACACTGAGGTCACAATCGGACCACCCTGTGGGCCAAATGTGGCCTGCATATTTGTTTGTCCTGAAATGTGCTTTTGAACATTCTAAATTAATTGCCAATGTTTAAAAATCAGGAGCTTTCAAATAAAAATCTAAAATTTCAGGCTTTAGGAAAAAAAAAATCAGATCTAGAAACATTGTGTCCCTGTAGATGGAGTGTGTTCTCCTGAGTCCTCCAAACTCCATCACTCCCTGATGTCTGCATCTGGTCTACTTCACTTACTTATGTTACTTTCCTGATAGGTTTAAGGCTTAAGGTTTTAGCCACGATGCACATAAACTATTATGGAGACACTGGTATAAGAGAGGCCTCAAGGATGCAGAGACCTACCAGTGTAGACCTGCCTTCAAGGAATTCACAGTCTTATTAAGGGCTTATTGTAAGCGATGATTTCAATTTAGCAGGAATTTATTGAATTCTTACTGTGGACTTGGCACTGAGAATAGAAAACTTAATAAGATACAGCCCCTGCCCAAGAGGAATCTGCCATACTGACCTCTTCCATCCTACTGATTGAATTGGAATTTCTGTCTTTCTGTTTCCAATCCAGGTTGAAACTCCTAATATCATTAACTTTTTATATTATGCTTACAACATCATCAAGTTGAGCCCTAGTTTTTGTTTTGTTTTGTTTTCAATATACTCGTAACATAAAATTGCGACAGTGACTTATTTGTAGATAAATTTCATCTTCTTAAAATTTTGGAGAACAGAACACACACAGAAACATGTCTTTCTTATTTTCTGTAGAGAGAAGGTTTTTAAAATATGTGGCTTCTCAACTCCCAAATAGTGGGGACTAAGTAAAGCGTGTTCACTGAGATAAATGGATGAATGGATGAATGTTGGATGACACTCAAATGTCTAATCTAATTCACCCCTTCATCTACATCCATTCATTCGTTTAATCAACAAATATATAAGGAACTGGGGAAAGGTGTTCCAGACGCAGAGGACAGCAAATCCGAAGGCCCTGAGGTGGGAATAAGCTTGATATGGTCCAAGAAACAGAAGGAAAGCCAGGGCAGTTGTGGGGAGAGAGTGAAAAAAGTGATTAGATATGACAACAGTGGTCAGATAATGTAGGGCCTTGTAGGCTTTGTGGCAGACTTGTGTATTTTCCAAGTTTGATGAAACTAAGATCTGATTTCCATTTCTAAAAGATCACGCTGGCTGCTGCATAGATAATGGATGACAAGGAGGCAGGATCAAATCCAGGAGACCAGTTAGGTGGTGACTGGTGAATTTTAAATTTTAGTTCATCACGACCAATTAGGTGGTGACAGCAAATGAGAGGTGATAGGTAATGATCACAGGGTAATAATGATGATGATGGGACTGATTCTGGACATATTCGAAGCTTGAGTATTGATTGGCATCATGGCACTATCCAGCAGATAGATAATGCCAACCACATGTATAATTTTAAATTTTTTAGTAACCACATTCTAGGAACCACATTTCCCAGTAACAGCCTTTTTGTGTTGAGTGTTGAGAAGAAATGTCTTTTCAAATGTACTGTTTTTGCTGAAAATATCTCTTTATATTGTCCGCTTCATTACCTTTAAATGTTTCAACCCAACAAACAGCTTTGTTGTGTTCTTCTGCAGGAAATTATAGTTGACATTCCTACTGAGTTTTGTGATATTCCTTCCTCTAATCTGTTTTACCTTAATTTTCTCAGTTCTAGAATAGGCTTGTGATTCTCACCTCAATTTTTCAACAGCACTAAATTTCAAAACATGTCTATACTTACTTGTTAGAACTTAAGTTAATAATTTATAATTAAAACAATAATTTTAATTTAATTATCAATTATGATTTACATAGGTATCCTCATAAATTATGCTGTTTCCATCATATATTAAAGGAAGCACATTACAATGTTATATAGTACAAAGAAAAAAAATCACGCTGAATCAATCTGTTTACGGGGACTAAACTTACATTGGCATGATGTGTTTATGTCTAATAATACAAAGCATGTGTGTATTCAACACACTCACTGCAAATGACAATAACATCTTATGTAATGAAATAGTTAAATGGAAATGTCATCTTGCCGACACCATAAAGTCATGCTTGGTGGAAAAGTATTTTGAGCTGCTTCCGTTTTTAAATTTAACTTTACAAGAGTTAAAATGAACTAAAATTTTAAATTCAGTTCCTCAGTGGCACTAGTCACATTTCAAGTGTTCATGACCACGTGTGGCTGGTGGCTGGCGTATTGGACAGCACAGCTCCAGTGCAACTTAGACTGAGTTGTCCTGCACTTGCCAGAGAAGGGGCTGCGCTACAGGACTCCTAAATACTGTGCTCTCCTTCTGACTCCCTGCTTTTCTACTCTGTGGTACTCAGAACCCAAATATCAGGGCTTGCTTATGGCATTCAGTTAAGAAACAAATTAAGGCAATATGAAACCCAACCTTTAGGAACAAGATTACATTTTTAAAGGACGTTTTCTTGGGCCAGGTGCGGTGGCTCACGCCTGTAATCCCAGCACTTTGGGAGGCCGAGGCGGGTGGATCACGAGGTCCGGAGATCGGGACCATCCTGGCTAACACAGTAAAACCCCGTCTCTACTAAAAAATACAAAAAATTAGCCGGGCGTGGTGGCAGGCGCCTGTAGTCCCAGCTACTTGGGAGGCTGAGGCAGGAGAATGGCGTGAACCCGGGAGGTGGAGCTTGCAGTGAGCTGAGATTGCGCCACCGCACTCCGGCCTGGGCGACAGAGCGAGACTCCATCTCAAAAAAAAAAAAAAAAAAAAAGTTTTCTTGCAGAACAACCAACGTTTTCTTTATGAGAAGGAAATAATCTATTTGACATAGAAAAACTGACTTGCACAAACATGTGACTTTTTTCACCTGCTATGTTTGAAATACACATGTCTATCACTCTGGCAGTATTGAGCATGCCAAGACTGGCTACTGGCCATAAGCTGGTGTCCACTTTGTGGCATCGAGGAGGGGCTACCACAAGCTGGCTCCATGTGTTCATTTTTGTTAAATGCCAAATATGGGGCTGTTTGATGACTGTTGCACTCCATCAAACAGATAATGCCAATAAATGTCATTGATATTCAGTAGTCCATAAGACTTTCTGGAGTCTGTGGAGCAAATGACACTCATTTTAAAATTTGTGTAACG
The DNA here is from genome assembly GCF_000001405.40 of Homo sapiens. NCBI lineage: Eukaryota > Metazoa > Chordata > Mammalia > Primates > Hominidae > Homo > Homo sapiens. The sequence goes on along the minus strand of NC_000004.12, from coordinate 16,655,518 downwards.
GACGATTGTGGGTTATTAATGTGTTTGTGATGGGTGGGGTCGTCCCTGGCTGTCTCTCACACACACTGCTGCACTCATCTACACCCATGAGCATTTCTCTTCATCAGAAACACTCCCCTGATTAAACTCTGATCCTGCCACAGCTCCCCTGGCAGGTCTCCAGACCTGCCATCAGCGTGCCTTGTCCTTGGGTAGTGCTTTGAAGCATAAACAGACCCCTTCATGTCTGTGAGAATCTGGATTTCAAGAAAGATCAACCTTGACCTCCTGCTGCTGATGGAAGACCCTCTTGGCCTCTCTGTCCCCCATGGCTAGTGTCACAAATATTAATGCGGTGCTTCCACATGCTGGGCTCAGAATGGCCCCTTTTAATTAAAATATGGATCTATTTTTTCAAATGCATTTTCAGATTTCTGCATGGGGAGAAGTGCTTCTTCCTGCCGAGTGCAATTTCAGATCGGGCAAAATAGGTGCAGATTTCGTTCGAATCTCTTTGAAGTTTCAAAACGTCCTTAAACCCTAGGATAATTTTTTTTTTCTGCTTTTGTATTCTCAATGGTTTCGTGGACATTAGGGAAGAGCTTTCATGTATTCACATCTTTGGGATTCTGAAACATTATTGGATAAATATTAAAGAGAACCAAATTGAAGGGAAGTTAACGTGAATCAAATAGTGCCTAAATAAAATTTTAAAAGTAACCCTTAAAAACGTATTGTTATTAACCAAGACTTTTGAGGAAGTTATAGACTTAACATGAGTCTCATACTAATAAGTCAAGGGTTTCTTATAGGGAAAAATGCCCTATTCTTTCACATATCAATGTGTCCACTTGGAAACAGAGTTCTACATTTATCTCTTAAGATAGCAAGGGACAGATATCAGGAAAGAAACTTAAACTTTGGTTGGCTAAATTTTCCTAACTTCCTGAATGGACCAGGGCTTCCTTTGAGTCCCACAACACATTTTCTAGAACTCCTTTTTGGCATGCTTTGTTGGCATTTATATCAAATTTTAACTTGCTTTTCTTCATGCACCGACCTGCTTCTCCTATGGGATTACTCAACTCCATAAGGATGGGGCTGATGCTGGGTGTTACTATCTCATAGTTGCCTCTCCAGTGCCCTTCCACACTCTTTATCATTTTTCCCCTGCCTTACTCTAAATTTCCCATGATTCGGATGGGGTAGCACAGCTTGCAATGACCTATTCTGCAAAAATCAACAGACAAAACAGGGATTTGGAGGGAGGGAAAAATCAACTCCAATCTCCTTATTTTCACAAACATACAGAGTGTCAGGGAAGTTCCTGGGTGACTGTTTCCTCTGTGTTCATAATTTCCTTATATTGTTCAAGGTTCTCACCCTCAAATATTTGTCTGCACTAAATTTTCATGCAAGTCCTTTGCACCGATATTTGGACCTTGGTAATATAACTTGTTTATAGACGTTTGAGTCTTGATATCTGTGATTAATTTGGAATCATGAACACCTTTGGAATGCCTAAAACAGAGTGGCGACCAAGTTCCACAGCTTGTCCGAGCTCTCCAGATTTTTTAATGTGAGGTTTAGAAAATGCCTCTGAATTTCATCTCTTCCTACCAAATTTGTTACCCCAATCAAAGAAACCTTAGATATAATCACATCTGGGCTCCTCGAGGACAGTGAGTGGATTTGGGAAGGAACAATCCTGGCATATTTCAGATTTGTTTCCTAAATCGTGGTGCACCCAGCAAAGCAACAAAGCTGTCTGGCTCCCATTCTTGTCCACTGGAATGAGCCCAAGTCCCTCGAGGTAGGCACTCTTACTTCCACTTAATTTTATAGTTTGCTTTCATTTGTTCTCCTCACTGAATTTGCACTTGTCTACGAAGTCTGTTTCCTCTGAAGATCTTTCTTTTCTGTTCCTGAACTACTCGGCTGTGTTGCCTGCTTTAAACACTTTGGAGAAGAGTGGGGTTTGATCTTTGTGCAGATGCCAATGTTTTCAAGACAGAGGAGGCCTTCCTGAGGACTCCCCTTTCTTTGGCAATATTAACACCTTACTTTTGCCATTTTTACTTTTTCAGAACTTCGTTTACAGGAAATGATCCCTAGTTGTTGCTTTGTTGTTGTTGTCATCGTTGTTTTTAAATCACCAAATGCCAATTGTCAGCTCGATATTGCCACATGTAAAACTCATCCCAGTTCACCTGCTGTCCACCCTGGTGTATACCTGCTTGTGCAGGGCTGGCGGTGGGGAGAATGGCCACTCAGCAACAATTAGCAGAAGCCAAAAAATGAAAAAGAGGGTGCAAGTCAGGAAAGGTGAGACAGCAGCTGATGCGACTTAGTTCTCTCCAGTCAGGGCAGCTGGAAGACCCGGTGGCTCTATCAGCTGCAGGGCCCCTGCAACAACTTGCTCAAGCTGTGTTTCACAGCCACTCACAACAGTTAACTTCAAGCACATTTTCACACTGTTTGGCTCAAGCTCCTGGCAGCGTTCCTAAACACTCTGAGGAAATAATTCCACAAAGTGGCATAAATTAATGTGACTAATTAACATGATGTTAATTATTTGTAAATTGTATGTTTGGATACACATTACTTGAGAGGCATATGTTATATTCAGTGTTTACTGAAACAAGTGACTGCTAATAGCTCCTCCTGAGTGTTCCCTTCACGACAGTCAGCAAATGGAGGCTTCTCTAAAAATAAAAATCCTGTCCTCGGGGGAGCTGCGTGAATGACTGAATATAATCAACTGCCGTGAAGTAGCCACATTCCCTTAAAAAGTGGAAGTCACTGAGGCTTGCGGCTTCACACCTGGTGTATTTTGGAGATGACTTTATTAAAGTGGTCTCTTCTTTTCCAAAGCCCACAGACAGACGGCTTTTGATCTCCTAAAGTGGTACCCGATGTCTAGCTGGGATGATGGCAGCATCTTTGCATCTCCTTCCAGAGCTGTTTCTGTGCAGGACAGCCCCGCCTTTACCCCACAAATGGGGTGGCAGAAGTCCATTAGGACCAGGACGGGCTAAATATCTATCAGCGTGGTGAACATAAATTCAGAATTGTCCAGGGCTTCTCACTCGGCAACTAAGCTTTGTCTTTGGACTCAAACTTCACATTCCATTTCTTGGTCCCAAAATAAACCAATCTGTTTAAGTAGCTTTTCAGTTCTGAAGAGTGGATTGTATTTTGTTTCATCAAGATTTTTTAGTTTCATGTGCTTTGCGTATGTATCCTTAACATGCAAAATAAATTACTCTTTTTTACTTTAAAAAGTAAAGTACAGGTTGGCATGGTAGCTCACACCTGTAAACATAACACTTTGGGAGGGCAAGGTGGGAGGATCACTTGAGGCCAGGATTTCAAGACCAGCCTGGGCAACATAAAGAGACCTCATCTCTACAAATAAAAAATTATCTGGGTGTGGTGGCGCATCTCTGTAGTCCCAGCTTCTTGGGAGGTTGAGGGGGAAGAATCATCTGAGTCCAAGGGTTCCAGGTTACAGTGCACTATGATCATGCCACTGCACTCAGCCTGGACAGCAGAGTGAAATCCTGTCTGAAATAAAGAAATGAAAGGAAAGTCCTAGTTTTATAGAATTCTTGGGATATAGTACCTAAGTAAGAGCTCTCTATAGTAACATGTTCTGATGACACCTGTTTTGCTATGGCACGCCACCTCCCACCTGGTTAAAAGCATGTATTTTGCTTATATTTTTTAATCAGGATTGAGTGACCAAGTCTATTGGAAGGGAATATGTTGATCCCTTTTCCAACAAAGAAGACAGGGTCATAGTTAGACCTAGTCATGGGAAGGAAAGACCGCACAGGAGTCTAGGAAAGTCTAGCCGAGGAAAGACTGCACATTTATTGTAAATACCATGATTTGGGGTAAAACTCTATAGCTTCCAAATTTTATTATAAGCGTAGACATTAAAAAAAAAAGATGAAAATCACCCCAGGGTCCAAGAAAATCAACTGAGGGAGTGAGGCATCTCAGTCTAGCCGTTCCTGTGTTAACTCCAGACATAGACACAGCTCTTCTCCAGATATTTACTTGCAAGGGGAACATTGACTGGAATGTGTTTCCTGGAGGGCCATGTGAAAATATTTATGAAAATATTTATGGAAAATCAAAGTCATTTGAATTTATTCATGGGCACTAATGAATTAAGTAAAACCAAATAATAATGCTTAAAATATGCATCTGATTATCCTGGACTTTGGAGTTGCAACAAAGCCCTGCTGAACCTGATCTCTGTTGCTGCTGCTTCTAACACTAGCCTCCTTTTACTCCCTGCAACCACTGAAAGACAGGTATCTTGGACATAATGGACTCTATGGAGTGAATGGATGAGTGATCCCAGGTGAGAAGTTAAAAAGAAAGTGTGTGTTCTCCTCAAACCTAGACTACATAGTCATTCTCAAAATTGCTTAACAATACAGATAGTCCCTAGGCAAAATTTCATTTTGTTTTAATTTCACTGACAAAAGGAATATGTGACATTTTGGGAAATATAGGGTGAAAGAAGGAGGAAAGTTGCTGATACTGAATTTCCCCCACACATGATAACCCATAGATATTAGGGATAGAGAAATCAAGATTCTAGAAGGGTTTTCACATTTGGGTTTGGGAAGTAGACCCTTGACTTGAGAGAGAAGTGATACCTGTCTTAGGAGAAAGGAGAGTGACCATTGATATGACAGTCTTCAGTGACTCCCACTTTTTAAGGGAATGGGGCTACTTTGTGACAGTTGACATATGAACTGAAATGGCAGCAGGAGCCTCATTTGAGATGGCTCTGGTAGTCTTGGGGGTGTCTCTCAATGTGTTCACTTGCAGAGCCATGTCGTAGTCCAGTGCTACAAGGAAGATACCAACTATTGCTATACACTGCAGGTTTGGTATTTGAAAACATAAACACAAATGTGTTTACAGTTATTAAATGTTATAAGTAGAGTTCCAGAACACAGTTGTTTTTAAGTTGTATAAATGACTACAGAAAAAGACTGGAATCTTATATAAATGACTGTATATCTTATAAAAATTGTCCTGAATTCAGATTCTTTGTAACCCCAGCACACAACATGGAACCCAAAACATAGTCAACTCTCAAAAATACTTACTGGGTGAATGAAAAAATTACACCAAGCAAACCAACAAGACCTCAAGAAGGTAGATAATAATAATAATCAAAAACGTGCTATTGGCAATTACTGTGCTACTGACCCAATGCTAAGTATTTGGCATGTATTAACTCATGGAGCCTTCACACAGTCCCATCAGACAAGTTTTATCATTATCTCCATTTTACAGTTGGGAAAGCCCAACACAGAGAGGTTAGAAAATTTGCTCAAGGTCACAGAGCTTGGAAGTGGTGGTGCCAGGATTGGAAATTAGGCATGTTGATTCCAGAGATTCTTCTTCTAACACTCCTTGCTTGATTAAACAGCAGAAAAGTTTTATCTCAAAAGGAGAATGTTTTCTCCTCTGTTAAAGAACAATGTCAGAAAGATCCAGGAGCCGCCCTTGGGAGCAGAATTGGGAGCAAAGGGAGGCACTCTCCACTCACCAGTTATTGACAGGTAGGAGGAAAATATGAATATTACTTGCGGATATTTTCTCAGCCAGTTTCAGCCACCAGCTCTATCAATTCCTTAAAACCCTGTTTCGAGTAGCTCTGACTTCAGAGGAACTTTAATAGCATGGCATCATCAGTTTAGTTTTCAGTGTTTTGTGCTAGTCTCTAAGTTCTGTCAATAAGGATCATAAGAAGAGTTCAAATGGATTCAGTGTTTTCTATTTGCCAGGCCATTCTAAGCCCTTTATACAGATGTATATAGTAGGCACAGTCATTGGCATCCCCATTTTACAAATGAGGGAACTGAGGTACAGAAGTTAAGGGCTAGTGAGTGGTAGAGCTGGAATCTAAGCAGTCTGGATCTGCGGTAGCTCCCAAGATTTCTGGTATGTCTTAATGCATATGTAATGGAGAAAGAGTAAAATAATGCCCTCTGTGTACTAACTTAATCTACTCAAATGTAGAAGGTATGTAATGGCTATGCTGCTTTGTGTAAGAAAAATCTGTTAAGCACTTTAGTTCTCTCTCTCTCTCTCATCTCTCTCTCTCTCATATGCCAATATGCCTATGTGTTCAGAAACCTAAGGAAAGTGAAATGTTTACAATATAGTAGAGCAATTAGACTTTGGTCATACATTTTACAGGCAACACTTGGGGCAAACATATGCACATCATCATGAGAAATGGAAGCATTTCGTTCCCAGTATAAACCTAGCAAGACCTGCAGTTCTTACTTCAGCTTACCCTGAAAGCCAAATATTGTAGTTACCTCTTGACAGAAAAGAATTCAGGGTAACATTCCCACTAGGGTTCTACCAAGAGCAGATATAAAGAAGTGAAGTTGTAAGCTGAGACATGGCTTCTTGCCACTGTCTAGTTAAAATAGAATTAATATTTTTCTTTACTACATAAGAAAGTAGTTTTCTAAGGGATCATACATTTTTAAACCAGTGACTGTCTATAATTTCTGACTTTTAAAAAAAAATCAAATTATTGGCTTCAGCTTCCATTTTTAAACTCTGCCCTGCTTTGTACTTACTTAGAACATTCAAATTTCAGAGCCCTTCATCTGTGAATTAATCATGTGTGGAGTATGTGCAGTTGGAATTTAGCTATAAATATAAATGAAATTGCTCTAGCCATGGCTGGGTTCAAAAAACTAGAGTGACTTGGAGTTTTCAGTTAAAAAAAAAATAGAGAAATTTTAAGGGAGCAAAAAAAAGTTAAGTTGAGAGAAGCAATTAAATAGAGTCTTTTTGCATTAAAATGTTGGGCTTGTGTTGTATATATACTTAGTTTCTAAGACTCTGCAAATCAGCTTATAAGCTCTATGTCAAGGTGAAAAGAACAGAGTTTGCCAAACTCCAGAGTATCTTTCTCACTTGACCTGCAGAAATTAATCAATGTGAGGAATGACCACATGATGTGTTATATAGTTACTGCCTGGTGCCAGTTGGCAAGAAGGTTCATCAAGCTAGAGAGTTGAGAAAATGAGACAGGTAGGGATGAAAATGTATACACAATGCCTGCTTGACCAAGGGCACACACCTTAGACTATGTTCTTTCCCCAGAAAGTCTGTGGCAGAAGTGGCTAGAAAACACTTTCATCTACAATGGTGTTTCTTATCAGATCTGGTTGACACCGTCTTCCTTTATGATGACGGAGTGCAAAGGAGCTGGAATTTAAGTTTGGAGCTCTGGGCTAAAGTTGTAGGTAGCCCAGCAAGCTACCTAACCCTCTCCAAGACTCAACTTCCTTGTGTATAAAATGAGAAGAGAACATCTGCCATTTAAGAGAGCTGTGGAGAGCAATTGAAATCAGCTGCTTTATTTACAGACATGTATTGAATACCTACTGTGTGCTATGATGCTATGTGATGTGTTTGGGATACAAGAAAAGTTACACTTCTCAAGGAATTCTTCCACTAGGGGAAGACAGACTAGTGAGCAATGATTAGAGATGCATTGTGGGAAAGAGATGCATTATATTCAGAGTGTAGGTTAGCATAGGAGAAAGCTGAATAAGCCTGTAAGGTGTACTAACTTTGGTTATAAATACTCTAAAAATTGGGGAAATGCATTCTTTCTCTTTCAAGGAGGACCTGAGAGTCAGGTAAGGTCTCACAGAGAGAACCTCATAACACAAGTATTGGTATTTGAATAGGAATTCACCTACATGGTGTCGGAAAGAGGGAGTGACATGGCAAAGACATGGAGTCAGTGGGAATAAAATGACTGGTGTTGCTGAGCTGAATGAAGCACCAGGCAAGATTGAGGGGAAACATGATCGTCTTTCTCGGGAGCTTGGATTTCATCCTGAGAACTTCAGGAGGGGCAAAGTAGGGTCAGATCGAATGCAGTTACCAGAGGCATCACAGCATGGAACTTGGGACCCACTGCCTTGCAAAAGTGATCATTCACTAGGGGCTGCATATTATGATGATATATTCTTATGCACACTATTCAGAAATAATTTTTCATTTTTATTCTTATATGTCAGCTTTATTGAGACATAATTCATGTGCTATACAATTCACCTATTTAAAGTATACAACTCAATAATTTTTGCTATATTCATTGAGCTGTACAACCATCATCATAATCAATTTTAGAACATTTTCATCACTCTAAGAAGGAACTCCATACTCATTAGCAGTCACCTTCTTATTTTCTTCCCCAAGCTTTATAGATTTGCCTATTCTGGACATTTCATATAAACAAAATCATCCTGCATGGGGTATTTTGTGACTGGCTTCTTTCACTGAACTTAATCTCTTCAGGTTTCCTCCAAGTTGTACTATATATCAGTACTTCATTCCTTTTTCTGACCAAATAGTCCTTTATATGGATGTGACAAATTTCGTTTAACTGTTCCTCAATTGATGAATACATGGGTTGTTTCCATTTTTTGGCTATATGAATAATGCTGCTATGACCACTCATGTACAAGTTTTTACATGGATATATGTTTGCATTTCTCTTGTGTAGTGGTATTGCTAGTAGTGGTATTGCTGAATCATATGGTAAGTGTGTGTTCAACATTTTGAGGGACCATCAGACTGTTTTCCAAAGTGGCTGCATGCTTTTCCCCTTTTCTATTAATATCTGATATATTGACCATTGTTTGTAACTATGTGAACTTTGTGGAAGAGAACCAGAGGAAGGAGTTACAGCTCCTTTTTGCTGTTTGATGGTCCCGTACAGGGGTTAGCATTTGTTGTGATAATACTGCATAAAAAGCACCAAATCTCAGTACCTACAAGGACAAATATTGATTTCTTCCTCTTAAATCTGCAAGTCAGCTGTAACTCCGCCGGTCCCTGCTAGGATTGGTAGGGCTTGACTCCAAGCTGCAGATCAGATTCATTCAGGGGCCAGTGGCTCCCCAGGCCATATTCTTCTTATGGCAGATGTGCAAGAGGCCATGTTGAACCAGTAACATTCCTTTGGCCAAAGCAAGTCACACAGCTAAGCTCAAAGTTGAACGCATGGGAAAGTTTGCTCTACCTGTTTTTCTGAAAATGTTTGCAATGTCACATGGCAAAGTGTTTTTATATAAGCCTATTAAAAGAGTGGAGTAAAGAGTTGGGAAGAAGGATCTAATATTCCACAGTTAATATATAATTTACAGTACTCTGAAACTGACTTGTTCTAGATCAAGATAACAAGCAGAGAAATAGACAAAAAAAGAAAGCGGAAAGAGAGATTTCTACATTACAGCATATTTTAAAAAACTGAACTGTGAAAAAGTCATGGAAACTTAGAAGCCAGTCTTTGGAGATGTGCTTTAATGAAAGGGTGAAGGAATTTGTAGATAGTCTATTGATTTTACACATTTCATTTCAATGCTTAAACAGTCCTCAAATGCTTGGTTACTTCGTAGAATAACAAAATTTGGGGGTATAAAGAGCGTCAAAGGATGTCTCATTCTATCTAAAGAATCAATGCAAAGTGCTAAAAGAGATTCTAGCCCCAGAGTGGGTGCTCTCCACTTTCTGAGGCCACTCGGATGTCTGCCAGCCACCCGGAATGGCTCTCAGACTAATTACTTACATTCTGCTGATTTTCAAGACAGCTCTTGAAGTAGATGCTGTTATCATTCCATTATACAACCAAAAACATTGAGACTTAGAAAGATGAAGGTAAAGACACAGCTACCAAGCAACAGGTCTGAAATTTAAACTCTGACCCAAAGCTCATGTGATCAGCTACAATCCTGGATGTGCCAAATAGAAAAAGATCCCTGCTTCTGTTGATTCTGAATATACCTATCTTAACCTGAATTTACCTCCTGTTGCTTATTTCTCTCGGGTTTTCTTTGAGTGTAAGTAGGTAAAACATTACTCTGTCAGTCTTGCTTATATTTGAATCTACCTAACCAATCCTTTTTTTTTTTTTTTTTTTTTGAGACGGAGTCTCGCTCTGTCGCCCAGGCCGGACTGCGGACTGCAGTGGCGCAATCTCGGCTCACTGCAGGCTCCGCTTCCCGGGTTCACGCCATTCTCCTGCCTCAGCCTCCCGAGTAGCTGGGACTACAGGCGCCCGCCACCGCGCCCGGCTAATTTTTTTGCATTTTTAGTAGAGACGGGGTTTCACCTTGTTAGCCAGGATGGTCTCGATCTCCTGACCTCATGATCCACCCGCCTCGGCCTCCCAAAGTGCTGGGATTACAGGCGTGAGCCACCGCGCCCGGCCACCAATCCTTTTTTAAAATTACTACAGCTATTGTAAAAGGAAACCTCAGCCACTGTGTGAATTAGCTTAGACTCTGAATTAGTGGAGTCAGAATCCTCGGGACTTGATCTTTTGCCTAAAAGGTGTCATAGCTATCAATGCACTTATTTGCCTGTGCTCCTTTTTGCCAAAGCCTAAATTAAACACAGGTAATGTAGAGAGTTGGGCAGGGGGTGATTTTATTTTGTTTCAACAATAGTAAGAGTTTTTCTGTTTCCAACTTAAGTGTTTATGCTTATGTCTATATATCAGTTGGGCCACTAAGAGCAAATGAGGTTACCTAAAGATACCTAGAATAGTAACAGGATGAGGATGAGAGTGGAAGAGGGAAAATATAAGGGTGCCTGAAAGCTACTTGACCTGAATATCTGATATGGAAGATGATCGGAAAAGAACTAGTTTAATAGAAGAGGATAATGGAAGCTAAAATGTGAAATTATGAAAGAGAAACCTTATCAGAAAGTGTAAGACAAAAAATTGGTTCATGGCCAAGTGCAGTGACTCATGCCTATAATCCCAGCACTTTGGGAGGCCAAGGCAGGTGGATGACTTGAGGTCAGAAGCTCAAGACTAGCCTGGCCAACATGGTGAAACCCCGTCTCTACTAAAAACACAAAAAAATTAGCTGGGCATGGTGGCACATGCCTGTAATGCCAGCTACTCGGGAGGCTGAGGCAGGAAAATCCCTTGAACCCAGGAGGCAGAGGTTGCAGTGAGCCAAGATCATGCCACTGCACTCCAGCCTAGGCCATAAGAGTGAGACTCCATCTCAAAAAAAAAAAAAAAGAAAAAAAAATTGGTTCATGTGAAATACCTAATGATTAAGTTGGTCATGAAAAACGAAATGGACATGTTACCGGATTTAGGGCCTAATGGCATTAGATCAGCCCTTTTTTAAGAAAACACCTGGAGCTTGGGATGAAATATTGAAGTGCAAGTCCCATCATTTGTGTCTCTACACTGGTTGGCATTCTGTATTCAAAAATATTCTGTCAAAACCAGAATTTACCAAAGTGGCAGCAATAAATCTCACACACACTCTCCCACTCTTCCAAGGTATAAACAGAGCTTCTTCAAACGGGAGTACCATACTTAATGGCATTCCAAATGGATGGGTTTCTCTGTCAGACCGTAGACAGCTGTGCTGTGAGAGTGTTCATAAACTGTGTGTGAGCAATTGACAAGTTGACAAAACATTGACAAAAAACAATTACTCAAGAAGCAGCACTTGGAAGGGCTGTTTGTTGTTTAGGAGAGACCAAAGAAACAATGAAAAAGCATGGTTAGGTGCTATATTTGCCATTGCACACACACAAAAATTATTTCTCAGAATGCATCTCAAGACTCTGTAAGAAAAAAGCCAGCAAATAAAATGATGTATTATAATATGCTAAGTTTATTCGTGACACTTTATTTGTGAGATGCATTTAATTACTGGGCAGGGTTTTTTTTTTATTTAAACAACGTTAATTACGCTGTACCAAAGACCAAAATGAAGAGGTTGTTTTAAGATGTTTCTATGGCAAATAATACTTGGAATAGACAAAATATTTTGAAGTGCTTAGATACAAAATGTATTTTATTAGCTTGAAATAATTACTATATTTTTAGGCATGATCTGCATACTCTATTTATTTTGAGAATAATTTGCCTTCTTGGTTTGCAAAATGCAAAGGGATCAGAGTTTTAGTGCCATTTAACAATAATAAATAATAATGATAATGATGATAGCAAAGAACATTTAGGCCTTATTTTGTGCCAATTAGCCATGCTAAATGTGTTACTTGCATTGTCTTAATGACTTCTTGATACCTGTCTGTGAGAAAAGAACTATTATCAATCCTTTGATATGGATAAGGAATCTGAAAATAGGAAGCTCAGAGCAGTTATATTGCTTTTTGAAGAACATACAGCTAGTAACGGAGTGTGGCATTAGGATTTGAACGTAGGTATGTCATGCTCTGGGTGGTGCAGTTAGCACATATGGAGCCTCCATTGGAATTAGGAAAAAGTGCCCCCCCCACCCCATCCCACCCCACAAAGATACTTTTATCCCTATCTGTTAGAGAATTGTTGTAATAAACCGATTGTGTGGTAGACGAAGACAGCTTACTGCCATCTACCGGGAAATTGTTGTAATAAATATACATACAAGTCTATGATATGAAAGGTGTTCTTTAGAGGTGGCTCTGCCAGGCATCATACATGGAGGTTAAGGTGTTTAACCAATCCTGCTATTCAGGTGGAAGAACATACTCATTCCCTAAAAAGAAAAAAATTAAAAAGACTATCTTCTTGCCACCCCTCTACAATTTTCTTTTTTATTCAAACTTGAGCCTGAATGAAATGCTATGTTGATCTTGATGTGAATGATTTATTTGTCCAATGTCTATTCACTGCTGAGGGTGGCAGTTACCCGTGGTCATCTATCAAGCAGGCAGAGATAATGTCTGCTTTCCAGGAGCTCATAATCTAAGAGGGGCAATAATTAAACATATCCTTAAGAGAAAGGTCCATGGGCTTCCTTTCAAGAGCCACCTCCAAATGATTGATCATGGTCACCTGGAGAGCCACTGTCATTGAGGAGGAACAGGGTCCTGAAGCTGGGTCCATGGAAAGGAAGCCCAGTGAATTATTATTAGTTCAGCGATAATGTTATCTTGTTCCTTCATGCTTTTTTGTGAGATTTTCTTTCTTTTCATTTTCAATTTATCTCCTTCTGGTATTTGATCATCTTGTCTCTGAGCTCTAAGTTTACTAAATTCATGTTTCTATCAACTTCTGTATCATGAAGTTTTTATGGGTATTTCCTGTTTTTTCACATTTTTTTCCATTAGGAGTGGGTTTTTGTGCGTTTACCTGCTATGTTCTCTCCTTTTCTTAACATTTCCTTTTCCTGTAGTATATTCTCATAGTTACTATACAGTTCTTTGTCATATTAATCATGCTAGAAGGTTCAGACTTACTAGTTAGCTCAGTAATGTAGGCATGATCTCATTCCTCTCTCCCATATTATCTAGGACTGCTATGAATTTCCCTCCAAGCACTTGGCTTTCTGAGGCAATTTGGTTTCTGGGAGATGAGACCAAGTTTTGAAGTTGTGCTGTGTTGCAACTCTCCTTTCCACTTCAGAATTGTCTTATTTCTATTTTTGGCTACCAGTTCTTAATTTTTTTCTGTTTTATTTTTAGTTGACAGGCAATAATTCTACATACTTATGGATACTTAATTTTCTTTATACTAAGTCATGCCCCCTCCCCCACTTTAGTTACTTTTAGTAATTGTTTCTTGCTACTATTTTCTTTCCTTTGTTAATGTTCTTTCATATTAAGGCAGGTGCCCTGGCCCCTGGTCCCAGCTCTCTGCCTTGTTTTCAATGTGACTCTGTGTGTCCTTTTTGCTTCTCAAGTACTTGCTTTCCCAACACAGTTACTGACATAGTTTGTATATGTGTCCCCCTCAAATCTCAAGTTGAAATGTGACATCCAGTGTTGGAGATGGGGCTTTGTGGGAGGTGATTGGGTCTTGGGGGCGGGTCCCTCATGAATGGCTTAGTGCCATCCTTGTGGTAATGAGCGACTTCTTACTCTGAGTTCACAGGAGATCTGGTTGTTAAAAAGAGTCTGGGACCTCTCACTTCTCTCTCCTGCACCCCTTCTCTTGCCATGTGATGCACCTGTTTCTGCTTCACCTTCTGCCATGAGTAAAAGCCCCCCGAGGCCCTTACTGGAAGCAGAGAAGATACCCATGCCATGCTTCCTATACAGCCTGCAGAGCCATGAGCCAATTAAACCTCTCAAGTCTCCCTTTATAGCAAAGCAAAACAGACTAACACAGTTACCGTGCCCCTGAGCTCTCACTCTAGAAACTTCCCCTTTGCTTTCTTTCTCATTGAACATGCCTTGTTTTCCACATAGGTTCATTTCCTGTTCCTCTTGTAGATAATAAAAGGTAAGCTCCTTTATGTGAAATACCAGTTTCCTACCTGCCGTCTCCTGAAATAAAGTCAGCTTCTCCTAAAATGGCCTTTTCATTTCTTTCTCTTAAAATATTGTCCATACATCACAGAGATATCCTCTCCTTCTCCTCTACTGCCAAACTCCCTAGTCAAATCCAAAATGCTTCCAGTTTCCATCTATGTCCATCTCCTTGGCTTTGTTCTTTTTTTCCTTATAGTTTTCAACTTCCCACCATCATTTGGAACTGGTGTCCTGTTTGTCTTAAATGGGTAATCATCATGGGGACAAGGACTCCAAGCCTAGAGTGAAATTTGACTCAATTTAATGAAAACAAAATTGTCTTGAAATTGTTGAATTTGAACTAAAAATGACAATATTTCCTAATAAGGACCTATTTCAAATAGAAATCTTAGATCTAAGATATCAAATACATGGTTCATTGACAGCCTTCTGGCATAGAATCTACTCTTTTCAGAGGAAAAGGTAGAGCAAGACTATCTGAGTTTGATCCTGTATCTGTCAATTACCAGCTGTGAAACCTGGGCCAAGTCACTTCACCTCTTTGTAAGTAAGTTTCCTTATACAGAGATTGAAGATAAAAATAATGCCCACTTCATAGATTTTGCTGTGCGGATTATATTACTTAACATATAACAAGTAGTTTTAATAGTGTCTGGCTGGTAGTAAATGGTCACAAAATGCTAGCTGTTACTATTCTTTCCCTTCACCCCATGGATCTGAGAAATAATGATGAAGAAGGAAGACTGAGCATTCATCCCTAATATTGTCCTCGTGGCATATTCCTCCTCCTAAAAAGTCAGGATTGTTCCTGAAGCCTCTCTAATAGCCCAGCAACTTAGAAGGTCCTTCATATTTCAGTTAACGATCTATAATCCACTAACTATCTAAGGAATTTCCATTATTGCACTGACTAGCTTATATTACAGTTCTCTATTACCCACCTCCTTCACCAAAAAACTATTAGTTCATCTGTTTGTTCAATCTTCAAATATTAAATATATCTTTTTTGTACACCCACAAGGTAGAATACTTGTCCTCTTATCCCTTGTAGAATAGAAGGGTTATAAGTCACTAAACAGATGATTGGGTAATGCATTCCAACTGACATAACTACTACAAAGGAGAAAGCTAGGGTGCTTCAAACATGTAGAAAGTAAAGTGGCACAGAGTAGATGTTTAGCAAATAATTAACAGAAGGATGGACAGATGGATAGATGAAAATTTGGGAATTAGCTAACTTCACTGGTGTGAGAATATTGTAAAGTTGTTTGGAAACAGATGGACAACATATGCTATTTGTCATCTTTATCTCCTGCAGGTGTTTTGCACAAGTGTGAGCGCTGTGAAGCAGAGCACATCTGCCCATTGCCTCTGGGTCTCCTGCCCTTAGGGCAGTGCTAGGTCCCTGGTTATGTATTTATTGAAGGAATGAATTTAATGCAAAACAGGGGCTACATTTCAATAATTACAAAATAACTCTGGGTACGGTGGCTCACGCCTGTAATCCCAACACTTTGGGAGGCTGAGGTGGGCGGATCACCTGAGGTCCGGAGTTTGAGACCAGCCTGACCAAACAATGAAATCCCGTCTCTACTAAAAATACAAAATTAGCCAAGTGTGGTGGCACATGCCTTTAATCCCAGCTACTTGGCAGGCTGAGGCAATAGAGTTGCTTGAACCTGGTAGGTGGAAGTTGCAGTGAGCCGAGATCGTGCCATGGCACTCCAGCCTGGGCAACAAGATCAAAACTCCGTCTCAATAATAATAATAATAATTCTTTTGGTTTCAGATTCCCCTGTTTTCTTTCATCAAACTTACTATTCTTTTCTTACTAAAAGATCTGTTTTTGCCAGTTTTGTATTTAGATGTTACACCTGTCTTTGGGTTTTGTTTCATAGTGCTCTCTGAAGCCAAGTCACGCCCATGCTAAATTTCTATAGACCCAATTGTTAGCACAATTAGCTTTTTAACCTTTAAATTATTTTACATGGCAACAGAAATTGGGCAACCATTGTTTTCTCCCAGACAACATCAGAAACATTTTACCTAGAGTGAATTCTACATATAATCATTCAGGGGGAAAAATGTGAAACCAAGTAAGGATTATAATACTTAGTTTATTCTTCTCCTTTGGCAAACTTTATAAAAGCTCTCAAACTTTGCTCTGAAACTTGATTCAAAAGTTGAAAGATCCAAGCCTGAGTTATTTTTGCAACTACTCTTTTTGCAACATCAGGGAATGTTTCTCTGTTTTTAATAGGGAAATGTTAAATTTCCCTCTTAATATTTAATTAATTTTAACAGAGCATTAAAAAAGGATCTTACCGATTCCAAATTGGAGATTGCATCTCTGTGCTCCCACAAAACCCGTGTTGGTTTCTATCACAGGACACATTGCTCTTGTCTTAGTGTATCAATCTGTGCCCTTGTTTGTGCCAAGTACCAGATGATAAACTCCTCGAAAGCAGGAAGAGTGAGGTGCCTACCTTTATGTCCTAGTACCCAGCACAGTGCTTGGCAGGTAGAAGTTATTCACTGGATATGTTTTTGCTGAATGAATACATCAATGAAAGGAGATGCAGACTTTAAATCTACGGTATAAAAAGGGTTGTAAAATACAGAAGCAATACAAATTAATTAGAAAATAAAGTGTTGACACACTGGATCCCATTTAAGTGTGCCTATCTCCATTTCATTTTTGAAGTTCTTTGGGTTTTGCTTGAGATATTCATTCCTCCTTTCCCAGAGGTTCCCTGCTCTCCAAGCAATCTGAGCTGGATCGGGCTGCGTTGGACAAGGTGACTTCTAAGCTCTATTCGTACGTTCATTCAGCAAATACTTCCAAAGCGTTTTCTCCAGACCCCCTTGTGCTACTGAACGGTGAACGCTCATTTGTAAGAAACATGCATCAGTTACAGCACTTGAGGATGTCACTGTGCCCATTCAACACCACAAAGAGTAGGAAGCCAGGAAGTACCAAGTGAAAGTGTGGGGCTGTCTTTGCGTAGTATCCTGCTTTTTATTTCCTGCAATGCTGAACCCCTTTCTAATACATTTTCTAGCAAAATCCATAGTTCCCTTCTTTGCATTCTCATGACTCTTCAGTCATTTGCAATCATGGAGCCCTTCTCATGTGCCAGGGACTACTCTAGTAAGCATTTTATGTTTTTCATTCGTTTAATCCTTAAGGCCCTTTAATTCTACAAGGTGAGTGCAGTTAATATCGTGCTTTAAAAATAAATAAATGAAGCACAGAGAGGTGAAGCCACTTGCTCAAGCTGTCCTGCTGGCAAGTGGCAGAGCCAGGATGTGGAGCCTGGCACCTGGCTCCAGAATGCAGTACCCTGTGCCCCCTCTCTTTTGACAGAGGATGTGCTTTGTTCAACTTCTAATCTCAAGCATCTGCCATGCATCTGCTATGACCCTCTCTTGGTGGACTCTAATAGAAGAATGGAAGAAGAAGTCTTCATAATTAAGATATTAAAGAATGGTTTATTCTCCTGCTGTTGTCCCTGCCACATTATTTCCATTCTTCTTTCTGTAGTCTGTCCTGACACCCCTATCTTAATTAAGTCTCCCCATTATGTTCTCTGAGCATCCAGGGCTTCTCTTGGTAGCTTTTGTTACAATTAATTACTATATATTAATTTGTGCAACATCTGCTTGTTGTTGAGTCCGTTTTAAACCCCAAGAGGACAGATGGGGAGCACTGGTTGACCACGTAGCCAGCCCTGCACTTGGCTCAGAGTGGGTACTCCGTAAAGACTTGTGGAATTAATGAATGAGTCATCATTGACTTTACTATGTGGCCACATCATATCATTTAAGCACCCACATAATTGCTTATGAATAACAGCTCTCTTTCAACCACTTAGAGAAAAAGACACCTGCTCTATGAGGAGAGGAAATGCAAAAAAAAAAAAAAAAAAAAAAAAATCAGCCTAGGCAAGAACTTCCATAGAGCATTCAAGCCTTTCTCACAAAGAATTGGGATTGCTTATGTTAAGTGGAGAAAAACAATCCAGTTTTGTAACTTAAACCTCCTTCCTTTAGACTCCACAAAAGTAGAATTTGTGAATATTTTCCCTGGGTTGGGCCAGACTAAAGAAAGTGTTTCCAAAGCCAGTGATTTACAGCAAGAAGACAGTAGGAGCCTTTGTTTTTCCTAGAGCAAAATGGCTTTGAGGAATTTCCGCACCTAAATTGTTTGTGATCAGATGGGGATTTCTGATTTCAATGAAGGCAGATCCAACTGGAGTCCTATCTGGAAAATTTTTGTTATCAGGGAGTACAAATTGCAGAGTAAACTTTAATACAACACAGATAGTGCTTCTTAAAATCTTGGGCAATTGTATTGCTTTTCCTTCTCAATGGCTTCTCAGTGCTTCTTTTTGCAAATCCTATTTGAACTGCTTTGACACCCAGCTGCTTCAGAGCTTTTTGTTCTTTTTGTTTTTGCTGGCAGATAAATTACAAATTTAAAAAACATGTTATCTCTTGAATTGGTTTAGGTTTCTCACCAATTCAGACTGCCCCTCTTGTCCCCCACCCCCACATTCCCTTAGTCCAAATGTAAGAGGATTTGCTGTAATGAAATTATTCCTATTATGAACCTCAGAGAATAAAGATGCAGAGTTGAAAACAAAATACATAAATATAAGTTGTCATACAGCCTGAAGGCTCTGCAGGTAAATGACAATCTTATTGTCTAGGGATCAACTTATCTCCTAAGTAACTAGAGTGCCATCAGAACCATAAGGCATTTAATCTACTCGACAGACTGGCATTGAGGTATGATACCGTGGGCCTACTGCCTGTTAGGTGTCATCTTTGCAGCTCTCCATTTCTGGTTTCTTTGGTCTAGTAATTTGGGAGAAGAGGAGAAAATACATCCTGGCTGTGGCTGGAGCAGCAGAGAATGATAAAGGCTTTTTTTCCACACATTTGTGTGGTTTTCCTTATGCACCCAAGTGGACTGGAAGCTCAGCTCTGTCACTGACGTTGTGGTGTGGTCCTAAGCAGGCCACCGCAGCTCCCTGAGCCTTAGCAGTTTCTTCTGTAAAACTGGGATAACATGACGATGACTTTTAGGATTTGCCCCAGTGTAACTCAACTGGGTCTTTAGTAATTTGTGGTGGTGTTTTATATGGCATATGCCTTCATATAAAACAATCCTTAACTCTGCAAATGTTCTACATGGCCCATCACTTATATAATCAATCTCTATTGGCCACTTCTCAGTGAGAGCCTCCACTCGTCTAGAAGACACCTGAGAAACTAGGACATTAAAAATGAAGACCAGAGCCTCCAAAACAGAAACAACAAATCCAGCGAGGCAAAGCTCTTACATTTCACCTATACTATAGACCGTGAGCCCTGACCTGGAATCATATTGACTCTTTCCAAAGGGCTTGATTACATGGTTTGCTAACTGATAGAAGATTAGAAACAGCACATATAGGAGGGTGGAGTAGCTACCAAGGGCAAACCTGCACAAAAAGAGTCAGGTGATGGTGTAACAAAAAGAGAGGTATGGGATCTATTTTTATTATTTTTTTTTCTTTTCCTTCTCCCCCAGCATGAGAATTCAAAAGCATAAACTCTGTAATGGTTTGCTATAGACAAAACATCCCCACACATCTTTCAACAGTCCTTAAGGGCATGACTGCATTATAGCACAAACCAAGAACAGCAAATATAGGGTTTGCATGGATAACTCCCTTCACCTGTGTCTAAAGCAAACGCCCAAAGTCAATCTTTAAACTCTTTTAACTGATGATAATACAAGGTATCCTTGTCTTGGCTCCAGAATCCTTCTCAACACGGGACTCAAGCTCTGACTCCCAACCATTTGAATTTAATTCATGAGCTGGAATCCATTTACTATCTTGGTGTAAGTGACAACTATTGAAAGGACAGGGATGTGGGTGACTCAATTTTTTTTTTTTATACTTTAAGTTCTGGGTTACATGTGCAGAACATGCAGTTTTGTTACATAGGTATACATGTGCCATGGTGGTTTGCTACACCCATCAACTCATCACCTACATTAGGTATTTCTCCTGATGTTATCCCTCCCCTTGCTCCCCACCCCCTGACAGGCCGTGGTGTGTGATGTTCCCCTCCCTGTGTCCATGTGTTCTCATTGTTCAACTCCCACTTATGAGTGAGAACATGTGGTGTTTGGTTTTCTGATCTTGTGATAGTTTGCTGAGAATGATGGTTTCCAGCTTCATCCATGTCCCTGCAAAGGACAAGAACTCATCCTTTTTTATGGCTGCATAGTATTCCATGGTGTACATATGCCACATTTTCTTAATCCAGTCTATCATTGATGGACATCTGGGTTAGTTCCAAGTCTTTGCTATTGTGAATAATGCTGCAATAAACATACGTGTGCATGTGTCTTTATCATAGAATGATTTATAATCCTTTGGGTATATGCCCCGTAATGGGACTGCTGGGTCAAATGGTATTTCTAGTTCTAGATCCCTGAGGAATTGCCACACTGTCTTCCACGATGGTTGAACTAATTTACACTCCCGCCAACAGTGTAAAAGTGTTATTTTTCCACAACCTCTCCAGCATCTGTTGTTACCTGACTTTTTAATGATCGCCATTCTAACTGGCATGAGATGGTATCTCATGGTGGTTTTGATTTGCATTTCTCTAATGACCAGTTATGATGAGCATTTTTTCATGTGTCTGTTGGCTGCATAAATGTCTTCTTTTGAAAAGTGTCTGTTCATATCCTTTGCCTATTTTTTGATGGGGTTGTTTGCTTTTTTCTTGTAAATTTATTTAAGTTCTTTGTAGACTCTGGATATTAGCCCTCTGTCAGATGGATAGATTGCAAAAATTTTCTCCAATGCAAAAAGTTTCTCCCATTCTGCAGGTTGCCTGTTCACTCTGATGATAGCTTTTTTTTTTTTTTTTTTTGGCCGTGCAAAAGACTTTAGTTTAATTAGATCCCATTTGTCAATTTTGGCTTTTGTTGCCATTGCTTTTGGTGTTTTAGACATGAAGTCTTTGCCCATGCCTATGTCCTGAATGGTATTGCCCAGGTTTTCTTGTAGGATTTTCATGGTCTTAGATCTTACATTTAAGTCTTTGATCCATCTTGAGTTGGTTTTTATATTAGGTGTAAGAAAGGGGTCCAGTTTCAGTTTTCTACATATGGCTAGCCAGTTTTCCCAACACCATTTATTAAATAGAGCATGTTTTCCCCATTGCTTGTGTGTGTCAAGTTTGTCAAAGATCAGATGGTGGTAGATGTGTGGTGTTATTTCTGGGGCCTCTGTTCTGTTCCATTGGTCTATATATCTGTTTTGGTACCAGCACCATGCTGTTTTGGTTACTGTAGCCTTTTAGTATAGTTTGAAGTCAGGTAGCATGATGCCTCCGGCTTTGTTCTTCTTGACCAGGATTGTCTTGGCTATGTGGACTCTTTTTTGGTTCCATATGAAGTTTAAAATAGTTTTTTCCAGTTCTGTGAAGAAAGTCAGTGGTAGTTTGATGGGGATAGCATTGAACCTATAACTTACTTTGGGCAGTGAGGCCATTTTCATGATACTGATTCTTCCTAGCCATGAGCATGGAATGTTTTTCCATTTGTTTGTGTCCTCTCTTATTTCCTTGAGCAGTGGTTTGTAGTTCTCCTTGAAGAGGTCCTTCACATCACTTGTAAGTTGTATTCCTAGGTATTTTTTTCTCTTAGTAGCAATTATGAATTGGAGTTCACTCATGATTTGGCTCTGTTTGTCTGTTATTGGTGTATAGGAATGCTTGTGATTTTTTTTATTATACTTTAAGTTCTAGGGTACACGTGCACAATGTGCAAGTTTGTTACATAGCTATACATGTGCCATGTTGGTGTGCTGCACCCATTAACTCGTCATTTACATTAGGTATATCTCCTAATGCTATCCCTCCCCCATCCCTCCACCCCATGACAGGCCCTGGTGTGTGATGTTCCCCTTCCTGTGTGCAAGTGTTCTCATTGTTCAATTCCCACCTATGAGTGAGAACATGGAGTGTTTGGTTTTCTGTCCTTGTGATAGTTTGCTGAGAATGATGGTTTCCAGCTTCATCCATGTCCCTGCAAAGGACATGAACTCATCCTTTTTTATGGCTGCGTAGTATTCCATGGTGTATATGTACCACATTTTCTTAATCCAGTCTATCATTGATGGACATTTGGGTTGGTTCCAAGTCTTTGCTATTGTGAATAGTGCTGCAATAAACATACATGTGCATGGGCCTTTATAGCAGCATGATTTATAATCCTTTGGGTATATGCCCAGTAATGGGATGGCTGGGTCAAATGGTATTTCTAGTTCTAGATCCTTGAGGAATTGCCACACTGTCTTCCACAATGGTCGAACTAATTTACACTCCCACCAACAGTGTAAAAGTGTTCCTATTTCTCCACATCCTCTCCAGCACCTGTTGTTTCCTGACTTTTTGAATGCTTGATTTTTGCAGATTGATTTTGTATCCAGAGACTTTGTTGAAGTTGCTTATCAGCTTAAGGAGATTTTGGGCTGAGAGGATGGGGTTTTCTAAGTATACAATCATGTTATCTGCAAACAGAGACAATGACTTCCTCTCTTCCTATTTGAATACCCTTTATTGCTTTCTCTTACCGGATTGCCCTAGCCAGAATTTCCAATACTATGCTGAATAGGAGTGGTGAGAGACGACATCCTCGTCTTGTGCTGGTTTTCAAAAGGAATGCTTCCAGTTTTGGCCCATTCAGTATGATATTGGCTGTGGGCTTGACATAAATAGCTCTTATTATTTTGAGATAGGTTCCATCAATACCTAATTTATTGAGAGTTTTTAGCATGAAAGGCTGTTGAATGTTGTTGAAGGCCTTTTCTGCATCTATTGAGATAATCGTGTTTTTTGTCATTGGTTCTGTTTATGTGGTGGATTACATTTATTGATTTGCATATGTTGAACCAGCCTTGCATCCCAGGAATGAAGTCAACTTGATCATGGTGGATAAGCTTTTTGATGTGCTGCTGGATTCAGTTTCCCAGTATTTTATTGAGGATTTTTGCATTGATGTTCATCAGGGATATTGGCCTAAAATGTTTTTTTGTTGTGTCTCTGACAGGCTTTGGTATCAGGATGATGCTGGCCTCATAAAATGAGTTAGGGAGGATTCCCTCTTTTTCTATTGATTGGAATAGTTTCGGAAGGAATGGTACCAGCTCCTCTTTGTACCTCTGGTAGAATTTGGCTGTGAATCAGTCTGGTCTTGGACTTTGCATGGTTGATAGGCTATTAATTATTGCCTCAATTTCAGAACTTGTTATTGGTCTATTCAGAGATTCAACTTCTTCCTGGTTTAGTCTTGGGAAGGTGTATGTGTCTAGGAATTTATCCATTTCTTCTAGATTTTCTGGTTCATTTGCGTAGAGGTGTTTGTAGCATTCTCTGATGGTAGTTTGTATTTCTGTGGGATTGGTAGTGACATCGCCTTTATCATTTTTTATTGCATCTATTTGATTCTTCTCTCTTTTCTTCTTTATCAGTCTTGCTAGCAGTCTATCTATTTTGTTATCTTTTCAAAAAACCGGCTCCTGGATTTATTGTTTCTTTTTGAAGGGTTTTTTAAGTCTTTATCTCCTTCAGTTCTACTCTGATCTTAGTTATTTCTTGTCTTCTGCTAGCTTTTGAATTTGTTTGCTCTTGCTTCTCTGGTTCTTTTAATTGTGATGTTAGAGTGTCGATTTTAGATCTCTCCTGCTTTCTCTTGTGGGCATTTAGTGCTATAAATTTCCCTCTACACACTGCTTTAAATGAGTCCCAGAGATTCCGGTGCGTTGTATCTTTGTTCTCACTGGTTTCAAAGAACATCTTTATTTCTGCCTTCATTTCATTATTTACCCAGTAGTCATTCAGGAGCAGGTTGTTCAGTTTCCATGTAGTTGTGTGGTTTCGAGTGAGTTTCTTAATCCTGAGTTCTACTTTGATTGCACTGTGGTCTGAGAGACAGTTTGTTGTGATTTCTGTTCTTTTACCTTTGCTGAGGAGTGTTTTATTTCCAATTATGTGGTCAATTTTAGAATAAGTGTGATGTGGTGCTGAGAATAATGTGTATTCTGTTGATTTGGGGTGGAGAATTCTGTAGATGTCTATCATGTCCACTTGGTCCAGAGCTGAGTTCAAGTCCTGGATATCCTTGTTCATTTTGTGTCTTGTTGATCTAATATTGACAGTGGGGTGTTAAAGTCTCCCATTATTATTGTGTGGGAGTCTAAGTGTCTTTGCAGGTCTCTAAGAACTTGCTTTATGAATCTGGGTGCTCCCGTATTGGGTGCATATATATTTAGGATAGTTAGCTCTTTTTGTTGAATTGATCCCTTTACCATTATGTAATGGCCTTCTTTGTCTCTTTTGATCTTTGTTGGTTTAAAGTCTGTTTTATCAGAGACCAGGATTGCAATCCCTGCTTTTTTCGGCTTTCCATTTGCTTGGTAGATCTTCCTCCATCCCTTTACTTTGAGCCTATGTGCATCTTTGAATGTGAGATGGATCTCCTGATACAGCACACCGATGGGTCTCGACTCTTTATCCAATTTGCCAGTCTGTGTCTTTTAATTGGGGCATTTAGCGCATTTACATTTAAGGTTAATATTGTTATGTGTGAATTTTATCCTATCCTTATGATGCTAGCTGGTGTTTTCACCTATTAATTTATGCCGTTTCTTTATACGGCGTTGATGGTCTTTACAATTTGGCATGTTTTGCAGTGGCTGGTACCAGTTGTTTCTTTCCATGTTTAGTGCTTTCTTCAGGAGCTCTTATAAGGTAGGCCTGCTGGTGACAAAATCTCTCAGCATTTGCTTGTCTGTAAAGGATTTTATTTCTCTTTCACTTATGAAGCTTAGTTTGGCTGGATATGAAATTCTGGGTTGAAAATTCTTTTCTTTGAGAATGTTGAATATTGGCCCCCACTCTCTTCTGGCTTGTAGGGTTTCTGCAGAGACATCACTGTTAGTCTGTTGGGCTTCTCTTTATGGGTAACTCGACCTTTATCTCTGGCTGCCTTTAACATTTTTTCCTTCATTTCCACCTTGGTGAATCTGACAGTTATGTGTTTTGGGGTTTCTCTTCTCAGGGAGTATCTTTGTGGTGTTCTCTGTATTTCCTGAAATTGAATGTTGGCCTGCCTTGCTAGGTTGGAGAAGTTCTCCTGGATAATATCCTGCAGAGTGTTTTCCAAGTTGGTTCCATTCTCCCTGTCACTTTCAGGTACACCAATCAAATGTAGATTTGGTCTTTTCACATAGTCCCATATTTCTTGGAGGTTTTGTTTGTTTCTTTTCACTCCTTTTTCTCTAATCTTGTCTTCTCACTCAATTTCATTAATTTGATCTTCAATCACTGATATCCTTTCTTCCGCTTGATTGAATCGGCTATTGAAGCTTGTGTATGCTTCACGAAGTTGTTGTTCTGTGGTTTTCAGCTCCACCAGGTCATTGAAGCTCTTCTGTACACTGGTTATTCTAGTTAGCTATTCTTCTAACCTTTTTTCAAGGTTTTTAGCTCCCTTGCAGTGGATTAGAACATGCTCCTTCAGCTTGGAGAAATTTGTTATTACCAATCTTCTGAAGCCTACTTCTGTTTTTGTTGATGTTGATGCTATTCCTTTCTCTTTGTTAGTTTTCCTTCTAACAGACAGGCCCCTCAGCTGCAGGTCTGCTGGAGTTTGCTGGAGGTCCACTCCAGGCCCTGTTTGCGTGGGTATCACCAGCAGAGGGTGCAGAACAGCAAATATTGTTGTCTGATCCTTCCTCTGGAAGCTTCATCCCAGAGAGGTACCCATCTGTATTAGGTGTCTGTTGGCCCCTACTGGGAGGTGTCTCCCAATTAGGCTACACGGGGGTCAGGGACCCACTTGAGGAGGCAGTCTGTCCATTTTTGGAGCTTGAACTCCATGCTGGGAGAAACACTGCTCTCTTCATAGCTGTCAGGCAGGGACGTTTAAGTCTGAAGAAGCTGTCTGCTGCCTTTTGTTCTGATATGCCCTGCCCCCAGAGGTGGAATCTAGAGAGGCAGTAGGCCTTGCTGATCTGTGGTGGGCTCTACCCAGTTTGAGCTTCCCTGCCACTTTGTTTACACTGTGAGCATAGAACCACCTACTCAAGCCTCAGCAATGGCGGATGCCCCTCCCCCAACCAAGCTTCAGCATCCCAGGTCCATCACGGACTGCTGCACTAGCAGCAAGCAAAGCTCCATGGGCATGGGACCCACTGAGCCAGGCACAGGGTGGGGGATCTCCTGGTCTACCGGTTGTGAGACCATGGGAAAAGTGCAGTATTTGGGCAGAAGTGTACTGCTTCTCCAGGTACAGTCACTCACGGCTTCCCTTGGATAGGAAAGGGAGATCCCCTGACCCCTTGCACTTCCTGGGTGAGGTGACACCCCACCCTTCTTCGGCTCACCCTCCATGGGCTGCACCCACTGTCCAACCAGTCCCAGTGAGATGAACCAGGTACCTCAGTTGGAAATGCAGAAATCACCCATCTTCTGCGTCTATCTCGCTGGGAGCTGTAGACCAGAGCTGTTGCTATTTGGCCATCTTGGAAGTGACCCCGGGTGACTCAAATTTAAGAGAGGCTTTCTCGAATGGTACAGGACAAAAAAAAAAAAGATTTAACTCACCAGAGGACGGGTAGTGTTTTGTCAGGCAAAAAAAGTTGAGAAGGGTCTTTCCCAAAAGTTACCTTTCTCATCCCCAAATCATAGGAAGATGGATCTGATGCAAATACACTATCAATTTGGAAAATCAGTACCTTCAGTCCAGGGCCCTCTGTAGGAGCTGAATAGATGGTGAGCTTCTCCTGGAGAAGTTCTAAGTCAAATGGCAACATCTTGGGTTTTGGGAATCCATCCTGTTGGGAGCTTTTGGGGCATGAGATGAAAGAATGCTATTTTTCAAGGCCTTCCTGGAATTCACGTAATCCTTGCAAAACAACATTCTGATGAATTGAGTCAGAGTAATGCAACCCGTATATTTCTGATTCACACAGAGTTTACAAGCGTTTAGAAGTTAAAAGAAGAGGTACTAGGCATGATGTGCCATCCAGTTTCACTGCACCCAAACCGTTTGAAATGCAGCCTCGTTTCTCTTTCCTTATGTTGAACTTGGGGACATCCTGGCTCACTGATGAGTGGTTGGAATTGGCCACATGGAATCAGAGTGGATTTCTTTAACCGTGCAGGCATGGTGAAAAGGGGCAGAATTTGACTCATAAACCCCATGTGCACGTTGATTTGACTCCAGCAGCTTGGCCCTCTGTGTTAGCAGTGGCCAGGTGTTCAGGCCAGTCCTCACAAGTCAGTTTATCCCACCCCTCAGTGGAATATGTGCTAAGTCACCCATGATGGAAGCCACAGTCTTTCTGTAACCTAATTTTGGAAATGATATCCCATCGCTTCTCTCATGTTCTATTTTATTGCTAGAAGCAGGTCACTAAATTCAGCCAACACACAAAGAGAAGCGATTTCACAAGGGTGGTGAATACCAGGAGGCAGGGGTCTCTGGGGCCATCTTGGAGGCTGCCTACCACACCAGGAATCCTGACTCTTTGTCACTTAGTGTCTGTGTACGCTTAGGAAAGTAATCTAATCTTTCTGAGGCTTGGGTTTTCTACCCATAAAATGGAGATAGTTGATGTAAAAGACCTGACACATAAGAGATAGCAGCCAAAAAATAATGATGACGATGATGATGATAATGATAAATGTTAGTTTTCCCTTCCTTCTTTCCAGAAGGTAGAGTGAGCTCCCCACAAGCACCTGGGAGAATAGTCACTTGTATAGAAGAGTGGACTGGGGGAGTCTAATGTTTTTAACATTTATAACCCCTTTTTCACTGAACTGGAAAAGAACAGAAGCACACTGCTCCCAGTAGTATGGGCCACATCAATAATTACCACACACATTTATAGTATCTTCGATGATGATTTACTTCCAGATGTTTTAAGCATATAACGTGTCAAATCAAAAGTGGAATTGTGGTGGGGTGGGGATGACACTGAAGGGAATAATGGTTTCGTCACTGACCTCCCAGTGTGACTCATGGTGTGTGTCTCACTGCCAAGAAGCCCTGACTATGAATATGCAGCCGTTGGGGAAGGAGGCGTTGAGAGTGGGTACTTCATATGGCCCCACCAGAAGGATTTTTTTTTAACACAGCAGCAGTAACCTTTAAGATAGCTAAGGTACAGTTCTCTGTGTTCTGTCTCCTTGCAGTTTCTGGAGAATCCTTTGTCTATAGTCCAGATCTCCTTTCATGGCTATCTAATGGATCTGTCTTCTGCAGCGTTTCCATCCAGGTGTTGGCATCCTTTCACAGTAAGCAGTAGGAGAGGCTTGCTGCCGAGGCTCATATATGTCACAAACAAGACTACCTGATCTTCATTGAGAGTCACTCTGATGAGGACATTACATGTTACCATATCTAATCAGTAGCCACTTGAGGTAGGGACTATTATTCCTACTTATTGATGAGAAAACCAGGACACAGCAAGGTAAAGCAACTTGTCCAAGGTCACAGAGCTAGTAAATGAAAAAAAAAAATCTGTGATGATTTACAATAAAATGAAGCTTAGCCAGAGCTGGGAACTGGAAATAAGTGCAAGTTGTATTTGCCTGATTTCTCTGTGAGAACCTGGCTAGATTTCAAGCACTGAAGTGAAGTGTCTAGCTAGTGTGATTTGGGAATAGGTATTTTCAAAGTTGTTGACATATGCTGGTCATTCGTGACCAATTTCAAACTTTAGGCTTTATGATGATGTGTCTCCCATGGCAGTACTTTTTTGACATGTGACATTCTGCCACTGCAAAACAGCGAGAGAAAGAATAAGATAAGTGCAAACAAGAACCAGGGACTTCAATTGGTGATAAAGGTAAAAATCTCATGTTCTCCAAGTAGTCTAGTAACTAACGTGTATTCTGATTAAAATGAGGTGGTTTGGATGTCTAATTAAAATGAGGCAGATGGAAAGAGAACATTAGATGTACTAGCCAGTGTGTGACACTGCACAACTTATCATCTTTAATTCTCATTTCCCTCATTTATACAAAGGGGTTAATGACTGCCAACCTCATAGGGTTGTGCTATCAATAGAATAAGATAATGCACAAAGCCATGGTTCAATCAAATATGCAGTGTGCTGCCCTCTACCTAGTGGCCTTTAAGGATTTTGGTTCCCTGTCCTGTATCAACCTATATCACAAATCAGTGATATAGGTTGTGTCCAACACAAACCAGTGTTGGACAGGATGGTCCAGTAAGAAGACCATTCTTACTGGAGCATTCTGCAATTCTGGAACAGAACAGCGGGGACCAGTGGTTTTATGCAGAGGCTGTGAGGAGTAGGAGACATTGGAGACACTCTTTACAATGATGATGAAACAGCATGCTGGAATCAAGAAGTGCTTTTCCATCACTAAGAGAAGCCATGGAAATTAGCAGGCTTTGGGAGTGTGCTTAAACTTCCGTAAGTTTTCAGGGTGTCTTAAACTGCTTTCTGTGCAAGAACCCTTCCCAGTATTCAGAAAACTGTACTGCCCAAAGACTTTATTGCATTTGTGTTTTTCGCAGTTGAGAAGCTGATATATTCAAGGAAGAGTACTGACTGGCCATCCGGGCTTTTAGGTGTAACTCATTTATTCACCAAATATGTATCAAGGCTACTCCATCCCTGGTATTGTGGAGATACAGCAATGAGTCAGACAGTTTGAAGTCCTTGTCTTCAAAGAGCTTACAGTCTCATGAAGAACAATCATGTCAATAGTTCAATCCAGTGGGAGAAGTGCTCTGTCACTACTGAGGAGAAGGAATAGCAGAAGCTCTGCTGAGTGATCCTTTCTCCAAATTTCCTGGAAGAGGTTATTAAAGTATAAATTAATCAGAGAAAACACTTCAAGCAGATGGAACTTTATGAACTAAAACTCAAAAGCAAGGGAGAGATATCTGATTCAAAGGGGCTATAAGAAGTTCTGTGCTGCTGGAGCAAGACTGATTGTGATGTGGGGTGGGCTGCAGGGACTTAGAGAGAGGTATGAGATGATGCAGAGAAAATAGCATGAGGATGCAGGGGACTAGCAGGTGATGGGGCAAAAGAGGTAAGCGGGGATCAGGTCATGAAAGATCCTTGCAAGTCACATTAAGGAGTCCCGACCTCATCTTGAGCACAATGGGGAGCCATTGA
Source organism: Homo sapiens (assembly GCF_000001405.40). NCBI lineage: Eukaryota > Metazoa > Chordata > Mammalia > Primates > Hominidae > Homo > Homo sapiens. The sequence goes on along the minus strand of NC_000004.12, from coordinate 16,625,000 downwards.
AAGGTTTCAAAGATGAGAGAACTTGGCCAGATACCTTTAGTAGATGGTTAGACTAGGTGATTGATCTTTAAGCTCTGAGTATTTTAACCATCCTAAACAGATACTATTGTATTTTCTTTGAAATTCTACCCAGAGAAACAAATTCTTTTACTACTTTAAATACAGTAAATTGTACTTTTTTAGCCTTTATTCATAAAATGGTGTCAATCTAGCAAAACTTTCATTGCTCATTTATAATGTGGAAGAGACCATGCTGGATAGGTGTGGTGGTGGTTCAATTGTGAATAAAGTTAAATCAGATTTCAAGAGACACATAATGGTCCTACACAGTAAGAGACATGGCATTAGATATATTATTGAGCAATGATTGATTTTGGAGTCAGATATTCTACATGTGCGATCTTTAGCTGTCTAAGCCTCAGTCTTTTTTATATAAAATTGGGATAGTAATACTATCTTCTGTGTAAAGTCATTGAGATTATTGAAGATAGTGTAGGCAAAACACTTAATCCAATGACGAGCACATAATAAAAAATGTAGTTACCAACATTTTATATATTTTTTATTTTTTGTTTATTTATTTATTTTAAAAATTTTACTGTGTAACTTGGCATGGTGGCTCATGCCTGTAATCCTAGCACTTTGGGAGACTGAGGCAGGTGTATTGCTTGAGCCCAGGAGTTCGAGACTAGCCTGGGCAACATAGTGAGACCCTGCCTCTATAAAAACCAAAACAAAACACAAATTTCAGTGTGCAGTTTTGAGGTTTAAGATGGTGTTACGGGATGCTACACTGTGTAACAATGATTACTATAGTGAAGCAGATTAATGTTCGTCTCACATAGTTACTTCTTTCTTGTGTATGACAAGTGCAGCTAAAATCTACATAGATAACAAAAATCCCTAATGCAATAAAATTTTATTAACATAATTTGTAATAACAATAATGGTACTGGTACCTTTGTGAAGCTAGAACTGGCAAAAAAGAGTTTGGAGGGAGGTGGCAAGGAGAGGCTGTTGCGAACAGCATATTGTAGTTGTGGTAGGATCTCTGCTTTTTGAACACCTCAAATTCAGAATTATAGGAATCTGATTTAGTGTGAAATTATTTTCTCTATGGGGCTGAAAACAGTTTGCTTACAAATGAATAATGGAAAATATGGTAGCAGTAGAGTTAAGGGACTGTTAAGCTCTTTAAATATATAAATAAAACGTGTGTGTGTGTGTGTGTGTGTATGTATATTTCAAGCACTTTAAGCAGCTTTCAAGCCATGCATTTTACATGAAATAAGCTGAGTATCAATGTGACCATATTGACTTATTCAAGTATCTTCAAGTATCACTTAATTGACAGCACATTGATAGTCATTTATTTTATTTTTATTTATTTATTTATTTATTTTTGAGACAGAGTCTTGCTCTGTCAGCCACGCTACAGTGCAGTGGCATGATCTTGGCTCACTGCAACGTCCGCCTCCCGGGCTCAAGCAATTCTCCTGCCTCAGCCTCCTGAGTAGCTGGGATTACCGGTGTGTGGCACCACGCCTGGCTAATTTTGTATTTTCAGTAGAGATGGGGTTTCACCATGTTGGCCAGGCTGGCCTTGAACTGCTGACCTCAGGTAATCCGCCCGCCTCGGTCTCTCAAAGTGCTGGGATTACAGGCGTGAGCCACTGCGTCCGGCCGATAGTCATTTATTTTAAATAATATGTTTAAAAGCAATTAAATGGCATTTCTTTGCAGAACATTTTGTCTTTTTTGTTTACTGTATATGTTCTTTTTTCTCCTCTAGCTTTCTCTACTTACTCTCAATGTGTGTTATTTTACTAAATTTGCAGCAGTCATCATTTACTTTTTTTATTCAAAGAATATTTATTGAATGCCTGCTGCATTCCAGGAAATTGGCTGGATACTGAGACAGGAATAAATAAAAAGACAAGGGCCTCCCTCTTGAAGCATGCATTCTAGTCATAGGTTTGGTTTTGGAATAGAATAGTGATCATCTTTTGGGGGTTGGCTCAAAGTGTCTAGTGGTATATATAGAAAAATAAACGTGGTAAAATTGAACACTGACAGAATGATAAGTTAATCAGAGTTGAGATCATTATACAGGATCACAAACTTTGGGACAATAGCTTTTGGAGACACTGTTTTTGAAGACAAAGTATCTAAAATTACAGGCAACTATTTTTGGCACATAGAGATTGGAGTGTTTCCCCCATAAGCAAATGCTTTCACTCTACGCTAGAGCGATAAAATCCCATCTTAGTTTCTCAGCAATTCAACATGAATATTAACAGGGAAAATTAAGCACTACTGGACTATTAAAAAATAGACATTTAAAGCTGTGAAATATTTAAATCCAGATCTGCTCCTGCCTTGCTCAAACCCCTTAATAGTTTCTATCTGCAGAGGAAAAGCTGAACTTTAAAGCTTTTCATTCAGAACCTCCATACAAAACCAGCCAATAGCTGTTGTTCTTCTTGATATCTTGTCTTTAATCCCCAAGGTATCCTGAAGTCTCAAGAGACCTTGGATGAAGAAGGAAAATTTTGCTATCGCTATTTCCCATAACTCTAAACACTGCCTCATCTTTGTGATTTGTATCTATCCTGGCTTTCTTTTTGTAAGCAAGTATCTGGTTCATTTATGTCATTCAACCAATAATTATTGAAGATCTTCTGTGTGCCAGAAATTTATAGTTTTTGTTTTTCTCTTTATTTGTTCCCCTTGAAATATATCATCTAATCTGTAGTTTCTCTAACTAAGCACTCAGTGTTGCTTTTCCAACTGGTATCCGGCCCACTTATCTAGAATATCAGAGTAGCTTTCCCTATCAAACAGCTTCACTATTCCACTGATTATTCACTGGCCGCAAAGGCAAAACAAAAGATTTATTGAAGGAAGTGGCAGTAGCCTCTTTGTATAGATTTGTTTTCCACCTACTTAGCAGACATCTGCTTTTATTAGATTGGTGCAGAAGTAATTGCGGTTACTTTTTAATTGCAAAAATCACAATTACTTTTGCACCAACATAATATTTCAAAGCATCTTTACTTCTAGTGTTGAAATATGGTTTTTAATCTAAGAAAAATTCCCACTATATTATTTTTGACAACCTCTTTCTTGATTTACATAATTGGTCAGGGCACAGTGGTTTACACCTGTAATCCTAGCACTTTGGGAGGCTGAGGTGGAAAGATTGCTTGAGGCCTAGAGTTATTGACTAGCCTGGGCAAAATAACAAGACCTTGTCTCTACAAAAAATAAAAATAAAAGAAATTAGCTGGGGTGGTGGTGCAGGTCTGTTGTCCTAGCTACTTGGGAAGCTGAGATGGGAGGATTGTTTGAGCCCAGGAGTTCAGGGTTGCAGTGAACTATGATTGCACCTCTGCATTCTCGTCAGGGTAACAGAGCAAGACCCTGTCTCTGAAAAAAAGTAAAATTAAATTAAAATAAATAAGTTTATAGAATTGATTTAGAAGCATAATTTTTGGGAGACCCCAAACTCTTTCTAACTTGCCTTTATGATCACGTGAGGTGGAGGCAATTTTTATCTTCTCGACACACATCTTCTATCCTGCAGAATTCAGCCATCCATCCCTCTCTTCAACCATCCATTATCATGCTATAGGCTATGCCTTGCTCTACCCTCTGGGACCAAGACAGAGTCTAAGGCAGAGTTCTTGCCCTTACAGAGCTCATGTTACAAGATGCATCTGGGGCTGCCAAGTTCCCAGGTCAACTAAAGAGTCTGGATATATAAACCTGAAACTGGGCAGTTGGCTTTTGTTTGTGAATCAGTTGCCATGACCTCAGAGATATGCTCCCCCGTTATGAGTCTAGAATGTTATATAGGTACCCCTGGCCTGGCTTGAAAATTTTTCTTGGTTATTGCTGTAATCTCTCTGAAACACAACACAGTGCTGTACACGTAGTAGATGTGTGAAAAGAGTTTGTGGAGTTGAATTGGGTTGATGTTCATTTGCCACCTGCCAACTATTAGTCAGTGAATCTAGATTCCAACAAAGGACACCGTGATAAAGCGTTTAAGTTCTGAACCAATTGAGAAATAAGACAAAGGTAGATGTAAAAGATGCCATCTATAATTCTGGTATAAACAGTTACTGGAGAACATGGCTTATGTCTTCAGGCAAATAACTTTTATACTATCAAGTACAGGAACAAGTAGACTTACCCACCCAGTCACCAGCACTTGGTCAGCCTATAGGACAGAGGCTCCCCTTGGAGAAGCTGAGTAGAACACACATTCCCTGTAGAGCTTGTATTCAAGAACAGGAAGAGGAAGGGAAGGGGCTGGCTACACATGCCCAAGTTTCACCTTCTAAATTTCAAGCTCTCTGATAAGATTTCATCACCCTTCTCACCTCCCCACATTCCCCAGATGGAGTGAATGAGAAGGCAGAGAGAGGCGAGAAGTATCACCTTAATGGGAATTCGTCCACAGAGAAGAAAACTTAGGAATCAAGAAAAACATTCCCTGGCAACACTCATTTCTCTATTGATTTGGAAGATGATCCTTACCTATTTCCTGGCTGGGTTCTTCATGTTTGTCTTAGCTTGTTGTTGGTTTCCCACATCTAAGCATCTAAGACTCTAAGGAGTCATATAATTCTAACAACTCAGAACTTACTTATGTCTGGTTTTTCTTGCCTGCACCTTACATTTAGGATCATCCTTTTTCCTGGATCCTATCTGCCTGACTTGATATGAGCCTATCCAGTGAGCTCAGTCATCCAGCAATTAGAGACTAACTGTGATGGATGAACACATTAATTATTTGGCAACTCTGCCAGGCACTGTTTTGGACATTAAAGATATGGAGGCGATCAAGATAGATATGGTCTCTTCCTTCATGGAACTTTTGGACAACAGGAGGCTAGAGACATGTAGCAGAAAATTTTATCCCAACTCTGATAATAACTCAGACGGAGAAAGCATGCTTCTGACATATTATACAAGATCCTCCTACACTAGCTGCAGATAATAAAATATGCATTTAGAATCCTTTCCATAGTATTTAAAGTGCCGATGAAATGGTTATTCATAATGTTTTATCTGCTATCTTTATTTTATTCTTTTTAATTTTCCTTACTATTAATATTAACTTCTCTGGTAAAAGAAGAAAAATAAAATAAACCCCTTCCAAATTTCTGTGAAGCCAGGAGAAAAAAAAAAAAAAACAGAGATATCCACTAGCAACTTGCAAAGACAAAAGGGAGTTCTAGGGGTAATAAAACATACACTTGACAACCGATATTATCCACTGGTGAGATATTGTTCATAAATCCACAGCCTGAAATTGCACGAATGATCACCCTGGTTATCAAGGCCATGCTTACGATGGCCTGGTGGCTCTGGGAATTACCTCCTTGGATTGCTGCAAATCCCTCATCTTCAACAAATTCATCATGCAAAGTCTCCACTATAATGAACCTTGGGTAAAGCTCAGTGCTCCAACGTATTTTAACATGTTAAGTGGAGTGTGGCCCATCTCAGAAACATAACAGTTTGGGAATGTTAGAAAAGAAACTTCATCTTTCCAATTTATTTTCCAAAATTATCTTACCACATGGCATCAATGCAGTCCTGGTGGTTTGAAAACTGAAATATTTATCCTCTCAGCAGAAGGACCACTAGGGGAGGTTCTCACCTGGTGGGATGGAGTTCTCCTGATCAGGGTCTGTAGCCTGGTGTGGTCTGCAGTAGGGTAAGCCTTGAGGAGTTTCTGGCAGGACAAAGGCAGCCAGCGTGTTACCTAGTTGTCAATCACAGCAAAAAATTTTTGCTTTTGTTTTTGTTTTCTAAGGATCCCATTGGTTCTCCTGGTTATTAGTCCATTCTCACATTGCTATAAAGAACTACCTGAGACTGGGTAATTTATAAAGAAAAGAGGTTTAATTGGCTCATGGTTCAGCAAGCTGTACAGGAAGCATGACTGAGGAGGCCTCAGGAAACTTACAATCATGGCGAAAGTCGAAGGGGAAGCCAGCATGTCCTACACGGCTGGAGCAGGAGGAAGAGACTGATGGGGGAGGTGCTACACACTCTTAACCAGATCTCTCGTGAGAACTGACCACACTCTTAACCAGATCTCTCGTGAGAACTGACTATCATGAGAACAGCAGGGAGAAATCCACCCCTGTGATTCCTTTACCTCCCACCAGGCCCCTCTTCCAACACTGAAGATTACAATTCAACATGAGATTTGGGTGGGGACACAGAGCCACACCATATCACCTGGAAACCCTCACAGAGAAAATCTGTGATGGCAACTGGAGGCTATGGAACACTGCACCTCCTTCCAGTATTCCATACCTGAATCGGCCGCACTGTCCTCTCTGTTGAACAGAGCAGAGCAGATTCTGTCACCTACCAAACACAACTCCATGTCACGTTCAGTCAATAACTGTATATGTGCGTGTGGATATGTGTATGTATGTACACATATGTGTATATACACACATACACAAACACACATGCACATATGTACACACATATACATTCATACATATATACATATATACAAGGCATCACTCTTATTAGGTGCTGGGTGCCCTGACAAGTCCTATGAGCATGAATGCGAACAAGGCAGATAGGGTGTCTGTCCTCATGGAACCCACACACTAATAGGCCATGAAGACAATTCAAATAAAGCAGAGTGTCTCTGAATCTGATCTGGGGATCACCTGCCTCCAAAGCACCTGGGACACTTGTTAGAAGTGTCAGACGCTAGGCTTATCCCGGTCCAGTGAAAATGGAAGCTGCTGGGGGTGAGGCCTGGGAATCGTTATCTTAACCTGCTCCTCCCCAGGTGTAGTCTAAGTGTGAGGATCACTGTAGTGTGAAAAATGCTGTAATAGACAAGTGTACGTAGTTAATGGAATTTGCAGGAGGTGCGCCTAACAGAATTGGCCTGTGGAAATCAGAGAAGGCACCCTGGAGGAAGTAGTTCCCAAGTTGGGAGCTCAAAAAAAGAAAGAATTATCCAGAAAAATACAAGACAGAAGAGCAGTCAGAAAGAATGCTCAGCAGAGGAAAGCCAGAGAGACTATAGGAAGACTTCTCAAAGCACCCACCCCTAACATCTAAAGGACTCCATCAATACAGGCCAGGTTAGTGTTCCTCCTTCTCTCCATTTATCATGCTTCCAATTTAATAGTAGAAAAAATCTTCCTATGCGTCTTGGCATCCCAGTAAGCTGCATATATTAGTTTCACTTCTTCTTCTTCTGCATACTTCTTTCTGATAATGACAATACCATAGAAACCTGAATTTGTGTTTGGACACAGTGCAGGATCTAAACAGTTACAAAACCTTCCATGTGTAGCTCTTAGGAACACTGAATCTCTGACCTCTTGCGGTGCTATGGCTCCTTGGCAGCCATCCCCAAGGGAATGGATGATTTCACGTTTTCTATACAAAACCGAGTGTGTCCCGAGAGTGAAACTTCCAACACCTACACTTGAATGGTCCATTTCTCCACTGGGTGTTAATCACTTCTTAATTTTATATTTGTTCAGGATCCAGCTTACTGTGGTCAATTAAGGTCAGGAGGAGATGTCGACTTGATTTAGTAAAATTGGATTGTCTGCCTCGAGTTTATCTCCTTGGGCTGGGCTGTCATTTGAATTTTATGTTTTTGTTCTTATTTCTTCCTACCATTTTTTTTTTCCCGGGGAGGGTTTTCAGTATTCCACTCGCCCTATCTGTTTGCAAGGAAGGTGTTTGTTTCTATAAAGTGCCTGTCCCATCTGATCTCCATCATCTTTATGGTCTTGCATTCTGTCACTGCAGCTCATGTCTGGCTGGGGTTTGTTATGTTTTGACAGGAGTTTGTTATAAAACTGGGGATCACGTCCGGCTTTGCCTTTCCAACTTCCTTCTTTACGGTTGCCATAAACCCATGCTGTTAAAATGTTCCCTCTGAGGAGAGGGTGAAATTCTAATAACAAAATCCTTGGGGGAGAGGAAAGGGGAGGAGGGAAAGATAGAGGGATAAAGAGTAGGATAATTGAAGAGATGTTATTATGTAGCAAGGTACATACTAACAATCATTTGAATGCAAACTATAAAAATAATACCAAGAGTTTCCAAAGATTTGAGAAAATAATAACAGACAGGAGAACTTGATCTAGATTACCCTGACCTGCCTAGGTACATAATACATTTATATTGACATGGGGTGGTGTCAGGGGACTTTTACTCGAGGAGGCAGCCAAGCTCTATGTCCCTGGTCTCCTAGCTCTGGGAAATAGCAAAAGGAGTAGGTTCTGATACAGAAAGATGTCTCCAGACCCCAAATGCAGAGTCATACAGCACCAGGGCAGCCTCAAGTCACTCTTAGGAAACACAGTTTCTCTTGGTGGCCTTGTCTCCCCAACCTACAATTCACTCAAAATGGGTTATTGGCCAGAGACTCAGGTGGCTGTTTCCATCTCCTCACTCTCCTGACACCAACCACCCCTTTGCCCCACTGCCTACCTGGACATCAAGTTGATTTTATTCTCAGCACCTCTGCTTGGGAATGCATTGACCCTTCTTTCCTTCTTTCCATTCATCCTCCATCTCTCCCTTTCTCTTTTGCTAGCATTTATTCCCTATGTATTGAACACACACTGGGAATCAGGTGTTTTCTGTGTTATTTAATCTTTATGGCAAGTTAATAATAATAAAATTATAAAATAACTAACAGTAGTCAACACATTATCTTGATATGTGCCAGTGCAAAATTCAGTCATCCAACAGATGTTTATTTATGAAACGCCTACTACGCATTCTGAGAGAATAACCAGTAACAAAAAGACATGGTTCTTCCCTTTCTGGAGCTTGTATTCTTGTGGGGGAATGGTTGATACAGTAACTAGTATATAATGTGAGTATCCATGAATGTTAGGAAGAAAAGTTAATTAGGGTAAGGGGGTAGAGTTCGCCTGAGGCAAGAGCATTTCATGGATGGTTTTATACCATCTGTACAACATCCCCATGAGGTTGCTTCTGTTCTAATTCCCATTTATCCAACAAGAGACCTGAGACCAGAGTGATTAAGGAACTTGCCCAAGGTTACACAGCTACCATAAGGCAGAGCACGGAGTCAAGTCCTAGGCAGGGCTGCTCCAGGTCCCCACTCTTGACCCCATGGCCCACTCCTGGCAGAGGCTCAGGCCTAAGGAGCCTTGGGAGGACGAATCCCAGGAGGGTTCCCTAGACCTTCTTTTTTTAAAATTTTATTTATTCACTTTTTTTAATTTCTTCCAAAAAAATGGGATACATGTGCAGAATGTGCAGGTTTGTTACATAGGTATATGTGTGCCATGGTGGTTTGCTGCACCTATTGATCCATCCTCTAAGTTCCCTCCTTCACCCCCCACCCCCCAACAGGCCCTGGTGTGTGTTGTTCCCTTCTCTGTGTCCATGTGTTCTCAGTGTTCAACTCTCACTTATGAGCGAGAACATGTGGTGTTTGGTTTTCTGTTCCTGTGTTAGTTTCCTGAGGTTGATGGCTTCCAGCTTCATCCATGTCCCTGCAAAGGACATGATCTCATTCTTTTTTATGGCTGCATAGCATTCCATCGTATATATGTACCGCATTTTCTTTATCCAGTCTATCATCGATGAGCATTTGGGTTGGTTCCATGTCTTTGCCATTGTAAATAGTGCTGCAATAAACATATGTGTACATGTGTCTTTATAGTAGAATGATTTATATTCCATTAGGTTATATATCCAGTAATGAGATGGCTGGGTCAAATGGTATTTCTAGTTCTAGATCCTTGAGGAATTGCTAAACTGTCTTCCACAATGGTTGAACTAATTTACGCTCCCACTAACAGTGTAAAATCGTTCCTATTTCTCCAAAGCCTCACCAGCATCTATTGTTTCTTGACTTTTTTTTTTTTTTTTTTTTTTTGAGACGGAGTCTCGCTCTGTCGCCCAGGCTGGAGTGCAGTGGCGGGATCTCGGCTCACTGCAAGCTCCACCTCCCGGGTTCACGCCATTCTCCTGCCTCAGCCTCCCAAGTAGCTGGGACTACAGGCGCCCGCCACTACGCCCGGCTAATTTTTTGTATTTTTAGTAGAGACGGGGTTTCACCGTTTTAGCCGGGATGGTCTCGATCTCCTGACCTCATGATCCGCCCGCCTCGGCCTCCCAAAGTGCTGGGATTACAGGCGTGAGCCACCGCGCCCGGCCGTTTCTTGACTTTTTACTAATCACCATTCTGACTGGCATGAGATAGTATCTCATTGTGATTTTCATTTGCATTTCTCTGATGATCAGTGATGTTGAGCTTTTTATCACGTTTGTTGGTACGTAAATATCTTTTTTTAAGAAGTATCTGTTCATATCCTTTGCCCACTTTTTTTGATGGGGTTGCTTGTTTTTTTTTTTTTTTTTTTTTGTTTTTTCTTGTAAATGTGTTTAAGTTCCTTGTAAATTCTGGATATTAGACCTTTGTCAGAGGGATAGATTGCAAAACTTCTCTCCCATTTTGTAGGTTGCCTGTTCAGTTTGATGATAGTTTCCTTTGCTGTGCAGAAGCTCTTTAGTTTAATTAGCTCCCATTTGTCAATCTTGGCTTTTGTTGCAATTGCTTTTGGCATTTTTGTCATGAAGTCTTTGCCCATGCTTATGTCCTGAATGGTATTGCCTAGGTGTTCTTCTAGAGTGTTTATGGTTTTGGGTTTTACATTTAAGTCTTTAATCAATCTTGAGTTAATTTTTGTATAAGGTGTTAAGGAAGGGGTCTGGTTTCAGTTTTCTATATAGGGCTAGCCAGCTTTCCCAGCACCATTTACTGAATAGGATATCCTTTCCCCATTGCTTGTTTTTGGCAGGCTTTTCAAAGATCAGATGATTGTATATGTGTGGTGTTATTTCTGAGGTCTCTGTTCTGCTCCATTGGTCTGTATGTCTGTTTTGGTACAAGTATCATGCTGTTTTGGTTACTGTAGCCTTGTAGTATAGTTTGAAGTCAGGTAGTGTGTTGCCTCCAGTTTGTTCTTTTCACTTAAGATTGTCTTGGCTATACAAGGTCTTCTTTGATTCCATATGAAATTTAAAATAGTTTTTTTCTAATTCTGTGAAGAATGTCAATGTAGCTTGATGGGAATAGCATTGAATCTATAAATTACTTCGGGCAGTATGGTCATTTTCTCAATATCGATTCTTCCTATCCATGAGGATGGAAGGTTTTTCCATTTGTTTGTGTCCTCTCTTATTTCCTTGAGCAGTGGTTTGTAGTTCTCCTTGAAAAGGTCCTTTACATCACTTGTTAGCTGTATTCCTAGGTATTTTTTTCTCTTTGTAGTGATTATGACTGGGAGTTCATTCATGATTTGGCTCTCTGCATGCCTATTGTTGGTGTAAAGGAATGCTTGTGATGTTTGCACATTGATTTTGTATCCTGAGACTTTGCTGAAGTTGCTTATCAGTTCAAGAAATTTGGGGGCTGAGATGATGGGGTTTTTTGAATATAAATGCATAGTAGGCATTTCATAAATAAACATATGTTGGATGACTGAATTTTGCATTGGCACATGTCATCTGCAAAGAGAGACAACTTGACTGCATCTCTTCTTATTTGAATACCCTTTATTTCTTTCTGTTGCCTGATTGCCCTGGCCAGAACTTCCAATACTATGTTGAATAAGAGTGGTGAGAGACAGCATCCTTGTCTTGTACCGGTTTTCAAAGGGAATGCTTCCAGCTTTTGCCATTCAATATGATATTGGCTGTAGGTTTGTTATAAATAGCTCTTATTATTTTGAGATGTGTTCCATCAATACCTAAGTTTATTGAGAGATTTTAACATGAAGGGATGTTGAATTTTACCAAAGGCCTTTTCTGCATCTATTGAAATAATCATGTGGTTTTTGTCTTTGGTTCTGTTTATGTGATGGGTTACACTTATTGATTTGCATATGTTGCATATGTTGAATCAGCCTTGCATCTCAGGGATGAAGCCGACTTGATTGTAGTGGATAAGGTTTTCAATGTGCTGCTGGATTCAGTTTACCAGTATTTTATTGAGGATTTTCGCATCAATGTTCATCAGGGTTATTGGCCTAAAGTTTTCGTTTTTTATTCTGTCTCTTCCCGGTTTGGGTATCAGGATGATGCCAGCTTCATAAAATGAGTTAGGGAGGGATCCCTCCTTTTCAGCTGTTTGGAATAGTTTCAGAAGGAATGGTAACAACTCCTCTTTGTATTTCCGGTACAATTCAGCTGTGAATCCGTCCGGTCCTGGGCTTTTTTGTTTGGTAGGCTATTAATTACTGCCTAAATTTCAGAGCTTGTTATTGGTCTATTCAGGGATTCAACTTCTTCCTGGTTTAGTCTTGGTAGGGTGTATGCATCCAGGAATTTATCAATTTCTTCTAGTTTATTTGTTTAGAGGTGTTTGTAGTATTCTCTGATGGTAGTTTGTATTTCTGTGGTGTCAGTGTTTATATCCCCTTTATCTTTTTTTACCGTGTCTATTTGATTCTTTTTTCTCTTCTTCTTAGTCTAGTTAGTGGTCAATCTGTTTTGTTAATTTTTCTCAAAAAACCTGCTCCTGGATTCGTTGATTGTTTGGAGGATTTTTCGTGTCTCTGTCTCCTTCAATTCTTCTCTGATCTTAGTTATTTCTTGTCTTCTGCTAGCTGTTGGATTAGTTTGCTCTTGCCTCTCTAGCTCTTTTAATTGTGATGTTAGGGTGTCGATTTGAGATCTTTCTAGTTTTCTGATGTGGGCATTTAGTGTTATAAATTTCCCTCTTAACACTGCTTTAGCTGTGTCCCAGAGATTCTGGTACATTGTCTGTTTGTTCTCACTGGTTTCAAAGAACTTTTTGATTTCTGCCTTAATTTCATTATTTACCCAGGAGTCATTCAGAAGCAGGTTGTTCAATTTCCATGAAATTGTGTGGTTTTTACTGAGTTTCTTAATCCTGAATTCAAATTTGATTGCACTGTGGTCTGAGAGACTGTTTGTTATTATTTCCGTTCTTTTGCATTTGCTGAGGAGTGTTTTACTTCCAATTATGTGGTCAATTTTAGGATAAGTGCCATGTGGTATTGAGAAGAATGTATATTCTATTGATTTAGGGTAGAGAGTTCTGTAGACGCCTACTAGGTCTGCTTGATACAGAGCCGAGTAAAAGTCCTGGATATCCTTGTTAATTTTCTGTCTTGTTGATCTGTCTAATACTGACAGTGGGGTGTTAAAGTCTCCCACTATTATTGTGTGGGAGCCTAAGTCTCATTGTAGGTCTCTAAGAACTTGTTTTATGAATCTGGGTGCTCCTGTATTGGGTGCATATATATTTAAGATAGTTAGCTCTTCTTGTTGAATTGCTCCGTTTACCACTATGTAATGCCCTTCTTTGTCTTTTTTGACCTTTGTTGGTTTAAAGTGTTTTGTGAGAGACTAGGATTGCAATCCCTGCTTTTTTTTTTTCTTTCCATTTGCTTGGTAAAGTTTCCTCCCTCCCTTCATTTTGAGCCTGCGTGTTTCTTTGCATGTAAGATGGGTCTCCTGAATACAGCGCACTAATTGGTCTTGACTCCATATCCAATTTGCCAGTCTGTCTTTTACTTGAGGCATTTAGCCTGTTTACATTTAAAATTAGTGTTGTTATATGTGAATTTGATCCTGTCATCATGCTGCCATTTGGTTATTTTGCACACTAGTTGACGCAGTTTCTTTGTAGTGTCATTGGTCTTTATATGTTGGTGTGTTTTCGCAGTGGCTGGTACTGGTTTTTCCTTTCCATATTTAGTGCTTCTTTCAGGAGCTCTTGCAGGGCAGGCCTGGTGGTAACGAAATCCCTCAGCATTTGCTTGTCTGGAAAGGATTTTAGTTCTCCTTCACTTATGAAGTTTAGTTTGGCTGGAGATGAAATTCTGGGTTGGAAATTCTTTACTTTAATAGTGTTGAATATTGGCCTCCAATCTCTTCTGGCTTGTAGAGTTTCTGCTGAGACGTCCTCTGTTAGTCTGATGGGCTTCCCTTTGTAGGTGACCTGGCCTTTCTCTCTGGCTGCCCTTAACAGTTTTTTCTTCATTTCAACCTTGGCGAATCTGATGATTATGTGTCTTGGGGTTGATCTTCTTGTGGAGTATCTTAATGGCGTTCTCTGTATTTCCTGAATTTGCACGTTGGCCTATCTTGCTAGGTTGGGGAAATTCTCCTGGATAATATTGTGAAGGGTGTTTTCCAGCTTGTTTCCATTCTCCCCATCACATTCTGGTACTCCAGTCAATCGTAGGTTCGGTCTTTTTATGAAGTCCCGTATTTCTTGGAGGCTTTGTTCATTCCTTTCATTTTTTTTTTTTCGCTATTCTTGTCTGCATGTCTTATTTCAGTAAGGTGGTCTCCAAGCTGATATTCTTTCTTCCACTTGTTCGATTTGGCTGTTGATACTTGTGTCTGCTTCACAATGTTCTCATGCTGTGTGTTTCAGCTCTATCAGGTCATTTATGTTCCTCTCTAAACTGGTTATTCTAGTTAGCAATTCCTCTAACCTTTTATCAAAGTTCTTAGCTTCTTTGCTTTGGGTTAGAAGATGCTCCTTTAGTTCATCATAGTTTTTTATTACCCATCTTCTGAAGCCTACTTCTGTCAATTCATCCATCTGATCCTCTGCCCCGTTCTGCACCCTTGATGGAGAGATGTTGCGATCATTTGGAGGAGACGAGGCACTCTGGCCTTTTGGGTTTTCAGCATTTTTTCACTGATACTTTCTCATCTTGGTGAGTTTGTCTAGTTTCGGTCTTTGAGGCTGCTGACCCTTGGATGGAGTTTCTGTGGGGGCCTTTTTGTTGTTGATGCTATTGTTGCCACTTTCTGCTTGTTTGTTTTTCTTTCAATAGTCAACTCCCTCTTCTGTAGGGGTGCTGCAGTTTGCTGGAGGTTCACTTCAGGCCATATTCATCTGATTCGCTCCCATGCCTGGAGATGTCACTCAAGGAGGCTGGAGAGCAGCAAAGATGGGTGTCTGCTCCTTCTTCCAGGATCTCTGACCCGAAGGGACACCAACCTGATGCCATTAGGATGCCAGTAGGGTGTCTGACAACCCCTGTTGGAGGATCTCACCCAGTTGGGTGGCACAGGTAGCAGGACCCATTTAACGAAGTGCTTTGTCCCTTGGTGGGGAGAGTGTGTTTCGCTGAGAGGGGAAACCCTCTCATCTGTGCTATCCAGATTCCTCAGAACTACTAGGAGGAGAGGCTAAGTCTGCTGGTCAGCAGAGACTGCAGCCACCTCTCCCCCTCCGCCTAGGGGCTCAGGCCCAGGGAGATCTGAATTCTGCCCCTGAGCCTCTGGCTGGAGTTATTGGAGATCCTGCAGGGAAGCACTGCCTGAGGGAGGATAGGTCAGGGTTGGGCCTGAAGAGGCACTCTGGCCGCAGACTGCCACAGCCGATGTGTTGGGTTGTGGGGACACGTCTTGGGACCAAGCTGTCCAGCCTCCCTGGCTCCAGCAGGGGAAAAGCACAGCCTGGAGCTATAGAAATGGGTGCCACTCTTCCCCTACCTAGGGAGCTTAGGCAGCTGTGAGTCCCAGTGCTGGCTGCTGCCCCTCCCCCAAGGAGCTCAAATGGCTTAGACAGCAGGCAGCTGGTTGCCCTTCCCCTCCCCCCCCCGCCCCCTCCCCTGGGAGTTCAGTAGGCTTAAGCAGATTCCAGCTGAGAGGCTGTTAAGAATCTGCTGGTTCCGGGGTTGGGACACTAGACCCCGGTGGCGTGGGTTCGCAAGTGGGATCTTCTGATCTGTAGGTTGCACAGTTTCCTTGGCTGGGTAGCACGCTCATTTACCATCTCCCTTGGCTGGGAGGAGGTGGTTCCCCTTCCCTGTGTGGCCCTCAGGTAGGCCACTGCCCCGCGCTGTTCTTCCTTCTCTCCATGGGTCACACCAGTCTTCTAGTCAATTTTGATGAGAGAACATGGATACCTTGATTGCTAGTGAAGGATTCACTCGCTTATTACGGTTTTTTCTATGGGAGCCTCCGAATTCCGCTGTTTCCAGTCGGCCGTCTTGGCCCCGCCCCCCAGACCTTCTTATTAGTTTTTAATAATGACAGAAGAGAGAGAATGAAGCCAGAGAGAGAAGCCTGAGCTGTGACCTGCAATGGAGCAGCCCTGCTCCTGACTCGTGTGGTCCAGCAGATGTCTGGTGTTCCTCTCTCCCTGTCAGAAGCCCTCCTCTCGTCCTGGAGGTGATGGAGTGCAGACCGTTCAGAGATGTCATTCATCTTTAGGAATGGAGCCCCAGTCCCCCACTGAAAGGTGATGGGACAGCTTCAAGGAAGAATGATGGGATAATGGCGGAAAGTCCGGTGCGCTTGTTATGTGTGTTTTAACCTATGAGAGACATTAGTGACGTGCTGCTGTAAGCATTGGCACCTAGGTCCAAGGATCAGGTTGACCAGGGCCATTTCAGAACCCATAGAATGCGCAGAGGCCGCTTTCTCTTGCCGAAAACCTGCACACAGAATGTCATACCCCACAGCTGGTGCCCAGGCAATGTTTCAGACATGGGTGGGTATAATTGGGCTGTTCCGTCCTGCTGCCTGAGAGCCTATGCAACATTAATTCTCTGTTGGAACGGTTGTTCCTTTTCTTGTAGACAATCCAAGGGTCAGAAGCACAGCCCCCTGTGGACTCCCGAGGAATGTGAATCTGACCCTTTTTTTACTGCTTCTCATTTCCAAGGACTTTTACTTCCTGTAAAATGCCCCTGGAATGCTGACCTGGCATGCAAATAGTCTTTTTTTTTTTTTTTTTTTTTTGAAGAAGTGTGATTTTCTGTATGGAGTCGGATGTTTGTGAATCACACACATACAGTATGGTAAGGTAGAAACCCCATCAAAACTAAGTTGTCTTAGATAGGAGACTTTATTTTTTACTAGCAGAACTCAAAATTAACTTTAAAAATGAATCTTTTAAAGTGATTACTCTAAACCAGAAACCATGTTCTGGACTAGAACATTGAGATATGAAAATTCCAGATGCAGGGCCCTAAAACCTTATTTCCCCTTTTTTGTGGTCTTGATTCTCTTGAACCTGAAATGAAAGTGGCCTTACCTCTGTGTTAGAAACCCGTGCGTATGCATAACAGGTTTGAGATTCGCAGACTGTCCAAATAGGCGTGCCAAGTCCACATTTATCCACTTGCCAAACATCTCATAAGTAGCTATTTACATCACAAATGTGCCATGATACTGAAATGATCAAGAAACGTTCTCTGCCTTCAGGGAACTACAGTCACTGAAGGAAAGACAATAAAATTGATGATTACAATGCAGTGTGATGAGTCCCAAATCTGTGCATAAACAGGGTATTATGGGAGTGATTAAGTAGAGCTAACATGTGTCAGGCATTGTGCTAAGCACTTCACGTGCATAGTGTTATTAATATTTGCAACTGCCCACTGAAGCAGTTATTGTTGTATTGCCATTTTGCAGCTGAAGAAACTAGGGTTTAGAGAGCATAAATCATTTCTTCAAGGTCACAGTATGAGTAAGTAGCACAGCCAGTGTGTGAATCAGAAACTTTCAAGGCAGTGCTCAAGTTTATGAACACTTTAAGAATACAAAGGAGAGAATGAGAGACAAAAGGGCAAGGAGGATGGTTCTGGAGCTTGAGACTTGAGGATGCCTATGAGTTTGGATAAAACAGAAGAGATGAAGCAAGGCCCCCCTGGGTGGCGGATGCTGAATGAGCAAAGGTTTCAAAGAATGCAAGTGCATGGCAGCACTGAGGAAGTAGATGAGATTGAAATGGCATTGAGAAAAGGGTGTGGGGGAGAGCCAGTTTATTATTTTAATTCTACAAACCTTTCTTTTGACTTCAAAATCCCCTTTCAAGGGTCATGTTTTATTAGCTTCTATTTTAGTAACTGCTTAACACTTTAGAAGGAATGTCTTGTATAATATCCAACCCTGAGGAAAGGACCAGTTTTACCCAAGTCTGCCTTCTCTCTACAGAAAGGAAATCACCTCTCTCACCACTCTTAGAATTGCTAACGGTTGATGATTCCTGGTTTAGGTTAAACTGGAAATTACACACATATGTCTGTTTCTCTGGCAACATTTCTCTAACCCAGATGAATCGTGTTGATATTAAAACACAAAATTCAATGACTTAGGGTGTCCCCATTGGTTTGAGTTGGAGAAGTCCTGATAAAACATATTGAAATAATTTTATAAGAACTCTTAGAGTTTGGCAACTTTGAAAAATAAAGGAGTAGATTTTCTTTTCTACTTCTCTAGTCTGGAGTAATTTTTCCATGCAGCCAAGTGAATGGATTTTGAGTAGAAAACTGCAAACCATCTGAAAAGGTCAAATGTAAATTAGTCACTTGGAGCAATAACCACATGAGCTGGATGCCTGTCATTAATTATTTACCTTTATCATTTACATGCAGATAAACTTTTGAGTACTTGAGGGCTGTCACTTTGTGAGGGACATGCTTTATGATCTAAATGGCAAAAAATTAAAAACTTGACAATATTAAGTGTTGGTGAAAGTTGTGGGTGAAACAGGTACTATCAGGGCTGATAAGGAAGCAAATTGGTAACAGCATTTTGAAGGACAATTTCTGGTACCTAGTAAAATAAAATATATATTTCCCTTTCTACCCTGTTGAGAAAAGAATGTAAAACAATCTCTGATGTCCCTCAACATGGGAATATCTAGATAATTTTGATAGAGCCATACTCTAGAATACAATGCTGCATTTAAAATCAACAAATGAGTCTTCTTATGTACACTAACATATTTAAAGCTGAAAGCGTATTATTGACTAATAAAAGAAAAATCCTACCATATAGATACATTTAATATAACTTTGTGTAAATAAACACAAAATACAATGAAACAAAATAATTTAAAAATCTAAAGGCTAGGGAACATTGATAAAAAGGTGAGCTAGGAAGTGGTGAAGGCACTGAGATTGGTGGGTATAGGGTGGTCAGGGAACCTACACTTACTGGTAACTGTTTTACTTAACCCTAGCAGTTTAAACAAATAAAGTTTGATATTCCAATGTCTTAACACCATAGAAAGGTATTTTTTGCTCCAAAGTCCAAATGAGTTCTCCCCAAATGTGGCAGTTCCCCCTCCTGGTGGTAACTTAGGAAACCAGAGGCTCCTCCATTTCCTGACTCCTCCATCCTTAGGGCAGTGAGCAGGGCGGGGAGGTCTCTGGAATCTGCCCACTGTGTCTTCAGTGTCTGGATGTCAGAGATAGGGAGATAGTGCACCAGCTACACACAGAATGATTTTACTGGCCTGTCTGGAAGTGGGATTTCCCTTCTTGACATCTATTCTGTTGAACAAAATGAAAACAATGGAAGTGTCCATTAGGCACTGGCCACAACTCTGTCATAAGACAGCACTGAGCTAAAAGGGAGTTTGATAATTCTGTAAGGTCTAACTCAACACCTGGAGAAAAGAATCAAATTTATTGTGACGAGCTAGTGAGTACCTGTGAGAGTAATATGGTGTTTTTTTTGTTTTTTTGTTTTTTGCACATGTATTACTAATGTGACTTAAAAACTAATTATAATTAAATCAAGACATAGAAATTAACCAACATTGGTTGATCAAAAACAAAAAGTGTTCCATTTTATTGCACCCTAACTCCAAGTAAGCTATGTAGTTTTACTTCTCTGATCGTGGAATTTCTCTCCTATTAAAAGGAAGGTGTGGAATATAATCATGGATAACCTCATTACTTTTATTAAATAACTGTCAGCATTTTATATTTTATTTTTTCCCACATCTGTTAAGTGCCATTCATGATCACTAATCAAGAGCTAATCAGTATTACCATAACCGGGATCATCCTACTCGAATCAGAGAAACATGTTAAGTATGTTCCTTTTTAATGATTTTTTAAAAAAATATAGAACTAGCTAAAGTTGCATTTGAAGACCTTCAGGAATCCATTGGGATTAGGAGATGCTGCTGGGAATTACTGGACTAAACCTTTTGCTGGCCTTATCTTTCTAACTTAGCATCCAGCAAGTGGCTCAAATAGAGCGCTGCTTTCACTGACATTTGTGAAAGGAATGAATTAATTCATAAGTTAAATTTATCCAAAAATGTGGTATATGTGTGCATAAGAGAAAGTAAGGTTTATACTAGGAGTGCAAAAGGTGTTCGATAATTGAAAATATATTAATGAATCGTTTTCTAAAGGAAAATTGCTTTATTGCTGAAAAGGCATACAGTCAAATTAGACATTTATCAGGATTAAAAAGAAAAAAGTCATAAAACCAAGGAATAGGATAATAGTTTGTTTTTCTTTCCATAGCAAGTAACAAGATCTCAAATCAACATTTAGTACTTCCCCTAGTCCTAGATACATTCCCTAAAACTATCAAGGAGAAAAAAGAATGCTCGCTACTTCCCTCATTATTTAAAATTTTTCTGAAAGTTCTGTTATACATATATATATATAAATATATATATTTTCTCATGTTATTGCAAAGTTATTGCTATATATATATAAGAATATATATATTCTCATGTTATTGCAATGGTTAGAACAGGACTATATATAGGAAAGGAGAATCTATATATAGGTAAGGAGAAAGGGAACAAAAATATCAATATTTGGGAATAGTGGATTATTTTGCCTAGAAAACTTTTTAAAACATTCCCCAAAAGCTATTAATATTAATGAATATTCAGTTAAATGCCTGGGTTACAAATAGAAATACAAGTTTTAAAATTCCATTAACCATTTAGCATAACTAAAATATTCAAGGATCTTAAGAAATGTTAAGTATCCAAATATAGAAAACTACAAACTTCAGAGGGTGCAACATATTTGTTGGCCAGGCACTATGGCTCATGCCTGTAATCCCAGCCTTTTGGGAAGCCAAGGCAGGAGGATCTACTGAGGCCAGGAGTTCAAGACCAGCTGGACCCCGTCTCTATAAAGAAGTAAAAAATTTAGCCTGTCATGGTGGCACCTGTGTTCTCAGCCCACTTGGGTGTCTGAGGCAGGAGGATTCTTTGAGCCCAGGAGTTTGAGGTTACAGTGAGCTATGATTGCATTACTGCGCTCTAGCCCAGGTGACAGAGTGAGACCCTTTTTCTAAAAGAAAGAACAAAGAAAAACTATGGAATTTCTTAAAGATAAAAATAAAGATTTAAACAACTGGACATACATTTCGTATTCCTTTATAGGAAGATTGGATATTTTAAAGATGCCAACTTTTTCTTAGTACATTTAATTTAATTTGAATCAATTTCTCTCCCTATTTCTTTTTTGAATTTAACATAATTATTTTAAGGTTCATATGAAGAATAAAAAACAGAGTACAGTTATGAAAATGCTGACATAAAAGAGTAATACAGAGGGCAAAAATAAATCTGTCAGACGTAAACTACATCTTAAAGTTTTAATAACTAAAAGACTATTGTATCGTCATAAGGAGAGAGCAGGAGCTCTATGTAATGGAGTAGCTCATCCAGATGAGATCCTCCAAGGTATAAATATATAACATCTGACCAAGGCAGCAGCCTAGATCACGGGAATATACCACCTTCTCTAACTAATGCTGTTGCTTCTGCCGGGACCACTCTCTTGCTGCGCCCTCTGTGCCTGATTAACATCTCTGCATCCCTTAGCTCAGGTCTTTCTCTGACACCTCACTCTCTCCACATGGACTCTGTACTATCTTTACAAGCCATTAGTAACACAGCATGGACTTATTATGGAAGTCATTAAAGGATTTCAATTTCATACTTACAGGGTGTTTGATTCATGTTAAGAAGTCCAGTTAGAAGGAGGTCTCCATTGCTCTGGACTTCTCCTATACAATGTTATTGTCAGTACTTTAGATCAAAGTCGAAAGAGTTTTGTCACCATGAAAGACACACATCTAGAAGAAATAGCCCATAGTATCACTGACAGAATCAAGATCCAAAATAACCTGAATATGTCGAAATAATGGGTTCAATTAAATGAGATGAATTCTATCAGGTTTACATGTAAGCTTCTATGACTTGAGACCTATAAATTCACATATTTATTGCATTGACTTATTCATTATTGTGTGTCAGACAATGGGGAAACAGGAGAGACAAGATGGAGCCATGACACACATCTTGCATGCCCTTAATTGGTGAATTAATGATGCTAAGAATTGCTTGATCCAAAGCTCTGTAACAGCAGGAGTGGGGTCTGTCTTGGTCATCCTTGTTTCTCTAGCACTTAGCATCTACTGCAAGGTAGGGTGACTGAAGTCTTGGTCAAGTTATTAAAAATTTGGTAGGTAGAAGTGGAAGAAAAAATGCCTATTTATAAGAGGATCAAAAATTTTCATGGTGTTTTGAGACCATGTTGGCAGCTGGAAAATGCATTTAGGAAAAACAGAGTAAATTATATCATTGGCTAAAATCTTTCAATGTCTTGACATTGCACTAAGGATAAAACGGAAGCCATTTGCCGTGGTTTAGAAAGTCCCACATAATCTGACCCTGCCTCTTTCTGTGACCTCATCTCTATCATCTTGTTCTCTTTGACCACCCTCCTACCACAAAGCCTTCTTTCTGATACCGTAGCACACTAAACTCGTTCAATCAAAATTCATTCCTGTCTTAGGGCTTTTGCCCCTGTGGTTCTTGGGCCTGGACCTCTTTAATTCCAGATCTTCGCACGGCTTTGTTCAATTGGGACTCACCTCCATCATCACTTTTTCACGGCAGCCTTCCAGGCTGGCCAATCTAAACTAGTTGGCCTTCCCGAGCTATCAAGTTTATTCTCTGTCTCCTTACTCGTCTATTTCTAGCACCTAGAACAATATCTGGCCTGTAGTAGTTACCTAATAAGTATATATGAAATAAATGAATCTTTGAAATCACAAGACAGGTCATCAGAGAGAAAATATTCAAGTAAATTAGTTTGAGAAAATAAGTAAAAGGCATATTAGAATGAAAGTCATGCCAATTTATAAAAGTAAAATTAATTAATTAATTCGACTTGCATTCCCTTCACCAAGAACAACAAGATCTACCTTGAACTAGTATCACCCCCATCACAGGTCAAGCATATTTTACTTCCATTGTTTTGGCTATATATAATGGTTATTTACCATAAATAAAATCATCAGTCTTGTTTATCTCACTCCTAGGAGCATATTCATTTGTATGTCAGCATAATGCATTTACTGATTTCTGAATACAGATAAGTTTAAAGTTTAATGACTCTTGGTGTTTATTATGTATCTGAATAATAGAATTTCCATTTGGATTTTTGAGATATAGCAGAATTACAGAAGCTCTAGCAGAACCACATAAAACTACCCAGATTTAGCCAACGAATTTATCTATTTTCATGTTTAGATAAAAATTTTTTAAATCCTAGTATGGTAAATAATTTTAATATAATTAAGTTTACCTAATTAAAAACATGTGCTTGGTTATATAGTTCTCTCTTTTCAGAGTTGCAAAATCATCAGCTAAATAGTGATAATATGTTAAATGGCATTAATATATTGTTAGTTACAAATTTTCCTCTTACTCCACATTTTATGAAAATCAGACTCTCAACCCCTTCTGTTTCTTGGAAGTGAATTGTCTTTGAAACATAGAAATTGCAGGCATCTAAAATTGTAATTCATGCCCTGAAATTAAAAAGTCTTACATTAGATGATGGTTTCTCAAAAGGCTTGTAGAACTTCAGAGCACTTAAACATAAACTTGAGAATTGCAGTTTGGTAAGGGTATTTACCAAGAGCTTAGAGTCCCACCTAACAGACTTCCAGAGAGTTAGAAATTCTCAAAATAAGAAATAATCACTACGTTGATTTCCTTAAAAGTATTTGTGTATATCTGTTTTACCACAGCCTCACCAGGTTTATGTTGTAATCCTTTTGTTATTATTTTAACTTTGTACCTCAATAACTAGTTCGAATATTTTCATATGTGGTTATTTTCTACACGCAGTTTCTTTCATGTGAATTACTTATAAACATCCTTAAGTTTTTTTTAATGCATTTCATAATTACTAAAAGAGATAAAATGCTCTAAAAGGCAGACCTTCTGCTTTGGGGAGGAGGCACAGTAGTTTATGTCTTCTTTATGAGCTCCCAGCTTGTATTACACCATTTTGTTTCTAAACAAGGAAAAAAGTTAATTAACATCAATGAATATCCTGTAGATATCCTAATATCTACAAGTAATACCTACAAGAAAAGATAGAAGTTAGATCCTGCCTCCACCACACCGTCACCCTATCAACTTCCATAGCAAGAATTTCTGGGGAGTAGGGATGGATGTAAACAAAATAGAACAACAACGAAAATCTCCCTAAGGAGCTTGAAAGCAGGGATCCACAGCTCAATTAGCTATGAATTAAATCTTAGCTATTTCTGGACTAATCATATTTACCTATAAAGTGTAACATTCTTTATACACATTTCAACACCTGAATAATTTAATGTGTGATTTTCTTTTATCTTTCATGAATACATAGATAAATAATGTATGGTATATTTTACTCACCTAACATCACAGAAAATCTTCCTGTGTTCTCTGGCTCTCCACACTTCCCAACTTTTGGACCTTTGATCTAAATGTGTCAGAAAAATACCATCGCCTTTATAATCTACTATAATCTTAATCTCACTCCAACAAAATTCAGAAGACATAATCCTTTTCATAGGAGCACAATGTAGATTTATGTATATCAATATTTAAATTATTTTAATTCCAGGGATTAAAGTATAAATGTAAAGTGTAACTTTGACATATGATTGTAACAGTATAAAATCTAAATAGATTTGGAACTGGTGTGGCTGTCGAGTTAGGTGACCGCTGAACCTAAATCTGAAATGTTCACTGATTTAGTCATTTATATCTGACTGTGCAATGCAGTGGCATGGTTGACTGCAGTAAAAGAACATGCTCATCTCAGAGCTTCAGAAATAATAAAATCATACACTGAATTCAGGATACAGGAGATACTGATAAAGAGTTCAAAATCATAAACCCATTTTTATGCTTTATCAGCGATCACATCATGTTATAGATACTTAAATACTTGCTACCTCTCCTGATAGAAATGAATTTGAAAGACAGGGACAAAAATCTAATTCAAATTCAAAAATCAATTTGAAAGAGAGGGACAAAAGTTTGTGTTTGCAGCATCGACCGTCAACCATGGAGCTTTATACCTACTCCAGGTTCAGTGAATGTTTACAGAAGAAATTGATGAATGATCAATAGAATGATTTCTTCAGGCACATGGGATTTTGTTCTGGCTGTCTGTCCCATTCACTGCGCATTATTTATATATTGCACATTGCGTGCGTATGTGCATGGTGTATGCGTGTGTTTCTTGTATTTTTTATTGCTCTCCCTTGTAGAACAGAAGCTCTTGGCAAGTATAGTCTCTGTGGGAAGCAGAATAATGCCCCCTGCAAGGTATCCGTGTTTGAATTCCTGGTATCTGTGAATGTGACCTTACATGGCAAAAGGGGCTTTGCAGATCTGATAAGTTAAGGATCTTGAGATGGCAGATTATCCTGAATTCTTTGGGTGGATTCAGGGCAATCACAAGGATCCTGAAAGTCAAGAGGGAGGCAGAAGACAGAGTGAGAATGATGCCTCGCCAGGCCCCAACTTCCCACTATGAGTTTTGAAGATGGAGGAAGGGGCCACATGAAAGGTGTGTGAACATCCTCTAGATGATGAAACAAACAAGAAGATAGATTCTCCCTGAGAACCTCCAGAAAGGAATTCAGCCCTGCTGACAACCTGACTTCAGCCCAGCAAGCCCTATGTCTGATTGTCGGGACTATGAAATAATAAGTTTGTGGTGTTGTAGGCCACTATGTTGGTGGTAATTTTTTACAGCAACAACAGGAAACTAATACAATCTCTGACACCTTTTTAATCTCCTGCAGCTTCTAACACAGTGTGTTGCACAGAGTCAGATATCTCTTGTAGCTGATCGCTCTCATCACTTCCTCTTTATTCTCTCAGTGTTTACCACCCTGCCCATGCTGGAACAGGACTGCAGTGGTCAGGATTTCTCTATTTGCAAATGACAGAAATCTAACACGAACTAGCTTGAGCCAATTTAAAAAAAAAAAAAAAAGAAAGAAAGAAAAGGAGGCGCGCACCTCGCATAAGTGAGACTGACCTCTGAGGGATGGCATTGGCTTTATTCCCAGCTGAGACTAGGGCCCAAATCAGCCCATGAAGACTCTCTGTCAATTTGCTTTGCTTTTCTTCTGTATTCAGGCTCCTATATTTCCATGACTTGCAAGTTTTTCCTGGCAAAACTTCCCTCTTTCTTTCAGGGAAGGATTCTTATTTGACTAACTTGTGGCTAGCGTGGTTGAAAGGGGCTGCAGTTATCTATTGACACATTAAAAAAACACCTCAACACATGTTGACTTAAAATACAAATATTTCTTTTATTTACTTATGTTTCTGAAATTTGTGCAAGGTATGTCAGGGACAGCTCATCTCTGCTCCACGTGACACCAGCTTGAGGCAGCTCAATTGGAGCTCAAGGATTCACTTCCTGGACAGCTTCTCCCATGCAAGTTAGTGCTGTTTGTTGGCTGGAAGCTCAGCTGGGGTTGCTGGCTGGAAGACTCAGTTCTCCTTCACATGACCTCTCCACATGGCTAGGTTGGGCTTCTCATGGTATGGCAGTCTTAGAGTAGTAGGACTTTGTACATAGCAACTGACTTCTTCCTGAGAACAAAGTGAAAGCTTCGAGTTCTTTTAAAGGCGTAGCCCAAAACTGATACAAGGATAGTCATGCCACATTCAGTTGATTACAGCAGATCACAGGGCCAAGCTCAGATTTATGAAGAGGGGACTACGTACACAAGGGCGTGAATACCATTGTCATGGTTTACTTGGGGCACCGAACTGTGGGTTTAGTCTGCTATGGTGGATAATGAACCTTTGTGACTAATGGTCTAAACAGGACCATGGGAAAATGGGAGGGCAGGCTCACAAAGGAAACAGGGCTGAAAACAAACCTCCAGTATCCATGGCAACCATTTCCTAGAGTGCTAGAAATTATTCAATAAAGCAAAGCTGTGTTTCTCTTTAAGTGTATTTACTACATAATTTGTACATTTTCTGGATTTGGGGAAGTAATTTAAAACTTAGGTTTAAACTTAAAGACTCTCAAACCTTTTTCCCATTCAACTTTTCTTATATTATGAATGAAAACGATGGTGATACATAGCAAACAGTGCTCTAAAGGAATTAACTTGTGCAGGATTCATGATAAATAAAGTATAATGTTACTAATCCAATGGTGGTTATTTGCCATAACCTTTTTAATGTGACAATTCTTTGGCCTACATCTGCATTTTTATGGTTTGCATTTATTCTCAACGGTATGAATCCCAAATTGTCAAATTACTTAGGCTGATTTGTGATAATTAGCTTTAAGTTAGAATATTTGAAATGCATTCAATTAATTTTATCTGTTTAGTGAAGTACAATATGGATTTTAGCATTACAAAGTTTTCTTTATAATATTAGCTATGCATTTGTTAAAGGACATGGTGGACTCAAATTACTCTCATTTGAATTTTATATTTAGAAAATGAGCATGCAGTATTGGGGATTAGGCAGTATTAAGAAAATGTATGTAGAAAGATTATCTAGGATGGAATCACCGAAAATCCTGGAATATTTAGCAGACACTTGTTGACTGATTTTACCTGCAGCAAATATGAGGCAATAACAACTGTGTAAATTATTTAGAGACTAGTCATCCATATGGGGATTCCTTAAAATCATTTCAGAAAACAATTTGGCAGGGTATTTTCTTTATACTTATTTTTTCCAAGTTCATGTACAAAAGAGATATAGATCCACACAAAGTGGATTATCACTGATTCTTTTAAAATGAAATTAAATATTTTAAAACATTCAAGTGACGATTGGGTGATCTTTCCTAGCTAAAGCTTTCTTTGGTAGTTTATTTATCTTAAATATTATTTTTGTCTTTCAAAGGGTATTATATAGTGAATGTAAGAGATTTATTAAAAACCTTGGATTGCTTGAGAGTGCTTTAGAACTTTGCCTTAAAATCTGCACATAGGCAAAATTCCTGATATTATGAGTTGGGATTTCCAGTGTAAGAGGATTTCAAATCGCTGCTGAAAAAAGGGCTTGTTACAGATTTCTAAGCATCCTGTATCAGAAAGGCCCAGCTACTTACACAATCGCTGAAACTAAAATGGGACAGGACCAGACACATGGAATGAAAGAGACCAATTTAGACCAAGTGAAAGGTATCAACTTCTCTTAAAATTAGCCTTTTATTCTAGAGAGAGATCTTACACAGCTCCAAAAGCAGATAGAATAATCAGTATTTACATAGTTATGGATCTCTTTGTATATGGAGATGGGAATTATTTTGTAAAGATTTCCATTGTTTAAAGCAGTTGGAGACATAGTGTTGGGAAGAGCAGTTATTTGGGTGTTTATAGACATGCAGTTAGAGACCCCAAATACTTACTTACAAGTCACGTGACCTTGAAGCATTCAAAATAACCTTTATTTCCCCTCCATAATAACATTTTCGGATCTCAGTCCTGCACTCTCTTGGGATTGTTCTGAAGATACAGTGAGAGAATACCAAAATACTTTACACACTACAAAGCATTATGTTATTAAAATTTATATTATCACTAGTAACAATAAAAATAAAACATGACTGGGTAACTGGCCTATACATACATGATGCATTAAAAAAATCCAAGCAGATTGGAAGTGTCTTATTTTTATAAACATGTTCACTCCAAAAGTATACAAGGTCCAAAGTAGTTCATGCATTTCCCCCCTATTATTTTTAAAGTACTAACCCTTATTTTATTGACTTGCAGTGGACACAAAATCTAGAGAGATGACTGGACGCATTTTTCCTGAATAGTTGGGGATTATATTTTATTAACTGCAACCCAGAAGGGTCATGGCTGTTTTTAAAGAGAAATTTGCCTCCTGGTATGGTTTCTTGAGATGATCAGTATCCGGTTTTAGGAGGTTTGGCAATGGTGTTGGGTGTGTGGGGCTGGTGGGATATTTTTGTTAATGGTTTGTTTCTCTGTGTTTCTCTCCCAGCTATCGGCAGGACCCTCATCCCCCGTTACTTTAGCACTGTGTTTGAAGGAGGGGTGACCGACCTGTATTACATTCTCAAACACTCGAAAGAGTCATACCACAACTCATCCATCACGGTGGACTGCGACCAGTGTACCATGGTCACCCAGCACGGGAAGCCCATGTTTACCAAGGTACAGGACAGGCTCTGTCACATGCCCGGCTTTTCCTACTCTGAGAGCATTAAAGAATAATAATTATGGTTTTCCTATGGAACCTGGGGCCGATTGCTCATCTCCCAGACACTTTCAACACCATGAGAGAATCTTTCTTGTTTGTGACATGGCTTGACTCTTGGGGTGAACACGGTTCTAAGATGTGTGCATGAGATTCTGAGCACATGAAAATCAAAGAGGAGGGAGCCCAAAACTAAGAGGAAGAGAGGTTCTAGTGCCTTTTAAATTTTAGTTGCTAGATTAGAATTGTTGTTTTATACAAAAGATCTACTATAGCTGAAAGAAATATCCTATTTTCGCGTGGTCAGCACTGTATTTCAGCTTTGTTACTGAAATAACTTTTTAGAGCTGGATTCAAATTTGAATAAGGGAAGAATCCTCTAACCATGACCCAACTGTAATCTGTAAGGAACATAAAAACTTTAAAATGTCAATGAAATTAGGGAATTCAACAAGCAGCTGAACAAGTATACTTACAAAAGAGTGAATGAGGGGAGGGCAAGTGTCAGGATCGGATTATCACAATGTTTGAGGCTGAATTCAAAGCCCCATGAAGGCTGTGAAATGAAAAATAGAAGAGATGGAGATTTAACCTCATCTTCTATACATTTTAGATCTATGATCCTTGCCCTACATAGGAAATTGACATATGGAATATTCCCTCTCACCAAAGACCTTTCTGGAACACTACAGATAATCTCTTTATGTCCTTTTGCAGGTAGGAAAATTAGTAAGAACAAATATTTAATCACAGAATCTGACAAACAGAAGTTTATTTTAATGAACACTAGTTTACTGCATTTTGACTAAGACTCAACATGAAACTAATTTGTGATATTAATGATAGCTATCTCTTTTAGTTCAAAACACAAATGACAACGCTCTCTTTATACTTAGGAGAGGTTGAATCATCAGGGTTAATTGCAGAAGCCCAATGTATAAAACTGAAGATGTGTTTATTACTTATGCAATTTTGCTGCAAGAATAAAAATATAATGTTTCTTATTTATTCATTGATCTTTTTGGTATACTTTCATCTCTCCAGTGCCCATGCTGGTGTACGAAACCAAAGGCAAAGGAAATGGTTGTAAAATGCAAAAACAAATCATCAAATACCATTAATTCTACGGCATCTTAATTTTGTCCGTAGACTTTTTTAAATGTAGGAAAGGGTAGGGTTTTTCTTTCTTCCTGTTCTAACAGGCAGAGAGGAGAGTTGTCAGTCAGAGACAAAGAAGCTTCACACTGGATGCAGAAGTCCTGGCTGACAAGAGACTTTTGCTACATGGAAAGTAATGATCACCTGAATGATGGTTTAATCTGCCCATGTCTCACTTCATTCTGGAGATGCAGAACATTTACATAATCTTGTAGATCAGACGGACATGTAAGCCATTCATTTTGCAAGCCATTCATTTCTAGTGTTACAAAGTCTTAGCACTGCAGAGAAAGCCTTTCTCTGCTCCTTCATTATTGGTTTTTTTTTTCTTTTTTCCTCTAGGCTTAATGTTATTTTTAGGTAATTCAAGAGAAACATACCAACTCCTTATGCTGTAAGGGGAAAAAAAAAATCCATGATAATTAAATTAAAAACTTTGCTGTAATTAAGGAGCTGCTTCCAAAGCCAGTAGCCATTGAAAATAAAAATGTATTTTGTAGTAGTCCTTTTATATATTTACTCAATTTCTTTCTCAGGCCAAAACTGATTCATAAATGAAC
This sequence comes from Homo sapiens, assembly GCF_000001405.40. Taxonomy (NCBI): domain Eukaryota; kingdom Metazoa; phylum Chordata; class Mammalia; order Primates; family Hominidae; genus Homo; species Homo sapiens. The sequence continues at coordinate 16,593,941 of NC_000004.12, read as the reverse complement.
ATAGCTGCTCTGAAAGTTTAGTGCTGAACATTTGGGACTTGTTTTAGATCGAAAAGAATCCCATTCTTCAGATGAATCGATAAAGTGTTATTTTCATTCAAATCCAGAAACTAAGGTTTTCCTGTGTTGCATTCTTTCTTATCCTGAAATTTTCCTCTCAGATGGTTGAGTGATTTGTTCAGGTATCTAAGGTGGTCACCAGAAACACCTGAGCACTCCCCTGAACCGAGCTCCCTTGCCCCAAGCAGCAATTGTTTGGACCACCCATCTGATGCGACTCCAAGGAAGTATATTTGCCGACTCTTGAAATGAATATTTCCATACCGTGATGAAAAATATCACTTTCTGGGAAATGGAGCTCAGTTTCATGGACTTAGTCCAGATGCTAATTATGCACATTTATTTTTAGGAAATTTGAAAGGATCCATTTTTTTTTTCTTTTTTTCCTCTCTCAATTTTTTGTTTTTTGTTTTTTTGCTCCTTGGTGATTATTATAATACTCAAAAAACTTTCCAATGTTGTTTTTCTTATATTAATTAAAAATAACTCATTTACATGTAATAAAATATCATGGCTGTTTACTACAAAACAGTGGGCTAATGACCTTTCAGACCTTTTTACAAAGAAAAAGGGTCCAGAAGCCAATGCTTATTTTTAAAGGGAAGCCTGCTATTAGTACTTAGCATATTATGTGCAGGCAGCATCGCAGTGTTCTAATTTAGGCTATCAATAAACTCTCATTCCCCAAATAGCATTTGACCCAGTGGTTCTGAGTTGCTTTTATGAAAATTTGGTCAACTGGTGAATCAAAAATCAGTCGCAATCCTAATCAACAGAAATATTAACTATTCCTCAGGAGTATCATGAGCATTATTGCAATTTCCTGATACCAGGAACATTATTGATTATGGATAAATGTGTAATTAGAATTTTAAAACACACATTATAAAGCCTTTCTTTTATGTTTTCAGTTTTTTAATCAAATAGAAAACAAGGTTTAATAATCAGAAGAGCAGACATCAAGGTTTTCAGAATTAAAGACTCTGAGTAATATTTATATTTGAGGATGTGAACACTGGTGGATTCTGGGAGGAACACTTTCTAGGGTACATTCTTGGGGTTAATTTTAGATTTTACACACTGAAACAAAGTTATGGCCATTATTGGCCACCCTTATCATCTCTATAAAGATTGGTTTATGTTTTCTCTGTTCTCAATTGTTTACTATGAATTTTTTTACTGCTACAGAGAAGTACCATGGAAATGCACCCACCAGTTTTCCTATATGAATACTCACTTATGTCTTTGACAGTTCATCCTTCTTACCTTAGCCTGTATACTACATTATATTTCAGAATTTCTTCTCTTCTCCTGACTCTAACCAAATTATAATATCAATGATCAGATCATGTGTGTGTTTGTGTGTGTGTGTGTGTATATATATATATATATATATATATATATATATATATATATGTATGTATAATGCATATGAATGCGTTTACATATGCAGTACCACTAAGGAAAATACAATGAGCTTTGCACAAGTGTTAATCTAAAAGCACTACTCCATGCATGCTGTTCCAAGCATACAAACTCAGAAAATTACATAAACACTCCCACTTAACAAGCACACTTGATTTCATCGAAGCTATATGAGAATCATTGTATTATGCAGCTATATACACAGTCAATATTGCGTTACAATTAGCCAAAGAAAGAAAAGGGTTAAAAAGCTACTGGTTAGTTTGAGAAATGTTCTTTTTTAGTTTTCTTGTTCCTGGCCTAGTCTCAAGCTAGCACGTGATCGGCTGAATGCCTGCCAGCCTCTTTCTTGTTGATCCTCCGGAGACCATCTGTACTGGGGGCATTGATTAGAGTGTGTCTGCTGGGATTACATCTTTTCTGTTGCCATGCCAACTAATCAGCTGATTTTGGTTACCACAGAAACAAAATGTCAGAGCTCACAGTACGGTAACATGAATTCAGCACAACAGAAAATGTTTTCTTAATTGGGGACCCTTTTGATTTTGGATTCCAAGTGAAAGGCAGCTTTAAAAAAAAAAAAGGCCGACTTCAGATAAAAGCTACATTAATTGTATTGATTAAGAGGAATGCACAGAATTTTTCTGAAGAGAGAAGATGTTAATTCCCTTTTATAGGCTATGCCTGTTTTTTTACCATTTCTGAATAGGAAATACATATATATTTTTTCTTATTTGCCTCCATTCCATTTGCTGGCTGTTGCATGTAAAACAAATCACAAAGCCTTTGGTTTCCTTTAATTTCTATGCTGGGTACAGGGTGTGGAGTGGCTGTCTAGGGCCTGGAAGCTGTGGGTGTAATTACTTGGGGAAGACCAGCAGTGACCAAAATCCTCCTCTGTCCTTTCATTCAAATAAGTCATTTATTTTTCCTTAAAGAAAACATCCAGCGTAGTCAACTCAGATTTGATTCTAAGGATTCCTGCCTTGCACATGGTATACCCCAGTTAAACCCTTGGTTTTGACTGAAACTAGGAGGAGCCCAAGGCCTGCTGCAATTTTCCATTTGTAGGCCCATGACAATTTGACTGCAAGAAAGGTCCCCAACTAGCTCGCTCTGTTACCGTGAACAAAGGACACAATTTAAGTTGACCTTACAGATGCTCCAACTGAGTAATCTGTCAGAGGACTACATACATGCCTTCTCATTATGAAATTCTCTCCCAATAGAAGTAAACCAGACCCTTCACCTGCCCTGCGTTTGTGGTTCATAAATGCAAAACAAATATATTAGATAATTTTTTAAACACTGACATTTAACTAAGCTAATATTTGTTTAAATATCCAATAATCTCCCCCTTTAAAAAGGATTATAGCATCCAAAATCCCTGTCGTGTTTTTGTCAAGACACTTCACTGTTGATGGCTCCCCATAGCTACCTCTCTTTTGTGAAAGCTGTCACCACAGGTGGCTTCTGTCATGCCGACACCCCAGGGGGAATTGTGTGGCTTAATCTCCATGCAACTCTTTTTAATGTCTTCGTAAATTAATTCCAAAGTTGATGATGCTCAAGGGGAGAGGTTTGGGGGAACTGAAGTCTTCTCCCTTTTCTATGCGCTCAACTCTCATGGCTGAGACACCAGAAACAAGGCACTGAAGACTACACAGCCAAGGGGTTTTGAGGCAATGTGCCCACATGCCTGAAATTACCCACAGGTCCTGCTAATTGGATCTGAGGCAAAGGTCTTCACCCAGATTATCAATAATTATCCCACAGTGTTTCTGAAATCTTTGATAAGACGAAGATGGCACACGTTAACAGCATCTTTCTCGAGTAGTGTCCCATCAACACTTGTTAGTAATTCTCCTGTACTGGCATTTGACTTGCTTAAAGAACATGTTACCTTCAGTTAGAGCGCATGGAATGCACCCAACCCAGTGCTGTGGACCAAGTTGCAATTCAGTAAGTGGTGGTGTTTTGTGTTACATTTCCAAAGAGGAAAGTGATTATTAATATTTCGTAAAAGGCTGATATAAATTGTTCACTAACTTCGTGGACTATAGTTTTACAAATACTTACATTCTCTCTTCAGTTAATTAATTTTTACTTATTCATTTATTTGTTTTTGAGTGTGTTTTTTCAAGTGTCTGGAGTGTTGTATGTTTGTTTTTAGCCTAGGAAATCTTTCTCCAAAAAGCTTGATCGGAAGCCCAATGCAGTAAAAAACAGACAAAAATCAAAGCTGCTTAGTGAAATCCAGAAAGTCAATGAGGATCTCAAAGCCGAGATGGAGGCCCAGCTCCTCCCAGCAGAGCCCCTGAGAAGCCGCCGCTAGTGAAGCCCTAGGTCTCAGGTGGCACATGATGACCATTACTGGTCTAGCGCTTTGTGTTTTCTTGGGTAGCATTCTTTTTATCTGTAGCGCTATCATTTACTGCTATCCTACTACATGCCAGGCACAATTCCAGGTAGCCTACGTACATAACTTTATTTAATGAATTTTCCTAACATTCTTACCCAAGGATATTTCTATTTCCATTTTACAGTGAGAAAAACTGGAATTTGGGGAATTTATTAGATTTTCCCCAAATTTCCAGAATGAGTAAAAAGTAGAATTGGGATTCAAATCCAGTACCCTCTGATGCCAAAGTATCCGCCCGCTATTTTGTACTGCTTTCCTAAGGCAGAAATCGTCTGATTAATGAGTTGTAACTATTTAAATTGAACCAATACACTACCACCACTTCCTAGCTCATAGTTGAAATAGGCTCAGCGGTTCGTGATTGCATAGCACTTTCCTTCATTTCAAAGTTGTTAATAGTGAAAGGAATGGTAAATAAAATAGGAACTACATGCTAAAAATGCTATGAATATCAAAAAAAGATTAAAATGCTACTCTGTCACTGATTACTCTATCAAGGAAGAGACCTTCAAAATTCTATTATGTTTCATTAATAATATATATTATTCTTAGAAAGATAAAGTGTCCCATCCCCCTAAGACTGGCCTTTTATGCAAGCAGAATTTATCATTGCTGATGTGCTGAGATTCAAGGAAAATACTCTCCACCATGCTTCTATTTTCTACATGTCAGTAACTGATAATAACTGCCTTGGGTTAAACATTGCCCTCCGGAATTTCGTTTTGGAAATAAAAACTTCCTCCAGTCAGATCAAGTTGTAGTAACTCACACTTAACCATGAATGAGTTTATTGGGTACTTTGTCCTAGAGCAGGATAACCAAGATTAGAATAAGAGCTCAAGCCTCTATGGTTGAAGGATGATGAAAGTGGAGGAAAACTTTTTGACCCAATGTCACTATAAGATGGGTTTTATCTCCATATTTACAGATGAAGAAACTGAGGGTCATAGAGTTTCAGTAGTAACTAGTAGAATTACTAGCACATCATGGCCAATAAGCAGCTGTACAGTCACTTGAACCCACTGATTTTAGAGCTGACATTTGTACCGTGTGCAGTGGACACATCACTCGTGTCACATCTTTACCAAGAGCTAGCACTGCCCAAGGACAGAAAGGGAGACCACGCTGAGTGGCTATGTGAGTTACAAAATGTGGCTTTCACAAAGTGCGTAATGAATGACTGTGTGGTTTGTCACTTCCAGGTATGTACAGAAGGCAGACTGATCTTGGAGTTCACCTTTGATGATCTCATGAGAATCAAAACATGGCACTTTACCATTAGACAATACCGAGAGTTAGTCCCGAGAAGCATCCTAGCCATGCATGTAAGTAATTTAATTTCTGTTTTGCTTTCTTTTCTTTTTTTTCCTCCTTCATTTCACTCAAGGGGAAAAACCCAGTCCTCTCTCTGTGAAAGAATTCCAGTAGTTGTCACGCTTTAGGTAATTAACTCTAAATATTGAGTTTTGTTCTCAACGGTTTTAATCCACAGGCCCTTTTCTCCCCTTTTTGTTTCCAAGATTGGTACATTGTGAGACTATTTTTTATATTTTATTATTTTGAACTCCAAATTGAGGTTACTTCAATAAACAGTTTGTACTTTTCTTAAATTCCATCCAGTCATTATCAAGTACTGCTCTGCTTGGGGCTAATAAACCTGTTATGTATAACTGGGGAATGAAATAAAACAAGAAGTTAGAAAAACAGTTTCCAGTTTTGATTAGAACCATCTGACGAGACATGGGACTCCTCTATCTTCAGATTTGTGTCAGAAGTTGGTCCTCCCTGATCACAGTGCTAAATCTGAAGTGGAATATTTGGGCTTCTCTTGGTTTTGTTTGACCATAAATCACATCAAATTTATTGAGCACAAATTAGGTGCAAGGGTGGGTTCTATGCCGATCTAGAGATGTATTTTAAATGTAAGTAGGAGCTAGTCAGCTGTAATCTCTTAAGAAGTCGTCAAAGGCATCAACTTAAATTTAAGTCTCTCCTCTATAATACATGATGCTTCCATGAAAATCTTTGGAGCAAAATCAAACTTCATAAGCCTAATTTTAAAGACCCTGAACAATCAAAAGAAAATAGCATAACAGTAACTACCATTTACTGATTTTTTTTTACTCTGCCAGGCCTTGAGCTAAACATTTTGTATATCTCATGATATTGAATCCTCACAGTCAGGCAGAGAGTTGAGTTAGTATTGTTCCTGTTTTAAAAGCAAGGAAACTGATGTTCAGAGAATCAGTAAGTTGCCCCATGTTTTTTAGCCCAAAAGTAGCAAAATCAAGATTTTGCCCGAGGTGGTTCTGACTTTGTCTCCCAGCTGTCCCACTCCTGGCTATTTCTCCACGCATTAGTTGTCAGCCACCTCTTTCTGACTAGTTAACACAAGCTCTGCCCTTCCCATTAGCCTTATGCTTTTTGTTGCACCCCCACTCTCCTGCTCCATGATTTCTGGCTGTTTATGCTCCAAGCCCTTGGTTTTTAAAGCTTAGTTTACATTCTCCACTCTCTTTGAGGAAGTCTGGAATATTCACTTCTATTATTCTCAAAATAGACTAAAAGGCAGCAAAGGATAACAGTTGGGAACCTGGGCCCTGGATTGAGACCACATAGGGTTGGACCCTTGCTCTTGTGTGACTTTGGGCAAATGATGTGACATCTCTGTGCTTGTAGTCCCTCATCTATAAGATGGGTACAGTAATAAAGCATGTTTCAGACCATCGAATTAAGAGTTAATGACTGTAAAGCACTTAGAACAATGCCTGGCACATAGTGTGTCCTCTACAGGTTTTGGCGATTGGCTCTCATCATCATCACCGGTAGCCACAGCAGCAGGAACAACATTTTTGCATTTCTTTATTATTATCTTTCCTGTCTTTTGACTGAAATGTAAGTTCCTTGAGGTTGACCCTGGCTACTTGATAGAACAAACGCTTCCTAGCACATAAGAGTGGTTTAATAAATATAGGCTCAATGTCAGGGAAGACCTCTTTTAGGAAATTGACATGAAACTGACATGCTCTGTTTTCTCCTGCATTTTTTATTTATATATACAAATCCAATTGGTAGTATCACTATGAGAAAAGGCATGTACAGAAAAGAATAAGTCACATTAGTATAATCTAGTCTCATGAAGGCAGACGTGGAGACAAGGGGATGTTTACATCCATCTCCCTCTGTTTAGTGCCAATTTGCTTATATCAATTAAGGAAGAAGGAAAGGCAAACAGAAAGAAAGAATATCAACCAAGAGAGTCATTTTAAAATGGATCCCAGAAAGAATTTCCATTTTCTTCTAGCCAAACAGAACATTTGGTGTGGCCCATGGTACTTTATATCCCTTCTTAAAATGTGGCTGACATTTTGGAAAATGTGATACTTACTCTTACAGTCCTGCAGGATAAAAATTGTTGGGGATATCTATTTCCAGACTCAGCTTAATGGGGAGGAGAGTGAGAATTCTGTCTCTCCATATATATGTGTGTGTGTGTGTGTGTGTGTTTTGTGTGTGTGTGTGTGTGTGTGTGTGTGTGTGTGTGTGTATTTCAAGACAGTGGCAAAGTTTTCCAATACAGCCCTCAACCCCAAGCTGTAAAAACACCACCGCTATCACAGCAGGAAACAAAGGCCAGTCCTGAAGCATGGATCTGCCCAGTCCAGGGGGACTGGCTTCTCTAATGAGGGCGTTAGACCTGGAGCTCTCCTGGCAGAGTTCTGTGACTCAGGCTGGAGACCCGAGTGCCAAGGCCTCTCCAAGAGGAAGTAACATCATTTCTCCCAAGGACTGAAAGCACATCTGAGCAGTTTGGTTTTTCCCCAGTCTTGCACAATTGATCTGAAAATGTCCTTGAGTGTTATATGCAAGTGTCTTCAAAATGTAAATTAAATTACCTCCAGCAGCCTGCCCTCCAAATAAAATCAACAATGTCGAGATTGCATTTCTTAGCAGCTGTAGCACAGTCTGAGATTTTCTCAGGACCGTCCTGTAGTGATAAAATACATGTGGGGTTTTTTTTCCATTTAGGCACAAGATCCTCAGGTCCTGGATCAGCTGTCCAAAAACATCACCAGGATGGGGCTAACAAACTTCACCCTCAACTACCTCAGGGTAAGATCAATCGAATGATTTTATTTTTTGGTGAGTTTGAAAAGTACTCCAGAGGTTTATATGCATCCTGAACCAAGAAGTTAAAATGAGGTACTGGTGATATAGCAGTGTCTATGTTCTGTACCAGATGTATGTGTGTGTGTGTGTGTTTTCAATGGAGGACAGGGTTTAATTAACAAAGCATCAAACCTGGAATTTGTCAGGGTTGAGTCCTATATCTGTATGTCTCTTGGAATTAATTATTCAAAGGCTAGCAATGTCCCATTGTTGCAAAATGCTTTGTGGCTGCTTCCCTTGTGGTTGTCTCAAGTTCAAATGGGTTATTGGTGAGTTCATTACCCCAGTGCCTCCACCCAGGCACTGGTCACCCCTTAGGAGAATCAATATACTGCCCCATAGAGTCTCCTGAAGAAATCCAATCCCGTGCTGAAACACAGATATTTCTAAGGCTTCATAAGCACTCTCTGCACAACATGTAACAGATTTGGTGGTGGGTAAAAGAAGGAGATTCTTCCTCTCTACAGCTTAGATTCCCCAGAGCCAAATCCAGGCCTGACAAGAGGCAGAATCAGCTGTGCTCCCCACCCGCCCATCCTAACACCCCTGCCATTGTGGTGGCCCTGAACCACTAAAGAGCCCACTGGTCTCTGCTCAGAGGGAAACCAAAGTCAGCCCAGGAGTGTGGGTGGACGGCGGGTGCTCCCAGCCAGGGTAGCTGGGGCTACATCTTCACAAACCTCTGGTCTCCGCAGTCAGAATGGCTCTCTTGCGGAGCAACTGACATAGTGCGGGTGGGTGGCCTGGGGCGTGATGGTCTATGAAGTTGTTCTCTCCACAATCCAGAAGGCTGCTCTGTACTGCTGGGCATATCGTCTTGTCAGGGAACAGGAGAGTTTTCGCTTAAAACAGGGAAGATGCTCTTCCTCCTGCAGATAAAGAAGTCCCACACTGTGTGTCCTCAGCTGACCCCACATAGGAAGCTGGGACTTTGAAGTCTATCCTAGACTTGGTCACTCACCCTATAGCAAGATCTTGGACAGATTCTTAGTTACATCTTTTAGCTGCATTTAACACAGATTAATAAACATCAAATTTCCTTCCTGCTTCTCCCCACTCCTCTTATTGTCATCTGTAAATGGTTGACTTTCACCTTGTGGTCAAGGCCCACCAGGTACCCCACATCCTGTGGCCCATGAAGACTGAGGTCAGACCTGTAAAAGGGAAAGAAGGCACTACCCGTCTCCTGACAATGATAGCAAGGAAATCATGTATGGGTTTGGGCAGTAGGGAGTAGTGTTTCGAGGTTACCACACGAACACCGTGCTTGCTGCATGTCAGGTTCTTTGCCATGTATCTTGTGACTGAAGTAGTCTCATAATGGACCCTGTGCCCCATTACCATCCCTGTAGCAAAGTGAGGCACCGAGGGTTTCAGTAGGTGGAGTAAGTTGCCCAGCTTTACACACAAGTGGCAGAACTGGGACTTGAACTCAGGCAGCCTGACCCAAGAATCCATGCGCTTCACTGCAGAATGCTGCTCTCTTGCTAGTGAGCACGGGAGACTGATGATATGGATAGGAATTGGGTCATATCTTTCTTGCCTTTGCTAGACAGTCAGCATCTATCAGTAAGCCTTCATTCACTTTGCCAAAAATAATATCAGCTCCTTGTAGGGTTTAGTTCCAGGACTGGGTCAGAAAATCCATGTAAAGGGCTTAGCACAGGGCCTGGGGACAGAAAGTGCCTCATTTGTGTTCAGTCTCATCATGTATTGAGACCTTCTGTGTACCCATCATTGTTTGATGTGCTGGAGCCACGTAGAGAAACACAGCGCCGACTCTCTACTCTCACTCTGGGGGTGTCTAATGCTACTTTATTTCCTGACTTGTGCGTCGTGATTCAGTAGCTATTTACCTTCCCTGCCTTCGTTCCATTCTTTTTCACTCACTCATTACTCCTGGCAGTTTTCCAGTTGCTGGGCTTCATGGTGGAGCAATGGCCTCTGTCCTCAGTTGGTAGTCACAGGCTGGTGGGATGTGGTCAGCTGTGGTTCCAGCGAAGCGTGCTGAAATAGAGGGAGATGCAAAGCCAGAGATAGCCCAGGGAATGATCCTCAGGTCTTAAGGAGCAGCTCAGTGTAGAAGCCATGCCTCCTAGTCACAAATCCTTCGGGCTGACGTGGGCCGCTTGACAGGTCATGGCTGAGCGGATCTCAAACTCATTGCCCAAAAGCAGTGAACATGGGCTTCCGTGTGGTTATCCATATGGGGTAGGTCACTGAGAATGACAGACAAAGGTCATTTCTTCCATTTAGAACTGGGATTTAAGATTCTTCTAGTAGCCTTATCATCTAATTTTTTTAAGACAGCGGAGCAGTCACAAAATACATTCATGTATAAAGTTGCCTTAAGATCTGAAGCCTCCACGTCCATCTGAGGAGCCTGGCCTTTGTCTCAAGCCCCAGAAGGTCAACTGAAGTATTGTGCAAATAAGGTAACAAGAAGCTTCAATGCCACTCCCAGTATCAGAAAAAGAGGTCAGATGGATACTTTGGTAAATATGAATCCAAAGCCTTCTATGCAGTTGAAGAACTTTAAAAACTGATGCGTCCTGTTTTGGAAAGGATGGATAGAGATTTTAAAGGCTCCAGCCATTGAAATTTCAATATGCAGTGTCTAACGTAACAAAATTAAGCAGAGCAGAAAGTAGGCAATTACAGCCATCTAGCTTCGTCAAAACAAGTTCATTTATTCCAATGAAATTCTAATCATTCTCACGGAGACCTGCAGTCAGGAAATACACAGAGCTGACCGAAGGCAGCTCTCACCGTTGGAGGGAGGAGCAGGCGAGACCCTGAGGATGGCCGAGCTGTGGACATTGTGAATGCAGATGATGGGGCTGAACACAGACGCTGGCCAGCAGCACTTTGGAGGGGGCTCTGGTGACCTGGTGCTTTTGAAGCAACAACAAGAACAACTATTGTCATTTGATTTGGGTTATCAAATCACCTGCTGTTCCCTCTTGTCGTTCCCTCCTGTCGCATCCCAGCATGACAAGGTTAGAGGTGCCCCGAGCTAAGAGGTACGATGATGGCTGACTTGGTGGTCCCAGTGGAGCTGTGGCTGGAAGCCGCTGAGCCTGCAGAGATGGCGCCCTGTCACAGTGCGGTCTCACTTCCTCTACAGGCTGCCTCTGTGACCTCTAGAGGGGGCTGTGGCTTGCTGACTGAGTGTCCCTGCAGCAGTTATCCAAGCCAGAGCTGGGAAGGGACCTGCAGGATGGGGAAGTCATTATTTTGTTGCTGTTGGGTATTCCGATACCGGGTGGTGGGTTTCACGAAGCATGTCCTCAGTGTTCTGGGGAAAACTGTTCCATGACATGGGGAGATGGCACCTTTCAGTAAGCAGCACTCTCTGGTGCTGGAACTTGAGCACTAGAATGGGAGAAGCAAGCCAGGAACTCGGAAATGTGTCCTTTGCCTTGTTTGTTGGGAAGCAGAAGTCCTGTTGTCCGCCTGGCATTTTATGAAGGGATCCAATTCAGCAACCATGAGAAGGCAGTGCAGTTTAGTGCGCATTGGGCCATCCGGGTCAATGAGACCTGGCTGTGGAGCCTTGTCAGTTCCCACCAGATCCTGTTTGCCCATTTATTCATTGTTCATTTCACAAGCATTTCTGACACACTTTCTTTGTGCCAGGTTTATGCCCTCAAGGTGATCACTGCCTAGAATGTAAGAAAGAAAAACAAATACACTCTTGGAGAGAAATTGCTCCCAGGTGCAGTGAGAAACATAGCACTAGCTAACATTTCTGGGGCACTTACTATGTGCCAGGCATTGCTGCTATATGCTTTGCAGGGACTTACTTTCTTTTCCTTCCTTCCTTCCTTCCTTCCTTCCTTCCTTCCTTCCTTCCTTCCTTCCCTTCCTTCCCTTCCTTCCCTTCCTTCCTTCCTTCTTTCTTTTATTTCCCTCCCTCCCTTCCTTTCTTTCTTTCTTTCTTCTTTCCTTCGTCTTTCTTTTTTTTTTCTTTAAATACTCACAGCATCCATATGGGGTAAGAACTATTTTTAGTCCTATTTTGCAGGAGAGAAAACTGAGGCACAGAGAAGTAACTTCCCAAGGTCACAGAACTGGTAAGTGGCAGTTCAGGGATCTGGACCCATGATCTGATTCCAGGCACAAAAGACAGAGAGGTTGTTAGAAGACAGGAGAAGGAGGCTGCAAAGTCTTCATAGAGAAGATGGCCCTTGGATTGATTCTAAAAGTTGAGTAGGTGATCATCAGGCAGACAAGGCAGAGGACAGTCCAAAGAGAGGGTCACTGTGAGAGGGGTCAGAGAAGGATGGAGAGTGTTAGTGACTTGGGGAGCTCTAGGAAGTTTCACATAGTTAAAATATAAGTTTCAAGTTTGTTTTAGGTACCAACAAAAGTAGGTGTTTTGAGCCAAAACAATACACCCTGGCTGAGTGATATAATTCAAAAGATTTTTTTTTTCCAGTAACAGCATGGTCAAGACAAGCATCCTCTCACTGTGACATGGGCTTGGGAGTAAGTTAAACAGTATGTATCTGAGAACATCATCTTCTTACTAGCTGTGTGACCCTGGGCAAGTTGCTTGACCTCTCTGAGCCTTCATTTTCTCATCTGTGAAATGGGCTACGCCATCTCTCTCGCTAGGTTCTAGTAGGATAAATGCACGCAGAGCTTTCATTACTCATTCACCAAAGTACCTTTGTAAATGCTTCTGGTCCTCTTTTCTGGGTAGAGCACATCAGAATCTTTCATTGAATTCCCCTGTATGCAGAGCTCATGAGAAGGACTCCATGGGTCAAAACACACGGGAGTTGATCCTTCTCCCTTAATTCTTCGCTTTCATTTCATCAAAATGAAAGCTTCTTCTAACTCAGTTTGAAATTGCCATCATTTCAAATTTCTAATATGAAATTCTTGCATGTGAATGTTTACTGTATGCAACAACCATGTTTTCTTTAAATAGCTTTAAAGAATAAGATTTTAAAATTGGAGAAGTAATTGATGTCTATTTTATCTCCAACAATATAAAGAAAAGAGGGGTGGACAATGCAGAAATCATATCCTTACACATTTAAAGCAAGCTGCCACAAACTTCCAGGCTGGCATTGAGTAAAATGTGCCATTTTCATGTTCATTTATCTCCTGTAACAATAGAGTAGGCATTCCTTGCATTCACTGAACAGAATGCAAGAAACAGTAGGAATGGCATTGCTTTATACAGTTGTCTACATCTCTGATGATTTGGGGTAGTCTGCTTTCATTCATAAATTTCACATCAATTAGCTAACCAAGAATTTGGTGGCATCTACTTACTATATTTTAGTCACAAAAAGGATGGAGTGGGATGTTTACAAGAATGCCTAAGGCACATTCTCTTTTTTAAAGGAATTTAAGATACTGTTACAAGTAAGTCTGCTTCCAGTTCATATTGTCAGTCTCATCTGGGGACTTCAGGTCATTCCAGAATTTTTATCCTCTCCTAATTTTCCTAAGGATATCATGATCCTCTCAGTCTCAGCAGGGGGCTTAAATTTGACTTGTTTACTTGTTTACTTAAATTTGACCTGAATTTTTCAGTGTATTAATCAATTGCTCTGCTTCACCACACCTTCTTTCATTTGTACACAAAGCCCTCTGTGATCCTGCCTCTGCTGCCTCCCAGCCTCATTCCATGCCCCTTCCCCAGCTAGTACTCCATCCTGGACCACACGAACCACCTACAGTTAATCCAAATTGGTCATGCTCTCTTGCCTCCATGCCTTTGCACAGCATGACTCACTGCCACTGCCTGGAACGCTGTTGCTACCCTTCTCTCATCATCCAATTTTCCCAGGCTAAATCCTCCTCATCCTTCAGGATTCCTTCATCTATCAACTCCTGTGAGAATATCTCTCTGACTCTCAGCTGGGGTAGGAGCCTCTCCCCAGTGCTCTGGGAGTTCTGTGCACAGTCTCAGGATTAACTCTTGGCAGGTCCCATATAAGAATTGTCTCCCCACTCGTTTGTCTCCTGAACTAGACTCTGAGCAATGTGAAGACACGTAAGTACCCAGTAGATATCTCTTGAGTGTATGCTTGGCAGATGGATGGTTTGGTAAATGGAAGGCAAAATTTCAAATGACAACAATAAGAACCACACAAATAAAACTCAGTTGAATTCATTTGCCCTACAGCATCTAGAAAAAAACATGTGATTCATTTCTAAAATCACTACCTAGAACTTCACCATGAAATCTGAGGAACAAAAGAGTTGAATGCATTGAGAAAATAAAAGGCAACATGGTATGAGGCCCTCACATCTCTCTAGGGTGCAGATTCCCACTTAAATACTCAGAGCTCCCGATGTTAAATTTTTATTCTAATATTATTTCTTCTACTTGCTCTAAATCAGTATTTAATCCTTACTCTAAATGTCATTATGGTATTTTCATTATACTGGAAATGCGTTCTTCTAAATATTGAAAACAGATTTTTTAATGAATGATTATCTTTTTCTATTTCCTTTGGCCACATTTTCTTAATGCTAGGTTACAAATGCTTCTTTTGTGTTTTGTTAAAATTTTAAAATTTTCAGGGTACATAGTAGGTGTATATATTTATAAGTTACATGAGGTATTTTGATACAGGCATGTAATGCATCATAATCACATCAAGGTAAATACGGTATCCATCACCTCAAGCATTTATCTTTTGTGTTTCAAACAATCCATATTCTTTTAATTATTTTAAAAAGAACAATTAAATTATTTTTTTACTGTAGTCACCCTGTTGTGCTAGATTTTTAAAATTCTTTCTAACTCTGTTTGGGCACCAATTAACCATCCTCCTTTTCCGCCACCCTGACCCTTCCCAATCTGTGGTGACCATCCCCACTCTCTATCTCCAGTTCATTTGTTTTAATTTTTAGCTCCCACAGATAAATGAGAACATGCAATATCTGTCTTTCTGTGCCTGGCTTATTTCACTTAATATAATGACCTTCAGTTCCATCCATTTTGTTGTAAATGACAGAATCTCATCTTTTATATGACTGAATAGTACTCCATTGTGTATATGTGCCATATTTTCTTTATTCATTTGTCTGTTGACAGTTAAGTTGCTCCAAAATCTTGGCTATTGTTAATAGTGCTGCAATAAACACAGGAGTGCAGCTATCTCTTTGACATACTGATTTCCTTTCTTTTGGGTACTTAGGAATGGAGTTGGATTGCTGGATTATACTATATTTAGTTTTTTGAAGAACCTCCAAACTATTCTCCATAGTGGTTGCACTAATTTACATTCCTACCTATAGTGTGCAAAAGTTCCCTTTCTCCACATCCTCACCAGCATTTGTTATTGACTGTCTTTTGGCTAAAAACCATTTTGACTGGGATGAGATGATATTTCATTATAGTTTTGATTTGCATTTCTCTGATGATCAGTGATGTTGAGCACCTTTTCATATACCTGTTTGCCATTTGTATGTCTCTTTTTGTGAAATGTCTATTAAGATCTTTTGCCTATTTTTAATCAGATTATCAGATCTTTTCCTGTAGAGTTTTTTGATCTTCTCGTGTATTATGGTTATTAATTCCTTGTCAAATGGGTAGCTTGCAACTATTTTCTCCCACTCTGTGGATTGTCTCTTCACTTTGTTGATTGTTTCCTTTGCTGTGCAGAAAGTTTTTAACTTGATGTGACCTCTTTTGTCCATTTTTGGGGTGCCTGTGGGGTATTGGTCAAGAAGTCTTTGCTCAGTCCAAAGTCGTGGAGAGTTTCCCCATTGTTTTCTTTTAGTAGTTTCATAGTTTGAGAGCTTAAATTTAATTTTATAATCCATTTTTATTTGATTTTTGTATATGGTGAGAAATAGGGGTCTAATTTCATTCTTCTGCATATGGATATCCAGTTTTCCCAGTACTATGTATTGAATAGGCTGTACTTTCCTGAATGTATGTTCTTGGAACTTTTTTTGAAAATGAGTTTACTGTAGACTATGGATTTATTTGTATGTTCTCTATTCTGTTCCACTGGTTTATGTCTCTGTTTTTATGACAGTACCATGCTGTTTTAGTTACTATATCTCTGTAGTGTAAGTCAGATAATGTGATTCCTCCTGTTTTGCTCCTTTTGTTCAGGATAACTTTGGCTATTCTGGGTGTTTTGTGGTTCCATATAAATTTTAGGATTGTTTTCTGTGTTTTTGTGAAGAATGTCATTGGTATTTTGATAGGGATTGCATTAAATCTATAGATTGCTTTGGGTAGTATGGACATTGTAACAATATTGATTCTTTCAATCAGTGAAAATGGAATATCTTTCCATTTTTGTATATCCTCTTCAATTTCTTTCGTCAATACATTGTAGTTTTCATTTTAGAGATCTTTCACTTACTTGGTTAATTCCTAGGTATTTTATTTAATTTGTAGCTATTGTAATTGGGATTACTTTCTTGGTTTCCTTTTCAGTTTGTTCACTGTTGGCATAGAAAAGTGGGACTGACTTTTATATTGATTTTGTATTGCGCAACTTTACTGAATTTGTTTATCAGTTCTAATAGTTTTTTGGTGGAGTCTTTAAGTTTTTCCAAATATAAGATGTTATTGACAAACAAGGATAATTTGACTTTTTTCTTTCCAGTTTGGATGCCCTTTATTTCTTTCTCTTGTTTGATTACTCTAGCTAGGACTTCCCGTACTATGTTGAATAACAGTGATAATAGTGGGCATCCTTGTCATGTTCCATATCTTAAAGAAAAGACTAAAACTTTTCCCCATTCAGTATGATACCAGCTGTAGGTCTGTCATGTATGGATTTTATTATGTGGAAGCATGTTCCTCCATACCCAGTATTTTAGGGTTTTTGTTATAAAGAGATGTTGAGTTTTATCAAATGCTTTTTCAGCATCAATTGAAATGATCGTATGGCTTTCGTCCTTCATTCTGTTGATATGATGTATCATATTGATTGATTTGCATACGTTGAACTATTCTTGCATCCCTGAGATAACTACCACTTGGTCATGACAAATGATCTTTTTAATGTGCTGTTGAGTTTGGCTTGATAGTATTTTATTGAGGATTTTTGCATCAATATTTATCAGTGATATTGGCCTGTAGTTTTCTCTTTTTATGATGTGTCTTTGTCTGGTTTTGGGATCAGGGTAATACTGGCCTCTGAGAATGAGTTTGAAAGTAGTCCCTCCTCCTCTATTTGTTGGAATAGTTTCAGTAGGATTGGTATTAATTCTTTAAATGTTTGGTAAAATTCAGCAGTAAAGCCACCAGCTCCTGGGCTTTTCTTTGCTGAAAGCCTTTTTATTATAGCTTCAATCTTGTTACTCATTGTTGAGGTGTTCAGGTTTTGGATTTCTTCATGTTTCAATCTTGGTAGGTTGCCTGTGTCTGGGAATTTGTCCCTTTCTTCTAGATTTTCCAATTTATTGGCATACTTGCTCATAGTAGCTATTAAGGACCTTTTAAATTTCTGTAGTATTAGTTGTAATGTCTCCTTTTTCAACTATGATTTTATTTATTTGGTTCTACTGTCTTTTTTTTTTAAAATCTGGCTCAAGGTTTTTCTAATTTGTTTAACTTTTCAAAAAAACCAACCTTCATTTCCTTCATCTTTTGCATTGTTTTCTTCATTTTAATTTCATTGATTCCTGCTCTGATCTTTGTTATTTCTTCTAGAAATTTTGGATTTGGTTTGCTCTCGTTTTTCTAGTACTTTAAGATGCATTGTTAGGTTGTTTATTTGAAGTTGTTCTTCGTTGATGTGGGCACTTTCAGGTATAAACTTCCCTCTTAGTACTGCTTTTGTTGTATCCATAGGTTTTGTATGTTATGTTTCTATTATCATTTGTTTTAAAAGATGTTTCTGGCTCACGCCTGTAATCTCAGCACTTTGGGAGGCCGAAGCAGGTGGAAATCACGAGGTCAAGAGTTCAAGACCAGCCTGTCCAAGATGGTGAAACCCCATCTCTATTTAAAAAAATACAAAATATAGCCAGGCGTGATGGCAGGTGCCTGTAATCCCAGCTACTTGGGAGACTGAGGCAGAGAATTGCTTGAACCCAGGAGGCGGAGGTTGCAGTGAGCTGAGATTGTGCCGCTGCATTCCAGCCTAGGCAACAGAGCGAGACTCCGTCTCAAAAAAATAAAAAGTTTCAATTTCCTTCTTAATTCCCTCATTGATCCACTGGTCATTCAGGAGCATATCGTCTCATTTTCATGTATTTGTATAGTTTCCAAAATTCCTCTTGTGATTGATTTCCAGTTTTATTCCACTGTGGTCAGAAAAGGTGCTTCATATTATTTCAATTTTTTTGAATGTTTTAATACTTGTTTTGTGACCTAACGTATGGCCAATCCTTGAGAATCATCCATGTGCCAAGGAAAAGAATGTGCATTCTACAGCCTTTGGATGGAATGGTCTGTAAATATCTATTAGGTCCATTTGGTCTCTAGTGCAGATTAAGTTCAATGTTTCCTTACTGACTCTCTGTCTGGAAGAGTGGTCCAATGCTGAAAGTGGGGTGTTATTTTTTTTAAGCATTATGTTTTACATGACTTTAAAACATCTTATCCTGTATCTCAGCCAAAAGATATTTTCTTTGTGTGTTCTCTTCCTCTTTATCCATTCAGATGCATAATTTCTGCACAAATGCAATCAGGTTACGTACAATTTCTTAATGTTATTTAGTAAACACTTGCATGTTTCTGCATAGTCATCATTAACCATAAAATAGCTACAAATATGCCTGTGTGGTGCTATGATGTGTTTAATCATTTCTCTAATGTTGAGCGAGGAAGTCATGTTCAAATTGTTGGTGTCATTAATACCACTCCCCTAAACACCTTTGTCATGTCCTGCTCTTAACAATGTTTTCTGCAAGTAGAAGGCTGAATGGCAGAGGCATTAATAATAGGAATAATAATAAGAAGAAGACAAATAAATGTGTTTTGGAGTCAGCAAAATGTAGGTTCAAATCCTAATGCTTCCCCTTACTACCGACAATAACCTTGAACAAGTTTCCTAAGCTCCCCGAATCCAATTTTTTTCATCTGAAACTTGGAAAGAATAATATGTCTCAAAAGTTTGGCATGAAGATTAGATGGACCACAGTTTGAAAGAGCCTGGCAAACAGAAGAAGCATAATAAATGCCAGTCTCCTCCTGTACTTTCTGAGTGCAGCAGATCAGGACTCAACTTGTACTGCTGCCATTTATTTTTTACATTATATTGATCAAGTTGCCTTAATTTCTCAGCACCCCAGTTCTCTCATGTGTGAATAATTATGTCCATTCTGAATCACAGTAACTACAGGTTGAGGGTGAAAATAATAATGCATGTGACAAGCACTTCCTAAACTGTAAATTACTACTCCAGGAAGCCAAGTCCATACATTGGTTGCGGCTTTGAATTCTATGCTGAGATTCTGATGCTGCAGGCAAGATCAGAAAGAAGAGAAGGAGTGACTGATTGATGATGTCTGCCAAGAAGTGTGGCCTGAGGGAGCTGGAACATGTGCCTGTATTTGGCACCTCTCCCCAGTACAAGTGTTATCACATATGTATAATCATTATCATTGGGATATTTTTGATACTATCTATAGGCTATTTGTTGTTGTTATTGTTAAGTAAGTCTAAATCTTCAAATAAGCTGTATCATCAACTGAGTGTGAGAGCATTTAGATTTCACAGTAGTGGTTTTTGATCCTGTGCCTTTAATTTCCCAAGTGAATGAAGATTTTCGTTGTTGTTATTGTTATACTTTAAAGAACATTGGTCCCTGCATGTAGCCTCCGCTGATAGCAACAGGAGTATAGTCCAGTGCCTAAAAGAATTGGGCAATTCGCTTTGGAAAATGACCTCCATCAGAATGACATAAAGTGGCCTGCAGCAGAATGAGTGTGGCTGAAGTCAGCATTTGGAATCCGGCCGAGGTTTTTTGTTTCTTATTTTTGTGAGGTTTTGACTCCCAGCCAGGGTACTTCCCTTGGTTACATGACAGGAGAAGGCATTACAATTCAACCCCCTTTTCCACCTAAATGGCAAGCCAAGCCTGAGGATGAAACAGGAATCCCTGCTCAGAGACTGAGATGACCCGTAGTTACTGGTAGTCACAGTAGGCTGGAATCCAGGTATACCATTCACCATTCATGCATTCTGACAGAGCCGCAAGAAACCCTCATTAAGCCCTGACGTTCTGAGGAGGCAGAAGCCACACCAGAAAATCTCCTATGCCTCACTCAATGCCCAGGATACTATAAATCCTCAAAAGACTTAAGCATAAAAGCTGCTATTCAAAGTGTGGCCCATGGGTCACTGCTGGCTTTTAAACTGTCTGGTACCAATCTGTCATGAGTTCAGAAAATGAGAATAAGAACTTTAAGACTACTATAACTGTTCGGCATTGTCAGGTAGACTGATAGTGCATGACCAGTGGACTCATCTCATTGACTGGGAGTGCATGACTCATCTCATTGACTGGGATATAGACCAATTCAAGGTTTATCGAGCTCATATGGCAAGTGGCCACTAGTCTAAGGCTGGAGGAGCACGTGTCACAGGCAGTTTGGAAAGGACCAGCATTGAGCTCTGTAACATGAGTCTGATTCAGAAACCAGCTCCGTTGT
Organism: Homo sapiens; assembly: GCF_000001405.40. Lineage (NCBI taxonomy): Eukaryota > Metazoa > Chordata > Mammalia > Primates > Hominidae > Homo > Homo sapiens. The sequence goes on along the minus strand of NC_000004.12, from coordinate 16,573,267 downwards.
CCCCAAGGACCCACCAGAATAACAATTATCATAATACCATTAGTTCCCTCTATATATATATTAGGAACTATATGCACCTAATGGAATGATAAGTATCATTATCCCCATTTTTACACATACAAATCCATCAATGCCTAAGGCCACAAAGCCGATCCCGCAGCAACGTTTTCCTGGGCTCAGGCCTGGCTTGTTCTTAGAAGCTGCTACACCACTCCACCGTGGGGTTGAGAACTGGAACCCTGGCATGGGCCCATAAAGGAGAGACAGTGCTTTAGAGAAGGTGAGGATTCGGCCTCTGAAACAAAGCTGTCAGATCTCAGTCTTACTTTTCCCTTCCTCCTCCTTCACCTTCTCCTCCTCCTCCTTCTTTTCCCCTCCGCCTCCTCTTTCTTGGAGAAAGGCCCCATCTGAGAGGAGGCAGAGAAAGCCCTTTGGAGCCATGGGAATGCGGCACACAGAGAATGATTAAAACTTGGAACACCCGAAGGGCACTTTTAATTGCATTTGGAGATAGAAAAGTAGTACATATGACTACATGATAAGGGAATTAATGCAGTTAACTCTTAAAGAAGTGAATAACCATAAGTTACAGACAGGTCAGTGTCTAGAAATCAGTGATTTCTGAAGTCAGGCCAAAGAAAATGACTATCAGCACATTAAAAAAAATACACACACACACATATATATACAAAACAACAAATACATATATATACAAAATAAACAAAAACAGTATTTCAGCAGAGCAATTCTAACTGAAAACAATTTCAGAGCTACAGATGCCGCCAAAATTTTTGGCCTTAAGTGTACAAATAGGGCCTAGATTAAAGAAAGTAATTTCCCAGTCTCAGGCACTAGAGAAAGAGAAAGAAATTGTTTAACAAGACACTGAAAGTCAAGACAGACGGTAAGGTGGGAAATTGGCAGTCAGTCTAAGGGAAAGCCGAGGGATTGCAAGTTAAGTGCAGATGGAGCTCAGATCTGTTGCTCCCAGGAAACAGTCTTCCCAATTGTCTAGAATGGTTAAAAAACAAAAACAAAAAAAACAGTATATCAGGAAAATGGGGAGGGCAAAGCATGAAGGGAGTTGTTTGAATTTATTTTTGATTTAAGGCATAGGCAGGGAAGTAGCCTGAAATCAGAAAAGGAACTGGCGGGCTTCACTGCTTAGTGAACTCAGTCAACACCCTTCTCTGTGGCTGGTCTCTGATCACTCTTCCACTTTGCCCAGGTACCATCTTGCTGAATACAGAAAACTCAAGTTCTTTAAAGACAGCAACTATTACTGTAGATTCTATGGCCTCATCGTCTGTCCCTAGCAGAGTTTAAGGCACACTATAGGTGGTAATAAACAAATATGTGAAAGAGAAGAAGGCATATGAACCTAATGTCCCTGGTCTTGATCTAGATAATGAATTTGGGAACAGCTATAAGTGTTTACCATAATTAAGAGAAAACAAATATAATTTAAAAAGTGTCCACCACATACCTCTCAATGGAGAAGAAAGGGCAGTGAACTAGTATCTTGGAGTCCTACCAGGGCAAGGCACAAAGTTGGCTTCATTTAATCCTAAATAGACATTTGAGAGGGAGGTGTTAATGGCCTAGTTTTACAGAAAAAGAAACTGAGGCTCAGAAAGGTCCTGGGACTCATCTAACTTCATGCAGAAGGTAAACCGCCAGGCTGGGATTACATCCCATGTTGACCTAGTGCCTTCCTCACTATCATGCTGCAAAAATGTTACCTCCTAAGAGATCTGGATCAAAGACCTGGATTGAAGTCATTTCTACTGAGATGACCAGGCTTTTTTTTTTTTGCCGAATTGCCCACAGATGCAATGGATCGAGAACACCAAAAACTACTCAGGGCTTAAGCATAATGGGATCAAAAACCCTCCTGGACTCATTCCACGATAACTCCCATCCCTGTTGATCTGAGACTTCAAAATCCCAGGTTTCAAGGCCACCCTTTATCACCCAGGCTCTTATCCCTATGCTAATGTCAGCACATATATTTAAAAAATGTAGATCAAGCTGTGTCACTCCTCGAAGGAGAACCTTAAAACCATTCATTTGCTGAAAATCATCTGGTGACAGCCCACTGCACTCCAAATGAAATCCAAAATACTTAGCTTGGCCTGCAAGACCTTACGGGATCTAGCCTCTCCAACTTCATCTCCTTGAAGCTCCAGTGCTCCCTGCCCCCAACTTCTGGCCTGATTTTTGCTTTTCCAACATACCAAGTTTCTTATCATGCCAGGGACTTTGTACTTGCTGCATCAGGATCCTTAACTAGCTGTAGAGCCTTGGGCAGTTGCCTACCATTTCTGTGCCTCAATTTCCTCACCAATAAAACAGGGATAATAATAGCCTCTTATCTCAATGAGTAATTGAGAGCATTAAATAAAATAGTACCAGAAAAGTGTTCACGATAAAGCTGGCACATAGTAAGCATACAATAAATATTTGCTATTTTATGATTATCATCGTCATCATCATCATCCCACTGCCTGGAATACTCTAACCAAATTTTTTTTATGACTGGCTCCCTATTATTCAGATTGCAAGACAAATGTGACTTCCTCCAAGAAGTCTCTCCTGATTAGCTTATCTTAGGCAACCTTTCTACCTTAGTTATTTTCTCTCACACCTCATCATTTGTTTTGTTTTTTGTAGTATTTTTCATCAGTTGAATTATCTTACATAATCATCAGTTTACCCTTCTGTTGTTTCTCTGCCTCCCGTGGCTATCACTGAGATGTAAACTTTTTTTTTTTTTTTTTTTTTTTTTTTTTTTTTTTTTTTTTTGAGACAGAGTCTTGCTCTGTCTCCCAGGCTGGAGTGTGGTGGCGCCATCTCGGCTCACTGCAAGCTCCGCCTCCCAGGTTCACACCATTCTCCTGCCTCAGCCTCCCCAGTAGCTGGAACTACAGGTGCCCGCCACCACACCCAGCTAATTTTTTGTATTTTTAGTAGAGATGGGGTTTCACCGTGTTAGCCAGGGTGGTCTCGATCTCCTGACCTCGTGATCCGCCCACCTCAGCCTCCCAAAGTGCTGGGATTACAGGCATGAGTCACTGTGTCCAGCCGATGTAAACTTTTTGAAAGCAGGCATTGTGTTTCTTTTTCCCCAATGCCTAAAACAAGGACCTGATATGCAGTGAATAGAGAGGGTCAATCATTTTAATTCTACTCAACTTGAGATGTGCTCCTTGAAAAGTCAGAGTGTTAAAAAGCAAACACTTTGGGTGAATACTTGAGAGCACTTCTGCGAAGGCTGTTAACTGTCCTTGACATCATGGACTGAATGCCTGCAGCACTCTTCCTCCAGAGACTTGATGTTCTTATTTGCAATTCATAAACAGCCCTGTATGTGAGGGTAGGTGTGGGGTGTCATTAACTTTATTTGATAAGCCTTCCTTATCTGTAAAATAAGACAGCTAAACATGGCTTCTAAGCCCTTTTCCAACTTAAGCATTATGAAAAGAAAGAATACAGAATAGAAATATTAACAACTACCACATATAAAATAATAAATACCATGCTGCAAATGAGGAAACTGACGCCAAGCAGCTGGATGGATGGATGGACGGATGGATGGATGGATGGAGGGATGGAGGCTGACCCAGGTTTATCTGCCTACTGGTATAGGATGGTTTGGGGTGGTCTTTTCTTGGTATTCCATTTGAAGGACTCATTCACTTCCATTCAGCCCGCATTTACTAAGCATCTGCTGTATGTCTGGGTCTACTCTGGTCTCCCTATTTGATACTACTTATGTCTATGCTCCTCAGAGTCTCATACATATTGCTCTGATCTCCTTAAAATTTGTTCTTGGCCAATCATAGCATAAGACTCAAAGTCTACTCAAGAAGCAGCTAATTCCTCTCTCTTCTCTTCAAGCCTAATTTCTAAACTTTGTGAAAGAAGGTAGGGATGGAGCAACCCCTTTTCCGTTCAATCATGCCATGGATCATTATGGAAACTTTTGACTTAAGAGCAGAAGTCAACTCTGGAGAACTGACAATGTGGATTTTATTTTTCGAAAGTATTTGTAGCCTTAGGAATTGAAGAAGTTATTTTTTATCCTTCCTCTTCCAACTTTCGCCTTGGATTCTGTCTGTGCTTTACCTAAAGAAAAAAATATGTGGCCACCTACCAAATTCTTGAACAGTTTTACCATGAGTAGAAACCTTCAGTAGAAAAACAGAGGTCTACATGATGTTGATTAACACTGATTAGCAGAATTTACACATATACACAAAATGGCAGGAACCCTGTTACATGTAACTTCATAAGTTTTGGAATTCTTGGTATCTCACTAACAGAAGGCAGGAAAGATAAAACCTTGCCTGCGAAATTCCTCTGACTGTTGAAGAGGGGTCAGGCTTCGACAGTGGGTCTTATCCTTTGTCAATTAATTACTTCAACATTAATTGCACAGTTCACCCTTGAACAACATCAGTTTGAACTGCGAGGGTCCACCTATATGTGGATTTTTTAAAACTACAGACTGTTCAAAAATACAGTAATCACAGGATGTGAAAGCCACGTATATGAAGGGCCAATTTTTCTTATCTGTAGGTTCTGCAGGGAAGGCTCTGAGTATGCACAGATTTGGGTGTTCGTGGGGGTCCTGGAACCAATCTCCTGAGTATGCTGAGGGATGAGTACATTGCATCTAACTCTGGCTTGCAATTAAGAACAGGAACAGTTACTCTTCTGTAAAATGGGTTTCGGGATGGGTTAGTGGGCTAATACCTACCTGCACAGGTTAAAGAATAAATGACGCCACTTATATTGAAATGCTTTTTAAGCCATAAGGTTCTCTTGCAAAAACAGACATCCCTCACTTACCCTCAATGTCCATTCTCTTTCTATCCTATTTCAGGAATCAATGAGTTTTCAGTAATATTTCAAATAAATCCTTTGTACTCCCGTTTAAGCTACTCGATATCTGAAACTAAGGAACAAAATTGATTTATACAGCCCAGTATACCCATTAGTTTAATTAATTCTCTGATTCCTTACTCTCTAAATCTAGAAGTAGGTTCAGATGGTGAGAAATAATTGAACTAACGGCCACCATTATTGTCACCATCACCTTACAGTCTAATTTACACAGACAAAAATAATATTGGATTGAATTATATGGAATTGCTGTTTTTTTCAGGTCAAAGATTGTTAAATATTCACTATTTGATATGGTTCACTCTAATATTTAAGGGACAGGGATCCTTTATCCAAAACAGGCCACCACTTGGTTCTATGATTTTCCATTTCTCACCGTCACTTTCCAATTCCTAATCAGTATTATAATAGTGAATATAACAGCCATTTATTGCCAGATGACTCTGTGCCAAACACTGCAAGCCATTTAACTAACCCTCACTATCTCATTTTGTTAAAAAAAAGTATTTGTACTGTAATTTATTCATATAGCACAAAATCCAAAGTGTGTAAAAATGCTTGAAATGTAAACTTTTTTTTGTTTTGTTCTTGAGACGTTGTCTCGCTCTGTCGCCCAGGCTGGAGTGCAGTGGCACGATCTCGGCTCACTGCAAGCTTCGCCTCCCGGGTTCACGCCATTCTCCTGCCTCAGCCTGCTGAGTAGCTGGGACTACAGGCGCCCGCCACCACACCCAGCTAATTTTTTGTATTTCTAGTAGAGACAGGGTTTCACCACATTAGCCAGGATGGTTTCGATCTCCTGACCTTGTGATCCGCCCGCCTCGGCCTCCCAAACACTCAGTTCCCCTCTCTAGAGAGAGGCAGTTAACATTGCCAGTTTCTTGCATTTTCTTCCAGAGATATTCCATGAATATACAAGCATATATTGCTTTAAACACACACACACGCATGCACACACACGCATGCACACACGCGCACACACACACACACACTCTATGTCTGCAGTGCTAACCGTTGAGCAGTGGCATTCTTTATAAAAGCAATAGAAATATATCCTAGAGAAGGTTATCACTCTAAAGATATACCATAATTCATTTTGCCTGTATTTTATTGATGGACATTTAGGTTGTTTCTAATATTTTTCTACTATTCACAATGATGTACAAGTATCTTTTCAGATTTGATTTTGCACAGGAGCAACTAAAAAACTAAATATGTAGGAGAAATTTCTAGAAGTAGAATTGCCAGATGAAAAGATATATACATTGTAATTTTGATAGATATTTTCAAGTTATTCAACATAGTGGTTGTACCAAGTTTCAGTTACACCAGCAGCATATGAAAATGACTATTTTCCCACTTTTCAAGAACTAGAAGTTATTAAAATTTTCTTCACTATTATCAGTGAAAAATAGCATCTCATTTTCATTTTAATATGTATGTCTCTTATGACAGGAGATATTTATTATCTTCTCATATACTTAAGAGCCACTTTATTTTCTTTCTTGTGAATTGTTTGTTCGTATACTTAATCCATTTTTTAACTGGGTTGTTTTTCCTTACAGATATGTAGGATGTTATATTTTAAAGAAACAACTTTGCTGTGATATACTAAAATTGCATTACAAGCTCATAAGTTCTTTTTTTAAGTTTGCTTTCCATTGAATATTTTTGTTTTTGTTTGTGTGAGATGATGTGGTATTTTCCCTATGTCATCTGGTTTATGTTTTGTAATTAGTAACAGGCCTCTGAGCTAACAATGATATATTCTTCTATGTTTTCTAATGCCACCTTTAAAATGGGGTGATTTTTTTCTTTATGTTTAAATAATTGATCCACCTGAAATTTTAGGGGTTACAAAATGAGAGGAAACTGTTTAGTTACTCAGTTGCCCAAACACTATTCATTGACTGATACGTCCTTTTCTCACTGATTTGAAATATTATTTTTAGCATATTTCTAAATTACCTTAAGTATTCGAGCCCATTTCTGTATTCCAATTCCTGTTCTCTATTCTTTGTATTTTTTGGCTTTGTGTTCTTAATCCAATATAACACTTGCTAAATTATTATTTCTTTATAATATATGTTAGCATCTGTTAGAATTTGTATAACCTCATCATTCTTCTTTTCAGGATTTGTGAATCCTTGTGACTTTTTTTTCATTTGAACTTTGGAATCAGATTATCTAATTTGAACATAAATTAGTTGGTATTTATTGAAATCTGGTTAAATTTACAAATTTATGTTGGGAAAATTGCTATTATGATGATGTTTTGTCTTTCTGTTCAAAATCTTGGATAGCTTCTCCAATGAACTCCTTTTTGAGATCTTTCTTGTGTCTCTTGGTAACATTTTGAGAGTTTCTTGTGTGTGTGTATATGTGTGTATGTATAGATACATGTGTGTGTGTGGTCATATGCATATATTTAGACATATATATGTACATATTTTCCATTTCTTAATAACTTTCGTGATCACAAATTGGGCCTTTTCTTCCATTTTGTAGTTTAATTGATTTGGTTTGTACTTACGAAAGTTATTGACTTCTATATGTTAATTTTATTCCCAGACACCTTTAAACTATTCTTAATATTTATAATTTTTTTAGTTTACCCTCTTGGATGTTCTAGCTAAATTTTTATATCATTTTCAAATAACAATGATTTTACTAAGTCTTTTAAAATTTTTATATCTTATTTCTTTCTTTTGTCTAATTATATTGGCTAGTACCATCAGAAAAAATGTTGAATAATAGTGAGGATAATTAACATCCTTCTCTTGTGTCTGACTTTAATAGGAATGCTTCTAGATTTTTTCATTAAGCAAGGTGATTATCTGAGATTTGAGATAGACATATTTCTCATGTTAAGGTAATATCTATTCTTATTCTATTAAGAGCTATTTAAAGTAAAAAAAAAATGGATGTCGAATTTTATCAAATGTATCTCTGATGTCCAAGGAGACGGTTTTACTCTTCTCTTTTTATTATTATGAGTAAATATATTAATAAGAATAATTGATGCTTATTCAGTGCAACTGATGCTCAAGGCAGTATTTTAATTTCTTTACATGCATCAACTCATTTAATCTTTGCCCAGCTTAGAACTAGGTATCATTACTGTTCTCACTCCAAAGTTAAGAAAACCCACATTCACAGGCTATGTAACTTGGGCAAGACCAGATAGCCAGTAAGTGGTAGGTCTGAGATTTGACTTCATGCTGATTTTCCTGTCTGTAAAACTAATTTCGTCATGATAGATTTCTTGTTAATTAATCATTATTTCATTTCTAAAAAAAAATCCACTCCTTTTACTGGGCCACATTAATTACTGCTGATATTTATTTACAATTTCTTGTAATTGTAAAGGAGAATTGGATTCAAACGAGAAATTCAGTTGATATTCCCTCTTATATGATGTCATTGTCAGTGTTGAGTGTTACTAATATCCGAGCCTCATGACCATTTGGGTAATATTCTTTTTTTTCTTTCTCCAAAGCAATTTGGATGGCACTGAAGTTATTTCACTTTTAAAAGTTGTGTAGAATTCTCCTATGAGAACTTACATGGCCCTAATTCCCCTGTGAAACCATCTGGGCCTGGGGCTTTTTTGTGGAGAGTTTCTTTCTGGTAATTTTTTTTATTTGAAGATGCTGCCTTTAATATATTTTAACATACACAGTGAATAAATAAAACATAATATTCCAAAGCAATGGAAGCTGTTGAAAGAAAGATCCCTTAGAAAAGTGAATGCATTTGAAAGATTTTAGGAAAGAAAAATTAGCACACTTTGATGATTAAGTTGAATAAGGACACCTCACAAGAGATGGGGGTGACAATGATGCCTTCTGCATTTTAGCTTGTAGAGCAGGCTGGATGCTGGTCCCCTTCACTGAATACGGACAGGAAGAATATTTCAGTTGGCTTTTGCATGGGTGGTTAAATGGAAGGAGGCATTGAGCTGTATTTTTTGATTGTTTGTTATTTTTTCTTTTTTCTGAGATAGAATCTCGGTCTGTCACCCTGGCTGGAGTGCGGTGACGAGATCTCAGCTCACTGCAACCTCCACCTCCCAGGTTCAAGTGATTCTCCTGTCTCAGCCTCCTGGGGACTGAGGCTGGGACTATAGGCATGAGCCACAGCGCCCAGCCTGTTTATTTTTTTATGTGTTGGATTTCAGGGCATTTGAGACACTGAGGGTTGTCAAAAAGGCAGTTAGATATAAGCTGTGAGTCTTTTGAGTATCTGGTAATTAAAATCTTGAAGACCATTAAGAAGGGGGAAGCTCAAAAAGAAAGGAGAATGAGGGAGGGGAAGAGAGCCTGGGACCCAGCTGTAACCCTGCAAGGGTGTTAACTAACATTCAGCATTGGACAATCACTGTAATTGAGTATTTATTCTATTTTACTACCCATTGAGAATCTTTGATGTCAGGGCTTCTGTGGAGTCTGATCTGGAGATCTGTGGAATAATCTGTGGATCCTCTAAAAGAACAGCCATGAACTGGGGACTGCAGAGCCTCCATGTGTGTCCATGATCAGGTCCGCCATGGTGTGATTGCCTTCCAGTCTTTCTGCTATGCTGGTTTAGAATATCTGATGAGACTGGGCACGGTGGCTCATGCCTGTAATCCCAGCACATTGGGAGGCCGAGGCGGGCAGATCACGAGGTCAGGAGATCAAGACCATCCCGGCTAACATGGTGAAACCCGGTCTCTACTAAAAATACAAAAAAAAAAAAAAAATTAGCCAGGCGTGGTGGTGGGCACCTGTAGTCCCAGCTACTCGGGAGGCTGAGGCAGGAGAATGGCGTGAACCCGGGAGGCGGAGTTTGCAGTGAGCCGAGATCGTGCCACTGCACTCCAGCCTGGGTGACAGAGCGAGACTCCATCTCAAAAAAAAAAAAAAAAAAAAAAAAAAAAAAAAAAAAATCTGATGACTGATGAGATGGTTTTGAATGTTTTTGATAATACTATGGTTTGTAATTTGGTCCATGAACCCAAAGAGACTCTTCAAACATGACATGGAGGTTTTTAATACAAAAAATAAAAAATAAAAAAATCACAGATAGAAACGAGATCCTGGAATCCTGAGGGAGATCTAGCTTCCTTTTTTTTAAATAATGTCTTTTTATTATTATTATTATTATACTTTAAGTTTTAGGGTACATGTGCACAATGTGCAGGTTAGTTACATATGTATACATGTGCCATGCTGGTGTGCTGCACCCATTAACTCGTCATTTAGCATTAGGTATATCTCCTAATGCTATCCCTCCCCTCTCCCCCCACCCCACAACAGTCCCCAGAGTGTGATGTTCCCCTTCCTGTGTCCATGTGTTCTCGTTGTTCAATTCCCACCTATGAGTGAGAACATGCGGTGTTTGGTTTTTTGTCCTTGCGATAGTTTACTGAGAATGATGATTTCCAATTTCATCCATGTCCCTACAAAGGACATGAACTCATCATTTCTTATGGCTGCATAGTGTTCCATGGTGTATATGTGCCACATTTTCTTAATCCAGTCTATCATTGTTGGACATTTGGGTTGGTTCCAAGTCTTTGCTATTGTGAATAGTGCCGCAATAAACATACGTGTGCATGTGTCTTTATAACAGTATGATTTATAGTCCTTTGGGTATGTACCCAGTAATGGGATGGCTGGGTCAAATGGTATTTCTAGTTCTAGATCCCTGAGGAATGGCCACACTGACTTCCACAATGGTTGAACTAGTTTACAGTCCCACCAACAGTGTAAAAGTGTTCCTATTTGTCCACATCCTCTCCAGTACCTGTTGTTTCCTGACTTTTTAATGACTGCCATTGTAACTGGTGTGAGATGGTATCTCATTGTGGTTTTGATTTGCATTTCTCTGATGGCCAGTGATGGTGAGCATTTTTTCATGTGTCTGTTGGCTGGATAAATGTCTTCTTTTGAGAAGTGTCTGTTCATGTCCTTCGCCCACTTTTTGATGGGGTTGTTTTTTTCTTGTAAATTTGTTTGAGTACATTGTAGATTCTGGATATTAGCCCTTTGTCAGATGAGTAGGTTGTGAAAATTTTCTCCCATTCTGTAGGTTGCCTGTTCACTCTGATGGTAGTTTCTTTTGCTGTGCAGAAGCCCTTTAGTTTAATTAGATCCCATTTGTCAATTTTGTCTTTTGTTGCCATTGCTTTTGGTGTTTTAGACATGAAGTCCTTGCCCATGCCTATGTCCTGAATGGTAATGCCTAGGTTTTCTTCTAGGGTTTTTATGGTTTTAGATCTAACGTTTAAGTCTTTAATCCATCTTGAATTAATTTTTGTATAAGATGTAAGGAAGGGATCCAGTTTCAGCTTTCTACATATGGCTAGCCAGTTTTCCCAGCACCATTTATTAAATAGGGAATCCTTTCCCCATTGCTTGTTTTCCTCAGGTTTGTGAAAGGTCAGATAGTTGTAGATATGTGGCGTTATTTCTGAGGGCTCTGTTCTGTTCCATTGGTCTATATCTCTGTTTTGGTACCAGTACCATGCTGTTTTGGTTACTGTAGCCTGTAGTATAGTTTGAAGTCAGGTAGCGTGATGCCTCCAGCTTTGTTCTTTTGGCTTAGGATTGACTTGGCGATGCGGGCTCTTTTTTGGTTCCATGTGAACTTTAAAGTAGTTTTTTTCCAATTCTGTGAAGAAAGTCATTGGTGGCTTGATGGGGATGGCATTGAATCTATAAACTACCTTGGGCAGTATGGCCATTTTCAGGATATTGATTCTTCCTACCCATGAGCATGGAATGTTCTTCCATTTGTTTGTATCCTCTTTTATTGCCTTGAGCAGTGGTTTGTAGTTCTCCTTGAAGAGGTCCTTCACGTCCCTTGTAAGTTGGATTCCTAGGTATTTTATTCTCTTTGAGGCAATTGTGAATGGGAGTTCACTCATGTTTTGGCTCTCTGTTTGTGTGTTATGGGTGTATAAGAATGCTTGTGATTTTTGTACATTGATTTTGTATCCTGAGACTTTGCTGAAGTTGCTTATCAGCTTAAGGAGATTTTCAGCTGAGACGATGGGGTTTTCTAGATATACAATCACGTCATCTGCAAACAGGGACAATTTGACTTCCTCTTTTCCTAATTGAATGCCCTTTATTTCCTTCTCCTGCCTAATTGCCCTGGCCAGAACTTCCAACACTATGTTGAATAGGAGTGGTGAGAGAGGGCATCCCTGTCTTGTGCCAGTTTTCAAAGGGAATGCTTCCAGTTTTTGCCCATTCAGTATGATATTGGCTGTGGGTTTGTCATAGATAGCTCTTATTATTTTGAGATATGTCCCATCAATACCTAAGTTATTGAGAGTTTTTAGCATGAAGGGTTGTTGAATTTTGTCAAAGGTCTTTTCTGCATCTTTTGAGATAATCATGTGGTTTTTGTCTTTGGTTCTGTTTATATGCTGGATTACATTTATTGATTTGTGTATATTGAACCAGTCTTGCATCCCAGGGATGAAGCCCACTTGATCATGGTGGATAAGCTTTTTGATGTGCTGCTGGATTCGGTTTGCCAGTATTTTATTGAGGCTTTTTGCATTAATGTTCGTCAAGGATATTGGTCTAAAATTCTCTTTTTTGGTTGTGTCTCTGCCGGGCTTTGGTATCAGGATGATGCTGGCCTCATAAAATGAGTCAGGGAGGATTCCCTCTTTTTCTATTGATTGGAATAGTTTCAGAAGGAATGCTACCAGTTCCTCCTTGTACCTCTGGTAGAATTCGGCTGTGAATCCATCTGGTCCTGGACTCTTTTTGGTTGGTAAGCTATTGATTATTGCCACAATTTCAGAGACTGTTATTGGTCTATTCAGAGATTCAACTTCTTTCTGGTTTAGTCTGGGGAGGGTGTATGTGTCCAGGAATTTATCCATTTCTTCTAGATTTTCTAGTTTATTTGCGTAGAGGTGTTTGTACTATTCTCTGATGGTAGTTTGTATTTCTGTGGGATTGGTGGTGATATCCCCTTTATCATTTTTTATTGTGTCTATTTGATTCTTCTGTCTTTTTTTCTTTATTAGTCTTGCTAGCAGTCTTATCCATTTTGTTGATCCTTTCAAAAAACCAGCCCCGGGATTCATTAATTTTTTAAGGGTTTTTGGTGTCACTATTTCCTTCAGTTCTGCTCTGATTTTAGTTATTTCTTGCCTTCTGCTAGCTTTTGAATGTGTTTGCTCTTGCTTTTCTAGTTCTTTTAATTGTGACTTTAGGGTGTCAATTTTGGATCTTTCCTGCTTTCTCTTGTGGGCATTTAGTGCTATAAATTTCCCTCTACACACTGCTTTGAATGTGTCCCAGAGATTCTGGTATGTTGTGTCTTTGTTCTGGTTGGTTTCAAAGAACATCTTTATTTCTGCCTTCATTTTGTTATGTACCCAGTAGTCATTCAGGAGCAGGTTGTTCAGTTTCCATGTAGTTGAGCGGTTTTGAGTGAGTTTCTTAATCCTGAGTTCTAGTTTGATTGCATTGTGGTCTGAGAGACAGTTTGTTATAATTTCTGTTCTTTTACATTTGCTGAGGAGAGCTTTACTTCCAACTATGTGGTCAATTTTGGAATAGGTGTGGTGTGGTGCTGAAAAACATGTATATTCTGTTGATTTGGGGTGGAGAGTTCTGTAGATGTCTATTAGGTCCGCTTGGTGCAGAGCTGAGTTCAATTCCTGGGTATCCTTGTTGACTTTCTGTCTCGTTGATCTGTCTAATGTTGACAGTGGGGTGTTAAAGTCTCCCATTATTATTGTGTGGGAGTCGAAGTCTCTTTGTAGGTCACTAAGGACTTGCTCTATGAATCTGGGTGCTCCTGTATTGGGTGCATATATATTTAGGATAGTTAGCTCTTCTTGTTGAATTGATCCCTTTACCATTATATAATGGCCTTCTTTGTCTCTTTTGATCTTTGTTGGTTTAAAGTCTGTTTTGTCAGAGACTAGGATTGCAACCCCTGCCTTTTTTTTGTTTTCCATTGGCTTGGTAGATCTTCCTCCATCCTTTTATTTTGAGCCCATGTGTGTCTCTGCATGTGAAATGGGTTTCCTAAATACAGCACACTGATGGATCTTGACTCTTTATCCAATTTGCCAGTCTGTGTCTTTTAATTGGAGCATTTAGTCCATTTACATTTAAAGTTAATATTGTTATGTGTGAATTTGATCCTGTCATTATGATGTTAGCTGGTTATTTTGCTAGTTAGTTGATGCAGTTTCTTCCTAGCCTTGATGGTCTTTACAATTTGGCATGATTTTGCAGTGGCTGGTACCGGTTGTTCTTTTCCATGTTTAGTGCTTCCTTCAGGAGCTCTTTTAGGGCAGGCCTGGTGGTGACAAAATCTCTCAGCATTTGCTTGTCTGTAAAGTATTTTAGTTCTCCTTCACTTACTTATGAAGCTTAGTTTGGCTGGATATGAAATTCTGGGTTGAAAATTCTTTTCTTTAAGAATGTTGAATATTGGCCCCCACTCTCTTCTGGCTTGTAGAGTTTCTGCCGAGAGATCTGCTGTTAGTCTGATGGGCTTCCCTCTGTGGGTAACCCGACCTTTCTCTCTGGCTGCCCTTAACATTTTTTCCTTCATTTCAACTTTGGTGAATCTGACAATTATGTGTCTTGGAGTTGCTCTTCTCGAGGAGTATCTTTGTGGCGTTCTCTGTATTTCCTGAATCTGAATGTTGGCCTGCCTTGCTAGATTGGGGAAGTTCTCCTGGATAATATCCTGCACAGTGTTTTCCAACTTGGTTCCATTCTCCCCGTCACTTTCAGGTACACCAATCAGACGTAGATTTGGTCTTTTCACATAGTGCCATATTTCTTGGAGGCTTTGTTCATTTCTTTTTATTCTTTTTTCTCTAAACTTCCCTTCTCGCTTCATTTCATTCATTTCGTCTTCCATCACTGATACCCTTTCTTCCAGTTGATCGCATCGGCTCCTGAAGCTTTTGCATTCTTCACGTAGTTCCCGAGCCTTGGCTTTTGGCTCCATCAGCTCCTTTAGGCACTTCTGTGTATTGGTTATTCTAGTTACACATTTGTCTAAATTTTTTTCAAAGTTTTTAACTTCTTTGCCTTTGGTTTGCATTTCCTCCTGTAGCTCGTAGTAGTTTGATGGTCTGAAGCCTTCTTCTCTCAGCTCGTCAAAGTCATTCTCCATCCAGCTTTGTTCCATTGCTGGTGAGGAGCTGGGTTCCTTTGGAGGGACGCTCTGCTTTTTAGAGTTTCCAGTTTTTCTGCTCTGTTTTTTCCCCATCTTTGTGGTTTTATCTACTTTTGGTCTTTGATGATGGTGATGTACAGATGGGTTTTTGGTGTGGATGTCCTTTCTGTTTGTTAGTTTTCCTTCTAACAGACAGGACCCTCAGCTGCAGGTCTGTTGAATTTGCTAGAGGTCCACTCCAGACCCTGTTTGCCTGGGTATCAGCAGCGGTGTCTGCAGAACAGCGGAGTTTCGTGCGCCACGAATGCTGCTGTCTGATCGTTCCTCTGGAAGTTTTGTCTCAGAGGAGTACCCGGCCGTGTGAGGTGTCAGTCTGCCCCTACTGGGGGGTGCCTCCCAGTTAGGCTGCTCAGGGGTCAGGGGTCAGGGACCCACTTGAGGAGGCAGTCTGCCCATTCTCAGATCTCCAGCTGCGTGCTGGGAGAACCACTGCTCTCTTCAAAGCTGTGAGACAGGGACATTTAAGTCTGCAGAGGTTACTGCTGTCTTTTTGTTTGTCTGTGCCCTGCCCCCAGAGGTGGAGCCTACAGAGGCAGGCAGCCCTCCTTGAGCTGTGGTGTGGGCTCCACCCAGTTTGAGCTTCCCGGCTGCTTTGTTTACCTAAGCAAGCCTGGGCAATGGCAGGCGCCCCTCCCCCAGCCTCGCTGCCGCCGCCTTGCAGTTTGATCTCAGACTGCTGTGCTAGCAATCAGCGAGATTCCGTGGGCGTAGGACCCTCCGAGCCAGGTGCGGGATATAATCTCCTGGTGCGCCTTTTTAAGCCCGTCGGAAAAGTGCAGTATTAGGGTGGGAGTGACCCGATTTTCCAGGTGCCATCTGTCACCCCTTACTTTGACTAAGAAAGGGAACTCCCTGACCCCTTGCGCTTCCCGAGTAAGGCAATGCCTCACCCTGCTTCGGCTTGCGCACGGTGCTCTGCACCCACTGTCCAGCACTCCCTAGTGAGATGAACCTGGTACCTCAGATGAAAATGCAGAAATCACCCGTCTTCTGCGTCGCTCACGCTGGGAGCTATAGACCGGCGCTGTTCCTATTCGGCCATCTTGGCTGTCCTCCTATATCGAGATCTATCTTCTTATGAAAATTCTGCAAATTCTTCATGGAAGGAAAGTATGGCCACAGTTTTAATATGACTCTCTAGAATAATCTGTGGATATGATAATATCAACACATAGATTTACTATTTAAAAATCTACTTGAAAAAAGATTAATTTAGGTTTTCTGACCATAGAGTTTTCTGGAAAATTTTAGAATCTGCCTCCCCCAAATTTGAACCAAAGTAATGTTCTTATGTTATTTCTTCCCTTCTTAAAAATGTATGATGGACTGATTTCATTATGTACAACTACAAACTGGTAACGAGACTGACTCATTTAAATAAACGTAGTTAAAACCATGTTTTCTGTTGTTATATTTATTTACATGGAGTCAGTTCAACTTTTAACGGCATAGGTTCACTTAGGTTTTCTCTTATTAGAGGTCTCTCACCCCTCTTTAAACCATTACTTCCTTATTAATTTCCCAGTGGCTTCAGGCAATTTCTAGCTGCAGCAATGACTATGTGAATAAACAGTCTTTATTGTTTGTGGTTTTAAGATGGAGAAAAATACCTTTGACATACTTAACATGCTGATTATTAGATGAAGTCCAAGGAATATCATTAGCTTTGATAATGCACAAAGCAGTCTCCTACTGAGTGCCCACTATATTCCAAAGCCTGGGGGTTCTAAAAAGGAAGATGTATTGCTTGCTCTCACCAAGCTTATCAATAATAACTGAAATAATTGAGTACTTACTATGTGCCAGGCATTTATTCATTCTCATATCAACTGTTTAAAGGATGCCTACTGGATGCCAGACTTGGTGCTAGGTGCTAGAAATATAAACATATGCAAAAACAAATACATTCCTGCTCTTATATGCTTATGGTTGGGTGAAGTGATGTCACAAAAATATGTTTATAATTTCAAATTTAGAGAAAAGGAACATAATAAGTCTATGAGTGAATACAACAAAGGAAATTTGCCTCCAGTCTGGGAGAAATCTCAGAAGGCTTCTCTGAGAAGGTGATAGTTGGACTGTTTTAAGGATGAGTTGGTTTTAGCTAGAGGAGAAACAGGGGAAGAACATAATACTCCTCTGCCATGCTAGAGGATCAATCCTGACTCAGGAATCAATCCCAACAGAGGTTCCATTGCAGAAAGAAGAAGAAGAAGGGCCATGGCTGGAGCATGGGGTGATAGGGAGAGTAACGCGAGATTGAATTGGACAGGGGTGAGTGAGGGCGGAGTGGTTGGTGGCAGATGACACAGAGCATGTATTCCATGCTTCAGAACAATTTGACAATAAAGGAGGAGACATAATCTAAACACCTGCCTATGCATCAGTTAAGGCAGTGAGAGCAGATACATCTGTCATGTGTGCTCAGAGAGGAGAGCCTCCACCTTAGAGGATCAGAGAAAGCTTCCAGGCAGAGGAAAGGAACAATTTAAGGAGGTTTTTGACAGTGAATAGAAGTTTCGCATTCAAGAAAGGAGAGAAAGGGTATTCCAGGCCAGGGGAACAGAATGTGCAAAGGCTTAGAAAGATCAAGGAACATGGTGTATTCTGGAGGCATGACACACTTCATGTGATTAGCATGTATTTAGTATGTGCATGCAAGCACATGTTTGTTGGTGTGTGTATGTGTATGTATGTGTACACACATGTGCAGGAAGGTTGAGGTAAAAATTCTTAAAAGACACATTTAGAAAATTCAGGTTGAGGCATTCGCAGGGCGGTACCATCTGCCATGCTAAGGAATTTCCCATAGTAACGCAGTTCTTTAAATAGATGTGACACCTCTTATAAACTTGTATTTTTGGTTTAGAACAACGTTTGTCTTAACTCTACTGAATATCAGAATCACTTGGGGAGCTTTTAAAACTCCTGGTCCTCAGACCACATCCCAGACCAATTGAATCAGAATCTCTGTGAGGGAATCCAGACATCAGTATTTTTTTTTCTAGTTGCCTTGCCCATATTAACTTCAAAAAAAAAAAAAAAACCACTCCATATTTTCAGAGCAGTTTTAGGTTCACAGCAAAATTGTGCAGGTACAGAGATTTCTCATATAGCACTGGCTGCATCACATGCATGGCCTCTCTCCCTATCAGCATCCCCCACCAATGTGGCACATTTGTCACATCAATGAACCAACACTGACATGTCATAATCACCCAAAGTCCATAGTTTCCATTAGGGCTCACTCTTGGTGTTGTACATTCTAGAGGTTTGGACAAATTTATAATGACATGAATCCATCATTGTGGTATCATAGAGAGCAATTTCACTGCCCTAAAAATCTTGTGTGCTCTGCCTGTTCATCCGTCTCTCCCCATTTAACCTCTGGCCACCACTGATCTTTTTACTGTCTCCATAGTTTTGCCTTTTCTAGAATGTTATATGGTTGTAATCATGCAGTTGCCTTTTCAGGCTTTTTCTCACTTAGCAATATGCATTTACAGTTCCTCCGTGTCTTTCCATGGCTTGATCACTCATTTCTTTTCAGTGCTGAATGGTGTTCTATTTTTTGAATGCATCAGTGCATTTTAAAGCTTCCCAGGTGATTCCAACATGTAGCCAAGCTTGAGAGCTAATGGTTTAAAAAACACTCCGGCTTCATGGGAAAGTTTAGGGACCAGGAAGGAGATCAGGAGTCTTCCTGACCTCCACAGTAGATTAAAAGTCTTAAAATGGCGGCACCCAGTGGCAATGGGAAACAAAAGATGAGTTTCAAAAACCATTTCGGCTGGCCGGGCGCAGTGGCTCACACCTGTAATCCCAGCACTTTGGGGGGCCGAGGCGGGTGGATCACCTGAGGCTGGGAGTTCGAGACCAGCCTGACCAACATGGAGAAACCCCATCTCTACTAAGAATACAAAATTAGCCGGGCATGGTGGCGCATGCCTGTAATCCCAGCTACTCGTGAGGCTGAGGCAAGAGAATTGCTTGAACCTGGGAGGTGGAAGTTGTGGTGAGCCGAGATTGCACCATTGCACTCCAGCCTGAGCCAGAAGAGCGAAACTCCATCTCAAAAAAAAAAAAAAAAATTCAGGCCATTGAATGAATACGTCCAATGGGATGTCAGGGGGAAGAGAGAGAGATCTAGAGGATGGATTCTTAGTTTCTAGTGGTGGTGTCATATCCAGACAGAGTGGTGGCTAAGAGTTTGAGGGTGTGGGCATGAATTCCTACTTGGCCAGTCACTAGCTATGTGGGTGACCTTAGGCAAATCACTTAATCCCACAGGCCTCAGTGTGCTCAGGTATAAAATGGGGATACTAGTGGTACCTATCTTGTTATGAGGAATATTTAAGCTACTTCACACAAAGGGCTTAGAACAAAACTCTTTATAAAAGGTTTGTTCTTCACTGTTAAGAACTGCTGAGGCAGGGACAGGGCAGGACATTTCCTAAGAAAGAACTTAAGCCTAAGGTAACTGATAGGAAAAGAAGCTTTCTTACCTGGTCAGGTTCAAGAGTACCAATTCCATTAGTACCTACGGGTTAAGGATTCTTGGTTGAGGTACAAAAACAGAAAACAAACAAACAAACAACAAACAACAACAACAAAAAAAACCTCTCCATGCCTCAGTTTTCTCACCTGTAAAATGGAGACAATAAAAATATCCTATTTTCAGGCCAGGTGCAGTGGCCCATGCCTGTAATCCCAGTGCTTTGGAAGGCCGAGGTGGGAGGAGTGCTTGAGGCCAGGAGTTCAAGACAAGCCTGGGCAACATAGCAAGATCCTATCTATCTCTACAAAAAATTCAAAAAAAAAATTAACTGGGCATGGTGGCATGTACCTGTAGTTCCAGCTACTAAGGAGGCTGAAGTGGGAAGATCACTTGGGCCTAGGAGTTCAAGGCTGCAATGAGCTATGATTGCTACTGCACTCCAGCCTAGGCGACAGAGCAAGGTACCCTGTCTCAAAAAATAATAATAATAAAATCCTGTTTCCAGGTTACTGAGGATACTAAATCTGCCAAAGAAAATCCTTCTTTGCCTACCTAGCATGGAGAAGGGCTATTTCTTTCTTTGACATGGCTCCTCAGAATGCATGGAGATTTGGAGCTGTGTTGTCTACACTGGATGTGTGAGAGTGATTGGTAATCTGGAGGCTGACTACACTTCAGGCCTGCCCTGTGGTGGAGTCACTGACTTCCACCTTCTGGCTGCAACCTGCCCAAGCCCATCCTGAGTCCTAGGCTGTGTTTACTTAGATAGGTCCCTTCTCTGACTGACGAACATCAGTCCTTGTGATTGTTCATTTTTTTCACTTTAGCTTGTTTGTTTTCAGTCATCCAAGTCAGAAAGTGTCAAAAAGAAACCTTTGAAGAAATCTTTATGGATCTGTGGTAGAAAGGTATTTGTTGACAGTAGCCTACAACTTTGCTTTCCTTGAGAAAGGAGCTATTGCTTGGATTTGATATTAAAGCAGTCAGCTTCCGGGAACTTTGTGCTTCAGAAATCATCATCTTAAAAACAGAAAATTATGATATTTAGGCAAGAGGGGATGGGATTAAAAAAGAGAAGAGTAATAAGCGTCATTTTAGAACTATCTCTGAGGGAGTCTGTGTTCAGTCCTATGGTAGCCTTTGTTTTACAGGTATGCCACGTTACAAACAAGAAAAAAGGTGGAATCCTAGGTAGTTGCAATGGTTGAATGCTTAGAAAGAGAAAAACCTGGATATTTTTAGTTTTTTAAGAGCAAACTTTTATTATAATTCAGAGCATTAGTTTAAAAATGGGAACATTCTCAATAAGATAAAATTCAAAAAAATTGGAATAATAAAAAGTGGATTTTTTAATGCTTTGTACACACTCCTGGGTCACCGCCATCTGAAATATATTCATTAATTCATTGATATGTTCAACTAATATTTGTGTGTAAGCATTTAGGATGTATCAGGCACAAACAACAGTAAAATGTTCTTCTTCCTTGCCTTCAGGGAACTAAAACAGGTACACAAAATATAATACAAACCAACAAGGATAAAGGCCAAATCAAATGGAAGATTTATTTTTCCACAATCTACCCCCGGGACCTAGAAGACAGCCTACAAATAGTAGAGGCTCAGCAAATATTTGTTGGATAGTTGGAAGAATGAATGAATTATACACCTAAGACTTACAAAGTCGGAAGGAAAAAAAATTATGTAAAAAGAATGAAGAGAGGATATTTGCATACCACATACTTTGTAATATCTTTAAGAAACTCAGATGTACTGTGTTCCCTCAAAATATTTCCATTGCAAAAACATGAAAAAATAAAATAAATAGTTGGTCGGGTGCGGCGGCTCACACCTGTAATCCCAGCACTTTGGGAGGCCAAGGCAGGCGTATCACCTGAGGTCAGGAGTTTGAGACCAGTCTGGCCAACATGGTGGAACTCCTCTCTATTAAAAATACAAAAATTATTTGGGCGTGGTGGCAGGCGCCTATAATCCCAGCTACTTGGGAGGCTGAGGCAGGAGAATTGTTTGAACCCAGAAGGTGGAGGTTGCAGTGAGCCGAGATCGCGCCATTGAACTAAAGCCTGGGCAACAGAGTGAGACTCCGTCTCAAAAATAAATAAATAAAAAATAAAAATAAAAATAAATAGATAGTTGAAGTAAGGGAACAAATACTTACAGAGGACTTTTTCATGGAGTTGGTCCATTTGGTTACATACTAAAGAAATTTATGAAATCTGTCTCAAACACACAGGTGCCTTGAAAATAGAGTTAGCTTACATGCAGTTTCCACAGTTAAGATACAGTTTTCCTTAACTTTTAAAAAATTGTATGAAATGTTTTAAGATGAATAGAATGAACAATAATGTATCCATAATACAACTTTAAAAAATCTCAGCATTTTGGAATACTTGAGTCTTTTTATTTGTGAAATAACCACATTACAACCTCAATCGACCCTCCTAAATTCCATTTTACTCTTCTCATTCCCCAGAGTAACCACCATTCAGAATCTTATAATTACCATTACTTGCATCATTTGATGCATAATTATGCATGTATACATTCAGAAATAATATATGAATTTCTATTTATTATCTGATTTTTAACTTAATGTAAATGGTGTACAAAAAAGTTCAAGTCTTTTCCAACTTTCGTCTTTTCTTCAGCAGTATGATTTTAAGGTGTATTTACATAAATCCCTGTTGCTTTTATTCATTTAAGTACAGCAAGGAGTTGTATTATAGGAATATGCAAACATTTATGTATTTGTTTTCCCACTGGTGGACATACAGGTAGTTTCCAATTTTATTGCTATTATAAACTGTGCTACTATAAACACCCTTGTACAAGTCTCCTTGTTTATGTGTGCCAAATTCCTCAAAGGCACAGATCCAGGAGTAGAATTATTTGCCAAAATGCCACGTGCATCTGAAGCTTTGTTTTCCAAAAGGCTTGTGCCAATTTGCACTCCCACCAAAAGCACATGTGGGTCCTCATCATGCCCATTCTTGTCAACACTTGGTATTGGAATTTTCACCAATCTTAATATCAAATGGTTTCTCATTATTGGTTTCCTTCTTTACTCTTTTTCTTCTAGTTTACTGATGTAACGTACCAATGTAATAAGGGAAAATGTCTTGGAAATACAAAATTATGACTTTCACACAGGAAATATACTCTCCATTTGCTTCTGAGAGCTCATTCTTTCATTTATCTAACAAATGTCATCATTTTAGGTACTGGGAATACAGAGATGAATAAGACCTACTCTTGGCTACCCAGGAACCCAGGGTCTTGAGAAGGCAGACATGCAAAACAGATAAGATGGGCTAGAAAACACAATGATTTATTGGGTATAGGGAAGGAAACTGCAGAGATGGGGAGATTAATTCTAGTAGGACCTAAGAAGGCTTCCTACAGAAAGTGATATGCCAACAGAATTCAGAATGAAGAGGGTTGAATAAATACAATCCTTCAAAGTAGATATTACTATCCCATCTTACAGATAAGGAGAATGAGGCCTAACATGTTTATTTAACTTACTTAGGTAAGATCTTTGATTCCAAAGCCAGTATACACCCCAGGACATCACATTGTTTAAGAATTCCTGAAGACTCAATTGGTACCAAAGTCCTGTAAATACAGATTGGGCAAGCTCAGAAGGACACATCTAACACTGGTGATCACCCACGTGTCTAGGTGACTTGCACACCACTTGAATTTTTGGTTGCCTTCAGACCTCCTACTAGAGCCATTAACATTTTTATTAATTTTTGTATTCTTTATTTTTTGCTGCCCTTTAGCAAAATATTTTGTAACTCTTACAGAGAAGAACTGGTATGTTCATGGGAGTCTATTATATTCGTACTTCTGATCTGAGCTTAATGGCACCAATTTCATGAGGAAGTAACTTCTCTAATCCTTTCCAGGGGCAGATAGTATACACTGAGAGTACTTGGGTTTTTAATCTGGGTAACATTGCAGGTCTTTCAACAGAGGTGCGCCTTGGTCTGTCCTAGTTTGAGCAGGAAGGCCCCACTGCTGTGTTGAGAATAGACAGAAGCTGGATAAGGGGAGAAATAGGAAGGCCAGTCAGGAGACTATTGCAAAAATCCAGACAGAAGATGATGAGGGCTTAGACCAGCATAATTGCAGTGGAGATGGTTCTCCTGGATGTATTTTAAAGATTGAATCAATAGTATTTGCTGATAGACTGAATGTGGGGCTTGAAAGGAGAGATTGAGTCTCTTCCTATTTTCCTACTCATTCCTCAGAAAATTGCTAACCAGAGCAGTGAAGTTGGTCTTGTTAAGAGTAGACCCCTAATGCAGTTATAACTTCCCATGTTAACTGTCTCCTATATGGAAGACACTTGGTTTTCTCTGTCAACCTGTCATCAACACTAAACCACTGAGTGCTCCTAAAAGCTGTGTGCTGGGCATTCAGATGAAACCAGGAAAAACTTTGAAACAGCACTAAGGTTGCAAGAGTCTCTTAGAAATTGTGTACTTGTTAGCTCTATGATATCTAGAAAAAGCTCTGAACAGGAGAATGGCCTACACCAGATTCCTTCAATAATTCTAGGTCATAACTGACCTACAGGTTTCAGAACGCATAAAATCTTTCTTTGTACTCCAATACCTCCTAATCATATAAGACGCCATGCTTCTATATTTTCATTTGCTTCCAGGCATAGGTCTTGGGGTCTTGTTCTATGCTCTTAATCTTCTAGAAATCCTATTCCTTCTCCTTTACCTCCCTAAGATCACATCTCTGCCACTAGCACACTTTGCTGTTTTCCTTGTGAAATGTGTTCTGCATATAATCAGTCAGCAGACTGTAGGGTGTTGTGCTTTGTTGGAATATAAATAGTGAGTGACTATTACATTTCCCAAAAGGCTTTCAGCTAATTGTTAAAATGGAGAACTTTAGGACTATAATTTGGTAGCCAGATTCTTTTTCCGGCTTACCCTGTCATTCATCACCCAGAGGGATGCAGAAACTGGTAAACAAATGGTTATTTATTTCACAAAGATTCCCTGCACCCCTACTTTATGCAGGCTGCATTCCAAGTCTTCAAGGTACATATAGGAATAAAACATAATTTCTGCTTTGGAAGAGCTGACAATCTAATAGAAGAGGCAGATAATAAACAGATCATTACCCTTCAGCTTGCAGGGCAGTGGAGAGTGTCTGGAAGAGGCTGTATCAAAGCTAAGTCCAACTTGAGGAGAAAGGTGGGAGGAGGAGAAAGAATGAGTGGAAAGAGGAAGAGCATTGCAGATGAAGGAAAGATTTGGGATCAGAAGCCTTGGGCGAATCTTATTATGGGACTACCTGGAGGAAAGCAGCCTCATCAGAGTCAAAGGGTGAACTATGGAACATGGGCTCCTAAGGTACTGCACAGATGGGCACAGAGATACTCTTCAGAGCCACCTGCTCCATGCCTGTGTCTTTATCCCCAGATGAGGACAAGGACTCGCTAACCTTGAGTTGGGGGTCAAGAACCAGGAAAGTTGAGGCCAGGCACAGTGGCTCACACCTGTAATCCCAGCACTTTGGGAGGCCGAGGCAGGAGAATCCCTTGAACCTGGGAGGCAGAGGTTGCAGTGAGCCAAGATGACGCCACTGCACTCCAGCCTGAGTGACAGAGCAAGACTCTGTCTGGAAAAAAAAACAAAAAACAAACAAAAAAAAAGAACCAGGAGAGTTCCAAATGAATGTTTGTAAATTTTTAAATTTATTTAAAAATAAAGAAAACACACTTTCTATGTGCCAAGCAGTATTCTCAGCCCTTTGTGAGTATTATTATTGGCCTGTATTACAGATGAGAAAACTGAGGTAACAAGACAGAAAACTGGCCCAAGTTCAAATAATAAGTTAAGCCTAAATGAAGATTCAAGTCCAAACATCTAGGCTTCAGAGTCTGGGTGCTGGGCCCCTCCCTCCCACTGCTGCCTCTATAATTAGGGTCTAGGTTGGTTGTGTAAGTAGTTCTTGAGTAGTGGTATGAATCCCCAGTCTGCAGCATTGGCAGCTGAATCAATAAGGAGCAGGCAGGAGCCCTAGGCTGGATGTGTGTCTTGAGAAGGAGCTGTCTGTAAGACATCCCAGTCAAGATACCAAGCATCTGAAACTCAGGAGCAAGATACTGGCTGAAGCTCTAAAATTGGGAGTCTTTGGGCTTAAAGGTAGGAGTGGAGGTCTCATTTGGGTGAATATATCCATTTCCTACAGCCACTGTAACAAATTACCACACCTCATGGTTTAAATCAACAGAAACGTATCCTTGCAAAGTTCTGGAGGCCAAAAGTCCCAAGTCAAGGTGTCACAATGGCTGCGCTCCCTCTGAAGGTCTAAGAAATCCTCTTAACTTGCTGTTTTCCAGTCATTCCAGAATGACTGAGGGCACTCCTGAACTTGTGCGAGCCTAACTCCAATTTCTGCCTCGGGTCTCTTCACACGGCTGTCTCTCCTCTGTGTCTCTCTTTGTCCTCTCCCCTTCTTATAAGAGCATCTGTCATTGGATTGAAGGTCCATCCTAAATCCAGTATTATATCATCTAGAGATCCCTACCTTAATTATATCTGCAAAGGCCTTATTTTCAAATAGTGTTCACTCACAGTTTCCAGAGTTAGGACTTGGGTGTATCTTTTGGGAGGACATTATTCAACCCACCACAATGGACAAGTTTGTCCTGAGAAGGTCTTGAGTGAAGAGGCAAGTCGACCTAGAGCAGAAGAGTGGGGCAAGACCAACACTGGGGGAGAGACAGCTAAAGAACCCTGGGAGGAGGCCAATAAGCAGCTATCAGAAGCTGAAGGAGGTCGCCAGGAGAAGAGAGAGCTAGAAACCCAAGAAGGAGTTTTATATATGAAAAGGATGACATGGACAGCAAGGTTAAATACCACTGAGAAGTGTGGAACATACACAGTGGTGGGCAAAGAGAGGGCTTTTAGTGACTTTGGCAAGAACCATTTTTTCACCTTGGCAGTGTGGATGGGAAGGGGGTGGCAAGGAGCTGAAGACCCTGGTGGCCAGTGCTGTCATACCATGTGCAAGCTGTAAGTGGCAGTATGCACAATAGCAGCCTCGAAAAACCCAAATGAAGACCGCTGTCATACTTTTATGTTTCCAGATTCTCTGATGCTTACATAAAAGTGCACTTCACATTAATTTCTTACATACAATATGTTGAAGTGGCAGGTAAGTGAGGGACTATATCTATCTATATATGGTAATTATTTTAAATGACAACATTTTGACTTTCCATTTCCTTTAAATTAGTTTTACGTGGTAGGGGGCCAATTCACATTTTAGAATTCGTCCAGAAGTTGTTTTAATTGCGCCTTCAAACGTAGATACCTGTGCTTCTTAAATGCAAAATGGCTATCTTTTGATAGGATTAAATGGCCTTTCTTTTTTATTTCACTAGTATGTTTGCACTAATATCAATGGTGAAATAGCAGTGCATCAAACTGATCCCAAGGAGAGTATGGTGCTTAAAAAATGCTAGCCTGAAATAAGAATGTAACTTTTCTTACAGTTACCAGAGTTCATTTCAATTAAATCTTAATGAGGAAAAATGAGACAAATGGGTTCATGAGCATTACCTCTCAGACCTTTTAATTTTTATAAATCCACTGGCAGAGTTAGACTTACCCTGTTGCAATTATTTCATTTGGCTCTTGGAAATTTCACCTCGAATTGCATACGGCGGGTGCCAGAGGCAATCATCTGCTTCGGGGCCTAACTCTTGTGGTCATGTTATCCATCTACATCTATAATCGGAGAAGGGGCATGTTAGAAATGTGAAAAGTACCATTTGTCACAGCATTCTTGCGTAAAGATGGCTGGGGCTTTGGGAATAAGCCGGTAGGGGCAGTTTTTCTTCTCATTAGCTATTTTATTTGTAACTGCAGGGGCTGTCAGAAGCATGGACTTAATAATCTTCAAGTTTTCCTGCATTAATATAAAAAAAGTTGCATGAATTTTTGGCAAATCATTGTCCCCATGAGGGTATCAAAAATACTTTGCTGGTGAATACAGAATAACCCTTCTTTGGGGAGCTCTCAGCTGAGTTAAATATATAATTGAAGCGGATTTATCCAGAATGAGACATTTATGCTGATGGTGTACACGTTTTGAAGATTCTGAACCTTCACTCCAAGTGTCTTTTCAATTCTCCACGGGTAAAAGTTAGAAGGAAAGTACCAGCAGCGCTGTTAATATAATAACAGAGTGCAAGGGATGCATTTTGCGGTTAGATTATGATTATCTCTTTATCTGCTATGTCTTTGCATGCATCGTGGGGTATCAGGAGGAAACCCAAGGCCCTTCATTCTGTGAAGAGCACCAGAAATATCTATCCTGCAGGATCTCAGACTAACGGGAAACTGAAAGACAGAAGGAAGGGAGGGAGGGGGGAAAAAACAGAAGGAAGGGAGGGAAGAAAAGAGGGAGGGAGGGAAGTAAGGAGGAAGGAAGCAGGGAGGGAGAGAGGGAGAAAAGGAGCGGGAGGGAGGGAGGAAGGAGAGCAGGCAGATCCAAACTTCCTTTTCTTTGCTACAGCTGGTGTTTCTCCATGAAATACTTCTTCCCTTCGTGTATGGGCATCATGCTGTCTTGGTTCTCCTCCCTATCCTCACTCGCTGTTCTCTCTCCATCTCTTGCCTCAGGATTCGGCGCACACATTTCTTCTTATCTCTTTTCATACCTGTTTCCTAGAATATCTCATTGAGTCCTATGCATTTTAATACAATCTCTAAGCTGACAACTCCTTCATTTATTAATATATTCCCAGCCTCCACTTCTCCTGTAAAGTCAAGCCTGATACAACCAACTGCCTCTTCAATGTTTTCACTTGGAAGTCTAACAGACATGTCAAATTCATCTTGGTCAGAACTAAACTGGTTCCTCCAAGGTTTCCCAAACTGGCTTTTCCTGCACACTCTCAGGCCAATGTCGCTGGTGTTTTCCCTCACTCCCTCTTATCTCCCAGCCCCATCTACCCTGTTGGGAAATCCTGCTGGTTCATCTTCACACCATGCTCCGGATCCAAAACCTCTCCCCTTCTCCCAGGAACATGGCTCCTCCAGCTGTTTCCACTCAGTTGTTCTCCACCACTGGGTGAAGCAGGCAGATTGAGCCTTTTATGCTTAAATGGAATAATGTTCTAGCACCTCTGCCAACAACTCCAGGGTTTTGTCATCTCACAGTGAAATCCAAACTCCTCCCCTAAACCCATGAAGCCCACTTGGCCTGGTCACCGTCAGCCACCCCCATGTCTCCATCACTCCCCCAAGCCAGCTGCTCTTTCTCAGACACACCAAGCATGCTCCCTGCCGCTGGCTTCGGACTTGCAGTCCCCACATCCTCGGCTGCTTTTCCCCTGGTTGTTCACAGGGTTCATAGGGTTCTCTCCTCTCCCGTCTTTTCTCCAATTGCTCCTCAAAGACCTTCTACCAAAAATAGCCAGACTGTGCCTACACACATGCATGACACTGCTTATGATCCTCTGTTTTTCCTTCATAAAGTGTAACATTTCCAAACACATTCTACATGTGTTTGTTTATTGTTTGTCTCCACATAAAAGCAGGAATTTAATTTTTGTGTGTTGCCATGTCTCCAAAGTCTAGCACAGTACCTGCAATAGACTGGGTATGGAGTAATTATTAGGAAAGAAAAAAAGAGAGAGGGAGAAAAAAACAATTATTTGATTTTTTTCTTGTAAATTTGTTTAAGTTCTTTGTAGATTCTGGATATTAGCCCTTTGTCAGGTGGGTAGATTGTAAAAATTTTCTCCCATTCTGTAGGTTGCCTGTTCACTCTGATGGTAGTTTCTTTTGCTGTGCAGAAGCTCTTTAGTTTAATTATATCCATTTGTCAATTTTGGCTTTTGTTGCCATTGCTTTTGGTGTTTTACTCATGAAGTCCTTGCCCATGCCTGTGTCCTGAATGGTATTGCCTAGGTTTTCTTCTAGGGTTTTTATGGTTTTAGGTCTAACATTTAAGTCTTTAATCCATCTTGAATTAATTTTTCTACAAGGATATGAACAGACACTTCTCAAAAGAAGACATTTATGCAGCCAAAAAACACATGAAAAAATGCTCATCATCACTGGCCATCAGAGAAATGCAAATCAAAACCACAATGAGATACCATCTCACATCAGTTAGAATGGCGATCGTTAAAAAGTCAGGAAACAACAGGTGCTGGAGAGGATGTGGAGAAATAGGAACACTTTTACACTGTTGGTGGGACTGTAAACTAGTTCAACCATTGTGGAAGACAGTGTGGCAATTCCTCAAGGATCTAGAACTAGAAATACCATTTGACCCAACCATCCCATTACTGGGTATATACCCAAAGGATTATAAATCATGCTGCTATAAAGACACATGCACAAGTATGTTTATTGCGGCACTATTCACAATAGCAAAGACTGGGAACCAACCCAAATGTCCATCAATGATAGACTGGATTAAGGAAATGTGGCACATATACACCATGGAATACTATGCAGCCATAAAAAGGATGAATTCATGTCCTTTGTAGGGACATGGATGAAGCTGGAAACCATCATTCTGAGCAAACTATCACAAGGGCAGAAAACCAAATACCGCATGTTCTCACTCACAGGTGGGAAGTGAAAATAAGAACACTTGGACACAGGGTGGGGAACATCACATACTGGGGCCTATGGTGGGGTGGGGGGAGGGGGGAGGGATAGCATTAGGAGATATACCTAATATAAATCATGAGTTAATGGGTGCAGCACACCAACATGGCACATGTATACGTATGTAACAAACCTGCACATTGTACGCTAGAAGTATAACAACAAAACAAAACAAAAAACAAAAACAAAACGAAGGCACAAGTAAAAAAACCATTTGTAAATTGGTTAAAAAAAAATTATTGAGCATTATTTAGAGTTTAGGAAATAAGGGTAGGTCAATGAATAGACTATTGTTTTTGGACTTCAACATTGTATTGCAATGTCCACAAGGGCCCCTCTGATGGCCTCCTTTTGCACTTACTTGGAATGTCTTTGAATCGATTATAAGGCTCACCATCATCTAGCCTCTGCTTCTCTTCCCTTAGTTCTCTCTGCTACAGCCACTTAGCCTTTGTCACATAAACCAAGCCCATCCCTCCCTCCGGCCTATGGGAAGGTTCTTCCCACACATCATTGCATGATTGGGTCCTGATTGCATGTCCTCTTGAAAAGACCTCCATCAAACCTGCTATCCTCATTTCTGGCCATTTTCTATCACATAACCCTGTTTTATTATCTTCATGGCATTTATCGCCATCCAGGATGTCTTGTTTATTTCTTTACTTTTCTCTCATCTCTGTCCCAGCTTTTGAATATGAGGCTTTGCGGGCTGGGGCCTTCATCAGTCTTGCTCACTGCCTTTTCCCAAGTGCCTGGAACCTGGTAGGTGTTCAGTCATTATTTTCTTAGTGGATGAGTAAATGAGGCTGCCTTCTAGGGTACTGACCTTCTTATGCCCTCCTGCTCGCGCCCCCCCCCCCACCACCTGATGTAATTGGAAGGAGGATTGTTATAGATTTGCTGTTATGTGCACGTCAGTGAGGAGCCGGGCATCTGGGAAACAGGAGACTGCCAGAAGTTCTTGCCAGAAATTTCTCTAGGAAGTAAAAAAAGAAGGAGGCATAAAATAGTTGGGAAAAAACCATGTACAGCAAACCTAACTAGGTGCATTTTCATTCCTCTAGAAAAAAAACCTTTTCAATAGAGACTCCCCACACATTCCCCAGAGCAGCAATTCTCAACTCCTATGCATCACCCCATCAGTTGTGAGTGCTGTCATGCATGGTAGCCAAATTACCAAACTTTGTCATTTATGTTTTATGTGATAGATGAGGTGAGATTTAAGGTCATCCTTGTGGCATCCTTCTCTTGCATTGGTTCTATTATGTGTTCTTGTGAGTCTGAGGGGTGAAGTGATAAGTGGTATGTTATGAGTTGCAAATGTTGCACAGATTTTCTTGATGCTGCTCAGCCCTTACCTGGGATGCCCCAGGCAGGGAGACACAGACTTGACTGTCATCCACAGATTCAGGAACCCCAATCATGGTTTATTAGGCCATTCTTGCATCGCTATTAAGAAATACCTGACACTGGGTAATTTACGAAGAAAAGAGGTCCAATCAGCTCATGGTTCTGCAGGCTGTAGAGAAAACATAGTGTTGGCATCTGCTTGGCTTCTGAGGAGGCCTCAGGGAGCTCTTACTCGTGGCAAAAGGTGAAGCTAGAACAGGAACATCACATGGAGAATGCAGGAGCAAGGAGGCAGGGAGGGTGCCACACTTTACACTTTACAACAACCAGATCTCATAAAAACTCACTATGGACAGCACCAAGTGGATGGCACTAAACCATTCATAAGAAACCCACCCCCATGATTCAGTCACCTCCCACCACACCCCACCTCCAGTACTGGGGATTATAATTAAACATGAGATTTGGTGGGGACATATATCCAAACCATTTCACATGGTGATCACCTGGATTTCACCTGCTCCATGCCCCCACATAACTCTGAAAACACTCAAGTTCTATTATACAATAAGCACAATGTTAAAGTTTAACAGGTAATCATTATGTAATCAATCCTTATACTACTAATTTGGTAGACATCACTATTTTTCATTCTATAGCTTATCCAGCATTTCACAGAAAGTGAAGAACTCTTGTTGAACACAGATAAGATGCTTCTCTGTAAATTTTGCATTTTCTTAATTTGGGATAAAGATAAAAAAGTTGTCAAAGACTGAAAGCCCAAGTCAGAGAATCATCTGACATGAAATGATATCATTTCTAAAATTAATAAACCTGACTTGGGGTCCTCAAAGTATCCCAAGCAAAATGGTCATTTTTTATAGATTTTTAAAAAATAAAATCCAGTTATGCATATTTCTTTTGTGCCAGACTCTTCCTGAAAATAATTTTTCAAAATGATTGTCACAGCTCTGCCCTAGAGGAACTTGCAATCAAGTAGGAGAGGAAGAGATGTTCAATAAATGATTCTCAAAGGACATAGCCAGCGACTCTAAGTGGTCCAATGAGGCTTACAAATGAATTGGAAAGGGACAGTTGTTGGGAAATAAAATACAAAGACAGGTAGAAAAAATGCCAACCTTTTGAGAACTATAGTAGTTAGGATGCTGGAGTAAAGATAAGACCGCAAATTTCCATTGGCTTAATTTAATAAACACATTTTTGCTTTGTAAAGTCAGGCTTAGGTTGGCCACCCTCTTTCATCTTGAAACTACACCGTATGGCAAAATGATGTCCAAGGTTGCAGTATCAGGGTAAAGCAGTTAGGCTTCACCCTAACCTGGCACTTCATGTCCACTCCCAAGCCCACTGATATGGTTTGGATTTGTGTCCCCACCCAAATCTCATGTTGATTTGGAGGAGGGGCCTGGTGGAAGGTGACTGGATCATGGAGGCATATTTCCCCCTTGCTGTTCTCCTGGCAGTGAGTGAGTTCTCATGAGATCTGATTGTTTAAAAGTGTATGGCACCATCTCCCCCACCACTCCTGCTCTGCCATCATAAGATATGCTTGCTTCCCCTTCGCCTTCTGCCATGATTATAAGTTTCCTGAGGCCTCCTAGTCATGCTTCCTGTTAAGCCTGAAGAACTGTTAATCAATTAAACCTCTTTTCTTCATAAATTACCCAGTCTCAGGTAGTCCTTTATAGCAATGTGAGAATGGACTAATACACCCCTTGTCCAGAATTAGTCACATGACCCCAACTTTATTGCAAGGATGGCTTGGAAATGTAGGGGAACACATGGATATTTGGTGAACACCACTTCTGCCACAGTAGTGGTGGACTTTCAGTGAATTTGATTAATTTTGTCTTACTAGATAAGAGAAATAGCAGTGGAGTTTTGGACTCTAGATGAAAAGACCATTGTTTGACCTCTTTTGGGGGAGTAACTGAATAAATTTGGCACAAGTTTATGTAATCACTTGGAAGCTAAACTATTTTTGTGTGCCTTGCCTGCTTCATGGGATCAAGCAATTTGCCCTGGTGTATGCGGATGTGTTTCATAAGCTGCTAGGTGTGGTGAAAATCTATTCTAGTATCATTATCACCACTATCATCACCATGGTCACCTAAGTGAAAGGGGCAGAAACTGCCCTTGTCTGTGTATGTGACCAGAGGGAAGTAAAGTCCCTGCTTATCCTTCTAGTTCCATGTCTCTCCTTTTTCCTTGAAGTACCATGAACTCCAAACTTGCTGAATTTTTGATGATTTCCCAAACATGCCTGATCTTTCCTGTACCTTTTTACATCCTTCTCCCTCTGCTTATAATGCCTTTTCTCTCCTTTTCTCCTCTCTTTACCCAGATAATACCCACCTGTCTCCCAAAGCTTAATCCCAGAAAGTACCTATGTGTCTCCCAAAGTCTAACCCAAGATTACTCAATCTGTAAAGGTTTTCCTTGATCCCCAATTGTAGGACAGCTTGGGTACCTCC
This sequence comes from Homo sapiens, assembly GCF_000001405.40. Taxonomy (NCBI): domain Eukaryota; kingdom Metazoa; phylum Chordata; class Mammalia; order Primates; family Hominidae; genus Homo; species Homo sapiens. The sequence continues at coordinate 16,539,116 of NC_000004.12, read as the reverse complement.
CTACATACATATCTCTTGTGTGAAACTTTGCCTACATATCACTTAACCATTCACACATCTGTCTCCCTGATTAGCTTACAAGCATCTTAAGATTGGGGACTGAGTCTTACTTTTGGTTCAGTAGTACAGGATCAGGACTTGAGGATGCATTAATTCCAAACCCAAATCAAACACTTACTGGTTGTATGGCTTCAGATGACTTATTTCATCTGTTTTTGCCACGGTTTCCTCATCTGTAACATGAGGAAAGCAAAAGGTACTTACTTGGGGTTGTCATGATGATTAAATTAAAAATACATGCAGACTACTTAATAATAGTGCCAAACACATAGTAGAGGCTCAACAAATATTTGGTGAATGAAGGAATAAATGAATGAATGAGTGACTGATCAATTGACTCAGTCTTATGATGGTATTACTTAACAAATAAGCTAACTAACTAAGACTTTGGGGGAAGATTATCTGCTCAAGTTCACACAGCTAGTTTATACTGACTGACTCTAAAACTTGTCCTCTAGCTGCTGTAGGTGGCCTCTAGCAGGTGCTCAGCAAGCAAGTGAAATAAACATCAGAACTGATGAACCAAGACAAGCATGGTGGGAAGGGGAAAAGCTGTAGAAACGTCTTAAGAACACTTCCTAGCTTCTGCTGAATCTTGGTCATTGTGTTTTGTTTTGTTTTGTTTTTGTTTTTGTTTTTTTGCTTGTTGGACTTTTCTGATTCCTTTCCAGCAGGTATAAAAAGAAAACAGCCTGGGCAGCAGGATTGGAAGCCTCTGGGCACAGAGCAGGGATTTTTCATTTCACAGGTCACACACCACACTCAGCAGCACAGCGCACAAAGTCAGTCTTGATTCTTAATGCCAGGAGGAAGCAAAACAGGGCTTGTTGTTCTGCTCTGGGCCTTTGGTCCAGGCTCACTGGAGAGTGATTACACTTTTGTCTTTTGCTGCTTTAAGAGGGGAGGCAAGAAGTCCCAGGACATGAGCCAAACAGTCCATGGGTTGGGTGTGACTCAAACACTGGGCACTCTGAGAGCCACTTTGACAAGCCAGCCTCCTCAGGCACCTGAATGCCAGATCAGCCATGCCCAAGTACCTTGGCTTAAGCTCTGATGCCAAAAGGGATAAAGCAGTACAATATAAATGTAAAACACCCTTGACAGTTTGGCTCACTTTCTTTCCCTGGGAGGCAACTCCTGTAAGTAATAAGCAGACCTTCTTGCCAGTGCCCTGTCTTATACCTATACCTTAGATACCTTAGGCATCTAAGCGGAACCGGAGCTTGAGAAACCAGTGGCAGTTAAGGACAGACAGCAGAGGAACCAGATCTAGTGCTGCTCCAGTATTGACCAGCTGGGGAGCAGGGGTATTGCACATAAGTTCTACACCTCAGTTTCAATGCCTCTAAAAGGAAGTAGAGGATCCCTCATTGACCCTCCTCTCAGGATTGTCAGCAGGACATTAGGAGCACTAAATTGCCCTCCATGAAGTTCTTTGTAAGCTGTTGTAATTTGTGCCCACAGATAACTGTAGAAGATAGGCAAGCATTGACTTCAGACATCGTGCTGTACCTAGTTCCCAATGCCCCACTGGGTTCTCTTTCCAAAACAAAGGTCTCCTCTGTAAAGAAGAGAAGAATGGAGAGAACTCATGAGACTGTTAAGGATTTTACAAGTGCTTTTGTTTTAAATATGTTTCACACATACTTTGTTTTTTCCTGAATTATTCTTTCCAAGAGAGCAGTAGATCTGTACTTGGGTTTTCACCCAGAAGGAAGAAACTAAGGAAACCTTCACATTTCCTTCTAGAAGAAGGGAGAATAAAGGAAATCATTGGTTTCTTAGTAAAAACTACATTGTGTTTTCCTTCTCCCTGTCAAACTCTCCCATAGTTTGCTTGCTTTGTCACAAAGAATAAAAGGGTTTTAGAAGTCTTGGTGTTTCTAAGAGCCTTAGTTCTTGCAACAGTCTCACCACATGAGTAAGGAAAACTCTAAAAAGAAAGGAAGTCCCTCTTTCACAAAAGAAACCTAGACACTCAGCCACACACACAGGCTTATACCAATCATAAAAACGTAAACTGTAAAAACCTCAAAAAGGCAATACCGAAATATGAGTTTAGGAATATGAGTAACATTATGATTGACAAAGCACCAGCACTGGAGTGGGCCCAGCACTTCATTTACATCATCCTGTTTCATTTTTAGAGCAGCCCTAAAATGGGCTTTATTTTTGAACACAGAGACTGAGTAACTGGCCTAAGGCCACACAGTCAAAAATAGAGAAATGGGATTAACACCCACTTGTTTGACTCCTAACCTGTGCTCATCCTTCTAGGCCTTCCTCCCAGCCCTGCACAATCTTTGGGAAGGTGTTCAGCAGCCCTGACACTCCCTGCTTGAGCCATTCTCCATCCCCTGACCCACCTGAGTCATGTGATTCCCAACGGTGGCAGAACTGGGATTCCCTCTACCCTGGGATGACTTCCTGTTGAGTGAGAAAAAAATGTGCTCATTCCATAGTACAATTTGAGTTAACACAATGCCTGTTCATCACATGCTGGCTCCTTTTCTCACCCAGCTGCCAGGTCCTTTGTCTGTTTCCCCTGAAGGAAAATCATCAACTTCCAATGGAGGCACCAACTTCTCTGGACAGTAGCAGAGGCCTTCTGGACATCTGACCAGCAGCACAGCATGCTGGAGCACTCAGCGAGGTGTAGGAAGGTGACTTGGCTGGGGTGGACCACAATCAATTTGGAAAGCCACAGCCCTCAGACATTTACGATAAAGCAGGAGTGATTTGAGAACCTCTTTCCTAGCTACTCATCTTCCCAAGGCAGCTCTATCACCACAGTCACACCCAGCCAGGGAGATAAAAGGCTGACGCTTGCTATCTGCTCCTACACAAATGAGCTACATGGGCATCCTTCATATGGGCTGTTCTTCTCCTGGTCCAGTATAGAAAACAAAGTTAGTGACTGGGGAGAGGGCCGACCATCCTGTAGGGGCAAATGCATTCCCCTTACCGTTTGTGGCCTAGTGCTCCGTCCAGCTTTCTTACAAAGTAAGCATAGTTGGGATTGGGTTTTTGTGCTATGCAGCTTCATCTACTTTGGCAAATAACACCTTGAGGCTTATTTGCAAGGATCTTTCCCAAGTCACAAAGGATAGCAGCACAGTGCAGTGGTTAGAAATGCACGTTTTTTATTATTCCTTTTACACAAGTTCAACTCCCAGTTCTGTTGCTTCTTACTTGGGACCATAGAAAAAGCATCTAAGCTTTCTACACATCGGTATCTTTGTTTACATATGGTGATAATAATAAAACCTGCTTCATAGAGGAGATGCTCTGTGGAATTGCCCAGTATAGGGCTTAGCATAATGAAAGCATTCAGTAAGTGCTACTACTATTGTTTACTATTATTGTCCAGCATTTACTAGAGTCACTAACTAAACCATCTGGTCCCAGTTCTGATATGTTTTTCTCCCAGGAAGGCTTTGCCAACACAGCCCTCCCACCCTAGTCTGGATTGAGTATTCTTCCTTGGTGTATTCCGCAGCCCGTGTTCTTCCCCCATAAGAGTGAAAATCACCCAGGCTTGAAGGAAGGGACTATGTCTGCTTTGTTTATTGTATCTGACATAGAACCTGGCACACAGAATGTGGACACTCAAAACATATTTGTTGGATGAATAAATGAATGACTATAAGGAAAGCTTGAGGTCCTCGCCATATTGAAGAACCCAAGAAACAATCAGGCACCAAAGGCTCTATTAAAGGAAACGGAGGGTACAGTGGCAGCACAGTGATGAGAAGGGGTGGCAGGACCATTACGCATGTCTTCCTACCCCTAAATCGCATCTGTGCCTTTTATATTGTATCATGTTAGATGAGGGTCTCTCCTGCCTGTGAGAGTGGTTAGCTCCCCTTCCACGGTCATCCAAATGGTTTTCTTTCGAGAACTAGCAATTACTTCAGTCCTTCTCTCACGCAATCACAGCAGCTGACCCGAAGCCCCTTGCTCCAGATGCATGGAAAAGCCTGCTAGGCTGGAGAACTTCTTACTTTCTTTCAACCTGTCAAAAATGACAGCTGTGTATCACTTTGGGGAGAGTTGAGACTGGCACAAAACTCATCCCCTGATGTGTCATAATTACATTTCTGGCTTTATTACACTTCTTAGTATGTAGTTTGGGTCTGGACACTAGGATGGGGTGGCCATGCTGATGTGATGTCCTGAGCTGAGAGACCTCAGGGTACATGAGGGCTTTGTGAAGGTCTTTATGATGGAAAAAGTGTAGCGTCCAGATAGATGGATAGCAAGGGAGACCCTACAGAAGTTCATCTGAATCTGTCCTAATACTTCTGAGTCGGATATCCTCTTCTTTCTTGGCATCTCAACTGAGCTTTGCTCTTCTAATTCATCTTAGAAAGTGAAAATAACAATTTCATGTCACTTTTTGTCTACCACATGGGCAAAGCTATTTTTTTAAATGATAATACATAGTGTTTGTAAAGATACGGAAAAAGCAGAAGCCCTTTTAAGCTACTTGAGAAATATAAATTAGCACAGCTATGTGTTCCAATACATTTTTTCATTACTCAGAACTAGCATAAGCCTTTAGCAAAATCATCAATGATAAAACACGCGCTTCCCTTACCCCAGTGCTGGAGACGAGAATTCCTGCAAGGCCAGCTCGGGGTGTTTAGGAGGGGAATGGAAATTATGAGGCAAGTCCCATTGGGGTAAAAGTTCGTTTCTAAAACCCCTACTAAGCCATCTTGTTCATCAACATAAAAGTATCATGATACTCCATGGGTTTAGGATGGAGGCTGAGATAAAATGAGAACATCGAGGATATTAATCACATTTTGCTACATACAAAATTTGGAAGCACAGCCAAATTCACTCAAGCTTGGACTTTAAAATGGGTTTCCTCCCTGCAGGCACTGTGCACAGAATATTTGTTGTTATTTTGTGATCATCAGAGGAACGTGAGTTGTGCATGGTGCATCATTCTGCTGGACACCCCTGCCCCCCAAGTTTATGATCATTTACCTTGAGAGCTAAAATCAGATCGTGGCATTCCACACAAAGGCTATGCTGCTGTAATTAATGCAGAGTCCTCACATGCTGTATGGTATGAATTGTATTGCTAATTATATTATTATGAATGTGGTTTAGAGTATTATTAATGCAGGAAATATCAATACTTAAAAGCCTCACTGGCATGAAGATTTTTACTTCGGTAGGCATGAACTGGCCTGGAAGCATTAAATACTCTCTTGCTTAGAGGCATTAATCTGTATTCCCTTTGAATACATTTAATTAAAAATTTCACCTTTCCAGGAATTGTTGTTTTTATGCAACCCCAAAATGGAATTTTACTGGAGGGCAGGTCTTTTACATAAGCAACCATTTGTTCAGCCAGGGTGACGTCCCTCAGACAAGGTGTCTGGTAACGTTAGGGATATGGTGAAGGAGCTGCCCTTCTCTGTCACAGTCTTGCTTTCTTGAGAGAAGTCTCAGCTTTATAGACAAAAATAAAACCATGTTCAGAGTCAAATGCAGGGACACACCATCCAGGATACAATTTCATTGTGTCATTTGTCATTGCTTTTTTAGGACCCACTTAAGTCCATCTTAATCCACTTTGGAACTCAGCAACCAGGGCTCTGAAGTTTGCGATTTCTTGTATGTGTAGATACTTGCAGATGTGATTTTGCTTTGTATCCTCAGATCCATGAGGTAGCTATTATTATTTCCATTTTTGCAGACATGAATGGTTTTTTAACTTTAGAAGTGGGATCCTTAACCTCAGACTAGAGGTTAATCACATGTTGATAGCACCGAGGCTTGAGGAGAGTCACACAGCTGGTAGGACCTGGCTGGGATTTGAACCTGGGTCTGTCTCTAAAGCCAAGTCCCTTCCTAGTTTCCTTCAGGCTCAGGCCAGTGACTCTTCCATCTAGGGTAACAAGCCAACCCACTGAATGGGACTGAGAGGTTTCCTGGGATCTGGAACTTCTAGTTTTAAAATCTGGGACAGTCCCAAGCAAACTGAAGCAAGTTGGTCACACTAATTCCATCCCCTAACTCCTCATTTTACTCCATCTTTTCAGCTGATTGAGATGTTGAGTTTATTATAGACAGGATATTGGAGTCTGTTGACTGGCTCCCTTTCTAGAAAGTGGTTCCTATGCTAGGAATGTCAGACTGGCACACAGAGAACATTTGCCACAGGGAGGGATAGAAATTCCTTGAAGCAAATATGACCGAAGAAGTCCCACAACAAGGGGCATGGATCAGTTACCACAAGATGCTAATACCACAGTAGATGATTTCCTGCAGCATTGGGTTTGGGGAACCATAATGGTTATTATTCGGAGCAAGGTGTCATGGAGACAAATAAACAGACATGGTCTATTAGGGTAATGGGGGAAAAAAGCAACATTTATCAAGTATTTACCTCTCCAAATAATTTGCAGCTGATTTAAGAAGCTCTTCGTGACCACACCTAAGAGTACCAGACTCTAAGACTTTACTAATAAAGTTGAAAATATGCTAGTGTTAATATAGCTGGCACGAAAGAATAGGAAATAAATGCCTGAAGTTTGTCAGCTTATTAATCATTCCTTTGTAAGCGGTGCTTTTACTTTTGTTGTTGCAACATCTAACCACAGTTCATTGGTTAAAGGCCAAGCTAGCTTTTGCATTGGCATATCACCATGCGCAATGGCTCTGTGCTTCTTGTCTATTTATTAATGCTGCAGACTTCCTACAATTCAGTCTAAAAATAGCATCAGTTCTGTGAAAAATACTGCATTTGTGCTTTAGCCATGGTAAGGAAATATGGAAGGGTATATGTGTGTGTGTTTGTGTGGACCCGAAGAAAACATTGTGGTGCCTAAAATCCATAATTGTTACACTCCTGAAAACCTTACTTTTTTGGCATACCTAAAATTAAAAGAAAAAAACTCAAAGGGAGTAAGTGGAAAGAGAAGGGTGAAGAGAGAGGCTGATTCCCTCCCCCGGCCCAAATCCTAGCTATGCATAATCTCTGTTTATTTTTAGTACACAAAATGATCATGCTAAGCTAGAATGAAACCTCAGAAAAAGCCTTTTATTAGAGGGTTTTATCCTTAAATGAAACTGTGTTCCCTCATCTCAGGTCCTCTGCTACCTTCCTCCATCTGTTTGAACTGCAAAGCATCCATGGAAAAACTATGGGTGGGCATATTTCCTTACACAATGTCTGGAAAAAATATATTACTTTGGGTGCTTTTGGACAGAACATTCCTAGACAAAATTTATTCTAACTGTAAGGTTTTCCTAAACCATATCCCTGGTTTGAAGGTGTCTATCTATCTATTTAGCCATGCCAGCACTCAAGCATGAATGACACAGTGATAATTTCTCTAAATCCATGATTTATTTTGGACCCACAAGAACTTGAACAAGACAATTAAGGTTTGAGAAGCCATGTGAACCTGAGGGAGTTGCCAGGGACACAGGTGAAGAGTGATAGAGGATGTGTTTCATCATCAAAAGGAAGAACAGCAATAGTGATAAGGTCCTATGGCTGCACAAATAGAGAAAGTGAATGGTTTGCCTATCAGGCGTATCAGGTGTTGGGATTTGATGCAGAACTCCTGAATAATATGTTGTTTGCCTTTTGGAGGAATTAAGAGGAAGGAAATGTCATTCTTCACCTTCACACATGATTGTGAAGAGAGATGGTAGAATGAGAAATTGTTGTTTCCTGTTTCTGAAAGATACTGCTGGGAGCAAGGGTGACAGGGAAGTACCAGAGGAACTGGGACAGCCCAAAGTGGCCTGAGAAAAGAGGACTTGGCAACATGCTGTTTAATCAGCCTTGGTATCAGAACTGTGTACCAGACAGAGGGATAACAGTTTTGTAATAGTAGAGCGTAGTGGGAAGAACTTGGGCTGCAGAATCATCCATTTGTTCAATAGGTGTTTATGGAGCACCTGCTGTTTGCTGAGCACCTTCCTGGGTATGGGTCAAAAGAAGTTACACTGAAACCTGGTTCCACTACTTTCTAGCTATGGGTCTGGGGCAAAGCACTTAACCCCTCTAGAAAACACCAATGATGGTCTCTGAAAATAAGGATTCTAAGTCCTAATCTTGTTGGGAGGACAAAATGAGATCATTTATGAATGGTGAGTCACTTAAATCTCTGTAAGCCTTAGGTTGCTTATCTCTAAAATGAGGATAAAATTACCCAAGTCGTAGAGCTATGATGCTGTCTAGATGGAGTAACAGAGTAACTAGTTGTGTGCCAGCCCCCTAAAATAGTAGATGGCATTTTAGGAGGCTGTGTGTTGGCTCAGGTGAATCTATTTCAGAAAGAACAAACTTCAGGAGAGTCTCTGTGAGGATAGATGGGAAACTGTCACTTTGGGAAGGTTCTGTACCTCAAAGAAAGCCTGTATCGTGCAAAAGATTCCAGAAGAAGGGAGGTATATGTTAACCCTTATTTTATGTTTTCAGAAGAAAGGAATATGTATTTTGAATCAGAAATAAACTAGATCCTTTTTCAGATAGTAGGTTCTGCCTCAGATCATGAGGGACATAGTGACAGACTTTGCTTTCAGTGTGCCCTTGGGCAGCTTACTTTCTGCTGCTGGGCAAACTGATATTTGCCCATACATAACAGCATTGGAAAACAGAAAGTCCTGAATGTCATAGGAGAGTTATGGGTTTCAAGAACTTTCCAAGAGCTAGCAAGGAAGTTTGAGACTAGACCCAACTGAAAGCAAATGTCCTATTTGAAAAGGGGAAAGTGTTACCATGTGTCATGGCATGGTGAAAAGGACAAGACCTTGAACAAGGAGAGCAGCCACAATTTCAAGGCTGACACCAAGGCAGCAGTGCGAGGTCAGGCAGACCCTCTTAAACCCAATGAACTTCAGCTGTCCCTACTGTAAAACTGTCCAGGAGTATGCTAACTTTCAAAGTTCTATAATATTAGGAGTCTTATGATATCTGCTTGCTGGTTTATAAATAATTTGGGAAACCGAGACTCCATCAAATGTAGTGGCCCAGAGTGAACTTGTGATTGTGTTTTCTTGCCTTTCTTACTGGAAGGCACCTGGGTTATTTCTGTCAATTAGACCAGCCATTTCCAATGAATATGCTCACCCCAAGCTTCTCACTGCTCCAGAGGGCATAAAGAACACATTCTTTCTCACATCTAGAGACTCAATGCCTGAATGGGCAGCATCAGACAGATGTCAACCATGAAACTTTACACATACACACACAGAAACCAAAAAAAGTGGAGGCTGAAGCCGCAATATATTGCATCAATTTACGGGCTAGAACAGAAACAGATTTTCAAACACCATATACAGATCTTCCGTAAAGGACCCAGGGGACAAGGATGCTCTCAAAGCATGGAAGAATGAAAGGGAAACAATGAGATAGGACACGAGGAAGAAGACAAGGAAGAGAAGCTCCCTATGTGATTAAATGCAGATAGGTGGAGGAAAAATAAAAACAAGCTTCAATCTCTGATCCCTCTCAAAGTTTTGAATACTCTCTGTGGGAAAACACACAATGAAATTAGAAGTGATGCACATTGAAATGACACTGGAGAAGTGGTGGCAGAAGGCAGGGTCCTCAGCTCCGACCCATTTCTGCTGAGGATGAAGGGACATGGGCCCTGCTGCACCTGCAACCTGGCCTGTCAGTGGTTTGCCTCATTCATTCATTCAACATTAATTTGTTTCTCTGCTTGCCTACTAGGATCCCAGGCTCATTAGGGAGGCAGACACATATTCAGCTCATTATACCACAGGATGATAGAGATACATTCCCAAGCATGGGCATAAAAACTAAGATGGGGGTAATTGATTCGGTCTGGGGCCCAAGTTCAAGGAGGACAAATCTATTGAGTCCCAAAAAGCTGCATCCTTGGGCCCGTTACTCATTCCCTCTGGTTTCCCTTTCCTCATCTGTATAGTTAATGGTGCCGGGGGTAAGGCACTGAGCCCAGTGCCTGGTACCCTGTAAACACCAAGTACTGGTAATGATTAGAGGTAGTGATTTATTAAGCTTCTAAAAGAGTTTTATAGTCATCATTTTTTCTCTTCTGGCAACTGTTCCAAGAAAATCCAGGTACGGTTGAAGATTGAAATGTGTGTGGCTTCTTGGGATCTTGGTGTAGACTCTGCTGCTCTGAACTAACTGAGTAGACAGGTGTCATGACACGTGTCTCTCTTGCTGAGTTCCAGAATGATGAAACTGGGCTTTGAACATAATGTCTTCAGCCTCATGAAGCCCCTATACGTCTGTTCTTCGCCCACGTCCCTTACGATTGGCTCACAAACCAGATTTCTTCTCATGAATCACTTTTTTCCTCTTAACATCTTCTGCTCTCCCACCAGGCACTTCTCTATACCTTACTGGTTCTGGTGGCAGGTGGCACTGCACAAGTCTACCAATTTGAAGGCCTGCTGCCCTCCCAGCTTGTGTGCGCCTCTTCAGCAAGGCTGGCCGAAGGCCCTGCCCTCAGGTTGCTTACCGTCAGCCTCTCTCCATTCTCAGGAGGCCCCAAATACTGGTCTACCTCTATTCAAAATCCTCCAATGTCAGCCAACTCTCTCAGACCAAAGGCCAACATCCTCATTATGATGTTTGTAATCCATTAGGTTGGTGCAAAAATGATTGCGGTTTTTGCCATTGCCTTTAATGACAAAAACCTCAATTACCTTATTTAAAATATTTTTTATTTCCATAGGTTTTTGAAGAACGGGTGGTATTTGGTTACATGAGTAAAATTTTTACTGGTGATTTGTGAGATTTTGGTGTACCTACACCTAAGCAGTATACACTGAACCCAGTTTGTAGTCTTTAACCTCTCACCCGCTTCCCTCCCTTTCGCCCTGAGTCCCCAAAGTCCATTGTATCATTCTTATGCCTTTGCATCCTCATAGCTTAGCTCCCACTTACGAGTGAGAACATACAATATTTGGTTTTCCATTCCCAAGTTACTTAACTTAGGATAATAGCCTCCAGTCCCATCCAGGTTGTTGCTAATGCCATTAACTCATTCTTTTTTATGGCTAAGTAGTGTATATATATATATATTACATGTATATATATACACCACAGTTTCTTTTTTTTCACTTTTCCTCCCAGCTTTATTAAGGTATACATGACAAAAATTGGATATGTTTAAGTACACAACTTGATGCTTTGATATATTTATAGTGAAATGATTACTGAAATAAAGATAATTAACATATTCATTACCTCACATAGTTAATCATTTTGTGTGTGTGAGGTAAGAAGACTTAAGATCTACCCTCTTGTAAATTTAAAGTATACAATATAGTATTATTAAATATAGTCACCATTTCTGCTTTTTGGGTTTGACTATATACCACAGTTCTTTATCCACTCTGATTGATGGGCATGTGGGCTGGTTCCACATTTTCGCAATTGCAAATTGTGCTGGTCTAAACATGCGTGTCCAAGTGTCTTTTTCATATAATGACTTACTTTCCTCTGGGTACATGGGACTGCTAGATCAAATGGTGGTTCTACTTTTAGTTCTTTAAGGAATTTCCATACTGTCTTCCATAGTGATTTTACTAGTTTACATTCCCACCAGCAGTGTAAAAGTGTTCCCTTTTCAACCGCATCCACGCCAACATCTATTTTTTTTTTATTTTTTTGATTATGGCCATTCTTCCGGGAGTAAGGTGGCATCGCATTGTAAAAACCTCAATTACTTTTGCACTAACCTAATAGTTCCCCACAATCTCTCTGAACTCATCTTCTCCTGCTGTTTCCCTCATTCTCTTCACTCCAGCTGCACTTCCCTCCTAGAAGTTTCTCAAAGAACTCAAGTCTTCACTCTTGCTCTTCCCTCTGCTCCTGAGAATTCTGCCCCAGCAGAAATGCTGTCCCTCTGCCTGGAATGTGTTCCCCAAATATCTCGCTGTCTAACTTTCTCTGAGATTTGGGGTGCCAGATAAAATACAAGATGCCCAGTTACATTCGAGAACAGATAAATAATAAATAAGTTATTAATAATGTATTACTTTAATAAGTTATTGTTTATTATCTGAAATTCAGATTTAGCTGGACATCTTGTAGTTTTATTTGCTAAATATGGCAACTATATCAGAGTTCTTCACTTAGAAGTTGCCGTTTGGATGCTTATATTGGTTTTCTATTGCTGCTAAGACACATTACTACAAACTTAGTGGCTGGGAACAACATAATTGATCTTGCGGTAGATCAGAAGTCTGAGACAGATCTCATTGCACTGAAGTCAAGGTGTTGGCAGGATTATATTCCTCTCTGGAGGCTCTCAGGGAGAATCTGTTTCCTTGTCTTTCCCAGCTTCTAGAGGTGTACACATTCCTTGGCTCCTGGCACCCTTTTATTTTCAAAGACACAATGTCAGGCCAAGTCCTTCTCATGCTGCCATCTTTCTGATTCTACCTTCTGAATCCTTCTTCCACTTATAAATACCCATGTTAGTCAGGGTTCACCAACAGGATGGATGGATATATAGATGATAGATGATAGACAGATAGATGAGAGAGAATTCATTAGGTGCATTGGCTCATGTGATGACAGAGGCTGAGGAGTTCTGCAGTAGATATCTGCAATCTTCAGCCCCAGGGAAGCTGGTAATGTGACTCATGGCAAGTCTCAAAGCTACAGAGCCAGGGAAGCCAAGGGGGTAATTCTCACTCCCAGACCGAAGGTCTGAGAACCTGAGAGGTGGGGGTCGGGGGAGCACTGCCTAGTGCTAGAATCCAAAGGCCAGAGAACCTGAAGTTCTGATGTCCAAAGGCAGGAGAAGAAGGGTGTCCCAGCTCCAGAAAAGCGAGAGAGAATTCACCTTTCTCTGCCTTTTTGTTCTATCTGGGCCCCCAGCTGATTGTGTGGTGTCTGCTCACATTGACAGCAGATCTTCCCCACTGAGTCCACTAACTCACACACCATTCTCCTCTGGAAACAACCTCTCGGACATACCCAGAAATACCACTTTACCAGGATTTTAGGTATCCCTTAATCCAGTCAAGTTGACACCAAAAATTAACGATAACAGTACCCTTGTCATTATATTGGGACCACCTGGACAATTCAGGCTCCTCTCTGGATCTCAAGGGCAGTTGATTAGCGGCTGTAATTCCCTATGCCATGGAACCTGCTGTAGTCACAATTTCGAACCATTAGAATGTGGATATCTCTGCAGAGCCACTATTCTTTCTATCTCAGTGGCTTTAGCCAAGGTATCCACATTTTCAACCCTCCCAACTCCAACATTTCATATCCCTCTTCCCTACGTTACCTTTTCTCTTTGGTACTTATCACTACCTGACATAGTATATATCTTTTGTTTATTTAATTTATTTATTATCTGACTCCTTCATTAAAATGCAGTTCCCTTAAGAGCAGTGATTTTCTTTTTTCCTGCTTATAGCACCCCCAGCACCTAGAACAAATAAAGAGCACGTAGTACACATTCAGTAAGTAGGTGTTGAATGAATGAATTAGTGAATGAATAATTGAACCACAACCTCTGCCAACTCCATTTTCATACAGTGCTGGCATCATCAACATGAATCTTACTTTTCACCAAACTCCCTTCTATCCCTGGGAGGGGAGAGGGCTGCAGATACAAGCGCACAGTGATGGAATGGCTGGGGAGCAATTGAGCAGCTGAGTGCTGCATTATTGAGAAATCTTTCCTTTCCTTTGCGTCAGAGCAGAGCTGGAGAGCTGTTGCCTGGTAGAAGCTCCCAAGAAAGCAGCCAAGAAGACAGCTGTTCTAAATGCAGCCACACTTGGCATGCCCAGAACCAAGAGAGAGAAGACCACATCCCCACACTGATCAGCAGCCCCGAAATCCTCCCAAACAGCAGCCTTAGGGACACAGCCCCAAACCCCAGCACACAGCTGTCTTTAACAGTCTTGCGGGTACTTATCCCAGGGCAGGAGGCAGGTGTAACCATTCAGTCAATGTTCAGAAGGGATTATAACTGCATGAACAAGATAGTCATGTTCCTTGGAAACTGTCACTGACAGCTCTCAAGGAACATATCCAAATTCCCTTATTTGCAGTATTGCAATTATAAAGCTGCATTTATAAATGTTAGTGTTTAAATATTACCTTACCGTAAGTACCTAGTCTCTCAGGTCCCTGGGAAGAATAACCAATATGCTATAAAAGCTGTATATTTCCAGTGAGGCAAGGATGGATAATTGCAAAGGGTTCCTATGCTGGGGGTCAGTCTCCAAGCAGCCATTGTTTGCCTTTTGGGATATTTGGTGCTTTGTTTCACCAAACACATCAAAATGCTGATGCTTTTCTCATGTTCAGGAAACACGGATGAAAGAGCAATATTGCGTTTGACACATTTCAGTTTAATGTAAACCCTAATGGCATTTGCAGAGGGTTTATCACACACAGAATGTTTTTGCCTACATCATCTGTGCCTCTCAGCTCCTCTATGGGGCAGAAAGTGAGGCTTTGATTTAACCGGATCCCTGCCTGCCTGTCCACTGCAGCTCAGGCTCTCAGCCCCTCCCTCATACTCTCTTTCCACGATGTGGTGGTTTCCAATGCCCTGTTCTCTTGCATTCACACGTATATTTCCTCTGCCTGAGATACCCTCCCTACCTCTATCTTAGGAATCTTCTCTTTCACCTGGCTGACTCCTAATTCATCTTTGTATGTCTCAACTTAAATATCGATTCCTCAGGCAGCCCTTCCTGACACGCTTTGCCCTTCTTTATTATGTGCATCCAGTTTGGAATCCTTGTTTATCACCTGTCTCTCCCTCCAACAGGGAGCCTCAGGGGAGGGAGCTGCAACTGCTGTGTTCACCATTGCATCCCGAGTGCCACTCTCCTTCCTGAGCATATAGAAGGTGCCTGATAAATACTATGTGATACATGCTTGAATAATGTGCCCCAGGTTACTACAGTTATGAAATGGATAAAGCAAGATCTGGTCCATTTGTTTTCCATCCTACCGCATCCCTATTTTCAAGCATTCATTCCTTCCACAAACATCAGACCTATTGCTTGGTAACTTGAAAGATAAATAAAATAAACTCACAGGATACAGCCCAGCCCTCTAATTGTTTATAGTCTAGTGGGGAGCACACTAATAGTTAATTTTAATTGTCAACTTAGCTAGGGCGTAATATTAGTTGCTGCAGGTCTTTCTTACCTATGGTTTTGTTTCCTGCAGTTTCGGTTACCTATGGTCAACTACAGTCAGAAAATATTAAAGAGAAAATTCTAGAAATAAACTATTCATAAGTTTCAAATTGCCATTCTGAGTAGCGTGATGAAACCCCACACTGTCCTTTGTCCCGCCTGGAACATGAATCATCCCTTTGTTCAATGGATACACACTATCTACACTATCCACCCATTAGTCCCTGAGTAGCCTGGATACACACTATCTACACTATCCACCCATTAGTCCCTGAGTAGCCTGGATACACACTATCTACACTATCCACCCATTAGTCCCTGAGTAGCCTGCTTGGTTATCAGATCGACTGTCGCAGTATGGCATTCCAGGTGTTCAAGTAACCATTACTTTAATTAATAATGGTCCCAAAATGTAAGAGTAGTGATGCTGGCCATTCAGATATGTCAGAGAGAGGCCATAAAGTATTTCTTGTAAGTGAAAGGTAAAAGTTCTCGACTTAATGAAGAAAAAGAGTCCTGAAGTGACTAAGATCTACGGTAAGAATGAATCTTCTACCTGTGAAATTGTGAAGAAAGATAAAGAAATTCTTGCTATTTTTGCTGTTGTACCTTAAACTTTATTATAGGTATCTACATATAGGTTAAAAAAAATGGTATATATAGAATTTGGTACTATTGACAGCTTCCAGCCTGTGGAAACTATGGATTTTGGGACTTGGTAACCCATAAAATCACATGAGCCAATTTCTTAAAATAAATATGTACATACATGCATACGTACATATACATACCCCATTGGTACTGTTTCTCTAAAGAATCCTGACTAATATAGTGACAGACAATAGACAGTCAATGTCTGAGGCCATTTAGAGTAATTCTGGGCCACTGGCCTTCATTTTTAGTGCCTTGGCTGAACTGAAGGACAATAATTCGTCAATAAGAATCTTTAAAACTTACCATAAATTTGCTTGTACCTCTCTAGGTGACACACAGCACTCCGCAGATGTTTGTTAATGATTGTGGTGTATTTCCAGGCAGATGATTCCTCTTTCTTTTGTAAACCTCTAACTACTGTGCCTTAGAATTTAGAGATGCTGCTAGAACCCACAGATGGGATATTTGAGGCAATAGCCCAATGGTCAGGACAAGTTATATATACCATAGACAGAGTGACCAATATTTTTTAGACATCCATTGTATCATCAAAATCTAATTTTCAGGTTATGTGTGTGTGTATATTTACATTTCTCTCTATATATACAGAGATACATAGAGTTGTTCCTCAGCATCCATAGGGGATTGGTTGTAGGACCCACAGACACCATAATCCCCCATATAAAATCGTGTATTTGCACATAGCCTTTGTACTTTTGCTCATATATTTTAAATCATCTCCAGATTACTTATAATACCTAATACAATGTAAATGCTAAATAAGTAGTTGTTATACTGCATTGTTTAGGAACTAATGACAAGAAAAAAAGTCTGTACATATTCAGTATTGACACAACCATCCATTATTTTTTCAATATTTTTGACCTGTGGTTGGTTGAATCCACAGACGTGGAACCCCCAGATAAGAAGGGCCAACTGTACATACATACACACACACACACACACACAAACACACACACACGGCGGGGAATATCTATACAATTTTAACAAGTAGGTCGTGCCAAGTTTTAAAGTGTCTTCTGTGAAACCCCTGCCCCCCTCTTGGTAATAGTCCAATCATATTAAACATGTATAGAGCACTTTCCATAAGCCAGAACCTAGGTAAATACCTCAAATAAATGTGCTTGTTTCTGCTAGTTACCCCACTAGTTAGTTACTATTGTTATACCAATCTTGCCGATGGGGAGACTGAAACACCAAGAGATTAAGTCACTTGCCCAAGGTCACCCCCTTATTAAGTAGCTGGAGTTTGAACCGCAGCTGAATTTGCATACCTAGCCACAACACACGAGGCTCCCAGACACCCAAAGTCCTTCATCTTGCACATATTGTCTAATTTCTTATAAACTATGTATGTCAATCAGAGTCCACCCAGGAAAACAAAACCCACACCTCATAATTTAATAGAGGAAATTTAATATAGCATATGCTTATAAAGATGTTGGAGCTGGACAAACAATCACAGGAAGATGAGGAAGCACTAAGATTAGCAATTGCCACTCCTGGGGCTAGAAGAACAAAGGCAGAAGGTGTAGGGTCACCTGGTATCAGCTGGAACTGTAGTGGATGTGTCTGATGACAGCTGCTGAAAAGGCTACCTGAACTACAGAGAAGGCAAGAAATACCCCTCCTTATTTCCTTAAACATAGAGTAGGTTGAATAGGCTCCCTCAAAATTCATATTCCCCTGGAAACTTAGAATGTGACCTTATTTGGGAGTAGAGTCTTTGCAGATGTTATCAGTTAAAGATCTCAGCATGAAATCATTCTGGATTTAGGGTGCACCCTAAATCTAATTACTGGTGTCCTTATAAGAAGAGGAGAGGACACAGACACATAGGGTAAAGGCCATGTGCAGATGGAGGCAGAGATTGGAGTGATGCAGCTACAAGCCAATGAGCCCCAAGGATTGCAGGTGCCTGCCACCAGCAGCTAGGATGAGACATGGCAGGATTCTTCATGGGAGCCTTCAGAGGGAGCTCGGCCCTGCCTACTCCTTGATTTCAGATTTCCAGCCTCCAGAACAGACAGCATACATTCCTGTTGTTTTAAGCCACCCAGTCTGTGGTACCAGGATATGGCAGTCCTAAGAAATGAACACAACCTGCTTCTCTCTAATCTCCCTGAGTACCTCCAACTGGCCAAACCTCGCCTGAAGCCAGTTGGCAAAGACAGCTGGGAAATAATGTGCAGGGGCTTGTCTCCTGCCATGCAGAGCTGGAAGGAAGAGACAGGGCTAAGAGCAAAGAGGCAAATAACCCAAGCATTGTGGAAGGGGGTGCCCAGGCAGGAAGATATGGCAGAGAAATTATGGCTGTAGAATCAGAGGTAAAGAACAGAACAGAAGGGGCCTTGAATGGTCTCTTCATGGGCCTAACGGATGCAGCAGAAATCGTGAGCTTGGCTAGTCTGACAGGGCTGCCCCAGGGTAGGAAAACAGTCCAAGCACTTCTCCCCTGGGTGGGTCAGAAAAGCAGTCAATGACCTCCTTCCCAACAGCCTCAAAAGTGAAATCAGGAAAGATCACTCTGGAAGAAGGATGGTCCCTTCAAGACTGGAGTGACAGCTGCCGCCACTCTCCTCTGCCTGAGAACGGAGGGACACCCTGTCTCCAGGGTTGGACGCGATAACTTTCATGAGTAATCAATTTGCAAACAGACTGAGAAAAGGCAACACATCCCCCGGTTGCATCTTCAGATAAAAAGGAGTATGTTTTGAATTTGACAACCAATCTACCTTTAATCCTATCAGGAAATAAACCTCAATCATAATCTGATGTTTTGGACTTGCATCGCTTCTAAGGGAAAGTGTTTCCTCTATCCCTTGTTCTTCCTCTTCAGAGCAGAGTGAGTTTAGTCATGTGGATGCCTGTTATTCATTCTTATCTGCTTCTTAGTGGGGATTATTTGCTTTTTTGTTTTTTTTTTCTTTTAGATTCCATATATTTTTTCATTATGTGTTTCTTAATTAGAGAGACTCCTTCACTCTTAGATAAGAGTTTGTTTTTTAATCTCCCCCCACCCCCATCATCTGATGTCTTTCTGGTACGGATTTAGCCAGAGGAGTAAATTACTGGCGGTGGGGCGGCGGGGAGGGGAGGGTGAAAAAACCTGGCTGTGGAGTTGAACATTTGGTATTTATCACTGAATTCTAAATATGGGTTATTATCGGAGACGTTAGCTACTAAAATGCCATGTGCCATTGGCCTGATTACTACTCTTTGGGGCATTCATTGTTATCTAGTGACCCTAAGACTTCCAGAGACCATGTGACTTACTTCCCAAAGAAGCTTCTCAGTCCCATAATACATTGAGCGCCTGGCTCAGTGGGGCTGGCCTTTAAGGCCATAGCATTTCTCATCACAACAGTGTTCATCTTTTGCGTGCTGACCTAGTTCCAGGCTTTTGTATTAAGGGTTACTTACTTTGTTTCAAACTGTCAGAGATAAGTAGTATTATCCCCATTTTCTAGATGAGGAAACTGAGATTCAGAGAGGCTAAAATTCTTGGCCAAGAACACATAGCTAGATAATGGCTGACTTGGAGGGCTTGAACCCAGATGAATCTGGTTCCAAAACCTACACCCTTCTGCATCACCTACCTCTCTGTGTAGGTTTTGGAACCAGATTCATCTGGGTTCAAACCCCCAAGTTTGCCATGTATTAGCTCTGTCGATCAATACCATTTGCAAAGAGAAACACAAAAACAGTGAAAGGCTTTGAACTTGGTATCTTAGAAGTCATTTAAGCCACTGATATTCAGAGAGGTAAACAACATAGCAGTTACGAGTTAATAGTACAGGGTTGAAGTCAGAGAAACTTGACTGAACCTCTTCTCTGCCCTTCAAATAGCTGTACTGCCTTGGATACACTGTAGGAACCACATTCTTTATCACTAGTTCTGGATGATTTAATGGGTTTGGGTATGAGTTTTCTCACCTGTAAAAGTGGGCCAAAAGGTGGGGGTGAGGGTTAATGACATAATAATTTAAGGTGCATACTCCAGGGATAGACATAGACTAGGCATTCTGTAGATATTATTAATTAAGTTATGACTCAACAAATATTTGAGTATACCTAATACCGTGTTAAATAAAAAGAAAAGTAAAATATAGCTTGCCGTAGATAAGAGGTGAACGAGGCCACAAGAAAGGAAAATTTCTAATGCAAATATAAACACTGGGATGTGCAAAGATTCACGATAAGTGCTATAGAAGCAAAAGAGTCCCTTGCAGGATAGGATGGTCGGAGACAGAGGTGGGATTTGAGCTGGACCTTGGAGGACCTTAAATGGTTCAGATGGTGTGACTTAGTGTGGGCGACTGGTTCGCAACAAGTAAAGGAGCTCTCTCCAGGACATAACTCAACTATTTCACTGGGCATATTGTTTAGTTGATCTGATACCTTTTTAATGCAAAACTTTCTCAATAAAGTAAGCAGTGAATTGAACATGCTCTGCCTCAAGCTCTTTATCCTATTATGGAGACGTAACAAGTCATTTGCAGCCACCTTCTTGGAATAGTACCGATTTAGTTCAAGGGTCAACAAACTTTCTGTGAAGGACAAGATAGTGAGTATTTTTTAATTTGTGGGCTGTCCAACTACTGAGCTTTGCTGTAGCACAAAAGCAGCTATAGACAGTAAGAAAGCACGGATATTTAGTCCACAGGTCATAGTTTGCCAAATCCTAGTTAAGATGACTGAGAAAGAGGAGAGAAGGCCTTTTAAAAGCGAAAAAAAAAACAACACAAGCAAAGGTCTGAGCAACGCGTTGACCTAGCAACTCTGAAGAGACCTACATACAAAGAGTAGAGGGTTCAAGGCCATAGGATGTCACACAAAAAACATGGAATTAAAATGTTGATGGTAGACAGAGCCTAGATTGGGAGATAATCAAATACTGCTTTGTAGTTCACAGCCAACTCTGACAAGCACCACCTGTTCCTGAGATTCGGGCAATGAGATGCCCCAGAAGAATGGGTATGAGTGTGTAGTGAAAAGAATCAAATTTCTCCAGGAGAACTGTCAGATGAAAAGCAAAACAAGAGCAAAACACTGCACTGTCTACATTTGTTAGGTCCTCTGTTAATATGAAAAGGCAGGAATCCTGGGACTGAACTAAGAGCTTCCTGCCTGGCCAGGACATACATATGCATTGTGCAAAGCATTTTGCATGCAGGAGACAATCATTTATTCATCAAATGAACAAATTCATCACTTCAGAGCACACAGGACCATGCCTGATTTGTCTGTCATTAACAAATGACTCCTTGCTATAAATCTGGCCAAGCTATCTATTATCCATCCATCCATCCATCCATCCATCCATCCATCCATCCATCCATCCACTCATTCATCAAGTTCCTGTTGTGATTACAAAATTTCATACCAAAGGGTCAGTGTTGGGGCCAGAATCTCCAGAAAAAAGAGGTCAGAAGCATAGGAGAGCAAGCTCAACCTAAAACATTCACTAAATCTGCAAAAAGGTGTCCTTGGAACTTTGCCAGGATGAACAATGGCTTTCTTAGGGATCCTATCTGGACTTGACAGGGACACCATGTTTATGGGTTTTATATTCAAAGAGGGATCTCGGGCCTTGCTGATCCCTTCCCTTTCCACAGCGTCCTGGGATTCCTCATGGTATTCTTCACTCCGGTACTACCCCAGGAAGAGACCAAACAAAAGTGCAAGCCTGCATGCAGGCTGCTGCAGATGTTGCAGACATGTTGTCTTTGGCCTTTCTTTTTAGGCAAAGGGAAAAAGTCCAGTGGGCACTTTGTAGCTGTCCTGACTGTGCAGATTAGTTTTTTTCAACATCAAAGGACCATGTGTTATTATGCTCAGTTCTATAATGTGCATTTGACTGGTGTTTTTTTTATGTGTATGTGGAGTGGGGTAATGAGGAAAAGGCATATATCTTGTAACCTGGCTCATACTTATTACAAACAGGGGACTCTTCCTAGAGTCGATGGATGGGGCTATAGAGGATTCAACAACCACCAGAAATTTTGTACAAAATTTGAAAGACAGGCTGTATAGCCTTCACCAGATTCTCTTGAGGGTCTCAGACCTCAGGGAGGGTAGGAATGGCAGCTCCCAACGGATTTGACTAGCAACTAAGGGAACCCACTCCCCAAACCTGCTTCCTGATTTCATTTCATAATGCCCTAGGCCTTTGCTGTTGCCAAGATGCACTGGCTTACTGCCAAAGAAGACAGGCTCTTATCTGAGTTAGTTCTGCCACCTACAGCACAGAGCCCAGCAAAGCCATTGCATCTTTGCAGCAGAGAAGAAGCCTCATTTGCATACATGAATAAGGGGAGGGCTGCCTCTCCAGCCCCGGACTCTCCACTGGAAGAAAAATGACTTTGGGGATTCTCGATTAGCATTCAGAGATGCAAGCTCCTTTGGGGTGGGTTACAGCGATGGGAAGATATTTTTACATTAAAGGGAAAGGGATAAATTTTGAGGATTAGCACCTGAAAAAGAAATGTTGCTGAAAACCCAGAGAGGAAAGTCACTGCAAAAAAGGAAAAGACAATGAGCTCATGGGTCCTCACAATAAGTGTAACTCTCCCATTTTATAGCATGCCCAATGCTGATAGTCCTTTCTAGGTCCAAACAGGTCACCCCCACCGTCTACCTTGTCGTACAATGAAAAATACTTGCTTTGGAAGAATGTGATTTCCTAAGACAGGATAGTTTTGTTAATATACTTAAAGCATTTTTAAGGATTCCCTCTAAGGGCAGAGATTGTGTTATTCTCATTTTTGTGTCCCCAGCACCGAGCAGAATGCTTGATACTTAGGAGGAAGCTCAATAAATGTTTGTTTGTTGATGTAAAGTAATAGAAATGTAGTTTGTATTGCAACCTATGCATGCTTGCTAATATATAATTAATAATATCTACAGATTATTAAATAGTCATGCATTAGACATATTAACTCAAATTCTCACAACAGTATATAAGATGGGTATTGTTTTGCAGGTGAAACTGAAACCCAGTGTTTTTAAATAACTTACCCAAGGATGCATATCTAGTGAGAGTCAAAATCCATACCTAGGCTGGGCGTGGTGGCTCACGCCTGTAATCCCAGCACTTTGGGAGGTCGAGGTGGGCAGATCATGAGGTCAGGAGATTGAGACCATCCTGGACACACGGTGAAATCCCGTCTCTACTAAAAAAAATACAAAAAATTAGCTGGGCGTGGTGGCGGGCGCCTGTAGTCTCAGCTACTCAGGAGGCTGAGGCAGGAGAATGGTGTGAACCCAGGAGGCAGAGCTTGCGGTGAGCCAAGATCACACCACTGCACTCCAGCCTGGGCGACAGAGCGAGACTGTCTCAAAAAAATAAATAAATAAATAAATAAATAATAAAATAAATAAATAAATAAATAATCCATACCTAGACTTCTTAGCTTGTAAATCCATGTTTGTTCCACTCCACCCATGTATTTTATCTCCAGCATAAGCTCATTTACAATAAGTGGTAAATGAACCAAATGAAAATAATTTGAAAATGTTGAAAAGATTTTTAACTGTTTTAAATACTAAAAAAAATACTCTAAAATGTTTCCTAGTCTTTAGGATTTCTCTGAAGCTTTTCTTACCATTCTTGCTTAATAATAGATGCAGTGGTACTTCTTTGAGGGATAACCCACTCTTAAATCTACTTGCACAGATGACTGTGGAATCTTTCACTCCTTTTGGTCTGGTGAGCACTGATGGCTTGGAAAGGCAATGAAGTAGTCTGTAACTTACACTTTGATTTGTAGTAGCAAAGCATCTTTTTTTACAATTTTTATTTTAGATTCAGGAAGTACATGTGCAGGTTTGTGACACATGCATGTTATGTGATGCTGAGGTTTGGGCTTCTATTGACACCGTCACTCAAATAGTGAACATAGTACCTGATAGGTAGTTTTTCAACCCTCCCTCCTGCTTTTGGAGTGCCCAGTGTCATTGTTCCCATCTTTGTGCCCATATGTACCCAATGTTCAGCTCTCTTTTGTAAGTGAGAATATGCAGTATTTGGTTTTCTGGTTTTGTGTTCAGTCACTTAGGATAATGGACTCCAGCTGCATCCATGTTACTACAAAGAACATGATTTTGTACTTTTTTATGGCTGTGTAGTATTCTATGGTGAATGTGTACCACATTTTCTTTATCCAATCCACCACTGATGGGCACTTGGGTTGATTCCACGTCTTCGCTATTGTGAGTGGTACTGCAATGAACATATGAGTAAAGGTGTCCTTTTGGTAGAAGGATTTATCTTCATTTGGGGATATACCCTGTAGTGGGATCAGCAAGGAATTCTTAACAGAGTAATGCACACAGAGTCTTCATAATGTTGGAATATGGAGTTAACTCTATAGTAATCTTGCCTTTTTCACAGGTTTTTCCATATTAACACTTTAGATTTCAAAAAGGACATCAAAGTAAGCAAGATTGAAGATCCAGCATTACTAACCCAGGTCTCATTACTTTACAGCCTGGTTTATTAGGGTTGGTGTCTTGGCCCCTGTGATGTGCATATTCCTTGTGTTGTTCAGGCTTTAATCTTATTGTCTTCCAGAGAAATTACAAATGAAAGAAAAGTGCAGCTGGCCCTTAAATGGGGTGAGTGGTTTAAGCAAGCTTAGGTCAGTAATAGGTACAAACAACTGAAGAACCTTTCTAGGTAAACATAATTATCATGCTTAGACTTAAGAAGGAAGGAAGAGAACATGAGACAGTTGGTGGAAGTGAGAAGAGGATGGATTTAGAACTGGACACCACTGGGGGTTTGTGCAAGTCTTGCTGTCTCTATTATCTGTTCGAAAGCCCTGGATATATAGGTAAGTGGACCTCAAATTCTAGTCGTGTTTGTCAGAATTATGTGAGGGCATAGGGATACAAAAGTGTGATTCCTTTTCTTACCTATTATAAGGGTCACTCCTATAACAAAAGACAAGTTAACAAGAGAAAAGTATAACATATTTATTGAATCAAAGTTTTACATGACACAGGAGCCTTGAGAATGAAGACCCAAAGATACAGGAAAAATGATTCATTTTTATGTTTAGGCTCAATGAGGAATGCACAACTGTGTTGGACTGTGATTGGACAAAGAGAGTATGACCTAATGGGAATAACTGAATAGGGAAACGCAGCAAGGCCTGTCTGTTCAGATTCTTCTTTGTCTCTCCGTTCAGCATTCCTTCCTCCTGGATATGGGACAGGATCCTTGCTGGAATGTGGGTCTTATGACCTACTTCCAAAGCAGGTCACAGAATTTCTTTATGGTCAGCTCTTATACAGAAAGGCAGGGAAAAGTTAGAATAATATGTTTAGATTTTATGTCTACCTTTGGCGGGGATAGGTTCTGGTTTCTATGACCTTCCTTGGGGAAGAGGCATTCTAGTTTCTATGGCTTGCTGTGGGGGCGAATGAGGGATGGCAGAGTAGGGCAGGACAAAGTAAAAGACAAACTTTGCTTTATACAGAGGCCTTCACTTGGGGGTATCATTTTCTGAGCCCCAACAGGGGTATACAGATTTGGAACCCCACCTCAAGACCCAATGAAACAGAAGTGGCATAGCCCTGAAATCTGAATTTTTAACAGTCAGCCCATTTGATTCTGATGGAAGTGTTTCTTAGATCACACTTCGAGAAACGTCAGCATAGGAAGATCCTCCAGACTTTCTAAGAATCACTCTTTAAATGCATCTATTCGTTTGAGTTAAA
Organism: Homo sapiens; assembly: GCF_000001405.40. Classification (NCBI taxonomy): domain Eukaryota; kingdom Metazoa; phylum Chordata; class Mammalia; order Primates; family Hominidae; genus Homo; species Homo sapiens. The sequence continues at coordinate 16,513,498 of NC_000004.12, read as the reverse complement.
CTAGGAACACAGAGATAAAAGGCGTAGTCTCAGCCTTGGAAGAATTCATGGCCTAGTGGTAAAGGCAGACTTAGAAGCAGATGGTTTCATAGCATGAATGAGTGAGTCCATACAGCAGAAGGAGCTGGGTGCTATGGAGAACTGAAGAGAGGCACGCAGCTCAGCCTGTGTGGGGAGAGGTGCACATCTGGGAGGAAGGCTTAACAGAAGAAGTAACTATGTCTTCAAGGATGAGTGAGCATTTTCCAAGAGGAGGGGAGAGAAGAATTCCAGGTAGAGATGTGCAGTCTTCAGAGATATCAAGGCTCAGAGCTCAGAGGACCAAAAGCAGGGTGGCCTCTAGGGACATGTTCAAGATGAGGGATTGCATAAGAGGAGGGGCTAATAAGGAAGATAGGCTGATGACGCTGAAGACTGCACATGTCTTTCATAAAAGGTGATGCTTTTTCACAGAAGAAGGTGCATGGCCGATATTTATATCATTGTAATTGCAATAGTGATTAATGTGCAATTCCAAATTGTGGTCTCTGTCCTCATAAGTACAGTATTCTCAATGCAGTGGTATTCTGATGAGCTTCCAATTGAGAAGGAATTCGGAAAAGTCCAAGGCAATCCTAAATGGTTTTATCTTCTTGTTTTCCTCATTAATCTTTGTCATCAGATGTCTTAGACCAAAGTAAGGCTGAAAAAATTCTGACCAAAGGAAGGAACAAGGTGGCTGTATGCAGAACCACAAAAAAACCTCCCACATTGAATGAATGTTGACATATGTTATTTACAGTATCATCATGCATAAAATACAGATGAGTACATGAATAAAAATAAAATAGTATTCACCATCCACCTTTCTAAGAGTTAAGATCAAAAAGTGCCTGTAGTTGCCACTCTGTTCTCCAGTTTAAAAGATGGATTTCACTACCAATCTGCATAAACTAGCATTGTAACTCACAGCGTGTGGTTATACAAACAAGAACAGAAACCAGAGTAGAAATCGAAGCATGCTGAAAGAAGAGGGGTTTTTTTTGTTTGTTTGTTTTTGTTTTGTTTTGTTTGTTTTTAACCAGAAAGAGTTATTTGAATTCAGAATAGAGCTACATATATCCACCCCATTGTCTGTACAGGTGTGTGTGTACACGTATATGTGTGTGTTTGTGTGTGTCTGTGTGTGTATCCGTGTGAATCACATTCAGCTGTAATATATTATAAATGATAATTAAGTAGATATAATCAAGTTTTTGTAATATTTATTTTTCCTCACATTTATATAAAGAAAATCAAAACCAGGAAAATAAAAGTATTCTCAAAGCTGTCTACTTGATTCCAGCTGTTAGCATTATTTATTGTAATTAGTGTTATGAAGTAGTGAAATGCCAATGTCTTTGAACTTCTTGCAGTTGTGTGTAATATTGGAGCCAATGCAGGAACTGATGTCGAGACATAAAACTTACAACCTCAGTCCCCGAGACTGCCTGAAGACCTGCTTGTTTCAGAAGTGGCAGAGGATGGTGGCTCCGCCAGGTACACCCTCATTCTTCACTCTCTCTCTAAACACGTTTTCAGAGGTGTCTTCCAGGGATGAAGTGATGTGAAAAAGAAGAAAGTGATCATTAATTTATCAGGACAAGTAGCTTATTAGGGATATTCTGACCATGGTTGTGGACATAAAGACAATGAATTTGTGACAGGCAAACATCCTTAAGAATTATCTACAGTCTCCTCACTTACCAGATTAGGACCTGCAACTCAGAGAGGTAAAATAACGTGTTCAAGGTCATCAAGAAGGTCATTGGCAAAGCTGAGATCAGAGCCAGGGGTTCCTGTCTTCTAATCTAGTGGTTCTTCCACTGAGCCAGACTGCTGGCTTCTCACGGCCTAATGTTTTAGGTTTTTGTTTTTTAAGAATGACAGACATTATGAAAAGGAAGGAAGAAAGGGAAGATAAGGAAGAAGGAAAGGAGAAAAAAGAAGGGATGGAAAGAAGGAAGGAAGAAAGGAACAGATGAATGAAGGAGGAAAGGATGAAGGAAAAATGAAGTTTGCTCTGTTTTTAAAGATATATTGTATCAAAAGTTCTGATCATGAAGAGAATATATAAGCAATTCCATTTCCCTCACTTCCCTAGAATGCAGTTTAGATACTATAGTCTCCTGCTGGGGTTCTGAAATCACCGATTCAAGTCATCATTAATTGTCTTCCTATCTAATATACTTTCACTCCCAGGCGTGTGTTGAGCCTCATTCATCATAAAAGCAAAATGTAGCCATTTGCTAAAAATTATTTTTATAAAAAGTAATTATTAACACGAGGCACATAGCTTTCTGAATCACAAAATATAATGGTCACCTTCGGCTGGTAAGTGGCCAGGGGTTTTATGTAAAATGAATATAGCAAATTTAATCAAGTACATATTTAGAAAGCTGAGAAAATAAGTGTTATTTTATGTAGAATAGTTACATCCCCATCTTATGGGAATTTTAGACTTTTGGAATATTATTTTTCAAATATATTAAATGTGCTTAAATTGGCTTTATTTTTTCTTTTAACGCTAATAAGACTTTATGGAGAAAACGTAATCCACTCAGCAAGTGCTATATTTTCTAACATAGGCATATATAATTGATATATTATTCATTAATTCCTTCATTCATTCAATAATTATTTATTGAGATTTATTAGGCTCCAGACGTGGTTCTAGCCACTGGGAGTTACAAAACTGAATAAAGCATGCAAAAATATTGAATCCTTACCATAACTTTAAATGTATTATCTCCATTTTATATAGTGCACTCTGAGACTTAGGGTAGTAATTTGACACAGCCAGTCTCATGGCTAACAAATGAAGGAGGACTGTGTCACCAAAAGGTTTTTATGTCTCCAAAGTCTATTATTTTACTACCACAGCCACCTACTGGTAATGGGAATAGTCCAGAATACGCATTTTAGGTACACTTGCCCCAATTTCATGGTCAAAGTATAAATAAAAAGAGCACCAAATTTATACTCTTAAGGTCAAAGAAAGAAGATACTTGTCAGGAGTGGGCCTGAGTATCTGCTGGACTTTAGAATGTCCTCCTCAACCCTTTATTCAACTCCATGACCTGGAACAGTTCTATATCCTGTTCCTCTCATCCTTCAGAGCAAGCACCCTGAACTCGATGGAAGGAAATGATAGACCATTTGATGAAAATCTTTAAGCATAAGAGACAAAATATTTAGGGACGATAAAAAAATAGTAGGTGAGTAGAAAAGTCAAAAAGAAGTCAGGGATACTCATTGGACTAAGTGATCTTTGAAATGAGCCTTAGAGGAAGATCCTTCCCATTGTCCACCAGAAGTGGCATAGGTGTTTTTTTGGTGTGATTTTGTCTTGCTTTGCTTTGTTTTTGAGACATGGTCTTGCTCTGTCACCCAGGCTGGACTGCAGTGGCACAATCATAGCTTACTGCAGCCTCGACTTCCGGGCTCAGGTGATTCTCACACCTCAGCCTCAAGAGTATCTGGGACCCCTGGTGCGTATCACCACACCTGGCTAATCTGTGTATATTTTGTACAGATGGGGTTCACCATGTTGCCCAAGTTGGTCTCGAATTCCTGGGCTCAAACAATCCACTTGCCTCGTCCTCCCAAAATGCTAGGATTATTGCCATGAGCCATGGCACCCGTCCAGCATAGGTGTTTTAAGAAAATGCTACAAGGCCCTCTTATTTGGTTCCAGTGTAGCCCTGAGTTGCCTTCTCTCCATCACAGTCAGGTCTAAAATAGAGCTGGCAAAAAGGATGCTCTTACTTGCCATTTCCAACTTATTCAGTAACTGGCAGGAGAAGGCTTCTGAAACTTTCTCATTTATGAAACAAAGATTACAATAATAGTTCCTAACTAATAGGATTTTTTGAATATAAAATAGTGCATTGGAAACATTAAGAATAGTGACAAGCATTACATAATGTTCTATACCTTATAAGTAAACAAACAAATAAATAAAGAATATTTCTCTTATCACACTTTACCTTGGGTCTCTATATTTCTATTAAAGGGTTGCCCCATCCTTCAAGTCCAAAATATTTTTCTCTGTTTCTGAATAGGCCTTTCTTTAAGAGGTCTAGTTTCCCCTCAGTAATATGCTGGCTATACCATGTACTCAGACATATTTTTTTCTAGCAATTTTGGAATTAGTAGCATTTATTAAACAGCAGGGCCCAAACCATGGGTATTCCTTCTGAACTTGGGAATCCCTAAGCTCCACATCCACAGCTGATGGAACTGACTTTACTTGAGAATTCTATAAAGGTATAATAGAGGTGGGTTGCAATATGACATTTCACCAGTAGATGCTGCTGTTGCACACTGGCTCATGAATTTGGCTATTTAAAGTTCATACTTCACTCGTACCTTGGAGTTAGTTACCCTAGGGATCCCAGGAGTCCTCTCTCTGTTTTAAAGAGAAGATACACCAGAGGAAAAAAGTTTCCCAAATTTTCTAATGGCAAAATATTTTAAATCCAATTATGAAAGTGGTACTTGTAGTTACATACCTAAAAAATATTTTTACAAAATTAAATACATACCATTAGAGAGAATGATTAAATAAAAATTATTTGATCTACACACAAAGAAAAGAGTGTCACATATTTTGTGCTAAAAACACATCTACAGTTTTCTCCTTTTATTCTTTCTAAAGCTATAAGAAATGGAAAATGTTTAAATAGTCTACTCTTCAGTTTACCAAGACAGCTTCCTTAGAGTAACCATACTGATGATTGCCTTGTTGCTTTTGCCCTAGAACTGATCCCTCTTCCCTTTTCCATATTGCAGCAGAACCCACAAGGCAACCAACAACCAAACGGAGAAAAAGGAAAAATTCCACCAGCAGCACTTCCAACAGCAGCGCTGGGAACAATGCAAACAGCACTGGCAGCAAGAAGAAGACCACAGCTGCAAACCTGAGTCTGTCCAGTCAGGTACCTGTAAGTCTCGCTTTCCTCTTAGGCCCGAAATCCTAACTGTCTGCTTCCTACTCAAAGGGCCCAAATTAAAGTCTCTTTTCATTAGAAAAAAAAAAAAAATCCTGGGCAGGTTGGAGGTGGGGGAGGGATAAAAGACAGGGACAGAGGTTGGGATGGGAGGGAGGAACTCTGCCATGGAAACCTTCCCCTGCAAACTGGGAATTAGAAAGGAATATTAAGAGTCGTGCTGCAATGGGACCTGAATTAAAAAGCCATCAGAGTCACAGACAGGAGATATGTCACTTAAGGTTTAATTAAAATATCACTTAGCAGCATGCCTGGTGGCGTATTAAGGCCTCTCAGCACCATCATTGGAGACCCTGTGCTCCACTGGAAACTAGCTCCCAGCGGCTCAGTCCCATATTGTAATTTGACTGGGCCTTCCCAACATGGGCGTCCCCTCTTATTTTAAGACTCAGGTAATTAACCAGCAGCCACTAAACATGTAGCTCAGTGAAGCTCTCGCTTAGCCCATTGCATTAGCTAAGGGGGAGGATCAGCCTCTGGTTTGGTCTCAACTCTCTCGAACCCTTGGCCCCTTTCTTTCATTTCTTTATCTTGACAAAGACCATTAGGAAGGGGACTTCTTTGAATTCCAAAGCTGACAGCTGAGGGTAATCCCATATAGTGAAAACTGCACAGGAACTTTCTTCATCTTTTATTCATTCTTCTTGAATTCTGTCCCTTCTGCCTAATTCCCTCCCATCTCCTAACTCCCCAGCCCCTTATTAGACTATCTCCTTTAAGTACTTTGCTCCTTTAAAGTGCTTCTGTTCCTTCTCTGCTGTCCCTGTCATACCACCCTATCACCAGGTGTTTGGCCATCATTCAAATCCTGAGATTTTCTTAGTGCTTCATGGATACCTTTTAGATACTCTGTTTTCCAAAGTTGCCCTATTTCTTGTTACATCCCTCAACCAGTACAATTTTACCTTTTCCGTCTTTCCCACGTTTTTCCCCCTCACCCTTCTTGCTCTCATCCTTACCCTTATTGTTCTGATCCTGCTCCATCGCTTCCATGTGCGAGTGGACCTTCGCACAGGGATTCCCCACTTACTTCCAAGTGTGTCTTTCACATCTGCCCCCACCTACTTGTATCTACTTTCCACTGGTCAGTTCTCTTTGGCCAAAACCAACCCCATCAGTACCCTGAGGATTCCTTGGGCCATTGTTTCTCTTCTCCTGTCTCCCACAGACAGGGGGTATACTTTTCATTCCCACTGCATTAGAAAGAAGGGGTCATGGGGAGAATGACCAGCCTAAAATGGAAGGTGCCATGTTACATTTTACAAGGTTACAAATTGCAGTCTTCAAATAATGAAAATAGTCTCCAGGTGGTCCTCCACTTTCTGAGCTAGGCTTTATACCTAATACCTCTGAAGATCAGGGGGAAAAAGCCAAAAGAGGGAAATAAAGAGTCTCTTTATTAAAAAAGTATCAAGTTATGCCCACTTCTGGTGAAATTTTGAATAGAGAAAATGGCCTGATTTAGATAAATCAACTGAAAAAGTGTACACAGGAGCCCATTTCTTTATCCAATCCTGGAGTTAAAGGCAGTAACATTCGTTAGTTTCCTCTAGCAAATAAGAAAAAGTGCATCTCAGAGGATTCTGAAACGGTGATATAGCTACTTAAAGGCACTGTAGCTGCAAGAATCCCAATCAGTTCAACAGATGTTTTCTGAGCTCCTACTATGTGCCCACACTGTGCCAGGTACTAGCAATACCAAGGTGAAAAACAACAACAACAAAGCCCTGTCATTGAAGAGCTCACTGTCTAATCTAGGGATGGCAAGGACATTTTCTCTCTCCTGCCAGCCCTCAGAGTATGGTATTGAGGAGGATTCTAAGGTCTAGTCTGGGTTTGGTGGGCCATCCATTAGTGATGTCTGACATGGTTGTAGAAGTTGAGAGTAGCAGCTTACATGTCATATGTTTTGACACATATGGTCTAGTCAGAATCATTTCAATTTCATTTGAAAGAGGATATAGCTTCTGTACTCTGTTATGCTCCTGTCTTCCAAATCAACAACTGTATTTTACTGGAGGTTACCTGTATCCAGAGGGTTTGTAACAAGTAGAGACCCTTTGCATTTTGTGTGATTAAGAGCAAGGCACCGTTAGGAAATGAGAGTTGGATTCCATCACTATCTCCACACTATGCAGTTAAAGATGTTTTAATAAAGTAAAATTGTCAGATGTTACAGAGAGGCAGAAAGAACAACCAGATTAGGAAAATGTACAAATTCATATGTGTCCTGGAGTTGAATGGACATTAAATGATAAGCGTTGGATGACTTGTGGTGACCATATCTTTTAACCCTGTCTACTGAGTTATCAACACTATTCTACTGGTTAACTAGAGATGCTACCTGCAGGCATCCACTGTCTGGTCCAAAGGCATGTGCCACTATGACCACAGCTGTGGTCTGTGTAGCTGCTGCGGCAGCGATGTGTGTGTCTGGCGAGGGCTAGGGTTTAATCCTTGGATTCTGCTTCTCACTCCATGAGCAGGGGCTAGGAGCGATCCCGAACTGCAGCCTCAACCCTGGGAGGGATGGAGACCTGTGTCATTCAACAGCAGTGACCCCTTCTGGCCAATTTAAGGAGAAGCATTGAGGGGCCCTGAAAGGAGTCACTTCCAGTCCTCCTCAGAGGTTGGTGGTCTTTGCACGGGGGATTAGTGAGAAGATGTGAAATGGGTGAGAGCTGGTGGCACCTCCGGGCTTCCAGCAAGGAGCAGAAGTTGGCCTTGTGGGGAGCTGAGGGCATATGGACCTCTCTCAGATGGCTCGCTGTTGTCTCTCGTGGACACACAGGATAGAGATGGGAAGGAAATGTACTCTCACTGCCAATGTTGGGGGGATTTTTAACAAAATGGGGGGGAAATGTTGCTAACAACCCCTAATCAGAGGCAGCCTAGAATGTGCATCATGCTTTATTTATTTTGTGTGAGAATAACAAATCAAGACTGCCAGAGCAGATAATCACTATCCTAGTCTAGAGGCTTAGAAGAACCAATAGAAACATGCACATAAATTTTTAAGTGGCCTTAACTGTCTATGTGCATATGAAGCCCTTAACTTGCCATTTGTCAATTATGCACGCACACAAACACATACACACACACACACACGCTCTCTCTCTCTCACACACACACACAACTAAGTATCTAGCTAGGGATATTTTATATAATTAGTAAAACATATGTGGCATCCCTTTGAAATTTAGTACATTTAAAAACACCTATGCCTAGACATCTTTTCCAGCTGCTCCTAGAACAAAGATTCACCGAACAGATTACAAGCCTGTTGGCTCCATTGGAAATGATTCAAACCACTATGTTCATAGTACTTTTCTTCAATGATTGTTGTTTTCTAATTCAATGAATGCATTTGGAGTGTTGAGAGCTTTTCTTTTAATATCATGCTTAAGTTGGCTGCTTTTTATTTTCCTCCTCCTCTTTCAAATTATGCTTCCTCATACTCTCCCATCCTCTCTCAATGACTTTGGAGTCACGATACTAATGCAGACCCACTTGGTTGGTTAACATCCTTCTCCTGCCCTGTGACGCCTTACGCATGTGTTTTCCAAGCCCTTCAAGTGTGCTGGACACAAGTCATGAAATGAGATTAACCCTCAGGTCATGCTCTGTACAACCTAGCCCTATTCTTTCCATCTCCCTTTGTTCTTGATCATAAGTGTCATCTCCTAATTGCCTATAACTCAGTGGCACTCTTTTATCCTGAACATCCCCAAACAGGTAACACTGCAGCTGCCCAGCTAACTGAATACCATTCATGCCTCTGTGGTGGCCACACTCCATCTAAAATCCTGTCATCCTTTCTGCCAGTCAGAAGGACGGTATCTACTTTGCATCTCACCTTAACAGTCTTCATGAGTCTCGTTCCATGTCACTGTCATTTCTGGTTCTTCATTGCATAATAAATAAATAAATCTTGGAAGCACAGAGATGAATATCCCCTGGCATTTTTATTGCTGGGTTTACCAAGCTCACATTTTAGGCACTTACTTACTCCATTTGGGACATTTCTTTTTAAAATCATTTTTATCTATTCACAAGAATGATTAGTCAGAAAACATAGTTTGGAAACCTATTAATTATCTCCCCTAACTCAAGAATGGTGGGGAGCAGAAATAAATAAAACAAGGTTTTCCATTGTAAAAGACTAGGGGGTAACTAAGGGATTTGTTCAATGGACACTTTCAAAATCCCACTGGTCCTTCTCCTGACAGTAGGCAGTATTCCATTCTACTGTCCCAGGAAGGCCTTCTCTGGGCAAAGCTCTAGTAAAATGAATTTCTGCCCAGTTGTCAAAATATTTTATTGAATTAGCCTTTCTACTGGAAACCCCACCCTCTCATCTCCAAAAGCATCTGGCTAGCCCTACCTTCTCTGGCCTCAGTGGAGGCTGATCACAGTTGGTCACTTTCCTGAAGTTACTGCACTTTTAAGTGGAGTATTGCTCAGAGCCTGCCCAGAAGAATCCACCTGACAGATGTCCTGTCCCATGCCAAGGTCCCTCATCAACCCCATATGGTCCCCTTTGAACAAAGAAGCTGGAGCTCTGCCCTGTGTATGCATTCTTCTTCCCCATCCCTGGCCTCTCCAGCTGTGGCCTCCCCATGCTCCCAGCTACAGTAGGTGGCTTACTTATTTGCATGGAAGGACAATTTGTACTTAAAAGAGTGATTAGATGGATTCTTCTTGCACGCTTCCATCTCTGATGACTACCAGCTTCATCAATGTAATTATAATTAGCGTTCTTCATCTTCCCTTTATGGCACCAGCTGGACAGACCGGTTCTCTTTACTGCCCAGATGGGTGGCAGGGTTGCCTGTGTGGTGATAGGTGACAGGCACCATGAAATAACAGATGGTAAATTCAAGGCTTGTTGGCAATCAGCAGGTTTTTGCTAATGACTTAATTAGCTATGCAAATTGTCAAATCAGTGTGAACATTGTTTTTATCGAAAACTTTACCTAAATTAATTACCATAATTAAGTAGCAGAATGTCAAGGATATTGGCTGCATAAAAGGGCCTGGCTGAGTAGAGAAAAGAGAGATTCTGTCTTCAATTAAAATGTATATCATCCCTGGGACAGAGAAAATACCGTTTGGAATGAGTTGTGTGAATATTGCAGAATTGCACCTTACGTGTGTCTCCGGTCACTGCTAGTTTCCAAAGCCACTCACAGGCCCTAAATAAAAGTGGCAGATTTTTGGAGGTATTGAGAAGCACCCAGCAGAAGGTTCCACAGCCCTCTCAAAAGTCCCCAATGTCGGCAAGTTGAAAGCATGGATTTTTTTAATTTTGAAAAATACATTTTTTTATTTCTGCAGATTGCTAGCATTGCTCGTTCTCCAGTGTCAGGCTGCGCACTAAGGACATAAACTCGCGTGGTTGTTACACATCAGGAGGCGATGTTTATTTCCTGTAGAAATCAAATATGCGTCTCGGCCCCCGACATTGAGACTTGACCCCGTTGTACAGTACACGAGTGTGTCTGTCCTAGATTCCCCGACTCCTCCCACTGTTATTTTAAGCTGAGCTTCTCTCTCCCAAGGTTTCCCTGTAATAATGTCAGCTGCTGTTCACAGGATGTGATGGTGGTAGGAGAGCCAACTCTGATGGGAGGTGAGTTTGGGGACGAGGACGAAAGGCTAATCACTAGATTAGAAAACACGCAATATGATGCGGCCAACGGCATGGACGACGAGGAGGACTTCAACAATTCACCCGCGCTGGGGAACAACAGCCCGTGGAACAGTAAACCTCCCGCCACTCAAGAGACCAAATCAGAAAACCCCCCACCCCAGGCTTCCCAATAAGATGATCGGCACCAGAATCCACTGTCAATAGGCCCGTGGGTGATCATTACAATTGCAAATCTTTACTTACAGGAGAGGAAACAGAAGAGATAAAAACTTTTCCATGCAAATATCTATTTCTAAACCACAATGATCTGATTTTCTTTCTTCTTTCTTTTTTTCTAATTGAGAGGATTATTCCCAGTAAGCTTCCATGACCCTTTCTTGGAGGCCTTCACAGGTAATACAGATACTGGCACTGATTGTAATTAAAATGAGAGAAAACTCTAGCGCATCTTCTGGCACGGTTTTAACAACGTGTTTGTGTTGAATTTCCTTTTTATGCATCAAACGAAGGCCATATTGTCCATAAATGCTCAGTGCTCAGGATCTCATTAATATGCCGAACCTAACTACAGATGACTTTTTAATATTGTAAAATATTTTCTGCTTTTTGACTTGCATCTGAGAGTTTCTTGTTTCAGTAAAAAAAGAAAAGACAAAAAAATCAGCTTTGGAAAGTAATTTAAATGTACCTTATTTTTTTTTTCTTTATGTTTTCTTTCATTGGGCAACAGCTAAGAGGGCCCAGCAAGGTAATTTATGGTTGAGCTGATGTCAATTGGTTCTTGTCTTGAGTCGACTCAATTTAGCCCAAGTGCTGAAACAAGAAATGTCATTTTTTTCATCAAAGACACCAGGGCAGATTTTTAAGTAAAGAAAGACAATTGGACCCTTAAGAATTTATGCATTTGTAAAGTTGCTGTTGATCCAAATATTTTCAAGCCATGTAATCCATTGGTTTTGTGGGCAGTTTAATAAACCTGAACCTTTGTGTGTTTTCTAATTGTACCTGAGTTGACCATCCTTTCTTTTTATAGTATATTTCTTGTATGATATTTTGTAAAGCTCTCACCTGGTTCTTTTATGGGGACTTTTCGTTTTTGGGCAACTCCAGTGTATTTATGTGAAACTTTATAAGAGAATTAATTTTTCCATTTGCATATTAATATGTTCCTCCACACATGTAAAGGCACAGTGGCTCCGTGTGTTAAAAAACAGCTGTATTTTATGTATGCTTTACTGATAAGTGTGCCAATAATAAACTGTGTTAATGACCAAAGCAAGTGAATCTGGCTATTTGTGTGAGTACGTGTGTAGCAATCTGCTCACAATTATCAGAAGTATTGAGCTTAGATTCATGGCCCAGACTCCAAATGAAGTGGAACCATAAAATCTGTGTGAAGTAAGTTCACTGTGCACTGGTTACCAACTTGTCTGAGTCCAGTGAGCCAGAAGACACTTACTTACTTATGTGCAACAAATTACATGGAGCAGGTTTATTACTTACTTACAGACAGGCATCAAGAAACAACAGAAGCCTAGGATTCATGGGACCTAGTCCCCAAGACTCAGAAAAGCTGCCCAGGGCAGATGGTGCAAGCCCCATTTGCACCACAGCTGAGGGAACCTGGAAAGCAGCCGGACCTGGGTTTTATACCCTGGGGTCATGTGACACGCTGGACTAAAGCACTGAAGGGCATCCTGTTTCTATGAGGGGATGGGTTGGGACCAGAGCTCAGGCTGTTTCAGCCAGGCACCCCTTATCTTAGGATGTTTCATTCCCAGCTCATGCTACAGTTATTCTTGAGAACTAAGAGCAAGAAAGAGGAGAGAATTGGGTCAGTTCGAGGCCACAGAAGCACTGTCCTACAACCTGTGCCATCTTTTATGAAGTATTGTTTCTTTCCTTGTTCACTGCAGCTTCTTGAGCAAACACAGAAATGCCTTCTCTGTGCTGAGTCCTGTGCTAGCCGAGGATACAACATGAAAAGACAGACTGGATGGTGTTCTTGGAGGTTGTAGTCAAGTAGAAAGGCAGTAGCTTCCAGTCACTGAGTGCTTGCTCTGCACTAAAGAACTCTACTTAAGGCTCATTATTTCAATTAATCCTCATGATAACTCCATAGCATAAGCATGATTATTACCATTTTAAAAATCAATGTCTCACCTGCCTATTTTTCTATACAGAGTAAGGAAAATTCACTGGAGGATCTTTTATGTTTAAAGAACATTACTCATATTTTTCACTTTGCACTAATGATAAAGAAAGATGAGAGAGGAAATCTGTTATTATTTATTGGGTGTTTGTTTATTAAGTGCCAGGCAATTTCAATTTATCATCTCACTGAATTCTGGGAAGGGGATTTGAAAAGGGGAAGCTAAAGAAAGGTTAAGTGTCTTAGGTTCGGATCTCTAGAAGCAGAGCCTAAAGCTGGGATTCAGGGACATGAGGTTTATTAAGGGTATGTTCTACAGAAAAAAAAAATTATATATATATTATATATAAGATCATATATATATATGAGAGTGGGAAAAGCAGGATAGGGAAGGAGAAAGAACTAAGGAAAGCTATGGGCCTCCACAGTCAGCTTCCTGGGCCTAATCCATGAGGTGAAGGCTTTGTAGACCTCACTGAAGAGTTATCCCCGCTTGTGCTACAGCCCAGCCTTTTGGCACCTGTATCAATATCAACCCTTCATTGATTGGGAACCATCCCCAGAATGTATGAGGGATTTGTGACCTTCACAGCAAGATGGCTTCATCAACCGAGGGGCATTCTACAGAGAAGAAACCAACTAGATGCAACAGTAACAGTATCTTGGGACCAGTGTTCTGGCTTAATAAAGGACATCTATGTGGGCACAAATTTGCTTACTCCATTAAGTAAGTTGTCCCTGGTCTCCTACATCAGGAATGCAACAGTTGGGATTTTAACCTGGATCTTCCTTGACTGTAAAGCCTGGTTTGGTTTTGTTTTGTTCCTAGAATATTACATTCCCTTCCTAGAACATTCTTACTTTTTATTTTTATTTTTCTGTTTTAATGTTTTATTTTCTTTTTTCTTTTATTATACTTTAAGTTCTATTGTGCATGTGCACAATGTGCGGGTTTGTTACACATGTATACTGTAATAGCAACAGAACTAATGAAAATATAGAGAAACAGATACTTTATTGCTTTCCCACTGTGTACTTTTAAGATAACTTCCAGTGCATCCCTCACCCTCACCTCACCATTTTAGGTTTTCTTTTATCAATTCTTTAAAGTCATTTATATATACAATCTTAGTCCGTTTTCTGTTATATCAGAATACCACAGACTGAGTGATTTATAAATAAAATCAGCTTATTTAGCTCACAGTTCTGGAGGCTGGGAAGTCCAATTGAATGGTATCAGCATTTGGTGAGGGGCTTCTTGCTGCATTGTGACATGGTGGAGGGCATCACATGGCAATAGGGCAAAAGCTTGCCAGCTCAGATCACTCTTTCTCTTCTTATAAAGCCATCAGTTTCAACATAGGGACCCTACCCTGATGACCTTATTTAACACTAATTACCTCCCAATGTCCCCACCTCAAGATGCCATCAACACATAAACTTGGGAGTTCAGTTTTCAATACATGAAATTTGGGGGACATATTCAAACTATTGCACAATCATTACAGATGATGCATAGAACAATTTATCTAACACCTATTCCAGTTATTTGTTGTTGCATAGTATAACAATCCAAAACTTATTAACTCAAGAGAACACTTGATTATTATTAGTTACCCTTCTGAGAGTTCACTGCTCTTTGCCAGGTGATTTATACCTTAGAGTGTCAGATGGCAGCTGGGGGAGAAGTCATCAGAGCCTTGACTAGGCTGGACATTGTAGATGGTGCCCTCACTATGCTAGCTATTGGGTAGGAGCTTAACCAGTGCTGTTCACTGAAGTGCATTTTGATAGCCTCTCTATGAGGTTATCATAATATAATGGTTGGGTTCTAAGAGAGGGTGTTGCAAGAGACAGCATCCCAAAACGTAGGGAATAGAAATTGCCAGTGCCTAGAACTGGCACTGAAGCACCTCTTCTGTATGCTATCCACCAAAGCAGCCACAAGCCAGCCCAGGTTCAAGGCACTAAAGGACAGACTACACTTATGATGGGTAAATGGCACGTGCATACCAGGAGGGAAGAAATTGATAGCTGTCACCTTTGGGAAAAAAACATCTACAACAACCAAGGCAATTTACAACCCAGCCTCAGCTTACCTTACAGTTTTATTTTCACTCCCTCCCCACTTAGACCTGATTAACTCACTACCCTAGATTACTATTTTCTGAATACACCAAATGTTTATGCCTCATGTGTCTTTAAATATTTATCCTCTTAAAATGCCATTCTCCACCTTCTTATGTAACCAAAGCTACTCGTCTTTAAAAACTCTGTTTGATTCTCTTGTCCTCTGAGACATCTCCCCACCTCTGGTTAGGCTTGACTGCCCCATCTGGGGTCCAAAAGCACCTGATTCTTGCTTCATTCCAGCATTTCCTTTCAAATTCTGTTGTTGCTGAATACCCCTCACTGTCCCATTAGACTTCTTTGGCTCTGAGAAGTTTAATCATTGTAATCTGTATTCTTAATATCTAACCTCTATCATACATAATGGTTGGATTGAATGAGTGAAGAAATTCCAAGTAAGAAATCATGACACCACTTTTTGCCATTGTATTAGTCCATTGTCACACTGCTATAAAGACATACTCAAGACTGAGGAATTTATGAAGGAAAGAGGTCTAATTGATTCACAGTTCCTCATGGCTGTGGAGGCCTCAGGAAATTTACAGTCATGGCGGAAGGTGAGAGAGAAACAAAGGCATGTCTTATATGGCAGCAGACAAGAGATAGTGAGTGAGCAAAGGGGAAACAGCTCCTTATAAAACCATTAGATCTTGTGAGAGCTCACTCACTATCACAAGAACAGCATGGAGGAAGCCACCGCCATGATGCAATCACTTCCCACCAAGTCCTGCCATCAACACGTGGTAATTATGGGAGCTACAGTTCAAGATGAGATTTGTGTGGCAACACAGAGCCAAAACATATCACTCTGCCCCTCCCACCCCCATACAAATTTCATGTCTTTTCACAGTTCAAAACCAATCATGCCTTCTCAACACTTCCCAAAGTGTTAACTCATTTCAGCATTAACTCAAAAGTCCATAGTCCAAAGTCTCATCTGAGACACAAGACAAGTCTTTTCCGCCTAGGAGCCTGTAAAATCAAAAGCAAGTTGGTTAATTCCAAGATTAGTGGTAATATTTATCCCTGTAAGTATATAAGGTGGCAAGAGATAGACAGAGATGAGTGTGTTTAAGTTTCTCAGAACTCAAATCAGCACAAAACAAACATTTTGCAAGGGATTGGACCAAGCCTGCCTTTTAGTATAGAAACCCCATAAGATTTGTCCGGACCAGAATAAGTGTAATGATAACCATTCGTCAAGAACATTTTATCTACCAGTCACTTGCCAGATGTTTTACCTTGGTGGTCTTAAACTGGGAACTTAAGTGTAATGCATTACTTGGATTTTGCTTTGTAATAATTTCAAAATTTCAATGGCTGATGACAAGCAACACTTTCTTTTTTTTCACTCATGGAACTAACTGTTCATCAGCTGGGGCAACTCTGCTGTGGGTCTGTCCCTCATGTTTCTTTCAGAAACAGTGGCCCTCCATGGAATGCTCCTCTCTTGGCACAGGGCAGAAGTGATAGAGACCATGTCAAATCACACACACACATGCACACACCTGCTCACACTGCCATTGGCCAAAGCAAGTCAAAAGGACAAGCCCAGAATCTGTAGGGCGGGGAAATACACTCTGCCTCTTGCAAAGTCAAATGGCAAAGGCTATAAGTAAACAATTAGGAATCCAATCTACCACTGGTGGCCTATATAATGTTGCCTAAACAGTTTCTTATTATTTGCCAGCACTTGAAAACTGATGAATTTCCTATAAAAATTGAAGTATCTTATTTTTCTTAAAAAATCGGATCAGACAACAGCCTCACACTTCTGAATTGCTGGATGGTAACAGTTGCCTGGTGTTGAGTCACAGTTGCCCTGGTTGGCTGCTCTCCAGCTTGTAACATTCAGCCTGTTTCACTCACTCTTGCTACCCGCCTGGCTGCTGTTGGCTACTGCATTCACTCTATGCATGGTCATTACTCCTTATAGCCACATTTGGAAGTAGGTATCATAAGCCCCATTTGCAGATATGAAGACTGATGCTTACGCAGGTTAAGTGACACCCTTTGTCACAGAGCTAATAAGTGGTGAAGTGAGCTTTGAACATGGGTCCTCAAGGTCAAAGCCTGTGCTCCTTTCATGAAACCGTACTGGTCTAATAAGAGTCACAGTAATGGTTATCCTCCATGGGTTAAGTTAGGAGCTTGACAAGCATGATGACACTGAATCTGCAATGTCCTGGTGGGTATCTTGGTCAGTTTGGGTTACTATAACAAAATACCATAGACTGGGTGGCTTATAAATAACGTAAATTTATTCTCACAGTTCTGGAGGTTGAGGTCTGAGATCAGGGTGCCAGTATAGTCGTGCTCTGGTGAGGGTCTTTTCCCTGCAAACTGTCAACTTCTCAGTGTATCTTCACATGGCCAAAAGGAGAGAGCAGCAGGGGTCCCTTTTATAAGGGCAGTAATCCCATTCATAAGGGCTCTACCCTCATGACCTAGTCACCTCCCAAAGGCCCCACTTTTTAATATAATCACATTGGGGATCAGGATTTTACCATATGAATTTGGGGAGGACATAAACATTCAGTCTTTAACAGTGAGGTGAAGTTATTATCCCCCATTTTGCAAATAAGACAGAACAATTAAACAGTTTTCTCAAAGTTGCAGAACTCACAAATGACAACATGCCATCTTGACTCTGAGCCACTTTATTAGACTTGCTGTCATGTCAGGTACACAGTCTGCAGGTCAGCATCCTCTGGCCTGGGAGAGGGGTCCTGACATCCACCCTGCTGCCATTCACTATGTATTTTGTGGGGTTGTCAAAGAGTACATCAGAGGTCAAGACTCTGCTTACCTGGTAATGGCACAAGCAGGGAGGCCCCTTTTTAACACCTTGAAATCTCAAGGGCATCTGACAAGGGACTTATAAATAAGTGGCCCAGTCCTGCAGGAAATCCTTTCTTTCTCTATTTCTCTTTAACCTTGGGGTGAACATTTAATGCAATAGGATAACACAACTCACATTGGTGCTATGTGGGGTGGGGTGCTGTGAGAACAAGGCCATCAAGATCAATTTCCCTAAAGCAGGATTTGCAGCAACCTTAGGAAATTCATTTTATAATGGAATATCCCCTCCATCCTCCATAAGAAAAAATTGCTAGGCTTTTTCCCTCTGATTGTACAGTAATACATGCTCATTGTACATCATTTGAACAAAGAGGAACAATAAGAAAGTAATCTCATTGCTCTAATGTGATCAATACTAATACTTTGATACATATCCTGCAAGTCTTCTTGTCTCACATACATTACAATACTGATCATATTCAGAGTAGACAATTACAGATTCTACCCCTTTCATTAAATAATATATCATGAGCTACCTCATTAAGTATTCTTTAAAAACATAATCTTAGTTTCTATATAATGGTCCACTAATGGAAGATCCTGTAATGTATTACCCCACTTATTTATGACTGGTCCATTCCCTTTTTTCATCCTATTAGAATTTATTTATCATTGATAGGCTTGTTGAAGGTTCAAAAGAGTTTGTTAAATCAAACTTCATTTATTGGGTATCTGACATATGCCTAACACCATGCGAAGCATTACTAGAGATTCCTGTACCTAGCCTCCACCTTCAAGGTGCTCTCAATTGACTTGGGATAAGGGACAGTGCATAAAATGCTAACCACATACATAAGGCTGAATAAACTCAAGGTGTCAACAAAGCACAGAAGATAAAAGCTCTAGGAGTTTAGAGGTATGGATCTCAAATGTATTGTGCACTTACCATGTAGCACTTTGCATTTAATTTATCCTTCACTGCAACCTGGGGATGCAAGTGTTTTGTATATGAAACTCAGAGAGGGTGAATAATTTGCCAAGGTAGCACAGACAGAAAATAGCAAGGTCAAGTTTGAATCAGTGCAGGACTCCAAAATCTGTTTTTTCTCTGTTAAGCCTCAGATTTCTGGGGAAAAGGCAAATGCTGTGATTGTGTATTGTCAGGAAAGACTAAGAGAGATGGTGGATGGTAACACATTAATACACATACACATAGCTGGGTGTCTGGTTGTTTCCACAAAGTTCCTCTCTGGCCACCTCCTTTTATTCATCAGAAGAGTTAAGATGGTGTCTCTGATCATTGGGAGTATTGGGAAGTTTCGGTTTTAAACAAAACCTAATGCATTTGAACTGTTGGTGTTTATATAAAGATGTTTTTTGCTTGAAGCCACTGAGCTGAAAAAGACATTGAAAAGTTTTTAAAACTATACATTGGCCAGGCACAGTGGCTCACGGCTGCAATC
The DNA here is from genome assembly GCF_000001405.40 of Homo sapiens. Taxonomy (NCBI): domain Eukaryota; kingdom Metazoa; phylum Chordata; class Mammalia; order Primates; family Hominidae; genus Homo; species Homo sapiens. The sequence goes on along the minus strand of NC_000004.12, from coordinate 16,494,268 downwards.
CCAGCACTTTGGGAGGCCAAGGCAGGTGGATCATGAGGTCAGGAGCTCGAGACCAGCCTGGCCAATATGGTGAAACCCCATCTCTACTAAAAGTACAAAAATTAGCCAGGTGTGGTGGTGCATGCCTGTAGTCCCAGCTACTCGGGAGGCTGAGGCAGAAGAATTGCTTGAATCCAGGAGGCAAAGGTTGCAGTGAGCCCAGATCGTGCCACTGCACTCTAGCCTGGGCGATAGAGGAAGACGCCATATCGGGAGAAAAAAAAAAAACAAAACTATACATTAAGGAAATTGGTGAAGCAACATCAAAAGCCCCACCAAACCCTACCTTTTTTCTCAGTTTCTATTCACTCTAAAACTTTACCATTCTAGACAAATGAAACATTTCTCACTTTCCAGTAGCCTTCAAATAATCTCCTGAAAATATCCATTCCTGGCCAGGAGCAGTGGCTCACGCCTGTAATCCCAACACTTTGGGAGGCCAAGGCAGGCAGATCACTGGAAATCAGGAATTTGAGGCCAGCCTGGCTAACATGGCGAAACTCTGTCTCTACTAAAAATACAAAAATTAGCCGGGTGTGGTGGTGTGTACGGTAATCCCAGCTACTCAGGAGGCTAAGACAGCAGAATCACTTGAACCCGGGAGGTGGAGGTTGCAGTGAGCCGAGATTGTGACACTGCACTCCAGCATGGGTGACAGATAGAGACTGTCTAAAAAAAAAAAAAAAAAAAAAAATTCCTCAGATAAGCAAACTGGTTCTCCTTTTGATGCCTTCCAGAGCTGACATGCTCTATCTTCAGCCCTGTTCTCTGATTCCAAATTTAGGTCAATCCAGTAATAAAAAGTCATTCTCTCTCTTTCAATTATTTGTTACAAGTAGTTTACTCTTTTGGGGTTTACAAACTCCTCTGTCATGTTCTAGTGAAAGCATTAATGCCGTAAAAGAGATCTTCAAAAATTCACAAATGAGCATGAAATTGTTTTAATAGCATGGGCTTCTGAGATATAGCTGAAATCCATTGTCACAAAAATGAAAACTTTCATTTTGCAGAAAAAGGAAATTTGGGAAAACGTAGGCCCTATAAGGGATCAAACAAGTTTTGTTTTCCTCACCATCTAAGATGGTGAGTAGTCTCTCGGGAACTTGCATTGGGAAAGCTTCTGAGGTAGTAACTTATTCAGAGTGAAGAAAGGTGTGAACTCAGCAGCGCCTGCCATGGCAAAGCAGCAGAGCTTGTGAGCGGGGGTTTCTTCCATTTGCCATCTCCACATTAAATCACAAGGATTCCAAAAGCAGGGGCCTATGAGATTCATTACAATTGTTTCCTCATAATCAGGTGCCCAACCAATGGAATTTTTTTCCATTCTATGCTCTAGTAATTGCTACATTTCTGTACACTGATGTCTTAATTGAACAATTTTACTGAATTTTCTTATTAATTCTAATAATTAATTTTCTCTGTAATTCTCATTCCATTCTATAGAATTTTTAAAAAATATAATTAATTCATTTGTAAATACTGAGGATCTTCTCTCTCCCTTTTCAATGGACTTATCTTTTGTTTTTATTTCTTTATTTAATCCACTGCCTAAAAGTTAAACTGTGCTAAATAGTTGACAGTGGTAACAGGCATCTTTGTATTATTCTTGGTTTTAGTAAAATTGATTCTAGTGTGTTTATTCATTTAATATGATGTTGTCAATCTTATCATATGTAAAGAAAACTATCTTCTAAAAAGTTCTGGCTGGGCATGGTGGCTCACGCCTGTAATCCCGACACTTTGGGAGGCCAGGGCTGGGCCTAGCCTGGGAGATCACTTGAGTGCAAGAGTTTGAGACCAGCCTGGGCAACATAAGGAAGGAAGACCTCCATCTCTAATTAAATAAGTAAATAAAAATAAATTAATTAAATGTTCTAATTAATGTTTTTTATTTAATCACTGACAGAAGTTAAATTTTAGCAAATGCCATTTTCCGACTAAGGAGATGATCAAGTATACTTTTGCCTGTTGTACTATTCACAAGAATTATTTTGTTGATTTATTTCCTAACTTTACTAGGTTAAACTCTACTTGATCGTGGTAAATTATTTCCATGATATACTGTTACATTTTATTTTCTATTATTTCATTTCCTTCATGCATCTGTGTTCAGAGTAGAATTTTGATGAGGATTATATTGAATCTGTAGATCAAATTGGGGAGACTTGCCACGTTAGCAATATTAACACATCATTTTTTTGCTGGTGAACATCCAAGACAGTTAACTGAGAGCATTTTCAACAGGTTCCCAAGTTGGCCTGGTACACTATCAATATACAAATTAGCACCTTTCATGTTTGTCAAAAATAACTGCAGAGAAGTAAAATGAATGAAAGCAAGAACGTATATAAAATATGCAGGAATAATTTTAATTTTAAAAGTATAAAATCCATATAAGCAAAATGATAAAAATCTACTATGATAGAGAAAAAGAACACAATTGGAAGGATCTCTCATACATAAGCAGTAGAGTCAGACCTGAGTTTATGCCTCTAATCAGCGATGTGGATTTTGGAAATTATTCCTCTTGGCCTGATTTTTTAAGTGAATATCATAAAAGAACCTATTCCATAAGGTTGTTTTGGAAATTAAATGAGATATTATTTATGTTGCACTTTTGAAACATCAAAAGTATTCAATAAACACCAAGTACTATTATGATTATGTTTCTACAAAGATGTATATTTATCTTGAATTAACATAAATATTCAATCAAAATCCCAAAATTATTTTGTTCCCAAATATCATTTGACATTTCTTTAAGAAATACAATCAAGCAGAATTGCTAAGGAGTCTTTTAAAAAATAAGAGCAATTGGTGAAGAGCAGTTTTTCTCTCTTTAAATGCATTATAAAGCATCAGTAATTCAAAAAATATTGTACTTATGACAACTGACAGATTGTTGAATCAGAATAGATAGCTTAAAAACAAACTCTAGCATGTGTAAAGATTTTGTTTATAATATAATGGCATCACAAGTCTAAAGGAAAGAATTATTTGATTAATGATATCTACACAATTAGCTAACTATGGGAGGAGGACATAATTGTAAATTCTCAGCACTCAGAAGAGAAAATAAATAAATTTCAGCTAGAACACGCAGCTAAATGTGTAAAACAGAAGTGTAAAATAAGAAGAAAATATAGTTGTATTATCTTTCTTGTCTGTGATTGTAGACTGACTTGTCAAGTATAAAAGCAATAGATTAAAATTTCATTAAAAAGATTATTTAATTTTTGATATGGTTTGGCTGTGTCCCCACCCAAATCTGATTTTGAATTTTAGTTCCCATAATCCCCACATGTCATGGGAAGGACCTTGTGGGAGGTAATTGAATCATGAAGGTGGTTACCCTCATGCTGTTCTTTCCCTCACTTCAATCAGCACTTCTCTATCTTGCTGCCATGTGAAGAAGGACGTGTTTGCTTCCCCTTCTGCCATGATTGTAACTTTCCTGAGGCCTCCCTAGCCATGCTAAACTGTGAGTCAATTAAACCTCTTTCCTTTATAAATTACCCAGTCTCGGGTATGTCTTTATTAGCAGTGTGAGAACGGACTAATACAATTTTATTTTGTAAAAATACAAAGCTTGTTTGTAACATCAAACTAAAAGAAAATTATTAACTGGGAGAATTATCACAAATCTACCAAGCAAATAGTTATCATTGTTATTAAAATAAAAAGCATTGCTTTATCGGAAAAAATTATAAGAGAAAGTAGACAAGGAACATTAGAAAATTATAGAACTGTAAATCATGAATAAATAGACAACAAATGTTCTGCCCCACTAGTAGTCAAAACAATACAGTGTCTAACAACAGTCATCTACCAATTCTTAAATGTCAGGTGCAGTCATCTACCTAGGCTCAAACTCCCAGTTTTACAGCCTGAGGAATTCTAATGCAGTCCCCACTACTTCTGCCAACCATGTACCTCCTTGTCTCATGGCTCTGTGCTGTCTTTCCACATCTGCACATGCTATCTCATGTGAACCTGGTCACTGACATGGATTGTCTTCCAACCTTGCAGTATCCATTCCCTATTCTTCTACTAGACAACAGTCTTGTTTCCTTTGGGGAGATCAGTTGTTCTGCTCTCCTGTAGCCAAAAATACAGCTTGTGATCCAGATAGACCATTCGGAATATTGGTCCCAGGGAATGTAGTTGGGGGAAAAAGAAGATAAATAACTGAGATATTAGATGATGAGGTGGTTCACAAAGAGTGCAAACAAGATAGCAGGCTAGAACCTACCTACAACTGCTGTAGGTACAGGGCCCAGGTCACAGTAGGGGAGCTTTGGCAAGCTGGGTCACCACTAGCACAAAAATACAGTTGGCACCTCAGTTCCATTGAAGTCAAACAGCACCTAATTTTAAAAGGTTTCATTAAGTGACCAGATCCAGTGTTCATGAAAGCTGATGCTTCTACCTAAGATAAACATACTGTTTCTGGCCTTCTGTGATTTTTACACTCAGATATTTTTTTAAAAAAATGTTTAGAGGGATAGCCTCTTCCTTTCTACCTATATTGTGCAACTGAACTTCATAATTTGTTGCAAGAATTCAAATTGTGGCTAAAACAATCTTTATTTTTGCTGTATGGTTCAGAGAGAAATGAATGATTGTCTATTTTGAGTATTAATCTTCGGTTGTTTCCATGGATACCTGATTCACTTAGAAAGGAAGCAATGAAAAATAAAGGACTCAGAGGCCAGAGAATCTATATTTGGTCCCTCATGGAGGAAAAACCTGAGGCTTGGGGAGGTGAAACTGTAAACTCTCTAACAATGGGCATGAATTGGTTAAACAATAAAACTCCAGCTGCTGTGTTTGGGAGAGGGAAAAGCATGTTTAATCATTTTTACAGCTGTTGTAATCACTTCTGAGTTTCTGTTCAAAGGAGGAATCCATTTTCAGATCACACCCCAGTCGAAGGGTTGCTTTCCCACTCCTCAGCTCTTATTGTGGAGGAGTGTAAAATAAACACAGTGTTAACGAGACTCAAAAGGAAGAACGGCAGAGGTAGAACCTTCACAGAGACAGAGAGGAACAGTACTATCACAAAACAGAGGGAACCCTTGCCTAGAGCAACACCTTTTCAGAAATGCTTTTCATTGAGTGTCTGTATTTAAAGTTGCATTTTTAAACAATAGTATGCAGAAATCAAGATTTTTGTCTGTAATTTCATATTATGTCTATCATCAAAGAAAAGCACATATGCTGGTGGCTAACCCGGGATAAAAGTAATAAGAGACAGACCTGTGAGACTCAGCAGAACCTGAGCAACAAATGAAGAGAAATTGGGACAAGAACAAATAAAGACAGTTCTTTTATTCATGCCTGGCCAAAGGACTTCACTGGCTCTATCTAAAAAAAAAAAAAAAAAAAAAAAAAAAGGAAAAGAAAAATTATACCAGTCCCTTTGTATTTTGTTTATATTTTGCTGTGTATCATTACACTTGTTAACCATCTTATGTTTTGGGTTGAAAATTTCCTGAAGATCAAGGCAAAGGGTGAATCATGAATTGTGATTTTTATATGTTAGAGTGAGAGGGATTCTAATCAATAAAAGGAGCCACTTTCCTGACAAAATTTTGTATCAATTTAAGTTGAATATGAGTTGAGTTACGTAAATATTCAAATATCATAGTGCTACTGACAATGCTGACGTGGAAAATATGGCTGATGTATGCAGGAAGGAAGCCTTCCTAAACTGAATTGGAGAGACTTAGCCAGCCAGTCAGAGGTGGCCCTGCAGCCCTGAAGACTTGTCAGAGAGGCCTACTTTGCCATATGACAGCAAACCAAACAGAACCCGTGCTGCCTTCATAAGAGCAATGAGTTGGGAAGAGGCTGCACTCACTTTCCCTTCTCAAGTTCATTGATCCAGTAAGTCACTCCACTGCCCAGACAGGAAGTGACATGGTTTGGCTGTGTCCCCACCCAAATTTTGAATTGTAGCTCCCATAATTCCCACTTGTCATGGAAGGGACCTGGTGGGAGGTGATTGAATCATAAGGGTTTTTCCCATGCTGTTCTCATGATAATGAATAACTCTCAAGAAATCTGATGCTTTTATAAATGAGAGTGCCCCTGCACTAGCTCTCTCTTGCCTGCTGCCTTGTAAGACATGACTTTGCTTCTCCTTCGCCTTCCACCATGATTGTGAGGCCTCCCCAGCCATGTGGAACTGTGAGTCCATTAAACCTCTTTCCTTTGTAAATTACCCAGTCTTGGGTATGTCTTTATTAGCAGCATGAGAACAGACTAATCCAGGAGGGTAGAGTGAGGTCAGAAGCACTATCTTAGTGGGTTCTATTACCCACCGCCCACCAACAGTAGGGCCCAAAAATAAAAACAAATCAGCTTCCCAGGAAAGCCAACTTTCTTTGTACTGAGACTTGAATTTCCAATACCATGATGTATTTCAAGGCAGCATACTCCTTCTGTGTCCTCTAAGGCCAAAGCCCTCATATTGACAACAACAACAAAAATGATTGTTGAGATTCATTCATTGGAGCTGAACTGTTGCTCCCTGCAGGAGAGGGAACCTGTCTCTTAATACAGGGCTCTGTTAATTACAAAGGAATCAGTAATTAATGGTGAAGTTTCAGAGCCTGTGGTATTGGGGACGAAGGGAGAACAGCAGCAGCCAGAGAGCCTGGAAAGCGTGCATATTTTGTAAAGGGAGTTCACCGATAAAAGCCTAATTCTCCAGACTTGGAATATGAGAATAAGGACTTAACTAACATTGAGTATTGAGTGCATGCTCTTTTGCAGGCTCCACTGTAATAGCTCTTGTCCTCTTCTTATAAGAGTCACCTAAGAAGCTGACCCAGGAAAGTAGCCCTTTGACAGCATCACAGCACGAGACACAGGTAACAGCATAGAGTTTAACTCTCTAGAATCCTAATGTTTTTTGCAATAGATGTCATGCAGGTTTCCAGACAAGTTTTGAGAAAAAATATGTGTTGAACCCTTTAAAAGTTTCTATTCTTTCCAGTATTCTCTTCACCTGCAGATACATTCCCAACCAAAAACAAGTAAGCATGAAAAGTGCTCCTAAGTCAAGTTATCTGTCCAGAAGATGGTGACTATACTTCAAGTCTCTCAGCAATTCATTTCAAAAATTATTTTTAGAACTCCTACTAAGTGCAAGACCTTAAGACAAAAAATAGGTCTTGCCTTCCAGAAGCACTCAATCTACTGAGAGTTTCAAAGCCATCCATAAGTCACCTCCCCACTTCCCAAGCAGAACACAGATTAAAGGCTATGATATTAAAGAACACAGAACATGTGCTATGGAAACACAGAGAGAAAGAGATAGTTCTTCTGGCTGGAGAAGAGATGAGTTTTACACTAACTCTTGATATAAGATGAGGAATTGAATAGAATTAAGTTTGTGGTTTATCTCGTCCCTTAGAGCAAAATTGTTGGCTAGTTAAGGGGAGGGTTAGTATAGAAATAGAGCTGTTACATTTCAGAGAGCATGCCACATTATTTTCTGTATTGGACTATCTAATTCTGCTCAGAACTTCCATTCACAGGGGTCAGTGAGGGGCCCAAGTTATCCATCATTTTTTTCTGACTTCTGTATGGTGACTGCCCCTGGATGCTTCATTACATGTTTCAGTCACATCTAACGTGTGGGCTGGAGATACGGTGAGAAGCCTGGATCAGTTTCCTTACACCAAGGACTGATCTCCTAAGGCCACTAAGCTACAAACTCTGAGCTGGTCAATTAGAGTAAAACTGCTCAGGGATCCAAAGTCATGCATAGATGACCTTTGGAATTGGAGGCTTCTTGCAAAGATGTCTAGGTAGCATAGAAAGCCCCCCCTTTCTGTGGCTAACTTCTATACATCGCTCAATTCTTGTTTTGCCCCACACTTCCTCTGGAAGCTTCCCTAACACCCTTACACCAAGCTAGTGACCCCTTCTCTGTGCTTCCATATTACCATGTACTTATCTCCATCACAGAACTTACATACTACCTACCATGTACTTATCTCCATCACAGAACTTACATACTACCTTGTAGTTGTGTTTTTACTACCTTCCTTTCCCAATGTTAGTGAGTATGTTCCATGATAGCAAAGACTGTTTTGTGGATAGCTGTATCCCTAGACTCCAGTAAAGTGATTGCCCCATATTAGGCATCTTAATAAACACTTGAATGAAAGAACAAACCAACTATACCATTGAGTTTCAGCTCTTTTGACACTGGAGTACACAGTAGGTCAACAGAAAAATCAAAGAAATAACTCATCATTGCTACAGAAAGAAATCTGGAATGAGATACCTTCTCTTCATTTATCATAAATTTATATTTCTGCTAAGATAGGAATTGGATGGTTGACATTGCCACCACTCAGCATGGAGCACCTCTGTTAGCTAGAGTTCACTCCAGGCCACCCAGCAGGTGGCTGGCCATCCCACAGCCACTCTTCAGGGTCAGTCACCTTTGGCTCCTATGCTGATGCACTGTCCACAGCTGGAGCTCAGGCAATAGGCCTGACTGCATCTCCATATCACTAGTCTTAGCACCTGATTCCAAAGCAAAGTGTCTAACACTGCAAGGTCTAGTGAACGTCAAGCCTGTAAAGACTCCATTGTGAGCTCTTCCTAGAAGTAGCCTCCAACAAGCTATGTAGCCACAGGGCACAAACTAAAACACAAACAGAAGTTTGAAAGTCCCAGGACATTAGGGGCTGCAGTGATTTTGTAAACCGTAAGTTCTGAAGTTGGAAAAGTTCCTTAAGTGGGCTCCAGTGGAGATGGCTGGATGGAGTGAACAGCCAAGAGAAGGGCTCCTGCAAGACTCAAGAACTAAAGTCAGATGGGAATTCATCAGTGTATCTGCACCAACTTTCTCCTGTAAACAGTTGCATACCCATTGTTTTTTCCCTAGAGAAGGGCTTGGCCTGGAATACATTGCAATCCAGGCTGAAATTTTTTAAAGAGTTTTAAAATGCCAGTAATAATTCCATATTAGATTTTCACAAGCATACTTAAAGGTTCTTCCTTATCAAACTTTAAAGACTGGCATTAGCATTTTAATTTCTGAAAGATTTATTACATGATCTTATTCTTTCCTTATCACTAAACAAACATCAACATTTAGAAATGGAAACGTATACTTTTGAGATTCACCCCCGTTTCATATGAACAACAAGAAATAACTCAACAAAGAGCCATTTTTCCTGAGCAGTTTCAAGATCCCCCCAACACCACCCGCATCTGAAAGTCATGACTTGCCTCCAAGTTACTCTGGAGAGGCTGTCAATGGGATGCCTTATTTGGGTCTAAACAAACTCAGCTTTTGGCCCAGGCAAACCCCACCCTTGATTATAAACAATGCTGGCACTCTCCGACCAGTATTTGCAGACACATGGGGGCAAGCAAAGGAAAAAGCTGCCAGTGATGGACTAAGGGTATTGTATAAGGGCATGCTTACTGGTAAGAATATCCAAGAACTCACTCCAGGCCTCTCCTCCTCCAGGAAGTCTTCCTAGACTACAGCCCACAGTGGTCTCTCCCCAGGGAACTTCAATTTTTTTATTACCCACATATCAAATGCTCATAGAAACATAGAAGTCAGAGCTGCATGGGATCTTGAGACATCCAGACCATGGTCCCCAGATCATTACCAACAAGAAACGGAACCTACAGATGTACTTTCTTTAGACTGTATAATTTTTAAGAAAATATTTAGTTATCAGTTAGAACTAGGAAAATTTCGCATTAAAAAGCAATCTAGAATTCCTGCTTTCTTGAGAAATAAGTAGTTTTTGCAATGCCAGTCATGCTGGTTATTAAACCACTGACTCTTAATGCCAAGCCCACCCTTTCTTACACCGGTCGTGAGGCAGATGCTGGAACTCTGCAAACATTTCTCTTTTGCCATCTGATTCCCTGTTGGGTTCTGCTAATAAGAAGCATTGCGGAGACAGTCTGAAATGTAGAGGAGAAAGAAAGGACACATACCTTCCTGTGTCTTTCCTCTTCATCATTGTCACCCAAGCAAAAGTTCTTGACCCTGATAGAGTAGTGATTCCCATTTGTGGTTTTTCAACATGCCCCCAAATTAGCGTGGTCACTCCCCTTCACTGAGATTCAAGCACCAGCCATCATCCCACTCACCTCCTTGGAGGTCTGGGTTTCTGAAACATGGGGCCTCTGCTCCAAGCTTTTAAGTTAGTGCTGTCCAACAGAAGTATAATGAGAGCTACAAATTAAAATCACCTATGTAATTTTAAATTTTCTAGTAGCCACTTTTCAAAAGACACAAAGAAACAGAGGAAATTAATTTCAACCATAAATGCTACTTAATTCAACTCACCCAAAATATTATTATTCCAACATGTAATTAATATTTAAAACTTTTAATGAAATATTTTACATTGCTTTTTTATACACTAGGACTTTGAAATCCAGTGTGCATTTCGCACTTATAGCAGCACTTCCCTATTCAGGCTGGCTGCTTTTCAGGTTCTCAACGGCCACGTGGGGCTGGTGGCCTCTGTATTGGAATTGGCAGCACTAGGCTCTAAGAACCACATTCTCTCTTTCTTGTTGCTCCAGCCACTAGCAGTGTAGCAGCATCCTGCAGTTACCAGCTGAGTGTTATCTTAGTGTGATCCTTAAGCCTTTCCGTCCGTTAACTTGTTTAATTATTCCTTGTAATAATTCTCCACTTTGAAATGATTGATGTATCAGTTTTCCCAATAGATCCTGATCAATACAGTTTGTACTAATAATTGTTGAATAATAATTGGCTCCTCTGATGTGTCCAGAGCTCACCCTTTAATGCCAGATCCCACAACTCCCCAGTTCTGAGGCTAGAGAGCAAATGGGTTGTTATTTGCCCCTTGGCTTCTGGTAGAATTATGAAGAAAGTGATTATCCCACTATCCTTACTTTGAAACATTGAAAAAGTTAAAAAAGAACTGATTGTGTATCAGAAATAATGTAAGTGGGCCATATTGTTTTTGCAAGAAGTCAAGATTATTCCCATAGTTTAATCTTCACCCAATCACATTGTCTCCCTGGCTCTCTATGGACACTCAGGCCACAGAGATTGCCCTGGTTCCAAACTGTTCTGGTTATGAGCTCTCAGAGGATGGGATTCTCATCCCAGGGACAAACACTAAGTCCTTGTGACTCAGACCTCACTGGTAAAACAGAGCTGTTGTTGGCCATGTCCTAGGCAAGGCTGAGAATAGGTAATGGTAACCATGATTGTGATTTAGACTTTACAAAATACCTTTGTGTACATAATTTCATTAGCTGGATATATTCATGGTGCATTCCCGTGTGCAACCTGAAATGTAGACAACCTTGCTGCCCACTTCATACCCCAGTCTGCCACACTCCCTGCCTTTGCAAAACAAACTGCCCTGAGCAGTGGTTTGGAGTAAGGACTCTGAGAACACAATAGCTGGGCTGTAATTCAAATCTACCATCTCTAGCTGTGGGGCAAGATCCTTAACTTCCTCTCTCTGCCTCCATATCCATATTCAAAAAATGGGACAATAAAGGCATTGACCTTATTGGGTTGTGTGATGATTAAGTGTGTTAATGCATGATCATATGTGTTAATTTACTGTGTGCTTAGTATACAGTAAATTCTCGATAAACATTCAGTGATATCATTGTCATCATCATCATCATCACCACCACCACTTTCTGGCCTGATTATGCCAGCAGAAGAGGATAGAGATTAAGAGCTTAAATTTGAATTTTAAATTCAAAGTAATGTTCAAATCTTGGCTCCTCCACTTCCCAGCTGTATTACCTTAGGCAAATTACTTAACCTCTCTAAATATCAGTTTCCTCATCTATAAAATCACAATATATGCATCAAAGAAGATTTTTGGAGGATAAAATGAGGTACTACATGAGTGTAATATTAGGTACAGGAGAAAGGCTAAAAAGAATGTGTGTTGTTGTTATCAACATAATCACCACCATCATCATAATCACCATCATCTTTCCTCATGGTAAAATACAAGTATGGGAAAATGTTTCATCTGTTTAGTTTCACTGCATTTGAGGTCTGGGAAACCTACGCAAATTAGTATGATATTCCCACTAAACCATGAACCATTGCCCAAATTACTCCACAGTCTTCATAAGTAAATTAAGATATTTGGACTAAAATTCTAAAGCTCTTTCTAGCTTTAAAATGTTTTATTCTCTAAGCCTTTAAACATTCCCATGAATTAGTTTATTAGGTAAGTTTCAGATATACAAAGAGCCTCTAATGGGACACAATACAGGAAGAATAAGTTTGGGTGATAGGAAAAAGGAAGAAGGAATGATCAAAATATGAATGGATGCATGGAAGAATAGAGATAGATAGATAGATAGATAGATAGATAGATAGATAGATAGATAGATAGACAGACAGACAGATACATACATACATACATACATAGATGATATAGATAGACAGATAGATAGATAGATAGATAGATAGATAGATAGATAGATAGATAGATAGATACATAAATACATGGATAGATACATAGCTAAATGGCTAAACCTAGCAGGTTCAAGTTTCATCTGGAAGAACAGAATCCTGGGAGGAAGGTTCCGTAATGGGAAAAACAGAAATTACAAATTTACTGGGCACCTTACTCCACAGGTCAATTAGAACTTGCTATTTTATGTAATTATTTTTCCTATCTTACAGTTGAATCCAGAGATTAAGTACCCAAAGCCACAGCACTTGTAAGCAGCAGAACCTGGAAATGAACCAAGAAATATTGAACTTCAAAGCTCAAGTTCTATTTCTAAACAGCTGAGTCTGCCAGTTCAACATGAACCTGGCTGGAAAGGCAGCCACAAACCTGAATCCTTAATTAGAAAAGCAAAAATGAAATAAGAAATGGTGCTCAGTTAATTTCATAGGAAGCTCTCTCCCCTTCCAAGTGTGGGTGAAATGAACTGAAATGAAACTGTCATCTTGAAAATAAAATCTCTGCCTTGCAGCCAGCTGAGTCTATGTGCAATATACTTGTGATTGGCCCTTTGGAAATTTAAGCTGGGTCAGGCAGTGCTGACCTCCTTACCCAATTTTAAATCCAGGCAATATTTAAAACATTTCACTCTCAAGAAACAATCTTCCTCATAAAGCAATTAAAGAAACTGAACAAGAACTAGGACCCCTTCTCTAGGAATAAAAGATAAAATTGCTTGTCCTACATTTTCACTACTTGTTTACTCAAGGTTTTTCCCACAACAAACAGAGTTCACACTACAGAGAATTCTCTAGCATCCAAGTTAATCAACTTCTTTGCTCCACAGAAACCTTCTCTGCTCAAGCTAATCCTCTCATCAGCTAGACAAATAATATCTTAGACCTTTCTAAAAGTGGTCCAATTGGCTTTATTGTTATAAGCTTGTTACTTTCATTACCACCATTGTACATTTTGATACTCAGACCTCAGCAACAGCCCACTCGGCTAAGGTAAGGCCTAAAGTCAGAAAACCTTGGGGAAGGAAAGTTTCTGTGAAAGTTCGAATGGCTGGCCCAGAATATCCAACAGTATCAGAAACTAGGCAGAGAGAGGCCAGTTGAGGTTATTATCGTTTCACAGTGATTGAGACGAAAGCGAGAAAGTGGCTCCCAGTCACCAGCTGGTGACAATGTCCATGACAGAATCAGGACCCAGTGTCCCTCTTTCACATTCCACTTCTTCAGGCTGTTGTGTTCTGTTCCATCAATGCACCAGCACACATGATGCGCAATTCTCCACCCTCCCACAGTGCCTTGTTTTCCAACCCATGCCAATGCATGCCATGTGATATTCACAACTCTGAGAGATGGGCATTGCTATGGGTTCAATGGTGTCCTCCATAAAGCTGTTCCACTTCTAATCCCCATTACCTGTGAATGTGACCTTATTTTAAAATAGAGCATTCACAATAAGACTGCATCCTTAGGAAAAGGAGTTTGGGCACAGAGCCAGGCACACACAGAAGAAAAATGATGTGAAGACAGAGCCAAGGAATGCCTGCAGCTACCAGAAGCTCGGAGAGGCCTGGAACAGATCCCGCCTCAGAGCCCTCAGAAGGATCCAATCCTGCTTTGGAACCAATATCTTGATTTTGGACTTCTGGCCTCTGGAACTGTGGGACAATACACTTCTTCTATTTAAGACACCCAGGTGGTGGTACTCTGTTATGAGAGCTCTAGGAAACTAATATAGGGATCTATGGCATTTTTCAGTTGAACAAAGTGAAGTCTAGACCTTCTGTGATTTTCCCAGCTTGTAGTTAATGTAATTAGGTCCAGAAATAATAAGATTTTCTGGCTCCCATATGAGTTTCACGATAATGGGAAAAGAACTAAAAATAGTCCGGGTGATTGGACGGGGCCCTAAATCTATGACACCCTGGTTTCCAAATTGTTTCACTCCATTGTCTGCCAAAAGACAAACAAACAAAGATAAAACTTGTTTGTCTGCTCTGCAAGCATCTTTGGGATGTGGCCCTTGCCAGCCTTCCCAGAATTACCTCCTGGCCTCGCAGACTTGAACGCTATACTCTAGCCCAGGGTTTGCCAGAACGTATGTGTCAGGTAAGATTATATTACGCTGCATGTAACGAACACTCGTCTATAATGGCTCAACTGCAGGCAGGGCTACAGTACCTGCAAAATGAAGGCAACAGGGACCAGGCTTCGTCTAGCTTTCTGCTCTGCCACTCAGCATATTCCTTTCATCCTCACAGAGGTGGCTACCACACTTCCAGGGACTGAATCCAGGCTCCAGAAAAGAAGAAAAGGGAGAAAGGGATAGGATGATGAAAATGCAAAAGGCACCTGCCAACTAAATTTTATCCAGTACCATCCAGTAAACTTAGATTTTATTGGCCAGAATTTGGTCACACAGGCAACTCAAGGGATGTCTGCAAAGGAGTTTGGAGAGGTGAGCATTTTTAAACTGGGCACAGTGCTTCCTCAAACAAAATGTATTTCTATTACTATAAAGCAGGGAAGAAGACATATTTCATAGTCTACTAGCAGAGTCAGAGACAACACAGGGCACATAACATTGGTGACACATAGAAAACTATTTTTTATACTTATAATAGTTAAGCATGTATTTTAGTATGTATTCAAAAAATGATTAAGATATCAGGCTTGAGATTTTACAAATATTTTTGTCTAGAACGATATTAAGGTTGGGAGCAGAGCAAGAAGGTAAATTGATTTCAATAAGATAATAAGTAAAATTGTACTGCTGGTTTGAAAAGATAACACAAGATACTTAAATCACTACAATTTGGGATATGCTGGGATTAACCCATTGTATTTCTGAAAACATGTCTGACCACTTTAATTCTCTGTGCCTTTGCATATGCATATGTCATCCTGAAATTTCCTTCCCTGGGCTTTTCTTCCTGGACAAATCCTAAATGCCTGCAAAACTCTTCCTAAAGGTCACTTCGTTTGTGATGCATTCCTAAAAGTCTCCAGTTAATTATCACCTCCTCTAAGTTTCCTCCAGCATTTGGTATATATACCTGTATCTGCCTTTATCTCCTTGTATAAGTCAGCATTGTCTATAATAATGCTTTATCACATACAATCTCCAGAGCTTAAAGGCGTACAAATACAAATAACTATTTCTCACTCATGTTATACCTGTGGATTTGATGCTATAGCCCTGCCAGACTGTGGTTGAGTTTGGGGTCTGACCCACAACTTTTCTCAATTTAAGTGTCAAGGCTGAAGGAGAGTCTACTTTCCACCTGCAATCATAAATGTGAAGTTCTCATGGTAGAGGGCAGAAATCTGAGAGAAAATTTGAAATACCTCTTAAAACCTTTGCTTGGAGCTACCAAACCATCTTTTTCACCCACAATTGCATAAATGAAAGCAGGTCACATCACCAAGTCTAAAGTTAAGCAGGCTCCCTCTTTGTGGGGTGTGAGAGTAGGTATGTGCTGGATAATAATACAAACCTCCCTACTCCCAATGTTATAATTATTTATACCCCTGTCTCATCACTAGACTGTGCTCTTCCATGGCAGAGGCTAGGTCTAGTGGACATTTGTCATGGCTTTCAAAGAGTCTTATCCCAAGTTAAAATCCTAAAACTCACTTTACCAGGTTCCCTTGCAGCTAGAATAGCTAGGCATGTGACCTGGTCTCCCCCAGTCAGATGAACTCGTGGGAGCCTTATGTTCAGATATTGTGTCCCAAAGCAGGGAACCATGCTGAATCCATTTCCAACAAGATGGATGTCTGACTTTCAGCAATGGCCGCAGGCTAGGGAGCTTCTTATCAGTGGTTGCCGCAGAAGGTTCATTAGAGCAATCCTGCAGTAGAAACTGGCACTGTGGCTACCACTATTGGCCAGTAGCTGTCCCACCAGAGATTCTATCAGCTAGCAATATCTCTTGAAAAATTCATTTTCTGCCTAAATTAGCTACAATAGATTCTGCTGTTTGCAACTATGAGCCTGACTGATACACTAGGTCTTACCACAATGCCCAGTACAGAGTAGGTGCTATAGGTTTGCTGGAAGAAAGTAATTAATATGATTGAAAATCACTAACTTATTCAAGCACTTACTGTACACCAGATGCCATTCTAAAATATATCTTAATTAATTTTTTATTCAATCTTCACCACAAACCTTTGAGGTAGATGCTATTTTTGTTCCCACTGTACAGATCAAGACACTGCAGCATAGAGAGGTTAAGAATGAATAATGATCAAATCATGAAATGCTGATCAATAGTTCTTCTAAGAGATATTATTTCTTTAGCACTGCTTGAATAAAAAAATGTGGTCCCCACAACTTCTCAGACATCTGACCTAGTCAAGACCACCAGTCCTGAAGGGCTACATGGAATCTCATGGCCTTTTTTTTTGTCAACCCATTTAGGAAACATTTAGCAAACACTCAATTTGATTCAATCACTTAACACTTATTATATTCTCCTCCAGTTCTCATTTCATCACATAAAATTATATTCTCCTTGAATGATCTCTGGGGGACTGAAGGACTAAAAAAGCTTTTAAGAACATTGTTTCAGTAGTTCCACCAGCCTCTTTAGGAAAATGGCTCTGAGATAACTCAGGTGTTATTTTTAAATTGTTGCTTAGTGAATTAACTCTTCAGCACCTTTCAAAGATAGGAAGTATTATCAATTCCACTTTGCTAATCTTCTGTTCCAAGATCAAATACGCAGAATACAGGTGGAGTGAATTCTGAAATATGCTGGAAGATTATAATTTAGAGAAAGTTTTCTGTTGCATCTTTTAAAATTATTTCAGCTGATTTTATTGATGTAGGGTAGATGTCAGCAGAAAACGGAAAGTGAGATACAAACAAGTTTACAATCTGGATAATTTGTATTGATAGACTTCTGTGCAAGGCTGTTTCTCCCCAAAAGGCATTTACATGAAGAAAACTGACTCTTTCCCATGGACTGCCAGGCCCTTCTTCTCTTCTGTGTGCCCTGGTTTTGAGTTTGCTCCTTGCTATTTTTTGTTCATTAGGAAGGAAGAAAGCTAACAATGGTAAGGGCCAAGTGAGTGTCCACACTGAGTAGTATTGAGTAGGAAACATAATCTCAATTTTCACAATGACCATTATGGACCCTATTGAAAGGGGATGAAGCTGAGGATCATAGTCATTAAATGACTAGGGCTAGTGAAAAGCAGATTTGAGATTGGAACTTCTAGTGCAGTGTTCATTGTATTAGACCATGTGGTTCTGAGCCCAGACATATCAATGCAACTGAAAGACATCTGCACTTAGAAACTGAAGGATGAAAATTCTTGTAAGCACAAACAGATAAAGTAAAAGGTGGGATCAGATGCAAAGGGGTCCCCTCTGAGCGTGTTGGCCTACAGGTAGGGCATAGACGATCTACTACCTAGGCTCTATATGCTTTGTGAACTACTGTGAGTTGCTCTTTTGAGGTTAGAGTGTTTCATTCAAGAAAATAATTCATCCAGACACTGAAAAAATCTGAAACCAAATCAACTTCAGTGCCTGTTGCAGGATCCCTTCAAGCTCCCACATAAATGGCATCTCCTTCAAGTCTTCTACCTAATAAAGATAAAAAGGATCTTTGAAAATCAGGGAAGGCTAATACTTAGAACTTAGTGAATTCATCCATTGTAAATGGGTAATCACTGACACAGCAAAATATCCTGATGGCTACAACATACAGATCAGCATGCCTATAGGTTAAGAGCAAGGGTTCTGGAGCTACACGACCTAGGTTTGAGTCCTGCCTCTGCCACCTCTATGTGTTCTTAAAATCTTCTATATCCTTATCGGTTTTTCTTCCTACCTGTTCTATCAACTATAGAAAGAGGGGTATTAAAATCTTCAACTATATTTATGGATTGTTTTTATCTTTAGCCATTCTGTCAGGTGCTTCTTTATATATTTTGACACTCCACTATTAGTGGCATAAAAGTCCCAAATTGTTTTGTCTTGATGAATTTACCTGTTTGCTAGTATAAAATGTCCTTCTTCATCTCTGGTAAGATTCTTTGCTCTAAAATCTACTTTGTCTGATGTTAATGTAGACACTCAGCTTTTTTGAAATTAGTGTTAGCCTTTTATATTTTTCCATGCTTTTGCTTTTAACCTATATGTGTCTTTAAAGTGAGTTTATCTAAAGTGAGTTTACTGTACTCAGAATATAGATGGACCTTACCTTTTCAGTATAAACTGACAATCTCTGCTAAAATGATTCTTGACCTGACTACGTTTAAATCTACCTCCTACTCCTTGTCTATTGGTCCTATCTTTCCTTTGCCTCATTTTTCTTTCTTGTTGCCTGCTTTTAGATTAAACATTTTTATGATTCCATTGTATCTCCTTCTTCGCTCATTAGCTATAGCTCTTTGTTGTGTTAGTATAGTGATTGCCTTAGGGTTTACAGTATGCATCTTTAAATTACCACAGTCTACTTTAAATAATATTATAAAAGTTCATTTATAACATGAGAAACTTACACTAGTATACCTCTATCTTTCCGACAACCTTTATGCTGTGGATTTTTTACATTTTACTTTTACACAGTGTCAGAAATTATACACTGACTTGTTACTATGTTTGTTTGAACAATAAATTTTGTTTTCTTGAAGTTTTTATTTTTAGATCATAGTAGATTGCAAGAAATAATACAGAGATTCCATATACTTTTACCCAGTTCCCCCCAGTGGTAATATTTTGCAAAACTATAGTATAATATCACCACTGTAATATAGACATGTATATGAGAGGATCTCAAAAAATTCACGGAAAACTTGAATAAAAGATAAAATAAAAAATATAAACTTTATTTCTCAATATAAGATCCATCAAGTTCAATACACTTTTGTAAGCAGTGATATCAGCCATTTAGTATAGCCCTAAAGAACTGAGCATCCTGGGAATTTAACCATGTCAATGCCATCTTTGTTTAAATGATTAGCTGAAAAATGGGTGTCCTTTAAAAATTTTTTAAGATTAAGAAATGAAAAAATAAAAGAATAACCCAAATCATTCACCTGTAAGGTGAGTGCCTAATGATTTTCCATTGAAACTCTCACAAAATTGCCCTAGTTTGATGAAAGGAATGAGCAGGAACATTGTCGTGGTGGAGAAGAACTCTTTGGTGAAGGTTCCCTGCTTCTGCTAAAGCTTTGACTAACTCTCAAAACACTCTCATAATAAGCAAATATTATCATTCTTTGGGCTTTCAGAAAGCCTACAAGCAAAGCACATTGAACATTCCAAAAAACTATTGTCATGGCCTTTGCTCTTGCCCAGTTAGCGTTTGCATTGACTGGGCTACTTCTGCCTCTTGGTAGCCATTGCTTTGATTGTGCTTTGTCTTCAGGATTGTACTGGTAAAGCCAAGTTTCATCTCTTGTTACAATTTTGTTTCATCTCTTCTTACAATTCTTCAAAGAAAGGTTTCAGAATCTTAATCCCACTTGTTTACAATTCCCAAAATTTCCATTGAAAGCTCTGCTGTTGTCTACAGCTTACTTGGACACAGTGGTTTTGGTACCCATTGGGTGGAAAGATCACTCAACTTTAATTTTTCAGTCAGAATAGTGTAAGCTGAACCAATTGAGATGTCTATGATGTTGGCTCTTGTTTCTGCTATTGATTTCTGGTCCTCTTCAGTTAGAACACAAAAAAGATGAATTTTTTTCTTGCAAATTGATGTGGGTGATCTGCCACTGTAGAGTTCATCTTCAACATTGTCTTGTCTGCTGTGGACTTTATCTTCAACATTGTCTCATCCTTTCTTAAAACAAGTTTCCCATTCGTAAATTGTTATCATTTTTCCACTGCCTAAGGGACTTCCTTTAAGTATTTCCCATAGTATAGGTATGCTGGTTGTAACTTCTTTTAGCATTTGAATATCTGAAAAAGTCTTTACTTTGCCTTTGTTTTCTACAATTTTTTCTGAATGTAAAATTCTAGGTTAACAGTTTTTTTTGAGGGGTTAGTATTGACAAATTGTTGCTTCACTGTCTTCTTACTTGCATTCTTTCTTCAGAATTCTGTCACTCTTCACTTTGTTCCTCTAAATATAAATTATCTTTTTTGTATGGATATTTTTAAGATTTTCCCTTTACCTGTGGCTTTGAGCAATTTGACAATGGTACATCTTTATGCTGTTTTCTTCATAATTTTTGTGCTTTGGGTTCATTGAGGTTCTTGGATCTGTGGATTTACAGATTTCACTCAAATTTGTACATTTTCCAGCCATTATTTCTTTAACTATTTGATCTATTTATCTTTCTCTTCTTTTCTTCAGGACTAATTACACATATATTAGGCCAGGGGAGTTGTAGCATGGTTTAATGATGCTCTGTTCATCTTTTTTATTACTATCATTCACCCTTTACTCCATGTTTTATTTTTAAATAGTTTCTATCACTGTGTCTTCAAGTTCATTAATCTTTAATTCTGCAACATCTAATTTGCCATTAATTCTGTCAAGTGTATTTTTTATCTCAGACATTGTAGTTTTTATTTCTAGAATATTATGTTGGGTCTTTTTTATATATTTTATGTCTGTAGTTAATTTTTTTTGAACCCATAGAATGCTGTTACAACTGTTTTGATGTTCTTTTCTACTAATTTGACATCTCTGTCAGTTCTATTGGTTTTTATTGATTGTCTTTCCTCCTTACTATGGATCACATTTTTCTGTTTCTTTGCATGTCTCATAAGTTTTGATTAGATGCCAGACATTGTTAATTTTACCCTGTGTGGTGGTGGATGTTTTTGTATTTATATAAATATATGTGAACTTTGTTGCAGGACACAGTTAATTTACTTAAAATAGTTTGATCCTTTCCAGTATTGCTTTTTTTCCCCAGTATTGCTTTTAATGTTTACTAATATATGACAAGAACAATGCTCAGTCTAGGCTTATTTATTAGCGATTACTAAGGCAAAATCCTTCAATGTACTCCACCCAGTGGCCTATGAATCATGAGGTTTTTCCAGTTTGACTTGTGGGAACATACAGTATTCTGATCCTCTCTGAGCTCCAGGCACTGATTTCCCTAAACCAAGCTTGTTCAACCCACAGCCCATGGGCCACATGCAGCCCAGGATGGCTTTTAATGCAGCCCAATATAAATTTGTAAACTTTCTTAAAACATTATGAGTTTTTTTTGCAACTTTTTTTTAGCCCATCAGCTTTCATTTGTTTTAGCATATTTTATGTGTGGCCCAAGACAATTCTTCTTCCAATATGGCCTAGGGAAGCCAAAAGATTGGACATCCCTGCCTTAAACCTTTCCAGTGTTTGTTCCCCCCCGCCCCCCTAGAGGCCTCAGGTACTTTCCTCACAAATATGCATTGATCAGAATTCTGTTGAATACTTAAGTGGGAGTCCCTCTGCAGTTCTCTGGTTTTCTCTCTGTGTGCAGCTGTCTCCTCTCTGGTATGCTATCTTGTGAACTCTACCTGCTTTGATCTTCTTAGACTCTAAGCTTCATTACCTCATTTATTCATCTCCTCAACTCATGAAGTTTGCCAGGCTCTACCTGGGTTCTCTCCCACTATGTTACAGCCTGGAAACCCCCTCAATTCAATAAGCTGGAGAAGCTGGGCTCACTTTATTGTGTTTACTGTCTCTTGAAGATCACTGTCACTATTTTTCTAATGTCCAGTGTTCCAAAAATCATTGTTTCATATATTTTGTTACGTTTTTTTGGTTGTTTCAGGCTACAGGGTAAATTTGATCTCTTTTTTCCTGTCTTGGTCAGAAGCAAAGAGCCCTTTTTAAAATCAATGTAAAATTATACGGTACTTAATGTTTTGGGTCCATAATTATTACCTTTCCATTTGGTAAAGTTCCTTTTTCTCCACTATCCAGGCAATATTCAAATATCCTCAATTAACCCCCAATCTTTACATCTAAATCATTTAAAACAATATCCAATCCAATACAGCACAGTTCATGCTGTTTATTCCTTTAAGTCTCTTTTATTTGTAAGCATTTCCTATTACTTAAAAAAATCTTACTTGTTAAAAAGACTGGACACGTCGTCCTGCAGATTGTCCCAGCTGGTGAATTTGTTTGGTTGTCTCCTAGGGGTATTATTTAGCTTGTTCCTTTATTCTTTGTATTTCCTGTAAACTTGATGTAATTAATTTAGATAATTTTGACTAGAACACATGATGGATATTGTAGTATACTACATGTTGCATCACATCATATTCAAAAATACATATTCTTTGTTTAACCTACCATTATGGGCTGAAGTGTGAACCCCTACAATTCGTGTGTTAAAGTCCTAACCCTTAGTACTTCAGAATACTTGGAATATTTGGAGATAAGGTCTTTACAGAAATAATTGAGTTAAAATGAGGTCATTAGGCCCTAATTCAATGTAGCTGATGTCTTTAAAAGAAGAGGAAATACGAACACAGTTACCTGGACACATAGAGTAAAGACCATGTGAGGACATGAGAAGGTGGACATCTGGAAGCCAAGGAAAGAGGCCCCAGGAGGAAACAACTGCCGACACCTTGATCTCAGATTTCTAACCTCCAGAACTGTGAGAAAATAAATTTCTGTTGTTTAAGCCAACCATTTTGTGGTAGTTTGTAGTTTGTTAGGCAGCCCAAGCAAACTAATAAACACCACTATGGAAGCTAAGATTGAATACTACTGAACTCAATTTTAGTTGTCATTTTTCACCTGCATCCAGAAAGCAACCTATGTGGTGTTTATTGACATTATTCAAACATCCAGTTGTCCATCAAATGTTCATCTAATGACTTTAACATCTATGGAAACTTTTCGCTCCAAACAATATTGTCAAGAGGGTTTATAAATTAAAGTTTTTAAAAATTCAATCACTCCTTTCCTATTTACCTATACATTGGATATTTATATCTTAATCTGATGTTCTTTTATACACTGGAGATTTATATCTTAACTAGGGCTATTTAGTAACACCAAAGCATAGATTCTACTGGAAAAGAAAGATACTTGCTTAACACTATCCATGTAATTACCAATTTTCAAAGTACAGTTCTCTCTCATTCTCTGTGGGGGACTGGTTCCAAGACCCCTGATAGAACAAAATCACTGGATGTTCAAGTCCGTTAAAACGACATAGTATTTGCATGTAACCTACACACATCCTCCCATATACTTCAAATCATCTCTAGAATATTATAATATCTGATATAATGCTGCCACATCACTTAATTTACGTGAATTCAATGTAATACTCATCATGTAGCAAACAATGTGTTGCTTTTTAAAACTTTGTGAATTTTTTTTCCAAGTAGTTTCAATCTGCAGTTGGTTGAACCCGCAGATGCAGAACCCATGAATATGAAGGGCAGACTGTAATCAATTGTTTTAAACTGCCTAAAATGATAAGAAATAGGGGTTTTCTTTTCATTTTCTAAATATTACTATAGACTTGTGGATTTTTATTGACTGAATGTTTAAATCTATTACAATTATTACTGTTTTTATGTTCAAATTCTCATAACATTTCATGACACTTTGTAAGTTGGCTCCTGGGTCTTTTTTATGTTACAGTAGTAAACTTTGAAAGTTTCTTTGCTTTTTAGCACAATGAAAGGCCTTTAGTTCATCTTGTATTATCATTTTTTTGGGGGGAGGGGGGTGATTGCCTCAGACCTGAAATTTGCCATTTTTCTAGGAATCTCTAGTTCCTTTCACTGTGGAATTGAATTAGTGATCATAATATGGATTCTAGAGGTGCTCATTGCTACTATTTCCATGGTAAGAGCTACAATAAACAATGCATGTACATGTGTGGATGCATGTGTGAATGTGTGTATGAACTCTCTGTCTCTCTCTCTCTCTCTAATCATGTATTCTTTTTTAAAATATCCAACTTTTATTTTAAGTTCAGGGGTACATGTGCAGAATGTGCCAGTTTGTTACATAGGTAAATGTGTGCAATGGTGGTTTGCTGCACAGACCATCCCATCACCCAGGTATTAAGCCTAGCATCCATTGTCTGTTCTTCCTGATGCTCTCCCTCCTCCCATCCCCAATCCTCTGACAGGCTCCAGTGTGTATTTTTCCTCCCCACCCACAATGATTCCACGTGTTCTCATCATTCAGCTCCCACTTATGAGTAAGAATATGTGATATTTAGTTTTCTGTTCCTGCATTAGTTTGCTAATAATAGCCTCCAGCTCCATCCATGTGTCTGCAAAGGACATGATCTCATTCCTTTTTATGGTTGCATAGTATTCCATGGTGTATATGTACCACATTATCTCTATCCAGTCTATCCTTGATGGGCATTTGGATTGATTCCATCTCTTTGCTATTGTGAATAGTGCTGCAGTGAACGTATGTGTGCATGTATCTTTGCAATAGGATGATTTATATTCCTCTGGGCATATACCCAGTAACAGGATTGCTGGGTCAAATGGTATTTCTGCCTTTAGATCTTTCAGGAATCACCACATTGTCTTTCACAATGGTTGAACTAGTTTACACTCCCACCAACAATGTAAAAGTGTTCCTTTTTCTCCACAACCTCATCAGCATCTGTTATTTCTGGACTTTTTAATAATCACCATTCTTACTGACATGAGATGTAATCTCATTGTGGTTTTGATTTGTATTTCTCTAATGATCAGTGATGTTGAGCTTTTTTTCATGTTTGTTGACTGAATAAATGTCTTCTTTTGAGAAGTGTCTGTTCATGTCCTTTGCCCATTGTTTAATAAGGTTGTTTATTTTTTTTCTTGTAAATTTGTTTAAGTTCCTGGTAGACTCTGAATATTAGACCTTTGTCAGATGGATAGATTGCAAAAATTTTCTCCCATTCTATAGATTGTCTGTTCACTCTGATGACAGTTTGGTATCTGACTTTGGTATTTGACTTGAGGTATTTTTATTTTTAGATTTTATTAATGGTAATACATTTGCACTATATAGAAAGTTCTACCCAGAAAAATCTTGTTTCTACCCCTTATTCTACCCCATCTGCCCTCTTTCGTAGTTTACCATTCTGTAGTAGTTTTTATCTTTCCAACATAGTGTTTGCCTGTTTCCGTAGCGTAAATATTCCTTACCATGTCAATTTCAAAATACCATGTGTATGCCAACTAGCCGGAACAAATCCTGAAAATTTAACAATCAGTCCTTACAAGCTGGTACAAACTTCCTCCAGAACACGTCTACCTGTCTTCCCATGCCCCCTTTACACAAGAATTAGTAAGCTGCACTGAGCCTTTGTTTTTGTTCTGTGTTTTTACTTAATAGCACGTGGTCAGATACTATGAACTGGTTGTCATATACATCATCAGAACACTTTCATTAATATCTCATATTATGTAGCATGATTTACCACTTTTTCCTAAGACTTGGGGAGAGAGTTTGAATTTGGAATCAGAAAGATTTGGATTCTAACCCCGAATCAGGCCTTATCTTGCCTTATCTTTCTGAACCTCGAGTTTTTCATCTATGAAATGGAGACCATAATATAAAATCTGTGATATAATCAAAGAAATAAAATGTTCAGATATAATATTAATTATAATATTAATAGTCAGCACATATAAGTGCCCTGTTTTTGCCAGATACTGTTCTTAGCATTTTACTCAGCATTTAATTCTCACTTCTAAATGTGACGTGTACTATTATTATTCCCATTTTACAGATGGAAAAAGTGAGTCACATAGAGGCTAGGAAACTTTTCTACGCCACACAGCAAGTAAGTGATGGAACAAACATTACACTTAGGACATCTACCTCTAGAAACCACTCTCTCTTTTAGAACTACCCTCTAAAACATGCTTAGTACATAGTGGTAACTCAACAGAGTCACTGTCCTCCACTACCTCTAGTTTCTTAGTTTCAGCTGCAACCTCCTCTTGGTGATTTGAGGCAAGAACTTCCACATTTGTGGGCCTCGTGGGCTCCTGTATTAGTCTGTTCTCACACTGCTAATAAAGACATACCTGAGACTGGGTAATTTATAAAGGAAAGAGGTTTAATTGACTCACAGTTCCACATGGCTGAGGAGACCTCACAATCGTGGTGGAAGACAAAGGAGGAGCAAAGTCATGTCTTACATAGCATCAGGCAAGAGAGCTTGTGCAGGAAAACTCCTCTTTATAAAACCATCAGATTTCATGAAATTTGTTTACTATTACAAGAATGGCATGGGAAACAACCACCCCCAGGATTCAATTACCTCCCACCAGGTCCCTCCCACAACACATGGGAATTATGGGAGCTACAATTCAAGATGAGATTTGGGTTGGGACAGAGCCAAACCATATCAGATCCTCTCACCAACTTCCTAGCTTTCTTTTTTTCTTGTCTCAGTCTCCAAAATCCTCCCCACCCACTCCAAGTTCACTGCCACATCCATCTGTGGAGAACATGACAAACGGAGAGGAAAGGCTAGACCAGCAGCACTACCCTGAACCTTCCCCAGAGACCCCCTGAACTGCCCTGCTCTGGTTATTCAGCTCAGCAGGGAACTTCCATGGGGTTTTCACACTAATAGCTTGGTGTCTTTGCTGGGCTAGTTATTAAATACTTTGAATATTTAAGAAGGCAGTTTCTGTTGTATATATCCCCATTACGTAAATGAGGAAGCTGGCTCAGAAAGATTAAATAACTTGCATGAATCCTGGTAGAATCAATGCTAGGATTCAAACTCAAATCAATGTTACTACCAAACTCTTACAACTTAGCAGTTTGAGAATGAAATGAAAACCATCATTTCCAAGAGTACTTGGGGCAGAGGCTGATTTTGATCAGTGTAGACTTGACTGTCCAGTTACAAATGGCTTTAGCCTCAACACTGTCCTAAATCAGAGTTATAATCTTAATCACTAGCATTTGGCTTGGTCTCAGAATCCTAGGACTGGCACTGAGATTTAATAATTTACCACACACTCAGCACTGATTTAACAGAGACTCTGCTGCCTTAGGAATGGATGAAATCAGCTGATGAGATCACGATTCATGCTAACATTCTTGCAGGGATTAAATAAGATAATTCATGAAGAGCTTGCTATGGTGCCTGGAATATAGTCAACACTCAGGAAATGCTATTTATTTTATTATTACTGCAGCAAAGATTACATGAGAGAAAATGATTGAGAACTTAGATCTGAGTTTTAAACTCAGGACTGATATAGACCTTAAGTAGTCCTGTATGTCTCTGAGTGTTCCCATCTTTAATTTCTGTAAGGAGTAAAAGAGATGATATACATAAAGCATCTAGCACACAGTAGGCACTCAATATAACATAGCACACTTGACTGTATTTGCCTAGCAGCAAAAAGTTAATAAAGAACTTTAACATGCATGCAAATGGCCAAACAGAGGGGTCCGGAGACTTGCATTCTAGTCCTGACTCTGACTTTAACTGAACAAAAGAGCCAAGTTATGGCTTGTGTTTCCTTTTCCTCCTCTGTAAAATGGATGATTTGGAGCCCATGCCTCCTTCCTTGTTCTGACAAGTTATTCTTTTTTTTTTTTTTTTTTTTTTTTTTTTTTGAGACGGAGTCTTGCTCTGTTGCCTAGGCTGGAGTGCAGTGGTGCAATCTCAGCTCACTGCAAGCTCTGCCTCCCAGGTTCACACCATTCTCCTGCCTCAGCCTTCAGAGTAGCTGGGACTACAGGTGCCCGCCACCACGCACAGGTAATTTTTTGTATTTTTAGTAGAGACGGTGTTTCACCGTGTCAGCCAGGATGGTCTCGATCTCCTGACCTCGTGATCTGCCCTCCTCAGCCTCCCAAAGTGCAGGGATTACAGGCGTGAGCCACCGTGCCCGGCCACCATTATTCTTTAGAACTTTCTGCCAATCTTCCCAACAATGCTGTGAGTCAACAGGGGTGTGTCCATCTTACAGATGTGGAACCAAGACTCAGAATGCTTGGACTCAGAATCATAGAATCTCAGGGTCATCATGATCCTTAGAGAATGTTAGTTCAGTGGTTCTCAACCTTCTGAGACCCTTTGTTCACACTCTCTCCTTCAATCCTACTCTCTCAGTGGGGAGTGGGGGAGAATGCTTGGCCTCTCTTTGTTGACTCTTGAGAGTGTGGCAGAAAAAGTCAGCTGCTATGGTAGCTGATGAGTTATAAAGCAGGCTCTGCGATCACATATAGATGCAGGAATGGTGAGAAACAGCATAGGATAGCAATAAGAATTCAGGAGCTTTTAGTTGATCCACTGTGTTCATGGCCACGCCAGCAGGAGGTACGAGTTCCCAGGTTCAGTAAAGCCATCTATCCATCACTGAGTCTCCCCGCAGATGATGTTATTCTCCACTGTCTGCGCAAACGTTTTCAGGTTCTATCTTCATTCTTCTTGTGATTTTAGGACTGTCAAATTTGCTTAATATCCTCTTTCTAATTCTGTTAACTGGATTCTATTTCACATACAGAAGATCTTTAAACATGCATGGCTACATATAAAGTCTCCTCAGTATATGTTTATATCAACTTAAAATAATCAAAAGGGTCAGAATCTAGTTTAAAGAGAGTTTATTCAAGCGCAATTGTTTAAGGATAGCCACCCAGGAAAGGCAAATTCCAAAAAATGGAAGTCGGTGTTTCAAAGGGTAGAAGTTTGAGATTGTTTATGTAGACAAAGTTTAACATCTTCCTATATAAGGCTTAATGTATAGTTACAATGATCTAATTAGTTTAAGTAGTCTTTTTTCTTTCAGGAAATGTATATGTAACATTTCACACTGAAGGTGTAGCAGTCATGGGGTCTTTTGCAGTGTCTAGTCGGAGTTAGGAATGGGACAATAAAGGAGGCAGTTAATCTATAACAAAGATCACTGACCGGAATGGGGAGGGCCTGGTCTCTGGTCTCCCCTAGTCAGTTACAGAATAAGAACAATGAAGAAGTGAGTTAATCTATCATCTAAGACACAGAATTGCAAAACTGCTCTGTGACTCAATCTCCAGGGCTTAATTCTTCCTTAGCATAATAAATTTAGAGGCCCCTGAAATCTTATTTTTGTCTACATTCCATACAAAAAGTTATCTCTAATTTTACACAAAAACTTCACCCATCTATTTTGGACATTTCACAAACACCCACCCATTTGGTGACTTGGCTGCAAGGACTCATGGGACTTGGAGGCAGTTGTACCTGCATCCTTGCTTTAGTGTGCTTTATGTGTTCTCTCTCTCAAGGGGACAATCATATAGAATGTGCTCCTTCCTCCAGCAATGAAATGCAGCAATGTATGTGAAGTGTTTCTGCCTAACAAAGCACACTTAAGACCCAGTGTCCAAGGTTTTCACGGGGGGGCTGGTCACCCAGGCATCTGATCACTAAAGAAAGCAGAATACAAAGTCTAGCAAGCTGGTACAGTGCCCTAGGCACACAAAACAGTCTTATCAGTTAATAACATAGGGAATACTCCAAAGCCAGGTTCCCAGAGGCCAGCCAATGGTCTACTGCAAAGCAAGCCCATCGAACCAGCCACATCAAGCCTGCTATGTACACTCTTTCCTGCATGCCACCGTTCATGCTTTCTTGGAACAAATGTAAATATCCCACATGCTTATTGAGTTTTTGAAATTTCACAATGGATAAAATAGTAGGACTATACTGAGTGCAAGTTTGATATCTGCTCACAAAGAGTTGTACAATGTGACAGCATTTCCCCTTACATATTTCAGAATCACTGATCTACTGCACCAACCACCACCCCTCAGTCACAGGCGGGCCTTAAACTCAGGCCTTCTAAACTCCCTAGAGTTATTTCTGTATACACCATGATCACCTAGGAAGCTTTAGAAACTACTAGGCCTGGGTCCCCTTCTGAGATTCAGATGAAATTGATCTGGAGTGCAGCCTTGGCTTTGGAATTTTTTTTGCTTTTTGAGCGGGGGAACAGAGTCTTACTCTGTCATCCAGGCTGGAGTTCAGTGACACTGGCATGGCTTACTGCAGCCTCAACCTCCTGGGCTCAATCAAGCAATCCTCCTGCCTCAGCCTCCTGAGTAGCTGGGACTACAGAGGTGCACACCACACTCGGCTATGCTTTGGAATTTTTAAAACTCCTCAGTTAATCCTCAAAGTTAAGACCCACTCCTCCTTAGGACCAACGGTTCTCAATGTGTGTTTTCTAGACCACCAGCATCAGCATCACCTAGAAACTTGTTAGAAATGCAAATTCTCAGGCCCGCACCAGGCCTATGAAATCAGGAATTCTGGGTGTGGGGCCCAGAAATCCATGTTTTAGTAAACCCTCCAGGTGATTCTGATGCCCATTCAAATTTAAGAACCCTTGCCCTAGACCAAGACACAAGTCTTCTATGTGCCCCCCTAGGTTCTTGGTCAGGGCCACTGCTGACACAGCCACAGGAAGCCTGAAGCACTACACCTGAATGCCTCCAAGAGCCACTACTTAGACAGATTTACTTAGCATCCCCTTTCCTTCAATGTTTCCCAAAACTGGCTTTACATGTGGGGGAGTGGGACCCACCTTGTCAGACTCATGGATAAGTATAGGAAGATGAGTGAGTGAACAAAATTTGTAGAATGTCGAGAGGGACAAAGCAGAGAGTGTGGACATTATATAGTCAAGCAAAAGTGCCTGATAACAGCAGAGTCAAGAAGCCAGCAAACTGAGACCTGAATTCTACTTTCTGCTGCCTCTCTTCTTGTACCCAAATGTCTGTGTCTCGGTTTCATCATCTGCAAAATGGAGACAATAATTCCTCCCCGATCTAATTCAGAAACCCTTTTTGCTGGCTGCATGAAATAATGTGTGGAAATTTGTAGGGATCTGACAAAGATAAGGTATTGTTCTCCAGTCTGTAGGGTGAGAGGCAGGGCTGAGAGCAATAGCATTGTCTGTCTGCTGAAGGGTTTATTGACCTAATCCTTCATTTAAGATTTATGTTCGCCAAGTAGGCTAACTAGTGTCTGGAAAGTGGAAAATTCTGCCCAGTTTCTATATTGGTATCATGTTAATTCACAAAACTATCTCAACCATTTCACTAATTTCAGTCTATATATTTTTCTCCAATTTAGTGAACTTGATTATACACATGCAAATATAGCTCTTGTCTGCTTTCATTGATACTTTCAGTGGGGAAGGGAGGGAGGGAAAGAAATTAGCAGTTTTCCAGTACTTGACATGTACCATTTGCCTTCCATTTCTTTTCCTTTTTTTTTCTTTTTTTTTTTTTTTTTTAGACAGAGTTTTGCTCTTGTTGCCCAGGCTGGAGTGTAATGGTGCGATCTTGGCTCACCACAACCTCCGCCTCCCGGGTCCAAGAGATTCTCCTGCCTTAGCCTCCCAAGTAGCTGGGATTACAGGTGCCTACCACCACGCCCGGCTAATTTTTTATTTTTAGTAAAGACGGGGTTTCTCCATGTTGGTCAGGCTGGTCTCGATCTCCTGACCTCAGGTAATCTGCCTGCCTCGACCTCCCAAAGTGCTGGGATAATAGGCGTGAGCCACTGCACCCGGCCTGCCTTCCATTTCTTAACATTTCATTCCTACTATAAACCATAGAAAGCGAACATGATCTGTATTTCACAGATAAAGAAACAGAAAGTCAGAGAGGTTAAGGAACTTGACAAGAACCACACAGATGGCTGGAGGCAGGGGCAGCACTGTGCACAGGTCTCTGCAGTTCATATGCTTCCCACCAGTCCAGTGTCTGTCATTTGCAGACCCACTCCAACTAGGGGGTGAAATTGGTGATACTCATTAATTAGAAAGACTGGCATTTCCAGCCACATAAGATTTGTCTGTGATCATGGAGCCCTCCCTGCAGTGTCTAAGCCAAGTGAATGAGAGAGAGCTTCACAGAAAGCAAACACTCTCTTCTGAAGCTCTGCTCATTGCACTTTCCAAATTGAAACATGGAAGATCCCATAGGCACTCGAGGAAATCGAACTCTTTTGTACATGGAGAAAAATCAGTGTAAATCTCTCATAGATTTGAGTCACCAACACAGAGAAAGGGGCTTTGGAGCATAAACAGCCTTCCTCAAGAAATCAAGGGACTAGATACATTGATTAATCTATCTTCAAAGAAAACACACTCACTCTCCTGAGATATCTTGATATCTGCTTTCAAATCCAGGAAAACCATTACCACAGCTAGAACACTTGGATTTCCTCCTTCTGTTCCAATGCAGCAGGCATATGCCTGTGGGCACTTGTCCCTCTGAGTCATCCCCTCTCTGAAGCTTTAGCGGCTTCTGCAGATTCTCCAAACCAGGGCAATAGAAAGGAGACTCTTCCTTGAACCCTTAATTGCAGTTGTCAGGATGTCTTAATAATGGTTTTTTTATTATTTTTAGGCAGTCCCATTTCAAACTCTTTCCTGCTAATTTCAACTTTAGGGTTAAAAATAATACTGTGTTATACTTATCCATAGGATGAAACTTACGTGGCCACATTTTGAGAACAATGAATTGTTTAACACCTACAGTGTACATCACCTAGAACTACACCTTGTCCTGAAGTTAATGAAACAGAACATTTAAACCTAACTTAAGTTTACAGAACCTCTGGAGGACTCAATCCTATTTGAGTAAATAACTATGAAGGAGCTTTTTAGTGGTACAATTTATAGGTGCCCCTATTTGACTCCGGAGCCCCTCCTCATATTCCCATATGCCTTCCACTTCCCTTTGGGGCACATAAGAAATTAAGTGGTGCTGTTGGTAAGCGGTGCTGTTGGTTTACTTACCTGCATACCCTGCAATATCCTCAGCTTTTTGAGGTCTGGAACCATGTATCTGAGTCACCACTATCTTCCCAGAACCTACTACATAGTAAGTGTTCATTAAAAAAAATTTGTTCAAAGAATGAATGGGACAAAGAATTGCTTGTGAGTTAAATATTTATAAATTAAAATCTATTTTAACTCTATTAATTGAGCACTTTGGGAATAAACTTACTTTTTTTTAGTAAAGTAGTTTCAAATGGGTAAAAAATCCTCCCCTTTCTGATCTGCCAACAGAGAAATTTAGTGACTGGGACATGAAGTAAGTGTGTGGGCAAGAGGTCTAGAATTCGATGGAATCCCAGGAACTGGAATATGGCCTGAGGGGTTGGGAGGCTGGGCTAGGAGGTGATGCATTGATGTGATACAAATAATCAACAAAAACTAAATGTGATAAAAAGTTTCTAAGGTGATAAACCCAGTGAAAGGTGCCTTAAAGGCAATGTCTGTAAGATAGGGGCCATTATTACCACCCTTCCACAGATAAAGAACTGAAAAAGGAATAAAGTAGGTTACATGGTTTTTGGATGTGCTACAGCTAGGGAGCTAGTGGAGTTGGGTTTCAAAGTCAGACCATCTGCCTCCAGAAGCCCCACTGCTGACCCCAGCTGTCCCTGAGCTCCACAGGCAGGCTGGGGTAGGGGGTGAGTCTCCTCAGAAGGGTGCCCAAAAGGAATAGCAAGTTCAGGCAGGATTCTGACTACATTGGGGTCCAGGAATTTTAATGCAGTACCCAAGACAGTAAGGTCAGGTCACTTACAGGTAGGTTAGGGACTCTCCTCTGAGAGCCCATAATATCTTGTGCATATCTCTTCCACCAATTACACTTACCACATTTATACATGTGTATGAATATTTTAAACTTTTGTGTTTTAATTGTTTTTATTTCTTAAACAAAATATTTTAACTATTTATTCAGCCACAGATATCTCCCTCCAACCCAAGCCACTAAAAGTGCTCGTCAAGGGCAGGAATCCTGTCTTACTAGTATGGGGGATCAGAATATGCCATCCCCAAAGATGAAGCATTGTTTAGGTAAAGGCAATTAAGAAGAAGCAAATGCAGGAAAGCTCTCCACCTTCCCTCTATTTACCTAAAAGCAGGACCCAGATTTACAAAGTCAAAAGGTATCTTTCCCTCCTTCTATCAGAGAGTGCCACTGAAGATAAATTTAGACCCTGTCATCTGGAGATGGCACCAAAGAAATCTATATGAACAAGCTCTACTAACTCACCTTTCTCTGCTATGTATTTGCCTTCCTACAAGTTGCTGCCCTGAGAGACTCACAGTCCTTTCCTTTGTCTTCTCATTTCTCTAAAAATGTACTGTTCTTTTAATTGAAGATGCTATACGACTTGGAATTCAAAGCTACCTCTTGGAGAATTACTCATTCCCTGGGTGTCTCTCATGTACACATGAAATATCCATGTTAATTTGTGCCTGTTTTTCTCTTGTTCATCTGTCTTTTGTTGCAGGGGTCCATTCAATCTGAGAAACTATGAGTGCTGAATTTAAAAAGTATTATTCTTCCCTTTCACTAGCAAAAACGGGGTATCCAATTGATGTCCAGTAAATGTTTGCCATGACTATGGACAGGTGGATGGTAGACGGATAGATGATAATAGAAAGAGAATAGAAACAAGTAGAGCCTCCAAGGGTATTTTTCCAGGAACTCAACTCATATGAAAAATCCTTCCTAACCCCTGCCTACAGACTGTGTGAGGAGGTGAGAGAATGAGTAGGATGAGCAAAGAAAAAAGATCTCATCCTGAGGAAGAAGGGAGTGTTATGGACCAGCTAGATTCTGAGTCAAAAATGAGCCCTGAACTCACAGAGTACAGGGGCACATCAAAGGTTGAACCAGAGCCCATACCCCATGGCCTGGGCCAACAGGAGGCAGTCCTGCCATAACTTACGGTTGGGATGAACAGCAAACTCTCCACACTACTCAGCAGCTAAGGAGACCCATGGAGAAAGAACACAGAGAGACCCAGTAGTCGCTCCACCTGTTAGTCCAGCAACAGGAGGCAAAGGAGGTGAGAGTGATAGGGACAGGAGGCAGGGAAACACTGGATAGAAGAGGGTGGTTCCCTGGCAAAGGCACCACCCTCAAGCCTAGAGACCTGAAGCCCTAAATGGAACAGGCCTTCCTGTTTTTGTGCCCAAGTGTTTCCTTTTGGGCTGCCACACCCCACTATCCTGTACCCATATAAATCCCAGGCTCAAGAATAGATGAGCAGAGGAACAGAAGAGCAGAAGAGCAGCAGAGTGGCAGAATGGCAGAGCAACATGGCAAAGAAGGAGAGAACAGAAGAATCTGAACATGGAGAGGAGTTTAGTTGGGGGCAATTGGAGAGATCAGCTGCAGGATGGCTGAACTCCAGGGGAAGATCATCTTCCCACTCCATCTCCTCTCCAGCTCCCCATCCCACTGAGAGTCACCTTCATCACTCAATAAAATCCCCAAATTCACCATCCTTCAAGTCCATGTGACCTGGTTCTTCCTGGATGCTGGACAAGGACCCAGGTACCAAGAGGGCAGAGTGTAAAAAGCTGTCACCCTGACCTTCCACTGAGCTGGTTTAACATTCAGCCCTCCACAGATGGCAACTGCTAAAAGGGCATTAATTGTAACACACTCCTAGATGCTACCATGGGGCCAGAGCCCAAAAGCACTTGCCTTGGCTCCTGCACCTGCCTGTCTGCATGCTCCCCTTCCCGTAAGGGATTTGAGTGCACAGTGGCTGAGTAAATGAGCCACACTCCTGTCACAAGTCCTGAGAGCGGTTCAGGGAACTCTCCCGTTTCAAGAATAATAGTTGTATGCTTGACATGCTCATGTCTAACACATTCCATACCCATGAGCTGTGCATGCAAAGGCAGAACAATGAAATAGTCAGAAGCATGATTGTTCCCTGAGGAAGATCTGAGCTAGCTCTTAAGAAAAAGAGGTGTTTGCTGGGTGCAGTGGCTCATACCTATAATCCCGACACTTTGGGAAGCCAAGGTTGGGGGATCACATGAGGTCAGGAGTTTGAGACCAGCTTGGCTGACATGGTGAAACCCCATCTCCATTAAAAAAAAAAAAAAGTTAGGCAGGTGTGGTGGCACACACCTGTAGTCCCAGATACTCAGGAGGCTAAGCAGGAGAATCACTTGAACCTGGGAGGTGGAGGCTGCAGTGAGCAAAGATGGTGCCACTGCTCTCCAGCCTGGATGACAGAGCAAGACAAAGAAGGGAAGAAGGGGGAGGGGAGGGAAGGAGAGGAGAGGGGAAGGGAGAGAAGGGGAGGGGAGGGAGGGAGAGAGGAAGGAAGGAGGGAGGGAGGGAGGGACGGAGGGAGGGAAGAGAGGTGCAAAGAAGGTGACACAAACAAGGTCAGAGAGTAAGCAAATGCTAGCCTAGGGCATCATGGCTGGGAGCACAGGCCTGAGGCCTTGCAGGAATCATGCCATTGTGGAAAGTGACTCCAAAATATTCTAGTCAGCCATATACCTTTAATGTCACTATCCACAGAGGGTCCATTTCTAATTGGCATCATCCTAGTTAACAGGCCAATTTCATCACTGAAAAACTATTTCAGACATTCACTAGGTTATTCAAGAAAGCCTGAGTTATTGATCCAATATGGATAGCAAATATGAATGTCTGCTTCACCTTTGTCCTGTGTCCTTCAGAATGTGGGCTTCCTGTTTGGTGTTAATGAAGCACATTGGAATTGTGCTCTCCTCATTAGAATGTGTGTAGCATGTGGATGATAGCTGAACTACACACACACAAACACACCATCACTCTTTTGTACTGAAGTATGTTTAATACAGGCATACCTTTATTGTGCTTTGCAGCTTTAGTGTATTTTTTTTTACTAATTGAAGGTTTGGGACAACCCTGCATTGAACAAATCTGTTGACATCATTTTTCCAACAGCATGTGCTCAGTTAGTGTCTCTATATCACATTTTGCTAATTTTCACAATATTTCAAACTTCATTATTATCTCTGGTATGGTGATCTGTAATCAGTGACCTTTAATATTACTATTGTAATTGTTTGAGGTCACCAGAAACTGTGCTCATATAAGACAGCAAATTTAATTGATAAATATTTTGTGTTTTTTGACTAATCCATGGACTGGCCATTCCCTTGTCTCTCTCCTTCTCCTGGGGCCTCCCTATTCTCTAATACACAACAATATTGATGTTAGGCCAATTAATAATATCTCAGTGGTTCTTAAGTGTTCAAGTAAAAGGAAGAATCGTACATGTCTCCCTTTAAAGCAAAACCTGGAAATGATTTAGCTCAGTGAGGAAGGCATGTCAAAAGCTAAGAAAGACCAAAAGCGAGACCTCCTGTGCCAAACCATTAGCCAAGTTGTGAATGCAAAGCAAAAGTTCTTGAAGGAAATTAAAAGTGTTACTCCAGTGAACCCATGACTAATAAAGCAAAAGAGTCTTAATATTGATATGGAAAAAGTATTAAGGGTCTGGATAGAAGATCAAACCAGCTACAACATTTCCTGAAGTTAAAGTGTAATCCAGAACCCCTAATTCTCTTCAATTCCATGAAGACTGAGAGAAGTGAGGAAGCTGAAGAAAAGTTGGAAGCCTGCAGAAGGAGGATCATGAGGTTTAAGAAAATAAGCCGTCTTCATAACATAAAAGTGCAAGGTGAAGCAGCAAGTGCTGATGGAGAGGTTGTAGCAAGTTATCCTAGCTAAGATCATTGATAAAGTCAGCTACACTAAGCAACATATTTTCAATCTAGGTGAAACAGCCTTCTATTGGAAGAAGATGCCATATAGGTCTTTCACAGTAAGAAAGAAGTCAATGTCTGGCTTCAAAGTTTCAAAGGACAGGTTGACGCTCTTGTTAGGGGCTGATACAGCTGGTGACTTTAAGTTGAAGCCAATGCTCATTTACCATTCTGAAAATCCTAGCAACCTTAAGAATGATGCTAAATCTACTCTGCCTATGCTCCAGAAATGGAACAACAAACCCTGGATGACAGCACATCCATTTACATCATGGTTAATTGAATATTTTAAGCCCACTACTGAGACCTACTGCTCAGAAAAATAGGTTCCTTTCAAAATATTACTACTCATTGACAATGTGCCTCATTACCCAAGAGCCCTGATGGAGATGTACAAGGAAATTAATGTTGTTTTCATGCCTGCTAACACAGCATCCATTCTGCAGCTCATGGATCAATGAGTAATCTTAACTTTCAAGTCTTATTACTTAGGAAATACTTTTGGTAAGGCTGTAGCTGCCATAGATTGTGATCCCTTTGCTGGATCTTGGCAAGGTCAATTGAAAACCTTCTGGAAAGGATTCATCATTTTAAACATCATTAAGAACATTTTTGATTCATGGGAAGAGTCAAAATAACAACATTAACAGGAATTTGGAAGAAGTTTATTCCAATCCTCATGGATGACTTTGAGGAGTTCAAGACTTCTTGGAGGAAATCACTACAGATGTGGTGAAAATAGCACGAGAACTAGAATGAGAAGCGGAGCCTGAAGGTGTGCTGAATTTCTGTGATCTTGTGATAAAACTTTCACAGATGAGGAGTTGCTTCTTATGGATGAGCAAAGACAGTGGTTCCCTACAATGGAATGTACTACTGGTGAAGGCGCTGTGAACATTGTTAAAATGACAACAAATGATTTACAATATGAGATGAACTTACTTGAGAAAGCAGCAGCAAGATTTGAAAGGATTGTCTCCAATTGTGAAAGAAGTTATATTGTGGGTAAAATGCTATCAAACAGTCTCATATGCTACATAGAAATCTTTTGTGAAAGGAAGAGTCAATCGATGTGGCAAACATCATTGTTGTCTTAAGAAATTGTCACAGCTACCCCAGCCTTTAACAATCACCACTAAGATCAGTCAGCAGTCACCAACACTGAGGCAAGATCCTCTATCAGCAAAAAGATTATGACTCACTGAAGAAGACAGCATTTTTTTTTAGCTATTAAGTATTTTAAAATTAAGGTATGTACATTGTTTCTGTTAACATACTGCTGTCTCACACTCAGTAGACTACAGTATAGTGGAAACATGACTTTTATATGCACTGGGAAATAAAACATTTGTATGACTTACTTTATTATGATATTCATGTTATTGTAGTTTGAGACAAACTGAACGTGCAATATCTATAAAGTATGCCTGCAAATTCCAGATGTTGTCATTAATAGTATCTAAATCTCAGATTGACCTGACCTGCATAGTTGCCTGAGATTTTGCTGTTATTTCCAGATCTTTGGGAGCTGAGGCAAATAGCAGTGTGGCTAAGTGTACCCAAAAGAGGGAAGCAGATGCTACCAGCAGGTCTCTGCACCATGTGGTCCTAGGCAAGGCAAAACCTCAGAATGGTGTCCTCAGCCTTGGAAACCCCTTATAAATATCTTCCAACTCTTGTAACAACCCTAAGAAGGAGTCACTAAGAAGTTAGAATTTTTTTTTGTTTTTTTTAGCCAACTCTAGTATCTGCCAGTTGAGCCACATTTGATTTGGTTGAGAAAAAAATAATTTTTTAAAATTATTATTATACTTTAAGTTTTAGGGTACATGTGCACAACGTGCAGGTTTGTTACATAAGTATACATGTGCCACGTTGGTGTGCTGCACCCATGTCCAACAATGATAGACTGGATTAAGAAAATGTGGCACATATACACCATGGAATACTATGCAGCCATAAAAAATGATGAGTTCACGTCCTTTGTACGGACATGGATGAAGCTGGAAACCATCATTCTCAGCAAACTATCACAAGGACAAAAAACCAAACACTGCATGTTCTCACTCATAGGTGGGAACTGAACAATGAGAACACATGGACACAGGAAAAAAAATAATTTAAGCAACATTCCCTACCTCTTGACTATGATGGGTCAAATGCATATTCATTTTATATGTATTATTTAATTTAATTCCCACAGCCAAACTATGGTGTTGGTATTAAATCTCCCCATTCTGCAGTAGAGCAAACTGAGATTCTGAGAGGTTAAGGAACCTTCTTGAGGCCATACAGCTAGTAAGCCAGGGTGCAACCCTAGGTCTGCCTGATTCTAAAGTGTGTGTGTGTGTGTGTGTGTGTGTGTGTGTGTGTGTGTGTGTGTGTATTCTCATCTCCAAAGGCTGACTTTTACATTAAGTGGCAAGGAGCTATTTAAATATATTCAGGCCACAAAGTGTTAATAAAATACAGAAAAAAGTCAGAAAAAATTTTTCCATTTTTATTGCCATTTCTGTCCATTTAAAATTCCTTTCCTGCTAGGTTCTAGCCTTTTGACCCTTATCTTCGTTAATGTAATGACTGGAGAGCCTTGATTGTTTAATTAGAAAATACGGCACTGTTATTCAAAGAGTTGTCACTACCTAAGCTGTAATGGTCAGAGGACAGTCTTAAAACAAGAAAAAAAATACTTGACATATCTCTCTAATTTAATTGTATTTATTTTCATATTTCTAAAAATATCCTCTCTGAAAACAGCTTCTGGGCACAAATTCAAAACTATAAATTGGTCAAGCTGACAGCACTCTCCTCCTCAGCTTCTTCATTTAGGAAATGTCCAAAACGTCATTTGTACCTTGTATTTTGTTTCATCATACCGTACCCTGGATGATGTCTCCCTCCTCTCCCATCTAAAACGTCCAGCTGTCAGCTGGTGCAGTAAGCACTGGATGAACACGGGCTCCAAGCCCCAAGTGGGAGAGGTCCAGGATTCACGGATGTCTCAGACATAGTCCCTGTTCTCAGGAGGTTGTTGTCTTAAGAAACTGCCGCACCCACCCCAGGGCTGGGCTTCTTAGACCTGAGGCCATCTCAGATTCATCCCACCATTGAGAATTTTCATGCTGGTGGTCACCTGATCACACTTTAACAATCCTGGTGTAGGGACCGGGCACAGAGGCTCACAACTGTAATTCCAGCACTTTGGGAGGCCAAGTCAGCTAGATCACCTGAGGTCAGGAGTTCGAGACCAGCCTGGCCAACATGGCAAAACCCTGTCTCTACTAAAACTACAAAAATTAGCTGGGCATGGGGGCGGGTGCCTGTAATCCCAGCTACTCGGGAGGCTGAGGCGGGAGAATCGCTTGAACCTGGGAGGCAAAGGTGGTACTGCACTCCAGCCTGAGTAACAGAGTAAGACTCTGTCTCAAAAGAAAAAGACAGAAAAAAGAAAACAATCCTGGTGTAGGGAGACGAAAAGGAAATTTCAAGGGCACTTGTCAGAAAGTTGAAATGATTGCCACCATAATAGCTAATACCTACTGAACGTTTACTCTGTGTCAGGTACTGCTTCGTGAGCTCAACTCATGTATTCCTTAAAATATTTCTATCGATGCCATTTCACAGATGAAGACACTGAGGCACAGAGTTACTAGGAAACAGAGAAAAGGATTCCTAGGGATGGGGATGGAGACCAGGTGCTTCGGGCTGAATCGTTTTCATCCAAAGTTCGTATGTTGGAAGTCGTAACCTCTGGTGCCTCAGAATGTGTCTGTATTTGGAGACAGAATCTTCAAAAAGATAATTACAGTACAATGAGGTCATTAGGATGGACCCAAATTCAGTATCACTGGTGTCCTTATAAGAAGCGAAATTTGTACACAGACCTGTGGACACACAAAGGAAGAACCAGATGAAGACACAGCAGGAAAGGGGCCATCATCAAATCAAGGAGAAAGGCCTTAGAAGAAAACAGTGGCTCACACCTGTAACCCCAGCACTTTGAGAGTCAGAGGTGGGAGGATCACTTGAGGTCAGGAATTTGAGACCAGCCTGGCCAACGTGGCGAAACCCTATTAAAACTGGAAAAATTAGCCAGGTGTAGTGGCACACACCTGTAATCCCATGTAGTTGGGAGGTTGAGGTAGGAGAATCGCTTGAACCCAGGAGATGGAGGTTTCAGTGGGCTGAGATCGTGCCACTGCACTCAGCCTGGGTGACAGAGTGAGACTCCATCTCAAAAAAAAAAAAAAAAGAAGAAGAAGAAACCAAGCCTGTTGACACCTAAAATTTTGAATTTCTAGCCTCCAGAACTGTGAGCAAATACATTTCTGTTGTTTAAGCCACCCTGTTGTTTAAGCCTGTTTAAGGCACTTTGTCATGGAAGCCAAAGCAAAACAACACAGTAGGTGTTCAACAATGGCTCATTAAAATGGCATGAAGTAGTGTTGCCGACCTGGTCTTTTTAATGACTAGGAGGTCCCATACCTCACTTTCCCGGCATCCCTTGATTAAGACATAGCAGGAATTGGCCGGGCACGGTGGCTCACGCCTGTAATCCCAGCACTTTGGGAGGCCGAGGCAGGTGGATCACGAGGTCAGGAGATCGAGACCATCCTGGCTAACATGGTGAAACCCCGTCTCTACTAAAAATACAAAAAAAATTAGCCGGGCGTGGTGGCGGGCGCCTGTAGTCCCAGCTACTTGGGAGGCTGAGGCAGGAGAATGGCGTGAATCTGGGAGGCGGAGCTTGCAGTGAGCCAAGAACACACCACCGCACTCCAGCCTGGGCAACTGAGCGAGACTCCGTCTCAAAAAAAAAAAAAAAAAAAAAAGACATAGCAGGAATTCTTAGGTGGACCCTCCACACAAAGCCACCGTTCCCTCCCTTCTCCAACCCCACTTGCTCCCCATAAAAGAGTGCTGGCCATGACACAGAAATGCAAGTAGCCAATAGCAGAGCTGTAGGCAGCTACAGGAGAGGAATGGGAAAGAAAGTCTGATGGAGCCATTCTGTAGATGGTGTGTTTCCTTCCTAGGAGCCAAGTCTTAGGCATCGACAACCCTGGGCCTTTTGTTTTCTGTTCAAAGCGACTGGCTTATTTATTCAGGGCCAATGTCTTTTTGCAGTGACTGTCAGATCTTGGTGATTTATCTGTATGTCCCAACCAGATGGCAAGTGATCAGTGATATGGGGTAATACAAGAGGAACCAACCAAATCACACACGTCACATTCACAACTAAATTCTAAATAATCCCTGCCCAACTAATATTCCTAAAACTCAGCAACTGTGGTTATATGGTTCCCCCATGTGGCATGTGGCAGTACCCCCATAACCCCCCAAAACTCAAGCACTATAATTTAGCCAAATGGAACTTCTTATATACAAAAT
Organism: Homo sapiens; assembly: GCF_000001405.40. Classification (NCBI taxonomy): domain Eukaryota; kingdom Metazoa; phylum Chordata; class Mammalia; order Primates; family Hominidae; genus Homo; species Homo sapiens. The sequence goes on along the minus strand of NC_000004.12, from coordinate 16,450,844 downwards.
GTTCAAACAAATCCCATTAGAATATAAATCAAATAGCACTTTAAAACAATTTGCTCAGGAAAATCCAGTATAGCTTCCTTTCAGTAGCCTAGGCAGGACAATTTTTCAGTAGTTTTAGGACACCTTGGTATTTTTTTCTTTCCCAACATGTCTGGCACCTAGCAGGCCTTCTTTCTCAAAATGCACATCATTAAACCTTTAAAATAACCCTTGAAGCCCAACGACTTTTGCACCAACCTAAATATGTCCAATTTGTACAGATAAAAGACTTTAGGCACAGAAGGGCTTAGGCATCTAGATCCTCTTCCTGCATATTAAAAAAACAAATGGAGAGGTAAGGATCTTATCTCGGGGTTCCCTGACTCCAAAGCCTGCTAGCTTCCTATTGTTAGAACCACCTTCTTTAGATCAAGGTTTTCCCTCTGAGGTTACCTGCAATGTTTATTTGTATACAGATTTACCTGAACAACATGCAGTCCCGAAAGAGGGATTCATCCCAAACCTGGGAGCCCAACCACAGAGTACCTAGCCAGTGACCTCTTGATGCACCTGTCTAGGGACTAAAGCCACCTTTTTTCACCCATCAATCCCCTTTGCTATGCTAATCAATAGGCCTCTAAATCCAGTTCAAAGAAGACCATTGTCTTGGATCTGAATTGCTCATTCCACAGAGGGATCATTCAAGTGATCCCTCTGTTTACCTGCAAATTTCAGAAAGAGACCAGGCTCTTTTATGAACTGTTGTCTCCGTGATCAAAGTGAATCGTTCAGCCTTGTGATCAAAGAGATGCTAACTCCCAGCTGGACTCCTTTCCCAAACTGCACAGCTCCCTATCAAAGCTGTAATTAAAAAACGGTTCAGCTCAAGAATTCTGATTACAGTATCTAAACAGCCTTCTCCCCACCAGGCTTTGAACAAAGCCATGGAGAGGGCCAGTATAAGCTTCAATATTATGAGAAATTACGGTGACAGTAAATACTGTGATCTCACAGGTCAATATGCCTCGACAGTCTCTAACCTGCTAATTGGCTTTAAAAATCTTAGGGGCACACAGCATGACCCATACAGAAAGGCAAAGATGGAGGAGGCAAAGTAAAGGGGAACCAAGGGGCAGGAAAAGAAGGCCCATGGCCTTTGAAAACCTCCCAGCTTTCATCCAACACTGTTTGCCAACAGGAGCTCTGGGAGACTGTAAAATTGAAGCATCACTTGGTGACATCCTGTGTCTGGGATGGTTTCATGAATTATGTCTGCAGCTGACACAATGAGCATAACAAACTTCTTGTCTCCAGGCTGACACGATTCAGCAGCCCAAAAGGTTCAAAGAGGCTTCCTTTGCAGAAACCCCATTACCCATGGGAAGGAGGGGCAGTGTTCTGAAATGAGACTTACTGTAGAGTCCGGGGCAGAGGGCAAAGAGACAAGACAAGTTAGCTAAGTTTCTTCAAAGGAGGGGAGACCAAGAAAATAAATCATTTTTGCAAAATAAAATAAATCATCACAATCACCAGGAAAGTAACAGGCGGCCAACCTTGATGATACAGATGAAGCATGTTCAATCCAGAGGCCAGTTGTTAAAAGGCAATCAAGGCCAAGACCTCTGACACTTAGCTTGTGTCAGGAGAGATCAGGACAGCACTGGGGTAGTGAAGCCATCTGCATGTTCTGAATCTTTTCTGCAGCTGAGGCTACTGATTCATGCTGACAAAGCAAAGAGAGGCCACCCTTGGAAGTCCGAGTTCTCAAGGTTATGGACTGATGCTAGCTTTAACAGAAACCCGCCGTTACTATATTCAACTCGTCTTACCCCACCAAGAATTCATCAGTTATTATGGCACAGGTGACTTGGTTATGTGGCTTATGTTTCTCCTGTAATTGTTGAACTGTTCTAGTTCTTATCCAGCAGTTCTTATCCCTTATATAGGGGTAGAAATGAAGATTGGATGATGAGGAGTGTATGTGTGGATTTCAGAACGATGAAGGGAAATGGGCTAGAATCCCAGGGACCCTGAATAATATACAAGTCGGGAAAACCCTCAAACCTTTAGTGGACGCTTGAGAAGGACCAGATGATATGCAGTTACTATATAACCCCTGCTGTCCAGCACAGGGCACAGACCTATCCATCTTTATATCCCGGGACGTAGTAATAACATCATAACATGGATTGAGTATCGGCATGCAGACGCCGTTAAGAGCTTGATAGACACTATTTGTATATAAACTATCAAGCAGGTGCTATATACTATGCCTATTTTGCCAGTGAGGAAATTTGAGACTTCAGAGTTAGAAAACTTGCCCAAGTTCACATAGCCAGTAAATAAATAACAAGAGTCAGGATATAAACTTAAGTCTTCTTGACCGCAGGGACTGACCTTGGAAATTCTACCTCTTCCCAGCACAGGGGCTGCTCAGAAAATGTTTGAGAATTTACAGTGGAAAGACAAACAATGCCCATATGGATGAATAAGTAAATGAACAATATCTTTATCTTGGAGTAGCCCCAGGTTCTGGTACTAGACCAAGTCTCTAGGTTGTAAAATTCTTTTCTTTTTATGAGGTAAGGTCTATGTGACAAAAACAAATTATCGTTGCTGTTTTATTAGCAATTAATGATTTTAAAACCCATTGTTAATAATTAATAAAGTGAAATATTAAGTGTAATTCAACTATATATTTTTTAAGTCTGCCAGGACCAGGGTCATACAGGATATAATGTAGGATTTTAATAATGGTTTGCAAATAAAAAGCTATTATTATCACATATCACGGCAATAGGTCAAAGCCAACAAAAATTATATCAAAATGGTGCAAAGGCACTTTATAAAATTTATGACCAGTCTGTTTTTAAAATTCAAGTAGGAATATAAGAGGAGCTACTTACCAGAAAAAGAAAATGTATTTCACACTGATAGTTGGCAGTCACTTCATATCAAAATCAAGAGCCAAAAAAGCAAATTCTTTTTATCATCATATTTTACACTGTTTGAGAAATTCTGACCAAAAAATATTTTAAATAGAAAATATTATTCCTTATAGATCATGTACTTATCAGTCTAAAAGCTCCAAAGGCATGTGGTATAAAGTATCAAAATTTAATGTAACTTAGCAATTTGAATGCAAGATAAACAAATAAAGAGTACCAAAAATAATGTATAAAATAATTTAAAAATTCCTATTTCCAGCAACAACAAAAATGATAATATATCATGAGACAATTCTAATGAAAACTGCGTGACCTACATAGAAAGCTGAAAGACTTTACGAAAAGATATAAAAGAAGTCTTGCATAGAAGGAGAGAGAGATACCATATGGTGAGGCTGGATATTGCTAAAGTATAAATTCTTCTTAAATTAATGTGTGGCTTGCTACAATCTTAACAAAAATCCCAACCTGACTTTGACAAAATGATTCTAAGATTCACCTATAAAAAGAAACCGAATATTGAAGAAAATGTTAAAGGGGAAGTACACTGCATTTTATAAAGCTATAAAGATTTAAATAATGTGACATATGTGCAAAAATAGCACCAGGGACAACAGCCCAGAAAATGATCCTATTATCTATCATATTCTAATATATGATAAGGAATTCATCACAAGTCAATTCCCAGAAAAGCTCGAGTTATTTAATAAATGAGGTTGGATCAATCAGCTAACAATTTGGAACACAATATATTTAAATAATTACCTTATTCCACATACTAAAAGATATCCTGATTAATTAAAAATATAATGTATATAAACAAAAATTAAAAGAATATTCAATTTAATTCTCTTTTTTGAAGGGAGAAAGACTTTCTGTTTTTAAGAATAATAAAATAATTCATAAAAGGAAAGATGGGCAGACAGATCCTAGTACAGTGCACAGACAGCACCCATTTTGACGGATTTGTGTTTGCACTATACTTGTTTACATTTTCAAAATCACTCTTGCAGGCAAGAACATACCAATTAGAATTTTTGCAGGACGAAAACAACAAAAAAAAAATGAGAACCAGCAGACTAGGAAAAATAATGCAACACATTTGAAAAACAGATAAGAAAACCATGAAGACGGTTTCCAGCTTCATCCATGGAAGCTGGAAACCATCATCTTCAGCAAACTATCGCAAAAACAAAAAACCAAGCACTGCATGTTCTCACTCATAGGTGGGAATTGAACAATGAGAACACTTGGACACAGAAAGGGGAATATCACACACCGGGGCCTGTCATGGGGTGAGGGGAGGTGGGAGGGAAAGCATTAGGAGATACACCTAATGTAAATGACGAGTTAATGGGTGCAGCACACCAACATGGCACATGTAAACATATGTAGCAAACCTGCACATTGTGCACACGTACCCTAGAACTTAAAGTACAATTTAAAAAAATTAAACATAAAAAAAAGTGCAGAAAAGGCAAGTTCTTTAGGCTGGGACAATCAAAAAAGTAGGTCATTATATGAACTAGGCTTCAAAAAAAAAGAAAAGAAAAGCATGAAGACTCCTATAGGTAAGTCAACAAAGGAAAGAAACAGAAAATTCACCAAAAAGGGAAATGCAATTAGCAAATCAAATATGGGAAAGTGTTTGATCTCAATGCACATTACGAGATACTATTTTTTCCTGATCATTTTATGTGTGTGTATTTTTTAAACTAAAAAATCCAAATACTCACAAGAATGAGGTGAAAGAGACACCCTTGTGTATTGCTAATGGCAATTAGCAATTGGTAATTTTGGAAAGGAGCCTAGCAATTTGTAGAAGAACTTTAAAATGCTCATTTTCATACTTTTACCCAGGAATTCCTCTCTGGGAAATCTATTCTAAGTAAATAATTCTAGATGTAGAAAACACTGAATGAAGATGTTAAATGCTGTGGTACATATAATAGAAAAAATTGTAATAATTCTTCAACTTCAGACGAATGGTATAACGAATTGAATTATATCCTCCAAAAAGGTATGTTGAAGTCCTAATTCCCAGCACCTTTGAATAGTACCTTATTTGGAAATTGGGTCTTTGCAGATGTGTTCAAGTTAAGATCCACCCTAATCCAATATGACTAGTGTTCTTATAAGAAAAAGAGAAGACATACAGAGTCACACAAGGATAGGCCATATGAGGATGGAGACACAGATTGAAGCAACGCATCTACATGGCAAGGGACTGCCTGCAACACCAGAAGCCATGAGAGAGGCCTGGATAAGCTTCTCCCCTAGAGCCTTCACAGACAGTATGGCCAGCTAGCATCTTGACTTTGGACTTTTAGCCTCCAGAAATGTGAGAGAATAAATTTCTGTTGTTTTAAGCCACTCAGTTTGTGGTAATTGGTTACCACAGCTCTAGGAAACTAATACAAACAGTAACATCTTTATGTTAGTTGAGAAATAATTTCTTAAAGAAATATGCAGCCAATAAAAATAAATTAGAATGAATTAGACTTAGAAAAAGGAGCACAATGTATTATATGTAAATAGGTAGGGTATGATAGCATATGAGGTTATGAATACTATATGCTAAAACAATTCACTGGTGCATAGAAAAAAGACTGGAAGGAATTTCAAGAAAATATGGAAAGTGGTTGCATTTGCATAGTGAAATATCAGTATGTTTTCTACTTTTTTGGAGTTCTCAATTTTCTTTAATGAAAATCTATTCATAATCATCATAGTTGGTTGAAACTAATCAAGACTCATACCTAGGACTAGGGCTGGACTCATCTCTTATAAAATCCTTGGACTTGAAGTTGATAGGTCTGAACAAAATTGGTTCTAATTAACAAGAAAGAGCATAGGATGGTTAGGTAGGCAACTAAAAACTTCTTGTACATTGTTGTACAATGTACAAGATTGTAAAACAATATGTACAAGTTGTAAAAACATCTTGGTCCATTAGGATTGCTGTAACAGAATACTATAGACTAGGTGGCTTATAAACAACAGGAATTTATTTCTCATACTTCTGGAGACTGGGAAGTCCAAGATCAAGGCTCCAGCAGATTCAGTGTCTGGTGAGGGCTCTCTTCCTCACAGCCAGCTGTCTTCTCATTATAACCTCACATGGTAGAAGGAGCCTCTTTTCTATGAGCACTAATTCCATTTATGAGGGCTCTCCCTTCAGGAACTACTCTCCTCCCAAAGTCTTCACTTCCTAATACCATCACTTTAGAGGTTAGGATTTTAACGAATGAATTTTGGGGTAACACAAACATTCAGTCCATTGCATATCAGGTCCTTGTCTACTTCAAGTTTTGATAGAAGCTGTGAAGAGGAGGACAATAAAAATATTATAGCTAATGGGGAGAAGGAAGAGTGTCCTTCCTGAAGAGCAGGTGTTACTACTGAGTGACCATTAGTTCATTGGTAAAGCTCAACTTAATGTGACACATGTTGATTACCTAAGAGCCAATCTTAGAATAATAGACAAACTAACTTTCAGTATTTTTGTGAAACCAAACACTAGCAAATTCCCTACAGTTCTTTCTTTCACAGAGGTGCATGTTTTACTCAGTCAACCACAAAAGTTACATTCACAAAATTCACTGGTATATATTCATAATTTAGTTGTGCATACCCTGACGTATCAGTTTATTTAAACAGGCATTCATTCATATTTCTTGAAAACCTACCAAAAACCCAACACTGGATCAATAATTCATAATACAACACTGAACAAAAACATCATGATTCCAACCCTCAAATATCTTCTAGCCACACTGGAGAAACAGACATTAAACAAAGTATGGCATATAATAGAAAACTATATTGTGACTAAGTGACACAAACAGAAAGCAACAGGTGCCATCATAAGAGCAGATAATAAGGAAAACTATTCTAGCTTGGAAAGACAGGGAAGGTATAGGTAAGATGAGGTTAAACTGATTTCTGAAGAGAAAGGAATTTGCCAAGCAAATTGGAGAAGTAGAGTGATGTTAGTGCTCTGAATAGAAGGAACAGCTTGTGCAAAGTTTTCAAGTCTAGAAATATTCCAGTTGATTTGAGGGGCTAAATGAAGGCAGCGTAATTGCCATGGAATAAGCCAGGCCGGAAGTAGTGAGAGATGAGGGAGTGCACACAGAGCCCTGTAGACAATGTTACAGATTTGGGTCTTAATCCAGAGTGTAATGGAAAGCCACTAATGGAGTTTACTTCCTGACCAGCAGGTGTCACTACTGAGATGACCATTAATTCACTGATAAAACTCAACATTAGTGTGACACATATCACTTAAGACTCATGAATGAAAAATAAATTTGCATGCTATATGCCACTGATATTTTTAAGGTTTGTTACACAGCAATAGCTGACTGACCCACAGCCTTCCCTTCTTTTAGGAATTGTTTGCAGCTTATGGTCCAGGAAATGTTTTCTCTCTCTCTCTTTTTTTGAGACGGAGTTTCACTCTGTCACCCAGGCTGGAGAGCAATAGCTCAATCTTGGCTCACTGCAACCTCTGCCTCCTAGGTTCAAGCGATTCTCCTGCCTCAGCCTCCCAAGTAGTTGGGATTACAGGCACTTGCCACCATGACTGGCTAATTTTTGTATTTTTAGTAGAGACGGGGTTTCGCCATGTTGGCCAGGCTGGTCTTGAACTCCTGACCTCAGGTGATCCACCCACCCCAGCCTCCCAAAGTGCTGAGATTACAGGTGTGAGCCACTGCGCCCAGCCCATTTTCTCTAATTTTTAAAAGCTACTTTTTCTTATTTATTTATTGTTTCTAAAATAAATATTTTATTATTTTTTTAAAAAAATTCTATCATTCTCAGGTGTTTGATGTGGAAGGAAGATATTTCAAATAGTTCTCAGGCTATCATTTTGAAATTTGAAACGTGAGTATGACATTGAATCAGTTATGAGATTATTTCAACTGGTTTGATCACAAAAGCTCTAGGAATTTAAGGAAAGACTGAAGTAAGACTGAAGACTACAAATTCAGGAATAACTTTCAAATTACAACAAAGGACTGCTTCAGAAGTGGCACAACCACTGCCACTTCTGGGCAGAGATAACATGGATTGTTCCTCTGATGCTGGGGGCACCACTAGAACCTCTGCCAACACTGCTACTTCTGCACAGCAATGGACCACGTGCCTGTCACTGCCTAGCACCTGGATATCCATTACACTAGTTTCCACATGGACATCTCACACCATTGTGTCTGACCCAGAGCAAGGAAAGTTGGAAGGTGAGTTTCTGGCTTTCACCTTGGAAAGAAGCAAACTCATAAGATAGGAATGTCCTTAAACATAGAAAAGCAGCTTAAAAGGTTTACAGGGATGCCTTATAATCACTACTTGGTTATGTTGGAGGTGAAAAAAATTAAAAGTAAACAAGACAAGTCTATACACTTAAGGAATCAAGACTACAGTTCTCAATTACAGTTCATCAAGATAACACACACAGATGCCCTTGTTAGGGAATCTGTCACATAGGCATTCAACAAATGACAAATCAGTCAACCAATCAATAAAACCACAAACCACTGCCATAAAATGAAGCACGATTACCCCTTTATTCCAGACTTTTAGTCTTGCCTTTAATTCTCCAATGAGTTGCTTTGCTTTTTTGTTCAAATTTCCATATTTTACTTTATCACCTCGAATCTTCTGGTGCGATGATTTCATTTTACGGTACACGCTTGTCAGACCATGCCAGCTGCACCTACTTATGCCTTACCATCTCCTCGTCCACTGGGTAACAGTCTCTCCTGGAAAAGGTTCATTCTAGGTAGTTGGTCTGAATCAAGAATTTAAAGAGATAGAAGCATCAGTGGGCCAGTGATCCTCAAAACTGTCACTTGAAAGGCACAAATATATCTCCATTTTGGCATGCCTAAAGCTTTTTCCTATCATCTCAATAGTTCAAGGAGACAGGAAAGGGTGGAGAAACACACACACACACACACGTGTGTGTGTATATATGTACATATATGTATGTATATAAGTATATGTATGTATACATATATACACACATATATGTGTATATATATATATACATACACATTAGTGTGACAATCACTTAAGACTCATAAATGAAAAATAAATTTGTATGCTATATGCCACTGATATTTTTAAGGTTTTTTACACAGCAATAGCTGACTGACCCACCCATATGTATATATGTATACATATATACACATACATATGTGTGTGCGTGTGTGTGTGTATTTTCTTTCCTGTTTCACTTCCCCTTCCCTCACTTCTGTGTCCTGAACTCACACTTCCAAATAAACTTCCCATCCATGAACCATTGTCACAGTCTCCTTTCAGAAGGACCCAGGTTAAGATTCTCTCTCTTTTCCTCCTACCCTTCCTTCCTTCCTGAGCCTTTTCCTTTTTTCAGTGCTATTACCCATCTACTTTCACACTCTCACATATACATGTGTATATATATATGTGTGTGTGTAAGTACATATATATTTAGTGTTTCTCCACCCCTTCCTGTCTTCTTGAACGATTGAAATTCCACATGTGAAGTGAAATACAGAAAACAGCAGACCTAAGTTAATGATTTTTCTGGGAAAGACAAGGAAAAAGAAAATATAACTTTCCAACTTTGCTAATGTAAAAATACATTTTACACTTGTGTTTTTGGTAGATTGGGCAATAATGGTTAACCCACACTTTCCAAAATCTTTGGATAGACATTTACTGAACACTAGCCATGTTCCAGAACTGGGTTGGACACTGGGATAGAGTGGTAAGAAGTGCTGACATTTTACCTACCCAAATCTGCTGTATTTGAACTAGGTCTTCCAGTCAGATGATTCAAATAAGATCAAAATATCCGCTAATCTAAGAAAAAAGTTAATATCACTTCAAAAAAAAGGAAAGGCTAAGGGAAAAAAGAAAGAAAGGAAGGGCAGGAGGAAGAGAGAGAGAATCTCAGGCTGGGTCCTTCTGAAAGCAGATGGTGACAGTGGTTCATGGACGGGAAGTGATTTGGAAGTGTGAGTTCAGGACACAGAAGTGAGGGAATGGGAAGTGAAACAGGAAAGAAAAGAGCCATTTCCTTCCCTCCCTCACTTCCTTCCTTCTTTGTTCCTTCCTTCCTCCCTTCCACATTTCAAAATTCTTCTCAGTTAGATCAAGTATCCAGTCACCTGTGGCAGCCAATGGAAAATGGAAATGGAAGGAAGGGAAGGAAGGAAGGAAGGAAGGAAGGAAGGAACGAAGGAAGGAAGGAAGGAACGAAGGAACGAAGGAAGGATGGATCCTGGCAATTGTGATTTTTCTATCAGAAGCATCTAACAGAAACACAGCCCAAATATTTCTGCTTCTCCCACATTGGATAATTACAGCTTTTCTTTATTGATAATCTCATTTGATCTTCAGAACAACCCCATGAAGCAGGTATTATTTTTATTACAGTATTGTGCTTTAAAGTGTGAGCTGTGCTGTGAGACAGCTCGGAATGAAATACGGGCTCCATCACTCGTGAGCTTTGTGACCTTGGGCAAACTAACATGTTTATGCCTAAGTCTTCTTTAAATGGGCAATAATAAGTGCAACAACTGTTTGTTGTGAGTATTAAATGAGTTAATATTTGTAAAGCACTTAGAATTGGTCTGGCATATAGTAAGTTAGCTTTTATAAACACCTGTTTTTTGTTTTGTTTTGTTTTTCTGATGCTCTCAACTGTGGACAGATTTTGAATGCCTTCTGATGCATAAAATAGGAGAAGCACTCACATTAGCAGAATGACTTTGAAACTCTGCACAGTGTGATCCTCAACAGAAACAGTCCTAAACAAGGTTATGGGGGAGCCAAATGTGCAGGACCCAGCCAGGAAGACTTGGAACGAAGGGGTGGGGCTCAGCTGGGAAAGTGTGTTTTGAGCAAATACACATTTCACTGATCAACAGCTTCTTGCAGGATGTCCTCCCTAAGTCATTTCTGTAAAACATAAAATCTCCATTCTAGGCAGGGTGCCATATTTTTCCTTCTCTGCACCCAATGAGAGAGTGCTTCCTTCTCCCTGGCCATTTGCAGGGAAAATGAAGCCAAGATCCCATTTTAGTACAAATGCTCAACTTTTATGGAAATGTGTTTGGATAATTTACAAAGGACACCCCTCCTCTTCCACTCCAGTTGAGAGGTTTTAGAAACTCAGGGGGTTCTTTTCACTGCTTCCTACCCCAATTCTTTGTAGACTGGCAAAGAAGCTTCCTCTCCCTCACTCCTCAGCACCCCACTGATTCTACAATGTCTGGGAGGCCATCAGCATTTAAACAAAAAATGGTCCTCATCTGAAACCACAGAAACCCTATTTAGCACAATCAGGACTAGAGAGTCATTTAGAGAGCAAGCGCCTTCATTATAATGTGTGAAGCAGAGTCTCAACTGACTATGGAAGCCTTCAGCCTTGAAGGAAGAGAGGGGCTGGGAAGACAGAAAGCAGGAGGGACAGTAGAACATATAAGCCATTTTCCCAACTTGGGAGGTATATTTAACATCGGCAGAAAGCAATCATTGCAAAATGTGTATGTGTTTATTTATTTATTGGATTGAGTATACCCAGTCACCACTTTTTCTCTCTAGGGGCAACTGGAAGAACCAAAGAAAATGAGACTCACTCATATCTTGCTTTTACAGCTTGAACTACTCATATCAGACCTCATAAACACAAGTAATCTATTATATTCTCACCAGTTCTCACACCCACCCTTGGATTGCAATACAAATTCCATTTATATTCCTGACTCCTAAAACCAGAATGGACTCATGCTTCTGGATAGTTATAGCAAGGGTACCAGAAGCTGGCTGTCTGACTCATTCCTGCTTGCAAATTTTATCCATCTACTTTCACACTCTCACAAACACAGGCACACAGACCCAGTGGTCTCCTGTCCACTTTCTAGCCAAAGAATTTCACTCCTATTTCTTCAAAAACTATTTAAGCTTTCTGAGAATTGTGAAGAATTTTCTAAATAAAGTCCCCAAGAACCACAGATCTCTCCCATTTCCTCTATACACCCTTGTCTTCCTCTTATTCCCCACCTACATAACGACATGTTCCCTCATCTATCAAGCTCTGACTGTTTTCCTGTGCCTGTCCCTTTTTATTGATCCAAACAGGTTTTTTTTTTTCTTTTCCAATGGACCATGCCTGCCTTTCACGTTCCCACGCATATGAGAGCTGGGAGATCATCTCTCAAACTCCAGCCCTCTTGCTTCTCAGGCAAGACAATGAAGGCATGAGGAAAGAAGGGATTTGTCTGTTCCTGGATGACCATGAAAGTAATTATTACATTGTGACCCAGTATGCCAAGGTGCCAAAGAGGACAGAGATGCATCTTATACAAGTATTCAGTTTGCAAGTCTCTGAGTCATCTTGGAAGAAAAGGAGAGTTGACAACTTCAAGTGAATCCATCCAGCATGTTTATGCTGGTTGTGGAATATAAATTACTAATAGCTATAAGTTACCAGTGTGGGTTAGTGGGATCAGTCGCTGGCCTGGAGACACGGATTTGTAACCATACCTATAAACTTTATAAAAGTAAAGGAGAAGAAAACTGAATTTAAGTCAAGAAGAAAGGAGGGGAAGAAACAAAAATAAATCCAGCTTGCAGCACATTCAGCATTAACTATGAGGGGAGCTGGCTCTCTGACCTGCTTCCTCATAGTTGTTGGTACCTGTTGCCCCAGAATCTTGCAGACCCTGTCACAAGATTAAAATTCCCCTTAACGGCTCTATAGATAACAACTTAGGCATTGTGAAGCTTAAATTTTCTATTTGGAGATGTTCTTTCAGATCCTGCATACCAGTGAAACTACTAAGAAGAGGCTGACTCACTGAAGAATGCTGTTCCTACATTCTAATGATTTCATCCCCCTTAATACAAGTAGCCAATGACCTCAATTTCCCAGCCCCTCACTCTCCACAATCCCCTTAAAAACTCCAGCCCAGAACTTCTCAAGGAGCTGAATTTAAGTATCCCTCTCATCTCATTCAGCCATCCTGTGATAATTGAACTCTTTCTCTGATGCAAACCTTGCTGTCTCGATGTATTGGTATGTTACTGCACAGTGGGCATACAAATCTGTTGGTCTGGTAACACATTCAAAATTCATCTCTACTTCTAATGCCATGGGCAATTTGCTTATGCTCTCTGTGATGGTTAATACTGAGTGTCAGTTTGATTGGATTGAAGGATACAAAGTATTGTTCCTGGGTGTGTTTGTGAGGGTGTTACCAAAGGAGATTAACATTTGAGTCAGTGGACTGGGAAAGACAGACCCATCCTCAATCTGGGTGGGCACCATCTAATCAGCAGCCATCAAGGCCAGAATAAAAGCAGGCAGAAGAACATCAAAAGACTAGACTGGTTTAGTATTCTGGCCTACATCTTTCTCCCATGCTGGATACTTCCTGCCCTCGAACATTGGACTCCAAGTTCTTCAGCTTTGGGACTCTTGGACCTTCGACCACAGACTGAAGTCTGCACTGTAGGCTTCCCTACTTTTGAGGTTTTGGGACTTGGACTGGCTTTCTTGCCCCTCAGCTTGCAGATGGCCTATTGTGGAACCTTACCTTGTAATTGTGTGAGTCAATACTCCTTAATAAACTCCCCTTTATATATATGTCTATCCTATTAGTTCTGTCCCTCTACAGAACCCTGAGTAATACATTCTCCAAGTCTCCATTGCCTTGGTTTCCTCATCTATAAAATGGGGATATTGATAGAGCACTCATGAAGTTATTGTAAGGATTAAATGAGGTCCTACATTAAAATAATAAAAAAGTTACTATTTATTGAGCACTGAGCCAAGTGTTTTAAAATCCGTTTTCCAAAGAAAAACACCGAACCTCAGAGAAATTACATAACCTTGTCCAAGGTGACACAGGCACTAAGCAGCAGAGGTAGAACTCAAACCCCTACCTGTTGATGCAACGACAATGCTTCCCCAGCCTGTTACTCTGCTTACCATGGCATCAGATATCACTCTGCCCCATCCCAGGTTCAAAGGCTACAACATTTAAGGGTCTTATCTGCCTGTCTAAGCCACCGAACAACACATATCTTAGCACCTGCTGCTTTGCCTGTTTTCTTTAGCCATTTATAACCATATGAACAAACCTTTTAGATTTTACAAAAGCCAAATATGTGAAATTTATTGTCACCGATGATCCTGTTTCGAGGCAAGGACTTGTCAACACCTGGAACTTAGGGTGCAATTGGGCATATCTTTAGAGCTAATTTAATTTACCCAGAGTAACCAGCATGTTCAATTGTGACCGTGAAGCAGCCAGGCAAACCTTAAATCTAGAACAGCTGAATATGTTTTGGGATTTTTTTTTTTTTTTTTTTCCCTTCCTCACTCAGCTAGCAGCAATCAGTGCCAAGTGTCCAGCAAATGTCATCTAGGCGCTGGCCAGGCACAAAGTCTCCTGGGTAGTTCTGTGACCACATGGCCCTGTCTTGCTGAGCGTGGCTACATCTCCCCACTTATACCCCCTCCTTCAGTTCCATCTTTATTGTTCTGAGTTATTATTCTCCACAAAGCACTGAACTGGATTCTGAGTAGAGTGCAGAGATAATCATGAAGAGATCTGTACACTCTGGGCACTTAACATGTTATCAAAGTGGATTAAACAAAAATATAATTAGCAGTGTGCTTACCCTAACAGTTGTCCAGATAAAGTGATATAGAAGATGGAAGAACAAGGAAGGGTAAGGTACAATTATTATAGGAAAGAACTTACTGAGGAGGTAATATTGAGATGGGTCTAAGGGTTTACTTATCCATCTCTTCTTCCCAAGGTCATGACCCTGGGGGAGGGGAGGTTCTAACATCAGCCATGTTCTGTGCCAGAATCTGCCTAAACAATCCATTCTTCATATCTATCTGTTTTTTGTTTAGTACTAAAGGCTGACTTGATGGACATCCTCAAATGAGCACAATAGTCCACTGTATCTTTTCCAAAGTCTAAATAACTCAGTCTTCATTAGCACAATGTTGAGGATACCAAGTGTGATGGTTAATTTTATGTGTCAGTTTGACTGGGCCACAGGATGGCCAGATATCTGATTACACATTAGTTCTGGATATTTCTGTGAGGTTATTTCCAGAAGAGATTAGGATTTGAATTGGTAGACTGAGTAAAGCAGATGCCCTCCACAATGTGAGGGGGCATCATCCAATCTGTTGAAGGCTTAAATAGAACTAAAAGGTGGAAGAAGGTTGAGTTTGTTCGTTGTCTGACTGCATGAGCTAGTAAGTAAATCTTTTCCTATCCTTGGAGCTCCTGGTTCTCAGGCCTTCGGGCTTGGACTTGAATCTATGGCACTGGCTCTCAGTCCATTAAACTACACCACCAGCTTTTCTGGATCTCCAGCTTGCAGACAAGCAGATTGTGACATTTCTCAGTCTTCATAATTGAGTGAGCCAATACCTTATAATCTCCTACGTTAGATAAATATATAGATATATCCTGTTAGTTCTGTTTATCTTGAGAGCCCTCACTAACATACCAAGTGATATGGTTTGGCTCTGTGTCCCCACCCAAATCTCATGTTGAATTGTAATTCCCAATTTTGGGAAAGGGACCTGGTGGGAGGTGACTAGATCATGGGGGTGGATTTCTTCCATGCTGTTCTCGTGAGAGTGAGTGAGTTCTCATGAGATCTGATAGTTTAAAAGTGTGTGGCACTTCCCCAACCCCTTCTCCTATTCTGTCAGGGTAAGACATGCTTGCTTCCCCTTAGCCTTCCACCATGATTGTAAGTTTCCTGAGGCCTCCCCAGCCATGCTTCCTGTTAAGCCTGCAGAGCTATGAGTCAATTAAACCTCTTTTCTTCATAAATTCCCCAGACTCAGGTAGTTCTTTATAGCACTGTGAGAACGAATACACCAAATATTCTGTGTAAACCCATTCCTTAGGAGAAATACTTCCTGTTTTCCCCAAAAGCACAGTTGTGATAAAGATATACCCAATTTACAGTCATAAACAGGACACTGAATACCACGGAAGACAGCCAATTTATGGCTGGTTCAACAGCTTTTCTTGTTCCTTTACCTTCTTGTTACCACATACACGGAGAACTGGCCTGCCTGAGCTCAGCCCCATGGACTTCTCCCCCGACCCAGGCACACCTAGTGCACAAAGGCCTGGCACAGGCCTGCAACCAGCTGGTTCTCAGGCTTTTGCACGCGCTTCCGTTTTTCCAAGGTGCAGGTGGCTCTTCCTCAAATTGGAATAGTAAGATCTCAGATTTGTGCTTTGCATGGGCACGTAGAGGAAGCAGCCTCTTGAGTTCACATTGAGAACAGACTGTCAGGTTGAACAATCTTAAAAGGAGATATTTGTTCTTCTAATGCCCAGCCTCTCTCAACTTGTGTTTGGGTCTGCTCAATCCTCATGCAGACTATGCTACTCCAGTTACCTCTGCTCCTCATGAGCAGAAGCTAGCTGCCCAGCTGCTGAGAACATAGTCCATGTGTGAGAATGCCACTTCAGACCTCGGTAGGATTGTCTCCCAACTGGTTTATGCTCTGTTAGAGTGACACACCACCTATGCCACTACTTTCTTAATATATTTTTATTGATCTAAATAGATTCACTTCTGAAACTTAGCATGGTCCTAGGCAATAATATCTATAAAATCATAGTTTGATGTTCCAATTCTATATTTGCTATACATTGAAATAGATATATGACTGTCAAATTTTTTAAAAGTAATTGCCGCTCTACCACTTACGATCATTTGGCTTACCACCAGGGATGTGGGCAGACCACACTTAGGGAATTGCCTTCTGATGCTACAGTTCTATGATTATCACAGAAGAGGTTTGAATCTGCAAGAAGGAAGGGAGAGGTGGTACTAGTTCACTGAGGAAAACAGCACAGTGAAATAGATGAAATTAAAAAATGTAAGATAACAGCAGGAAGCACAGATTCAAAGGTTTTTAAATAGAGATAAGAGCTGCACTGATCTCTGGAGAGGAAAAAGTGTCCATTCTTGGCCTGTTTTTTCCAAGCCAGTGAGTAAATTTCTATTTGTGTTTAGAGAAGGGAATGTTGTTTTGTGCCCTTACTTGAAAAGAAAAGAAAGGATTTTACACATCTCTCTGTTTCAATTGGATAGAGAGGGCATTTCCTTTAATTTCCACCAGCATGTTTTTGTTTGTAGCTTGGGGTTGCCAGTTGAAAGAAAATGACAGCATTTTGCTGTACATATCAGAATGTGTACAGATGGCATAGTTTTTTATGAGACCTGAATCTATCTGTAAAGAAAAAGCCATGGAATACAATTAATTCACTAAATTTCAAACTCTATTTTTTGTGTGTGGGGGAACCAAAATCTTTTGTTTTTTGTTTTTGTTTTTGTTTTTTTGAGATGGAGTTTTGCTCTTGTTGCCCAGGCTGGAGTGCAATGGCGCCATCTTGGCTCACTGCAACCTCCACCTCCCAGGTTCAAGTGATTCTCCTGCTTCAGCCTCCCGAGTAGCTGGGATTACAGGCGCCCGCCACCATGCCTGGCTAATTTTTTGTATTTTTATTAGAGACAGGATTTCACCATGTTGGCCAAGCTGGTCTCAAACTCCTGACCTCAGATGATCCACCCGCCTCAGCCTCCCAAAGTGCTGGGATTACAGGCATGAGCCACTGCACCAGGCTGAACCAAAATCTTAACGGAAGTTTTCAAAATATGCTTAGCATAACCATAAAATATGTTGGCATTTTCTCCATGTATATCTACCGTCTCCCCAGAACACCATCTAGGTCACAGGTCTTGAAACTTTCCATACCATAAAAGGAGGAGCAACTCTGGGGAAAATTATTGATGTTGACAATATTTGTTTTTAATTATCCAACTCTGAATTTGAACACCTTTTCCTCTTTTGTAGTCTCCAATCCTCATGATACACGACACACATTCTAAAGGTTCCTGGAAACTTTTTCCATCACCTTGACAAAGATATTCACAGGAAAGCCTCTGACCTCATTCACCCCCGATAATATCTGCCACTGTTCCTCCTCCAGACACATTTGCAGGCTCTGACCTCACAGGAAGGATAGAGTGAGGAGACGAGAGTGTGGCATATTGGAAAGAGTATTATATTTGCAGTAAAACGAGCTGAGTTCAAACCCCAAGTCAGACCATGTGACTAACTGCTTGTCTTAGGGAAAGCAAACTTTTCTTCCAAACAGAGCCAATTTACCTGGTTTGCTCTGGTGGCAGTTGAAATATTTTTGTGATTATAAATAGTTGTTGCCCCAAGATTCCTTGGTGTACCTTCCCATGGCCCCAGCCATCCTAACTTGCTCCTGGGGAACTCCAGGACCTATGGCCAGAGTACCTCCAAATCGTCTCTGCCTGTGTTTTTCCAATTGCTAAATATGTCAAATATCTTTCTTGGTCTCTGTGCCCTAATCTGTATAATGGGGTAATAATAATACAAACCTCAAGGATTATCATGGTGATTAAAAGAAAAAAAATGAAAGCATCTGAAATTTAACAAATGATCAACAAATGCTAATTGTCTTTGCTCTTCATGTCAAAAGGATTCAGCCTTCAATCACAGAGAACTTTCTTTCCCATTATTACAAATAAGTATTTTCAAACTCAGGACTCAAAAGATACCCCTCAACACACACACATATACACACAGACACACATAGGGCCCTTGTCACAACAATTTTGTAGCCCAAAGATCAGAGGGCCTTGCTAATGTCACAGCCCTTAATACTAGGCAAATATGATGATAGCCTTGAAAATACAGAGTTCCATGTCACCAAAATCTTAGCTCTCTCATGTCCTTCCCTCCCTGCCTCTAAACTCCCTTTCATGGGCTGTCAGATCAATTTTACAGCATGTTTGAGTAAGCTGATGAGGACCTGAGGGAGCAGCCCCAACTCTGCACTGGACTAATGAGGAGGGGAGCTGGGTTGCTGAATGCAGGGGAAAGCAAACTCCTCTTTCCTGTTCAAAATATGTGCTGAAAAGAGACCATTTTTGCTCAGTTGTGCAGTTTTTTTAATGTTCCCCAGTCAATTGAGCCCAAAAGTATAAATCCGAGCTTATGCCTGACACGGATTTTTTTCAATCAGCCTATTTTAATTGCATAAATGTTCATCTTTGTCTTGAAGGGAAAATATAATACATAGTTCAGTGGAAAAGGATGTCACCTTGATTGGTATAATTAAGACTTTCTGTTCCAATGCACTGTATAAAGACCAGAAGCCATACAGGTTTTCTCCTTTCATATCACCTCTAAAAACTAAAGACCTTTAACCCCAATCTGTTTTTCCGTTTTTATTTTTTTAATTAAAAAAGAGTATATGCAGAGGCAAAAAAAATTACTTATATTGCTGCCATTAAATATCCTCATCCTTCCCAAACTCTAAGGTGATTTTTTTGTGTGTTTTGCATGTATTGCAATAATGTCAGTATCAAGGAGGAGTCTCCATGGGGTGACAGAGTGGAGGCCTCCTCTCTTGCCAGGAAACTGAGAGTTTGCTTTGAGCTCTCTTGCACACCCAAAGTTGCCACTGGGTTAGAAGTTTCTAGTTGTTTTAAGAAAACATGGTTTAGCTTTTATATCAATTATAAAACATTGTTTAGACCCATCATGGGTTGAATTGTGTCCCTCCAAGAGCTATTATTAAGTCCTAACCCCCAGCACCAGTGAATCCAGTGAATGTGCCTTCATTTGCAAATAGTCTTTGCAGATGTAATCAAATTAAGAGGAAGTCATGCTGGATTACAATCAGCAAAAATCCAATGACTGCTGTCCTTATGAGAAGTCCACGTAGAGATACAGAGATGCAGAGATGCAGATGCACAGGGAAGAAAGCCAGTGAAGACAAAGGCAGAGATGGGAGTGATGCAGCCACAAGCCAAGGGATGCCAAGAATTGCCAGCAATCATCAATTGCTGGAAGAGGCAAAGAAGGATTCTTCTCTAGAGCGGCTAGAGGGAACATGGCCCCACCGACACCTTGATTTCAGAATTTTGGCATCCAGAACTGTAAGAGAGTAAATTTCTATTGCATTAGTTCACTCAGTTTGTGGTAATTTCTTACAACATCCTTAGGATACTAATATAAACCCAATTCCTAGGATTCAACAAGGAAAAAAGAAGATAACACTGCCTACCATTTTGTGGGAACAAGATAACATGGCCAAGGCTCCTAAACAGGTTGAAGTACGTGCTGCTTTTACAAGCCCAACCTGAGGAAAAAGTGTGACTGCATCCTTGTTCCCTGCAACAGTCTCTTCTGACTTCCTCCAGAGCATTCTGGTGCTTCAGATTCTCTTTGCCATTTTATTTTGTTTTATTTTATTATTTTTTGAGACTGAGTTTTGCTCTTGTCGCCCAGGCTGGAGTGCAACGGCATGACCTCGGCTCACTGCAACCTCCACCTCCAGGGTTCAAGCGATTCTCCTGACTCAGCCTCCTGAGTAGCTGAGATTACAGGCACCCACCACCCACCTAGCTAATTTTTGTATTTTTAGTAGAGATGGGGTTTCACCATGTTGGTCAGGCTGGTCTCGAACTCCTGACCTCAGTTGATCCACCGACCTCAGGTGATCCACCTGCCTCAGCCTCCCAAAGTGCTGGGATTATAGGCATGAGCCACCACACCCGGCCCTCTTTACCCTTGTAGAATTTCCAAGTTACAGGACTGGGAAAAGCCAATTTGCAACCAAAACACACATATTGGGGTCAAACATACATGACGTCGAATCCCTGCTCAGCCACTGATTAACTCTGTTTTCGCAGGGTGTTAGGAGATCTCCCTGAGCCTCACTGGCCCATTTCCAAGTTGGGGAGAGTAATGCCAACTTCACATGGTTTGGAGATGTTTACATAAAGTAATTTATGTTAAAATTCTGGTATCCACCAGTTCCACAGTAAAATGTAATTTCCCTCATTTCCCCTTCTCAAGAGACATACATACTATTAATTAAAGATTGCAAGTAGACGTTACACACTGCTGGTTAAAATGCAAATTAGTTCGGCCACCATGGAAAGCAGTCTGGACATTTTTCAAATAACTAAAAATACAACTACCATTTGACCCAGCAACTCCACTACTGGGTATTTACTCAAAGTAAAATAAATTGTTCTTCCAAAAAGACACATGCACTCACATGTTCATCCCAGCACTATCACAATAGCAAAGACATGGAATAATCTAGGTGCTAGTAAGTGGCAACTGGATAAAGAAAATGTGGTACATACACAACATGGAATACTATGCAGCCATAAAAAGAATGAAATCATGTCCTTTGCAGCAACATGTATGCAGGGGAGGCCATTTATACTAAGCCAAGTAATGCAGAAACAAAACCAAATACCATGTGTTCTCACTTACAAGTGGGAGCTAAACTCTGGATACACACAGACACAAAGATAGGAAAATAAGCACTAGAGATTCCAAAGAGAGGGAGGCAGGGAGTGGAAAAGGATTGAAAAACTGCCAATTGGGAGTACTGTGTTCACTACCTGGGCGACAAGATCATCAGAAGCCCAAACACCAGCATTATGCAATATACCCAGGTGGCAAACTTGCACATGTACCCTCTGAATCTAAAATTAAAAATAATAATAATAAACATTGCAAGAAGATGAGTGCAGAGAAGTCAGATAAAACAAGGAGAAGATTAAGAGTCCCTGAGGACAGAGGTTGTCTGGAACCCACCATGGGCCAGGCACTCGGCTAAATCCTTTACAAGTGCTGGTTCAGAGGCTCCTCACGTATAACCTATGAAGCAGGTGCTATTTCGTCCCAGTTTTCAGGAAAGAAACTAAAGCTTAAAGCAGAACTTATCTGCCACTACACTATTAATATTTTCAGACCACATAACGTTTTATAAGTTGGTGCTGTTCTGTGCATTGTAGGATATTTAGCCACATTCCTGGCCTCTACCCATTAAAACAGCCCTCTCCCTCAACTGGGACAACTGAAAACGCCTATAGACATTGCCAAATGTCCCCTGGGGAGCAAAATTACCCCCGTTGAAAACCACTGGTTTAGAGAGATTAGCTATTATTCCAACATCACAAAGCCAGCATAACCTAGGTTTTCAAAACCTACGTGAGTATTGTTAGCCAAGAATGACAGAGAAGGTGATCTTTTGCCCTAAAACAGAGACAACTGACTTTTCTCCCTGTTGCCCTGGTAATGCTGGCTTTTGATGAGAGCAGAAGGAGGTACTGTTTATATGCAAGGCAAATAAGAAGACAGAGTGAGGATACAGGGCTTGAATCAGGAAGATTCTTCACGGGTTTTAAGGTAGGCAGTAGAAGATACACTAATCCACCCTGCAGTGTGGGGCAAACTCTCTTTCCATATTAACTGCATTTTTAGATAGTCTCATAGTCAACTGCATTGAAGAAATCCATGCCCAGCCTGACTTGCAGCTACATGTGGCCAGGTGACGTGTATCTGGCCAATGGGATGTGAGTGGGAGTGATGCTGGCTTCTTTGGAGACATGTGCTTAAAAGGAAGGCGGATCCTTTCCTGCTTAGTCTCTGCTCCATCCTGATGCTTGGTGGATGGATACAGGATGAGCCATCTAGCACCATGTAGACAAGGACAACGTGTTAGAGATGGCAGAGCAACGAGACAGAAGCTGCCTGGGCCCTGGCAATTTTGCAGACCAGAACTTCCAGACCACCTGAACTTTTAGATGAGATCAAACCAAGCTTCCATCTTTCTTTAAGCCACTGTCATTTTGGGCCTCTGCCATCAACAGCTGAGGCAATAGTTAGATCTCTCTAATACAAGGTATAGATGCCTTCAGAATAATACACTAGGCCTTGTGAAATTTGCATTTAATAGGGCCCATACCTTCACCTAAGTAATTACTCAGTGGTTGAAACCCAGCTACTGATGAAAAATAGGCAGGAAAATAGGTGGAAAGCAGTCTTCCTAATCTCTCTAAATCATACTATATGAGTAATTATGGTAGGTAATATTCATTGAATGGTCATATGTGCCAATAATTGTTATAAGTGTTTCATATACACTCACTTATTGAATGCATACCTCAGTCCCCTGAAGTATGTATGATTATAATCTCCATTTTAAAATAATAGAAACTGAGGAAAAATAAGATGAAATAAGTTGCCTAAAGTCACCCAGCTTATAAACACAGGGTAGAAATTTGAGCTCAGCCAACTCCATGCCAAAATGTCAAAACCTGCACCTTCAACTCCTGCTCTGCCAACTCAGATATCCACCCCTCGGTGCAGAAGGATTTAATGATTTTCTCCTTCTCTCTAGTTCTACAGACCTGTGGTTCCATAGATCCCTCGGCTGGAGGACTGCCTTTCATATGTTGTATATGTAATTATTTGGTGCAATCACCATGGTTATTAGAAATAGGTGACTCAGCCTTAAATATCTGATAGTTATAACCGAATACCAAGCAAAGTAAATGTTACTCTCTGGGGGAAATCTCTAGTTTAATAACATAGGTGGTAAAACAAAATTTTACAGTTGTCCTTGATGAGTCACTTTGGATAGGAAAGTTTTCTAGATAACTAAAAATTTAGTCATTTTAGCTATAGAAAATTTAAAAAACTTATGAAGGACTTCAACTTTGGAGAAGATGGAGTGAATGTGCTTTTTCCTATTCCTTCTGTTAAGCACACTTAAAACCTTGGATGTTATAGGTAAAATAAATATGAGAAGGCTATGAAAAGTAGAGAGAAGAAGATAGGCCAGCTAGGGAACTCAGGGCCCAAGCTCCTTCCCTCATATATCCCAAACTGTTCCTAAGGAAGCCAGCAGCCCGTAGATGTGAGCAAGCACAGACAAAATAAAGCCCAACAGAAGCCTGCTTCCTCCACCAAAGAACCAGGAACAGGGCAACCCAACAAGCGAACCAAGCTTCCATCTTTCAAGTCAGAAAACTTCCAGAAAATAGCAGCTCATCTCCAGCCAAACCCAGCAGAAAATTCTGTGCTCCACTCATGTCTGCAAAAGTCCAGTAAAAAGCCTAGATTTCTATCCCAACTGAGATGTAATGAGGCTCCCCAGTTCCCCACTGGGAGAAAGAGGATATCAAAGGAGGCTGAATATAAAAATAGGACCTTCATCTTTGCTGGGCAGTAGTAGCACCCCACATGGAAGTAACTGGGTGCACCTCCCACTCCACACTAAGTTGGTGTCCGAGGAGGCTTAGTGGAAAGTTAGGATTTTCAATACAACCCAGTGGTAGTGGGGCTGGCCCTCCACCTCTCCACCACGATGTTGGTGGGGGTTATGTGGGGAGAAGTAAGAAGGTATTCCTACCTCTTCCAGCCAAGGAGGTATCAGTGGAAGCTCAGAAAAGATCTGGAGCTCTCACCTTACTCACCAGTAATGAGGACCCTCCCAGCATTGGATGTCAATGGAGGCCGAGTGGGGAAGTGGAACTTCTTCCCACACCTGACAGTAATAAGGCGGCACTCACCCCTTCAATTCAATAATACGATGGTGTCCACTTTCATCACTCTTATTCACCACAGGGATGGAAGTTCTAGCCAGTGCTGTAAGGTGAAAACAAACAACAACAATGGAAATAAAAGACATGCAAGTGAAAATGGAAATAAAGAAATTAAAACTGTCCCAACAGACACTGAAAATTAAAAGGCAATAAATACCACTTGCAATTGAAAAATAAAAATGCTTAGTTTTAAATCTAACAAAACATACACAGGGCTTGTATGCTAAAAATTACAAAACACTGATGAAATAAATTACAGATCAAAATAAATGGAGAGACATGCTGAGTTCATGATTTGAAAAAAGCAACACAATAAATACATCAATTCTCTTCAAATTGATATGCACATTTAATGCGATTCCCATAAAAACTCCAGCAAGATTTTTTGTAGGCATAGATAGGTTCATTCTAAAATTTAAATGGAAAAGCAAAGGAACTAGAATAGCTAAAACCATTTTGCAAAATAATAAAGTGGAAGGAATCAGTCCTCCTGATTTTAAGACATATTATATAGCTACAGTAGTTAAGACTGTGTGGTCTCGGTGGAGGGATAGACACATAGATCAATAGAAGAGAATAAAAATCCAGAAATCGGTCCACAAATATATCCCCATCTGATCTTCGACAAAGTTATACAAAAGCAATTCAACAAAAGAAATGGAGACTTTTCACAAATGGTGTTGAAGCAATTGAATCCATAGGAAAAACAATGAAACTTGACCTAAGCTTCACACCTAATACAAATATTAATTCAAAATTATAAACTTAAATGTAAAACATAAAGCTACAAAACTTATAAGAAAAAACAGAGGATAAGAATCTTCAGGATTTAGGGTTAGGCAAGGAGATCTTACACTTGACAGCAAAAGCATGAACCATAAAAGGAAAAATTGGTAAACTGAATTCCATCAAAAGTAAAAGCTTTTGTTCTGCAAAAGATCCTGTTGAAAGGATGAAAAAACAAGCTACAGACTGGGAGAGAATATTTGTAAACCACATAGCTAGTAAAGAACTAATATATATATATATATATATATATATATATATATATATATATATATATATATATATATACACATATATATATGTAGATATTTCTCCAAACTCTGAAGTTAAAAAAAAAAAACCTAAACAATCTAATTAGAAAATGGGCAAAGGACATGAATAAACATTTCACTACAGAAGATATACAGGTGGCAAACAAGCACCTGAAAAGATGTGGAAGATCATTAGCCATTAGTCAAGTACAGATGAAAACCACAATGAGATATCATTACACACTTATCAGAATGATTGAAATTAAAAATAGTTATAATACCAAATGCTGGCGAGGAAGCAGTAAAACTGAATCACTCATACATTGCTGATGGGAATTTTAAATGGCACAGCTACTCTGGAAGAGTTTGACAGTTTCTTACAAAACTAAACATGTAACTACCATAGGACCCTGGAACTGCACCCGCTAGGCATTCATTATGAAGTAATAAAAACATATGTTCACATAAAAATGTGTACATGGAAAATTATAGCAAATTGATTCATAATAGTCCCAAACAGGAAACAACTCAGATGCCCTTCAATGGGTGAATGGTGAGACAAACTGTGGTATATCAATACCATGAATACTACTCAGCAATAAAAAGGAATGAATTATTGATATACACAATGACATGAATGAATTGTCAAGGATCTATGCCAAATGAAAAAAGCCAATTCTGAAAGCTTACACACCATAAGGCCCTTTTATAAAACATCCTCAAAATGACAAAATTATAGTAATGGTTAAGAAAGAAATGAAGGGCTCTGTGGTCATAAAAAGGCAGGAGGAGAAATACCTGTAGTGATGCACCTGTTGTGTATCTTGACTGCATTTGTGTTAATAGCCAGTTGTGATCTTTAGTATAGATTTGCAAGATGTTACCACAGTAGGGAACTGGATAAAGGGTACATAGGATCTTTTTATATTATTTCTTACAACTGCACATTTATTATAATTACCTCAAAATTAAAAGCTTAATTTAAAGCAATTTGCACATTTGTGAGTCTTTCATAGTTACCTACTTTCCCAATATATTGATTGTATTTTAACCTTCTCTAATGACCCAATGTCTCCTCACACTGTCTTCCTTTTACTTTTGTTTTCTATAGCACTTATCACTTCTAGCATGTTAGAACATAATTTAATGCTTCATGTTTACTTTTTACCACTTATCTTCCCCCACTAGAATAAAAGCACACCAGGGTCGGGTCTTAATCTGTAAGACCCTGTATTGTTTAATAATCCATTCCAAGTTCCTAGAATGGTACTTGGCACATAATAAGTGCTCAATAAATAAGTGTTGAACAAAGAGGTAAATTATTATAAATATCAGTGTATTAGGGTTCTCCAGGGAAACAGAATCAATAGAATGTGTACGTATATGTAGAGAAAGATACTTATTTTAAAGAATTTGCTCACACAATTACAGAGGCTAGCAAGTCCAAAATCTGCAGAGAGGGCAGCAGGCTGAAGACCCAGAAAAAAAGCCAATATAGCTCAAGACCAAAGGCCATGTGCTGCAGAATTCTCTCTTGCTCAGAGGAAATCAGTTTTTTTTTTCTACTCAGGACTTCAATTGATTGGATGAGGCCCACTCACATCATAGAGGGAAATCTGCTTTACTTGAAATCTACTGATTTAAATGTAATTCAAAAACACATCAGAGAAACATCTAGAATAATGTTTGACCAAGTATCTGGGCACCATGACCCAGACAGGTTGACACATAAAATTAACCATGACAATCAGTTATTGTACTAGGCTAAAATAGAAAAAAACCCTTGGAGTCTGTATGTATGTAGGATTACACACCCCTTCACTTAATGGTCATAAACTACTGTGCTTTTTACTGTGAGCAATTTATGTCTTCTTGTTTACCAGCAGGCTAGTAACAACCATATTTGCAGCAGTACTAATAGCAACCTCTGAATTTTCTATAATTTGCTGCTTTTAACATTTATAAATTTGGGAATTATTTAGACAAGTTTGTTACATCAATGCAAAGAAAAAGATTAGCAGGTCCTAAGAGAGGCCTAAAGATGCTCACCTGTGAACAAAGTGCAAGAGATTCAGAATAGACATAACTTGGAGCTCAGAGGCTATTTTTCCTATATCTTGGGCCTCAGCTGTGATCCTAATAATTAAGCTCCCCTTGCAAAAAAGAAGCTAAAGCTAGAAATGCACAAGCAAATTTATTTATTTATTTTTATTTTTATTTTTATTATTATACTTTAAGTTTTAGGGTACATGTGCACAATGTGCAGGTTAGTTACATATGTATACATGTGACATGCTGGTGCGCTGCACCCACTAACTCATCATCTAGCATTAGGTATATCTCCCAATGCTATCCCTCCCCCCTCCCACCACCCCACAACAGTCCCTGGAGTGTGATGTTCCCCTTCCTGTGTCCATGTGTTCTCATTGTTCAATTCCCACCTATGAGTGAGAATATGCGGTGTTTGGTTTTTTTGTTCTTGTGATAGTTTACTGAGAATGATGATTTCCAATTTCATCCATGTCCCTACAAAGGACATGAACTCATCATTTTTGATGGCTGCATAGTATTCCATGGTGTATATGTGCCACATTTTCTTAATCCAGTCTATCATTGTTGGACATCTGGGTTGGTTCCAAGTCTTTGCTATTGTGAATAGTGCCCCAATAAACATACGTGTGCATGTGTCTTTATAGCAGCATGATTTATAGTCCTTTGGGTATATACCCAGTAATGGGATGGCTGGGCCAAATGGTGTTTCTAGTTCTAGATCCCTGAGGAATTGCCACACTGACTTCCACAATGGTTGAACTAGTTTACAGTCCCACCAACAGTGTAAAAGTGTTCCTATTTCTCCACATCCTCTCCAGCACCTGTTGTTTCCTGACTTTTTAATGATCGCCATTCTAACTGGTGTGAGATGATATCTCATTGTGGTTTTGATTTGCATTTCTCTGATGGCCAGTGATGGTGAGCATTTTTTCATGTGTTTTTTGGCTGCATAAATGTCTTCTTTTGAGAAGTGTCTGTTCATGTCCTTCGCCCACTTTTTGATGGGGTTGTTTGTTTTTTTCTTGTAAATTTGTTTGAGTTCATTGTAGATTCTGGATATTAGCCCTTTGTCAGATGAGTAGCTTGCGAAAATTTTCTCCCATTTTGTGGGTTGCCTGTTCACTCTGATGGTGGTTTCCTTTGCTGTGCAGAAGCTCTTTAGTTTAATTAGATCCCACTTGTCAATTTTGGCTTTTGTTGCCATTGCTTTTGGTGTTTTAAACATGAAGTCCTTGCCCATGCCTATGTCCTGAATGGTAATGCCTAGGTTTTCTTCTAGGGTTTTTATGGTTTTAGGTCTAACATTAAAGTCTTTAATCCATGTTGAATTGATTTTTGTATAAGGTGTAAGGAAGGGATCCAGTTTCAGCTTTCTACATATGGCTAGCCAGTTTTCCCAGCACCATTTATTAAATAGGAAATCCTTTCCCCATTGCTTGTTTTCTCAGGTTTGTCAAAGATCAGATGGTTGTAGATATGTGGCATTATTTCTGAGGGCTCTGTTCTGTTCCATTGATCTATATCTCTGTTTTGGTACCAGTACCATGCTGTTTTGGTTACTGTAGCCTTGCAGTATAGTTTGAAGTCAGGTAGCCTGATGCCTCCAGCTTTGTTCTTTTGGCTTAGGATTGACTTGGTGATGCGGGCTCTTTTTTGGTTCCATATGAACTTTAAAGTAGTTTTTTCCAATTCTGTGAAGAAAGTCATTGGTAGCTTGATAGGGATGGCATTGAATCTATAAATTACCTTGGGCAGTATGGCCATTTTCACGATATTGATTCTTCCTACACATGAGCATGGAATGTTCTTCCATTTGTTTGTATCCTCTTTTATTTCATTGAGCAGTGGTTTGTAGTTCTCCTTGAAGAGTTCCTTCACGTCCCTTGTAAGGTGGATTCCTAGGTATTTTATTCTCTTTGAAGCAATTGTGAATGGGAATTCACTCATGATTTGGCTCTCTGTTTGTCTGTTATTGGTGTATTAAGAATGCTTGTGATTTTTGTACATTGATTTTGTACCTGAGACTTTGCTGAAGTTGCTTATCAGCTTAAGGAGATTTTGGGCTGAAACAATGGGGTTTTCTAGATATACAATCATTTAAAGCGGCCCGTTTAAAGCCAGACCATGGTCTCTGTTATGTCCTGGGTCCAAACTGGTCTTAGTTTTGATTTTCAAAAGAGCGTACCTTCAGACAAATACTTAGGAACTGGTAGTTCATCTGGGAGATGATCCCACACGTCCTGTGAGGAAGTGAGAAATCTGAGACAGGGAAGAAAGAAAAGCCAGTAAAGAGTACGTCAAAGAGCAGATAAACATGTTGGGCAACTGAGACTCAACCCCTGTGGTGACCCTCTGAGGCATCAAGTAGAACACCCCACAGCATTGTCCCACTGCAGACAGGTGACTTGGGGTTATTATCCACTACCCCATACTGCCAGGTTGTGTTTGGCTCCTGGAGAGAAAGCTCCTAAGGAGCTGAGAAAGGTCTCAGGTGAAGCAGATGAACGATCTGCTGCTTGAAGTGGGAGGATGTTAGCATGCTGAGAAGTCTACTAGGACTGCCAGTTAATTCAGAGGGGGCAGGAGGACAGGTGAGCAAAACGTCGACAGTGTCTGTTACTTATAGATGGCTTACTCTCAATCAGTCAGGATGTTAAGACAAAGAGACCAAGACAGAAAATCAACAAAGAAACATAGGAGTTAAACTATACACTAGACTAAATAGGCCCAACTGACATTTACAGAACAAATCACCCAACTGCTGAACAGTACACATTATTTGTATCCACACATGGAACATTCTCCAGAACAGACCATATCTTAAGCCACAAAGCGAGCCTCAACAAATCCCAAAATCATATCAATTTCTTTTCTGACCACAGTGGAATAAAACTAGAAATCAATAACAAGAGGAACACCAGAAAACATACAAACACATGGAAATCAAACAACATGTTCCTGAATGATCAATGGGTCAGTAAAGAAATTAAAAAAGAAAAATTTTAAATTTCTGAAACAACTAAATGTAACATCCTAAAATCTGTGGGATACAGCAAAAGCAGCACTAAGAGGGCAATTTATAGCAATAAACACTCATACCAAAAAAGTAGAAAGACTTCAACTGAATAATCTTGCACCTCAAGGAACTAGAAAAGCAAGAACAAACTGACTCAAAATTAGTAAAGGAAAATAAAAAGGATCAGAGCGGAAATAAATGAAATTGAGACAAAAAATACAGAAGATCAGCAAAATTAAAAGTTGGTTTTTTGAAAAGATAAATAAAATTGACAAACCATTAGGTAGATTAAGAAAAACAGAGCGCAGACCTAAATGAAATTAGAAATAAATAAGGAGACTAACAACTGAGACTACTGAAACACAAAGAATCCTTAGAAACTATTAGGAACAACTATATACCAACAAGTTGGAAAACCTAGAAGAAATGGATAAATTCCTGGACACATACAAACTCCAAGATCGAACATGAAGAAACAGAAAACTTCAACAAACTAATAATGAGCAATGAGACTGAAGTGTAATAAACAGTCTCTCATCAAAGAAAAGCCCAGAACTTGATGGATTCACTGCTTAATTCTACCAGACATTGAAAGAAAAACTAATAGCAAGTCTTTCCATTTCTAAAGAAAGAGATTCTCACAAAACTTCATCTCAATTTGTCCAATGGATTGTCTTCTGAATGTATAAAGTCTATCATCTTATATCAAGGTTTTTAAGAAAATCACTAAAGGTACTTAAAAACTTGGCCTTAATTATGTTTTAAAGAATTAATCAAGACCATTGGCAGTCATATGGCTAACAAGCCATTTAGGGTCATTCAGCTCTCTGGGTGCTTCCCAGAGAAACAAATTTGTAAAAAAAAAAAAAAAAAAAATCAAACACCTCTAGCTTTAATATACATGGAGAAGGACTTGTGGATTGGGGAATAGTTTGACAAGAGCAAAATTAACATAAACAGAAGTGGAAACATAATACACAAGACAAAATGAAGAAAATCAAACTGGTGTGCTTTCCAAGGCACTGGATTCTCCAGTGGAGGAAAGAAGGGACCATTAACCAAGTGTCTACTCTGTGCAAACACAGTGCTGGACATTTTATAACTATTGTCTTCTTTGGTCCTCAGAACAGCCCTGTGAAGGAAAACTTGTTATTTCCACTTTACAGATGAGGTAACTAAGGCTCAGTGAAGCAATTCACCCAAGTTTACACAGCAAGACTGAATCAGAATTCACTTCCTGCTTGTTTCATTTCCAGCTTCCATGTGCTTTCCTCAAGTTTCTTGCTCCTGGCTGTGCACCAGAATCATTTGTATCAAAGTAAGTTTCCCAGGCCCTACTCCAGACCTACTGAATCATGATCTCTGGGAATGGGTCCAAAAATTTCTATTGTAAATGTTCCCCAGGTAATTCTGCTCAGTCATACTTGAAAACTTCTGTTCATGATGGTTTTTTTCCCCTTGATGTTTCTGTAGTCAGAGAGGTAACATTGAAAAGAGACTGTAGCCAATTTAAAATCAGTCAACATTAGAGGGGCACCCAGGCTTCCTAACAAGAAAACATGCTCTAATACAGAGTTTGACAAACACCTTCTTTAAAGGCCAGGTAATAAATATTTTAGTCCCTGCCGTAACTACTCAACTCTGTCATTTGTGAAAGGAACTATACGTAAAAGAATGGGTGGGAGTGGTTGTGTTCCAATAAAACTTTATTTACAAAACCAGGCAGTGGGATGAATTTGGTCCATGGGCCATAGTTTGCTAACCCCTACTTTAACAGCAGGTGCTTTTGGAGGTGTTCCAGGCAAATGGACATCCTCTGATGCTAGGATACCACTCCAAAAGGAAAATTGTCTTTATTCATATTCATGGTCACGAGATTGAGTTTTATGTTCATGCATGTGACTAGACCACAACATAAATGATCTGGGTTTTTTTGGTTGATTTGATATTTTATGTAAATTATGACAATCAAATAGGCTACAGTATTAACCATGGCAACCACTGACTGAATGAATTGGCTATGATGGAGAATGTTCTCAGACTATAGCTTCAGAGGCACTAGAGCTTCATGGTAAAATATCTACTTATCTCAAACTATAAGAAACTTCATAATTTGAAGATTGAACAGGCAGGAAAAAGACTTTGTTCCTGTCAATTCTGGGTGACCACGAAAAACACTTAATCCTTCTATGCCTTACTTTTCTTACTGGCAATGTTAGAGGTTTCATCAGAGTCATTCAGTAGTTTTCTTGATGACCCTAGCACAGCTGATACTAAACAGAAACCTTAAGGAGACATCACCACTGGCCAGGGTATGGCAAAGGGATATCCACACAAAAAGTAATATGGATCTAGATAATCCATTTTACAGGATATAGTTTACTCATCTTCAGCTTTATTTTCATTACTGAAGCTTTTCCTTTCAATACATCTATTCTCCAGAGGGGCATTTCTAAACACGTAGACTCCTCATGTCTGGGCTAGGAGAGACAGCAGAGTATGTCAGAGTGAGGTTACCAAAGACCCATTTGTACAGTTCATGTTTCTGCTTGACAATCTGGAACTAATAAACCAGATGATAAGAAAGTTCCTGCCCACAAGGGGTTCCAGCAGGAGAGACTTCTAGTGTAAATATGTAATGCCATATTTTAGTATAACACAGGTAGTGTAATATCATGTATTATATATACATACATACACACTGATATGGTTTGGCTGTACCACACCCAAATCTCATCTTGAATTGTAGTTCCCATAATACCCACATATGGTGGGATGAACCTCGTGGGAGACGACTAGGTTATGGGGGCAGTTCTCCCATGCTGTTCTCATGATAGTGAGTGAGTTCTTATGAGATCTGATTGTTTTATAAGGGGTTTTCCCCACCTCGCTCTGCATTTCTCCTTCCTGCGACCATGTGAGGAAGGAAGTGTTTGCTTCCCCTTTCACCCTGATTGTAAGTTTCCTGTGGCCTCCCCAGCCCTGTGGAAATGTGAGTCAATTAAACCTCTTTCCTTTATAAATTACCCAGTCTCATTTATTTTTTCATAGCAGCATGAGAATAAACTAATACACACACACACATAATAATATGATTAGATTAGTCCAAAGTGAAGCTACCAACTCATTGGAGCCTGGCCAGTCTGGAAGGAACACCTAAGGCCTCTTGTAACCCTAAGTCTACAATTCTGGGGCACACAGTGGGTGACATTCTGTATTTTCAACTCATAGTAGCAACAAGGGCTAATTTGTCGGAAGGTTGGAAGCACCGGTTTCCATTTGACTGCCTAACTTAAAAGACAGGAGAACATACCTAGGAATTTAACTTCTGTGAACCTATCCCAACAAAAGGTGTTCTAAACATCTTCAATATCCTCTCAAAATGCCCATCTCTAGCATGACCACCCATTCATTTATCTGAACTTCTCTTGAGGCTATTTATTTTCACCCCATTACCTTACAGCATAACAATGGCATTCCCTGGAATGTGAAGATTAGCATTTTCCAAGCTGGGGCTTAAAGTACTGTGTATAAATCACTGGACTCCAAGGATGGGCTGGGCTCTTCCTCTTTGCCTCTGCAATGCTCCTTGTTTTATTCTATTACAGCTCTCAGTTGGAGTGCTGTGATTACTTTTTTTAGTGAGTCTGATTTCCATCATAATACTGAAATTCATGAAATATCACATTATCTCATTTTGCCATATCAAATAAAAATATATCTTGGAATTCCCTGTACATAGTGTTGATTTCTCAACACTGTAGTCATCAATGGGACACCTTCTCCCTCAATCCACAGGAGATCTTCAGCTATGCAGACATTCACAAAATTTCTTTCAATCTTTTGTGATATGTTCATCATCTGAGGCCACAATAGGTAAGATTCTGCAGTTTCTGCACCAGTTTGGAGCTCCAGGCCTTTGCAGATGCACATTTGAGAAATCTTCAGAGGGAAACTGATATTGGAGGACAAACAGCAGCCTCTCATAACGCTTATCTGCCACTTCTTAATTTCGCAGGTTTAGACCTTACCTTCCTTCTAGAAATTTAGCTCTCATTCTCTTTACACACACAAACACACACACACACACACACACACACCCTCCCCTCCCTCCATCTCTCCAATGTAGATACAGAGAGATACTTGTTGTACTATGTATTAGTGTTTATCTGACTGATTCTGTATAAATGTTATTTGTAACTCCTTAGTTCTCCTTTCTGTAACTTTTTATTCTCCTTCAAGTTAATAGTTACCTTGTATTTAATTTGCTTAATTCCCTATGCACCCAACACAAATGTTATTTCAAACCCTCTGAATACCACACAGCTGTCAATTGTATTTATGTTGGTGACCCTCCTCTGCAGCTCTCTGACCTTTTGTCTCAGTCTAGACTGGGAGCTGGCCAAGGTGGCTGCAAAACTGTCCTCCCTGAATGTCTCTTCTCCATCACCCTGTGAATCCTCTCCCTGCTTGTATTAGGCCATTCTTGCATTGCTATAAAGAGATATCTGAGATATCTGAGAGTGGATAATATGCAAATAAAAGAGATTTAATTGGCTTATGGTTCTGCAGGCTTTACAGGAAGCACGGTGCTGGCATCTACTCGGCTTCTAGGGAGGACTCAGAAAGCTTACAACCATGGCAGAAGGTGAAGGGGGAGCAGGCATGTCACACGGCCAGAGCAGGAGCAAGAGAGAGGGGGACAGGTGCCACGTACTTTTAGATGGCCAGATCTCACAAGAGCTCACTATCCAGAGGACAGCACTGAGAGG
Organism: Homo sapiens; assembly: GCF_000001405.40. Lineage (NCBI taxonomy): Eukaryota > Metazoa > Chordata > Mammalia > Primates > Hominidae > Homo > Homo sapiens. Next base: position 16,415,530 of record NC_000004.12, on the reverse strand, counting down.
ATGGTGCTAAACCATTCATGAGAAATCCACCACCATGAGCCAGTCACCTCCCACCAGGCCCCTATCAGGGTTGACATTCAACATGAAATTTGGGCAGGGACAAATATCCAAACTATATCATCGCTCCTCTGGGTAACTGACCCTTTCCAGAATTTCACATCCCCCAACTTCTTGTCGTATTCCTTTTTTGTTGTGAATCACTTTCTTCTCAGAAAGGGAGTAGGAGAAGTAAGATTATTGAGAACTTGCACACCTGAAAATGTCTTTATTCCAGCACCACGTTTTAATAAGTATTTTCTAGATACGGAATTCTGGAATGAAATTCATTTCCACTCTGAATTTGAAGTTACTCTTTTGTCACCTAGCTTCAAGTGTTGCTATTGAGAAGTCTGATGTCATTCTGATCCCTAATCCTCTGCCTGAGCACGCTTTCGTCTTTGGGAGATTTCAGTATCCTTTATCTCCAGTGTTTTGAAATTTCATTCAAATATGACTTGATAAAGGTCATTTTAAAAAACCTTCATAGTGTGCCCTTTAAAACCTGGGAAATTTTCTTACCCTATTTCCATAGATCCCTCCTTTTTTTTCTGTCCCCTCTTTTTGGAACCTGCCTGTGTTTCTCATACATCTTTCTCTCTTTGTTCTACTTTCTGGGAGATTACTTCAATTTTACTTTCCAACACTTTTGTTGAATTTTTAATATTTCTACTCTCATATTTTTGACTTTGAGAAGTTCTTTGTAAAATTTTATAAATATTCCTTTAAATTTTTTCATAAGTATAATATCTTGTTTTACCTTCCTAAGTAACTATTATTAATTTGGGGGCGTTTTTTATTTCTTCATTTGCCGCATTGTTTGTTTTCTATTTCTTTTTGTTGACAGCGTGTTTTGGCGCCTAACTTTCATATTATATGCTTTCTGCAAATGTCAGGTGATCCTTACCCATCTGTTCTTATTTGAGAATGGGCCATTAAAAAACCATTTGGGCCTTCTGCGTATGGGTCAGGCTTACCAAGTAGTGAACTTCACCATACAGTGACAGGACTTGGACCTGGTCATTATGTACGATTCCCCCATCAAAATCTGCAGATTTGGGGGAAGAGAGGGACTTCCTAGTTGCTACCTAGAGAATTCTTCAGCGTACTGTCAGGCGCTATGAGCTGGCCTGCTAGCATTCTTCGCACAGTTGGGAAGAGGAGGCTGAGATTTTCACAGTACAGTATGTTAGTTAACTCCCACTCAGTCTCTGTTTTTTTCTTTCTGACGAGGCTCCTCTCTGTTCCTATTTTATGTCTCAGGTCCCTAAATCTGGAATTTGTCTGGTTTAATTTTTGCTGAGAGTAAACCTCTGATCTTCTGCAGAGGTGATTCGGGAGAATTGCCTATTTGGGGAAAATATCCAGGCTTACTGCTTCCATGAAAACTCACCCGCACTCCTTCCTTTCAGTTCCACACATTCTTTCCCCTCGATGCTGCCTGATGCCTTGAGTCCCTGAGGTCTTCCAGGGCTCTCTGAATTGGATCTGTTTCCTTCTTATCTTCATCCCAGTGGGCACTTAGGGCTCAGCTTTCTCAGCCACATAACTCATTACCAACAGTCAACTTGCTGTCCAGCTTTCTAAGCTGTGCTGCCGTCTCTCATCTCCTTTAGTCTCTTCCTTTATTCTCTTGGAATGCATGGTCTTATGCTTGTTTAAATCCCTTTACTATCATTTTAGTGAGATTTGGAGAAGAAACATGTAAATATATATATTCGGTTTTTCACATGAAAGTTGAACTTCCATAAAAATCATTTTTAATAGTTCCATAATATTCATTAGTAGATACATTATATCTAGCTTTTAGACAGTTAAATTCTTCCCCTTTTTTCACCTCCACCAAAAACAACACAGTAGTGAGTCTCTTCACTCATGAAATTCTTTCTACCTTTGAAACTATCATTTTTAAGAAAGATTTCTGAAAGTATAATTAATGACAAAGTTTAAAGGTTTTTCACGATTCCTCTGCAAAATAGTTGTATCAGGGAACAGAACCACAAGGAGAGCATGAGAGCATCCACCTCTTTCCAACAGGAGCTTTGCAAATTATTCCTCAATTTTAAATCAAGGCCATATCAGAATAGGGTTTTTTTTTCTGTGACTTTTAAAAGCAACATTTTTCTCCATGGGAGAAATCAAAGTGGAATCTTAAAGAGGAATGACAGAAAGAATGCTGTGAGCAGCCAGGAAGTGCTAGAAAACCAATGATATATAGAAAACAAATGCTGCTCTGCAAAAATGACCTAGCAGAAAGCCAGTTTTGCTTTGTTTCTTAAGACCAGGAGTTTGACAAGTCCTGATGAGGATAAAAGGCTAAATTATGAGACACTTTTAGGAATGTGTGTGCACTGCTTGGGGGTTTCCTGAGTTTGCAAGGGGTGTCCACGGGAGTCTACAAAGACTAAACCGTAAGTACCAGGCAAGTGTGGGGGAGTGGCCACACAGCAGGAGGATGGGCTTGGGATCCAGGGATTTAGGTGGATTGCAACGTACTCCACCTGTGCCTCCTAAGTCCCAGTTTCCTCATCTGTAAAATGGAGATCTTGATGCCTTCGGCACAGACTTGTTATGAAACACGGGAAAGAATTCGTGAAGGTTTCTTGCTCAGGGCTTTGCTTGTGAGGCTGAAGATTGTCTAGCCCCTTTTCTTTCCCTCCATGAGGATGCTATGATTTGCCAAGACAATAAATATTATTGATCCAGTGATTTCTTCGATTTTTTTTTTTTTTTGAGACAGAGTCTCACCGTGTCGCCAGGCTGGAATGCCATGGTGCAATCGCGGCTCACTGCAACCTCCGCCTCCCAGGTTCAAGTAATTCTCCTGCCTCGGTCTCCCAAGTAGCTGGGACTACAGGCACCCGCCACCACGCCCAGCTAATTTTTTGTATCTTTAGTAGAGACGGGGTTTCACCGTGTTGGCCAGGATGGTCTTGATCTCTTGACCTTGTGACCTGCCCACCTCGGCCTCCCAAAGTACTGGGATCACAGGCATGAGCCACCGCACCAGCCTATTTCTTTGATTTTTAAAAATCACTGACTATAGGTCAGGCATGGTGGCTTACATCTGTAATCCCAGCACTTTAGGAGGCCGAGACGGGAAGAACACGGGGTCAGGACTTTAAGACCAGCCTAGCCAACGTGGTGAAACCCCATCTCTGCTAAAGATACAAAAAATTAGCTGGGCGTGGTGGCGCATGCCTGTAATCCCAGCTACTCAGGAGACTGAGGCAGGAGAATTGCTTGAACTTGGGAGGCAGAGGTTGCAGTGAGCCGAGACTGCACCATTGCACACAAGCCTAGGCAACAGGGCAAGACTCCGTCTCAAAAAAAAAAAAAAAAATCACTGGCTATAATAAGCTTATATCTTAAAGGATTTGCATTTTCTTCCCCTTCTTTACTGAGAGCACCACTTAAACACCTCATCTATAAACTGAAAGATTTCATCCCTAGTTTCAGGCATTCTCTGGTTGTTTATCCAACGTCACCAAGTTTATTAACAGGCCAGCCCAGGTTTGCTTTTTTAGTTTTGTTTTTATATCCACAGTGAACACAGCCACAATGCACAATACAATGGCAAGCCTGTGTTTCCACTCAACAGCTCAGAAAACCCCAGGTTGGCAAGTCAAGCGTGTTCTTAAAAGCTAGAACTTATGGGGCTTAAATCAGATGTAGCTTTAAAACTGCCTGTTAAATTTCAAGTGAGTTATTTTAAAAGTAAACTATAAGTCTGCTATAGCAGAGAAAGCAGTATTTTATCAGGAAGCTTCTGGTAGACACACCAATCACTCAAGTATAGCCAGGAAAGCCTGAAATATATATGGCCAGATTAGATGCTAACACAGGCATAAAGATAACGGTGCATTTCTAAGGCTGGGACACAGTAAAATGCGATGGGAACCCAGGGGTTAACAGGGCTGAATGCAAAGGAACATATTGGTAAAGACAATTTATATGAGTAGTAAAAGACACTGAATAACCCTTGGCATGAGATGTAATAGATGGAATTGTTGAAAGACTTACATGACTAATCCTGAGCTGAAGTCTAATATCAACTACTTTGCTGGTATGGTCTACTTAAGTTTGAATACAATTTTTTTTGTGTGAATTTGAGATAAAGTATGTATACACATTGTGCATACATACTAACTTATTTGTTGCTACATCTCCTGTAGGGGCTTCCTACCAGAAATTGAGTATGTAATAGAAAACTCACTGTTTGTCTTGTTTGTTCTATTTGTTTTGTTTTAGTTTTTTTGAGATGGAGTGTTGCTCTGTCGCCCAGACTGGAATGCAGTGGTGCGATCTCGGCTCACTGCAACCTCTCCCTCCTGGGTTCAAGTGATTCTCCTGCCTCAGCCTCTGGAGTAGCTGGGACTACAGACATGCGCCACTGCGCCCGGCTAATTTTTGTATTTTTGTAGAGACAAGGTTTCGCCATGTTGGCCAGCCTGGTCTCGAACTCCTGACCTCAGGTGATCTGCCCACCTTGGCCTCCCAAAGTGCTGGGATTACAGGCATGAGCCACCGTGTCCAGCCTCGCCCTTTGTCTTATTAAAGGAACAGACAGTGTGTTCGCCACCTACTCCTGTCTTACGCCACCCATTCCCTGGCCTCTTGGTGGGCAAAATTCCCTGGAGAGAGTTTTTATAAAATCTTTCTCAACCTACCTGTAGCTTTACATGTGGATTCCTGTATACAAGCTTAAGATGAGAGGGGGGGGGGAAAGGGAGAGAGAAAGAGAAAGAGAGAAAAAGAAAGCCTAAATTAATAACATGTAGACAGAAATGTCTGCTGGAATCTTCCAGACTCTTGAAATCTTGGTAAGATTGGAACCTGTATTTCACTATCTATAAAGATCCAGAGCTTTCCACCATTATTATTTTCAAAACTGGGGGACAATTACATCATTGCAGCCAAATCTACTTCTAAGGTGCTGCTTCTGCTGAAACAGGGTTCTGCCTCATCTAGATCCAGATGTGGAATTCAAACCCTTCTTCAATTCCCACATGATGATAATGACAGCAAAACAGCTCACAAAAAGCCTTTGCAAGTACATGAGGATCAGACACTTGATTGAATATTTGGAGGGGAGACTGAGGGAGATGAAGAATGGGTTTGCATCATGGAAAAACAAACCATTTGAAATTAAACATTAGAACATTTTTGTCTTTAAAGCATCCTTTGGCCATTTTGGCACCATGGGATTTTCACTGCGGACTTCACCCCCTGCCAAGGCTCTTGTTGACTTCTCTATTTTTTTCTCCCTTCTCACCCTCTTCCTTCCCACATTTAGATTTTTGAATTATTCTTTCACTCTTGTGAGTGGCAGTCCTGCCCTCTCCATCCCTGACTTTCATCCCTGACTTCCAAAATCAACACCTGGCAAATTTCACACACACAAACCCATTATGTAAGACGCAGACCTGGCTTCCCTGGAGGGCAGCTGTTCCACAAAACATGATGCTCATTCCTGTCAAGTGAGGTGTCTACCCTGGCTGGCTGACATCTGGTCTCAGAAGAGCGAGGCAAGCCACACATGAAAGACACACTCCAACAAAGAAAGCTGCCATGCAAGACAATGGCTTAGCCCAATTCCTGGCACAAAGTAGATGCTCAAAAAAATGGCCATCATGAGCATGACTCTGTGGCCTTTTAAAAGATGAGATAACTAAGTTTTCATTAGATCATTTATCTGCCTTCCATGAACATCCATTCAACCCATTGTCCTGGAAAATTCTTAATGAAGGGCAAATACAGCAAAAACCAGCTCTCTCTAATCAAACATCATGGACTGTTCCATGATGGGGTTCTCTACTCCAGTGAACACGAGAGGGGTCTGGGGTCTATGGCCTCCTGCATGTCCTGTGCTGTGGTGGTAGTGACGAAGGAAGGAAGCAAGCGGGAGCTTCCATGGATCTCCATTACAGTCTTAAAAGACATCCTTGGCTGTTTGCAAAATCTCTATTGTTGGATGCAGATAAGAAAGAGGGTAAAGGTAGACCCAAGTCTTTGTGAAATTCCACCAAGAAATACAATCCTCTTCTCCTAGAGTTTCTGATGCAGAAAAGCAATGTTATCCCCCAAGGAGGAAGAAAGTGTGGGAAGAAACTTAAGTGGTAACAGGAGCTTGCAGAGATTTGAACTGATCCTGTGTCTTTCCACATCTCTGCAGGCCCACCAAAGTCTCTCACCACCTTGCCCCCTGAGGCTGGTCTGCATTTTATTAAAAGACAGGTATCCAACCCCCTGGGGAAGAACCATTCGCTGGCTGTGTGCTGCTGTGTGCTGTGTGAGAGACTGCACTCCTTCCTCAGCCTTCTTTCTGGGGCACCTCATGAGACAACACCAAAGGGGACAGCACAGAAATTATTGAAATTTGTGTGCACTGGTTTGGTTTTACTCTGCCTTGTCTCACAAGGGATTTGAAGCAGTTTTCAACTATATATATATATAGTTAAAATGACAGCAAAACAGCTCACAAAAAGCATTTGCAAGTGCATGAGGATCAGACACTTGATATATATATATGTGTATATATATATACTTGAAATATATGTATATACATATATACACTCACACACACATATATATATATAATAAATTTAATAAACAAAAAAAACCCATGCTACCATCACCAAAATATCTTTCATAGAAATAAGACTTAAATACTGAGGGTCTGAAAAATGTAAGTGAAGGACAAAGAATTCAAGATTAGGATGGAGCTGGGGTGTACTCACGTCACGGGCCACAGATACCTACAGTCATCCCAGTAGCATTCTCAAAAATCAGGGTTGTGTGGTCGCCCCTTGTCGTCGGCACTTCTTTCCTGTCTGACTCTGCCTGCCACTTTCTCTTGCCATTGGGACTGCAGTGGATACTGTGGTGTGATGGCAAGAGCCATGGATGTGCCACCCTCTTGTAACTCAATCTGTGTGACTTGAAGTAAGTCGCGGTGGAGCCAAGATGGCCGAATAGGAACAGCTCTGGTCTACAGCTCCCAGCGTGAGAGTCACAGAAGACAGGTGATTTCTGCATTTCCATCTGAGGTACCGGGTTTATCTCACTAGGGAGTGCCAGACAGTGGGTGCAGGACAGTGGGTGCAGCGCAACGTGCGCGAGCCGAAGCAGGGCGAGGCATTGCCTCACTCGGGAAGCACAAGGCGTCAGGGAGTTCCCTTTCCTAGTCAAAGAAAGGGGTGACAGATGGCACCTGGAAAATCGGGTCACTCCCACCCTAATACTGTGCTTTTCCAACGGGCTTAAAAAAACAGCATGCCAGGAGATTATATCCCGCACCTGGCTCGGAGGGTCCTATGCTCGCGGAATCTCGCTGATTGCTAGCACAGCAGTCTGAGATCACACTGCAAGGTGGCAGCGAGGCTGGAGGAGGGGCGCCTGCCATTGCCCAGGCTTGATTAGGTAAACAAAGCAGCTGGGAAGCTCGAACTGAGTGGAGCCCACCACAGCTCAAGGAGGCCTGCCTGCCTCTGTAGGCTCCACCTCTAGGGGCAGGGCACAGACAAACAAAAAGACAGCAGTAACCTCTGCAGACTTAAATGTCCCTGTCTCACAGCCTTGAAGAGAGCAGTGGTTCTCCCAGCACGCAGCTGGAGATCTGAGAATGGGCAGACTGCCTCCTCAAGTGGATCCTTGACACCTAAGCAGCCTAACTGGGAGGCATCCCCCAGTAGGGGCAGACTGACACCTCGCACGGCTGGGTACTCCTCTGAGACAAAACTTCCAGAGGAACGATCAGGCAGCAGCATTTGTGGTTCACCAAGATCCACTGTTCTACAGACACCGCTGCTGATACCCAGGCAAACAGGGTCTGGAGTGGACCTCTAGCAAACTCCAACAGACCTGCAGCTAAGGGTCCTGTCTGTTAGAAGGAAAACTAACAAAGAGAAAGGACATCCACACCAAAAACCCTTCTGTACGTCACCATCATCAAAGACCAAAAGTAGATAAAACCACAAAGATGGGGAAAAAGCAGAGCAGAAAAACTGGAAACTCTAAAAAGCAGAACGCCTCTCCTCCTCCAAAGGAACGTAGCTCCTCACCAGCAACAGAACAAAGCTGGACGGAAAATGACTTTGAGGAGCTGAGAGAAGAAGGCTTCAGACAATCAAAGTACTCCGAGCTACAGGAGGAAATTCAAACCAATGGCAAAGAAGTTTTAAACTTTGAAAAAAAATTAGACGAATGGATAACTAAAATAACTAACGCAGAGAAGTCCTTAAAGGAGCTGATGGAGCCAAAAGTCAAGGCTCGAGAACTACGTGAAGAATGCAGAAGCCTCAGGAGCTGATGTGATCAACTGGAAGAAAGGGTATCAGTGATGGAAGACAAAATGAATGAAATGAAGTCAGAAGGGAAGTTTAGAGAAAAAAAGAATAAAAAGAAATGAACAAAGCCTCCAAGAAATATGGGACTATGTGGAAAGACCAAATCTACGTCTGATTGGTGTACCTGAAAACGATGGGGAGAATGGAAACAAGCTGGAAAACACTCTGCAGGATATTATCCAGGAGAACTTCCCCAATCTAGCAAGGCAGGCCAACATTCAGATTCAGGAAATACAGAGAACGCCACAAAGATACTCCTCAACAAGAGCAACTCCAAGACACATAATTGTCAGATTCACCAAAGTTGAAATGAAGGAAAAAATGTTAAGGGCAGCCAGAGAGAAAGGTCGGGTTACCCACAAAGGGAAGCCCATCAGACTAACAGCAGATCTCTCAGCAGAAACTCTACAAGCCAGAAGAGAGTGAGGGCCAATATTCAACATTCTTAAAGAAAAGAATTTTCAACCCAGAATTTCATATCCAGCCAAACTAAGCTTCATAAGTGAAGGAGAAATAAAATACTTTACAGACAAGCAAACGCTGAGAGATTTTGTCACCACCAGGCCTGCCCTAAAAGAGCTCCTGAAGGGAGCACTAAACATGGAAAGGAACAACCGGTACCAGCCACTGCAAAAACATGCCAAAATGTAAAGACCATCAAGGCTAGGAAGAAACTGCATCAACTAACGAGCAAAATAACCAGCTAACATCATAAAGACAGGACCAAATACACACATAACAATATTAACTTTGAATGTAAATGGGCTAAATGCTCCAATTAAAAGACACAGACTGGCAAATTGGATAAAGAGTCAAGACCCATCAGTGTGCTGTATTCAGGAAACCCATCTCATGTGCAGAGACACACATAGGCTCAAAATAAAGGGATGGAGGAAGATCTACCAAGCAAATGGAAAACAAAAAAAGGCAGGGGTTGCAATCCTAGTCTCAGATAAAACAGACTTTAAACCAACAAAGATCAAAAGAGACAAAGAAGGCCATTACATAATGGTAAAGGGATCAATTCAACAAGAAGAGCTAACTATCCTAAATATATATGCACCCAATACAGGAGCACCCAGATTCATAAAGCAAGTCCTTAGTGACCTACAAAGAGACTTAGACTCCCACACAATAATAATGGGAGATTTTAACACCCCACTGTCAACATTAGACAGATCAACGAGACAGAAAGTTAACAAGGATACCCGGGAATTGAACTCACCTCTGCACCAAGCGGACCTAATAGACATCTACAGAACTCTCCACCCCAAATCAACAGAATATACATTTTTTTCAGCACCACACCACACCTATTCCAAAATTGACCACACAGTTGGAAGTAAAGCACTCCTGAGCAAATGTAAAAGAACAGAAATTATAACAAACTGTCTCTCAGACCACAGTGCAATCAAACTAGAACTCAGGACTAAGAAACTCACTCAAAACCGCTCAACAACATGGAAACTGAACAACCTGCTCCTGAGTGACTACTGGGTACATAATGAAATGAAGGCAGAAATAAAGATGTTCTTTGAAACCAACCAGAACAAAGACACAACATACCAGAATCTCTGGGACACATTCAAAGCAGTGTGTAGAGGGAAATTTATAGCACTAAATGCCCACAAGAGGAAGCAGGAAAGATCCAAAATTGACACCCTAACGTCACAATTAAAAGAACTAGAAAAGCAAGAACAAACACATTCAAAAGCTAGCAGAAGGCAAGAAATAACTAAAATCAGAGCAGAACTGAAGGAGATAGAGACACAAAAAGCCCTTCAAAAAATTAATGAATCCAGGAGCTGGTTTTTTGAAAAGATCAAGAAAATCGATAGACTGCTAGCAAGACTAATAAAGAAGAAAAGAGAGAAGAATCAAATAGACGCAATAAAAAATGATAATGGGGATATCACCACCGATCCCACAGAAACACAAACTACCATCAGAGAATACTACAAACACCTCTACGCAAATAAACTAGAAAATCTAGAAGAAATGGATAAATTCCTGGACACATACACCCTCCCAAGACTAAACCAGGAAGAAGTTGAATCTCTGAATGGACCTATAACAGGCTCTGAAATTATGGCAATAATCAATAGCTTACCAGCCAAAAAAAGTCCAGGACCAGATGGATTCACAGCCGAATTCTACCAGAGGTACAAAAAGGAGCTGGTACCATTCCTTCTGAAACTAGTCCAATCAATAGAAAAAGAGGGAATCCTCCCTAACTCATTTTATGAGGCCAGCATCATCCCGATACCAAAGCCTGGCAGAGACAAAACCAAAAAAGAGAATTTTAGACCAATATCCTTGATGAACATTGATGCAAAAATCCCCAATAAAATACTGGCAAACCGAATCCAGCAGCACATCAAAAAGCTTATCCACCATGATCAAGTGGGCTTCATCCCTGGGATGCAAGGCTGGTTCAATATACGCAAATCAATAAATGTAGTCCAGCATATAAACAGAACCAAAGACAAAAACCACATGATTATCTCAATAGATGCAGAAAAGGCCTTTGACAAAATTCAACAACCCTTCATGCTAAAAACTCTCAATAACTTAGGTATTGATGGGATGTATCTCAAAATAATAAGAGCTATCTATGACAAACCCACAGCCAATATCATACTGAATGGGCAAAAACTGGAAGCATTCCCTTTGAAAACTGGCACAAGACAGGGATGCCCTCTCTCACCACTCCTATTCAACATAGTATTGGAAGTTCTGGCCAGGGCAATTAGGCAGGAGAAGGAAATAAAGGGCATTCAATTAGGAAAAGAGGAAGTCAAATTGTCCCTGTTTGCAGATGACATGATTGTATATCTAGAAAACCCCATTGTCTCAGCCTAAAATCTCCTTAAGCTGATAAGCAACTTCAGCAAAGTCTCAGGATACAAAATCAATGTACAAAAATCACAAGCATTCTTATACACCAATAACAGACAAACAGAGAGCCAAATCATGAGTGAACTCCCATTCACAATTGCTACAAAGAGAATAAAATATCTAGGAATCCAACTTATAAGGGATGTGAAGGACCTCTTCAAGGAGAACCAGAAACCACTGCTCAATGAAATAAAAGAGGATACAAACAAATGGAAGAACATTCCATGCTCATGGGTAGGAAGAATCAATATCGTGAAAATGGCCATACTGCCCAAGGTAATTTATAGATTCAATGCCATCCCCATCAAGCTACCAATGACTTTCTTCACAGAATTGGAAAAAACTACTTTAAATTTCATATGGAACCAAAAAAGAGCCTGCATCGCCAAGTCAATCCTAAGCCAAAAGAACAAAGCTGGAGGCATCAGGCTACCTGACTTCAAACTATACTGCAAGGCTACAGTAACCAAAACAGCATGGTACTAGTACCAAAACAGAGATATAGATCAATGGAACAGAACAGAGCCCTCAGAAATAATGCCACATATCTACAACCATTTGATCTTTGACAAACCTGAGAAAAACAAGCAATGGGGAAAGGATTCCCTATTTAATAAATGGTGCTAGGAAAACTGGCTAGCCATATGTAGAAAGCTGAAACTGGATCCCTTCCTTACACCTTATACAAAAATTAATTCAAGATGGATTAAAGACGTACATGTTAGACCTAAAACCATAAAAACCCTAGAAGAAAACCTAGGCAATACCATTCAGGACATAGGCATGGGCAAGGACTTCATGTCTAAAACACCAAAAGCAGTGGCAACAAAAGACAATATTGACAAATGGGATCTAATTAAACTAAAGAGCTTCTGCACAGCAAAAGAAACTACCATCAGCATTAACACGCAAGCTACAGAATGGGAGAAAATTTTCGCAACCTACTCATCTGACAAAGGGCTAATATCCAGAATCTACAATGAACTCAAACAAATTTACAAGAAAAAAACAAACAACCCCATCAATAAGTGGGCAAAGGATATGAACAGACACTTCTCAAAAGAAGACATTTATGCAGCCAAAAAACACATGAAAAAATGCTCATCATCACTGGCCATCAGAGAAATGCACATCAATACCACAATGAGATACCATCTCACATCAGTTAGAATGGCAATCATTAAAAAGTCAGGAAACCACCAGGTGCTGGAGAGGATGTGGACAAATAGGAACACTTTTACACTGTTGGTGGGACTGTAAACTAGTTCAACCATTGTGGAAGTCAGTGTGGCCATTACTCAGGGATCTAGAACTAGAAATACCATTTGACCCAGCCATCCCATTACTGGGTATATACCCAAAGGATTATAAATCATGCTGCTATAAAGACACATGCACACGTATGTTTATTGGGGCACTATTCACAATAGCAAAGACTTGGAACCAACCCAAATGTCCAGCAATGATAGACTGGATTAAGCAAATGTGGCACATATACACCATGGAATACTATGCAGCCATAAAAAATGAAGAGTTCATGTCCTTTGTAGGGACATGGATGAAATTGGAAACCATCATTCTCAGCAAACTATCGCAAGGAGAAAAAACCAAACACCGCATGTTCTCACTCACAGGTGGGAATTGAACAATGAGAACACATGGACGCAGGAAGGGGAACATCACACTCCAGGGACTGTTGTGGGGTGTGGGGAGGGGGGAGGGGGGAGGGATAGCATTAGGAGATATACCTAATGCTAAATGACGAGTTAATGGGTGCAGCACACCAACATGGCACAGGTATAGACATGTAACAAACCTGCACATTGTGCACATTACCCTAAAACTTAAAGTATAATAATAATAAAATAAAAAAATAAAATAAAATAAAAAAATTAAAAAAAAGAAATAAGTCGCTTGTCCTCTCTGGGCTTTGGCCCCCTCATCTGTAAAACCAGAGAGAACATTAACAATAAATAAGACCAAGACATTGGCTCACAATGTAGTAACCCTGTTTACCTCCTTGACATGCTCGCAACAGACCAGGGCAGCAAGGTGCTCAGATGCAGAGATCCAGGCTTTCCAGGAAGAGTGAGGCAGGAACAGGGACAGGCCTACTTGCACTTCAGGCCTGATGGGAGGGGGCTTCCCTGCACATGCTCCCTCCTGTTCCCCTAGCTTTTCATTCTGAGGTGGGGAGAAAGGCACTGGGCAGAGAGTGCTGCTGTCCAAAATAAATATAATGTGAACCACGTGTGAACTTTAAATTTTCTAGTAAGCACTTGAAAGAGTAAAATGAAATAGGTGAAATTAATTTTCATAATATATTTATTCAACCCAATAGTTTAAAAATATTATTTCAACATGTTTGTGATATAAAAACTATTATTGAAATATTTTACGTTTCCTTTGTACCAAGTCCCCAGAATATGGTGTAAATCTCACACTTGCAGCATGTTGCAATTTGAACTAGATACATGTCAGCTGCTCCAGGAATAGTCGCATGGCACTCATGGTCACCCTATCGGACAGCGCGTTTAGTGGGAAAGAGAATGGAGGCATTTGTCCTCTGAGGGCAAAGGAGAAGGACTGACCTGTTACCAGGGGGCTGGATCCCATGCTGCAAGGCGAGGGCAAAGGCTTTAGGCTGCAGCAGGGATGGAGGCTGCAGTCTACTCTCAGACATCACTCCAGGACCACAGGACCTTGGAGAGGTTGTGTGGGGGCGACTACGGAGAGCCTGGACACTAAATTCAGTGACTTCAGGGGGCCAAGGGAGGGGCCTTGGGACACAGTGCTGATCCAAGTGAGGGAAAGATGTGTTGTGAGGCATGTCTCTGGTGTCACTGGAAGCAGAGATGCCAGAAAGGACATTGAAGGAACAGGACCTGACCTCTGCATTTGTAGCAGAGTGGTGTGATCAGTGGGGACAGATGCCTCGCAGCCTCCTCTCTCCCTATATTATTATAGTGTGTGGAAGCCCCGGGATTGCAAAGCAGGCCAGTCATGTGGCTGTCATTGGGCTTCTCAGGGACCTTGGTGAGCAGAGACCCGGAGCCAGGGTTTACGTGATTTAGACAAATCTAGAAATGTGACACCTTCTCCCCCTCAAAACTTAGAGTAATTTATACCTGTTGTATCGGTCCTAAAGTCCTTTGTCACATACATATTTTTTTAATCCATAAAACAAGAAGCTTGATGTTGAAACAGATCCAGGGATAAGATGCACAGAGGCTCACTGCTCTCTGATACCCACTTCTGTTCATGCCCTGCCTTGCCTCAGGAAACCTTTGCCTCAGATTTGTCTAGGTACTAAAAATATCAGGCTGGGTGTGGTGGCTCACGCCTATAATTCCAACACTTTGGGAGGCCGAGGCGAGTGGATTGTCTGAGGTCAGGAGTTCAAGACCAGCCTAACCAATATGGTGAAACCCCCGTCTCTGCTAAAAATACAAAAATTAGCCAGGTGTGGTGGTGGGTGCCTGTGATCCCAGCTACTCGGGAGGCTGAGGCAGCAGAATTGATTGAACCTGGGAGGCGAAGGTTGCAGTGAGCTGAGATTGTGCCATTGCACTCCAGCCTGGGAAACAGAGCGAGCATCCATCTCAAATTTCCTAGAGGGACTCACAGAACTCAGAGAAATAGCTTACACGTTTACCTATTTATTGTAAAGTATATTACAAATGATACAGATGATGCCAGGTGTGGTGGCTCATACCTGTAATCCCAACACTTTGGAAGGCTGAGGTAGGAGGATCAGGAGGAGGATTTCTTGAGGCCAGAAGTTCAAGACCAGCCTAGGCAACATAGCAAGAACCTCATCTGTACAAAAAAGAGAAAAAAAAACTTTTCCAGGCATGGTGGTGCATGCTTGTAGTTCCAGCTACTCAGGAGGCTGAGGTGGGAGGATCACTTGATCCTAGGAGTTCAAGGCCGCAGTGAGTTATGATCGTACCACTGCACTCTAGCCTGGACAACACAGGGAGACCGTCTCCCTCCATCTCTCTCTCTCTCTCACTTTCTCTTTCTCACACACACACACACAATACAGATGAACAACCGGATGAAGAGATAGGGCAAAGCACGTGGGAAGGAGCACGGAACGTCTACATGTTCGGCAACCAGGAAGCTCTCTGAACCTGGGCCTTTGGGGTTTTCATGGAGGCCTCATTACATTGGCATGATCGATTAAAGGTGATCAACTGAACCTTCAAACCCCCTCCCTTCCCTGGAGGTTTGGGAAAGGGATGGGGCTGAAAGTCCCATCACTCTAATCATGCCCGGGTCTTTCGTGTGACCAGCCCGCATCCTGAAGCTACCTAGAGACCCCCAGCCATCAGTCATCTCATCAGCATACAAAAGACCCTCATCATTCTAGAGATTCCAAGGGTTTTATGAGCTTTGTGCCAGGAACCAGGGACAGAAACCAAATATATATTTCTTATGACATCACAATATGACAGAACTGAGCCCTTTGTATTCCTGTGCTCTTCAGTCATTGGGTAAGGGTCATCCCAGTGAATCCACTAAGAGGGACTCAGAGGGATCGGGACAGAGCACCTACATCCTCCCTACACTTGGCTAAGACGCACAGTTCTGAGCAGTGGAGCTGGGACTTGACCCCAGCCAGCATAGCTCCAGGAGTCATTATCTTAATCACTATTAAGTTTATCTCTAAATAATCAAGGGAGATTTAAAAAGTAACCCCATGTGACAAATCTGTACCAGGGGCTATCCTGCTTCAGTGGCCAACACACTAACACCTGCTTACCTCATTACCCTGGGCCCATTAAAAAAAAAAAGTTGAATTAATTGAATCTCATAGAACTAAAGAGCTATAAGGGGGAAAAATAATCTCCTGATTTATTTATGCAGATTATACATTTCTGCATCTGCTTGCGTAGAGCCAGCAAACATAAGCATTTATTCAAACAGGCCCACATTTTAGAGTTGTTACAATACCTGCAACTTACAAGACGAGCATAATTATCCTATTTTTTACAAAGTCTAATGTGATTTCAATTGATGTCAGTAAGTTTTGATTGAATTTGCTGCTGATTAGAGTTTATCATCTCTTTGAACAACAAGAAATTATGTCTTATTCAGTTTGTTAGCAAGACTGGCATTCAGTTTATAGCCATAGCACCAATGGTAATTATCAAGGATAATTGATTTCTAAAGTGGACATATTAATTACATAGATATAGGAAAAATAAAATAGCTTACCCTGTCAATTAGTATTATGAAAAATAAACCATAGACTTTGAACAAGAAAGTTTAGTTTCCTCTGCCAACATACCTTCCTTTTTTCCAGGGAAACTGTACATCCCATTAACATGGTTATGGCACAGACATGGCACAGAGACAGGCTCTAATGGGCTAGCTTGGAAGAGCAGATTGCAAGGGAATTTTAAGTGTGACCTATAGCAGAGTAAGGGGAGGAAGAAAATATATGTGGAAAGAGAAAATTAAGGTTTCTGTCTCCTCTGAAAACCAAAAAGAATGTGTCATGTGGGGGTGGCACATATGAGAACCCAGGCAATCATGCATTCATTCAACAAATATTGATTGAGCACCTGCTATATGTTGAACAGTGAGGTTAAAGTACTGACACTGACTGTCCTCATGAGCTTACAACTTAGAGGGGAAGTCAGGCATTCCCCACAAAAATACCTACATAACCATAAATCTTAAGTAGCATGAAAGCAAAGGACAGGCTGCTATGAGAAAGACTAATTGGGGGACCCAATTTAGAAGGAGAGATCAAGGAAAGCCTCTCTGAGAAGGTAACACTTAACCTGAAACCGGATGAGTTACAGAGGCGAAGAGGGAAGAAGGGAGAAATGTGTAATGGTGGGAAAAAGTTTTGTGTGCTGGAGAAAATGAAAGATGGTGAAACTTCTGGAATTATAGTGATGCTCTATATCTGTGCTGTCTAATATGGGTGCATCTATTCAGCACCTAAAATGAGGCCAATGAAAATAACAAACTAAACTTTTAATTGTAACTGCATTTAATTTAAATAGTGACTTGTGTTCAGAGGCCACCATATTAAAGAATGCAGATCAGGGGTCTTATAACCCCTGATAAGGACTGCAAATTGTATTCTAAGAGCTGTGGGAACCACTGGAGATTTTGTAAGCTCAGGGGTGCCACAGTTCCATATATGTTTTTAAAGACACACAGGCTTCTGATCCAAAAGACTCTCTCATAAGACTGCTCACTCTTTTGGAAAATAGAAATAGGATTTGTCAGATTTTTCTATCAACCAAAGACATCATGTTTTAATGTGTGCTTGCTGACCAAACTTGTTCTTCTAATTCTGTTGGTAGTGTTTATAAGGCATGAATAACTCTTCTGGATAATGCTAGGTGATCCTAATTATAGATTTCCCAAGTCAAACACAAACTAAACATAACAAGATATTTTTCATGGTGTCCTTAATCTTGACCCTTCAGGCCAGGGACAGGTGGCAACAAGGCCTTTCAGAGTACACACTGATGCATCATTCTGGAGAATGAGGAACTGCACTGAAGCCAAGGCTTGCATTTTTGAGCCCATGAATGCAATGACATGAAGAATCAAGAGGGCATTTGGCCCCCCATGCAGGCACAGGCCCCACATGCCAACCTTGACCTTGGTCAGAAGGATTGGCAATGCCCTTTCAGAGTGGTTTAGATGACCCAGGATTGGGTCTTTCTGTATTTAAATATGGCCAGCATCAGGGGAATCCAGTAGCAAGCAGCTGAGTCTAATAGACAGGGCCACTCATCTGGGCCACAATTTCAACATTATCATTAGGAGAAATAGGCAAGGTCAAGCAGCAACCTAAGGCCCACGCTTCTTTTGGTGAAACACTCTTTCCGGGTCTGACCCAGTTAATAGCTAATTGGTAAGCTACAACTTATACAGCACTTACTATGTCTCAGGCACTGTTCTAAACAATGGGAATAATAACGATATGGACATTGTGACATTGTGAGAGCTAATGAACATTATCCATTCATACATATTTTTTATATATATATATATATATATATATATATATATATATATATATATATATATACACACACACATACACAACAATGTCCATATAATATTATTATTTTCACTTGCAGATAAGCGACCTTGGTCACAAAGAGTTAAATAACTTGTCCAAGATCACACAGCTAAGAGATTCCAAGGTCTGGGCACACTTGCTGCAAATGAGAGGTGCATGAACTTAGCATATTAAACACTGGTGTGTCACTGGTCTGAGAGAAGATCTCTAACCCAAGCTGGCCCAATAATTGGACCTGAGCTCATGGCCACTAATTGGTCCAAATTGTGTGGGTGTCACCCAAGTTTGTGCCAATCACAATATTTCCTGTGAGCGTTTGCCTCTGGAGACCAAGTTCAGAAGAAGCAAAGCAAAGAGCTGCAACATCATCTGTAGAAACTGGGAGAGATCAGCGCTCCAAAAACAGAGAAAAGCCAAGAGTGACAGCGAGTAAATCTTGGTGGAGTTCAGGTCTCTCAGTCTAGTTTTCGAGGTGCTGGATTTGCCTTTCCTTCCCAAAGCCTGGATTCTGGCTTTTAGTGGACGCTGAGAGCAACTCCATAATCTTCAGCTGGTTCCAGTTGGGTTCATGCATCTTGTCACCAAAAGTTGCACATACAGGAAAGTGACTGACTAGAAGAGGTCAGTGCAGATTCCCACCATCATCCTGCAGACCTGCGTAATGTGGCAGAGTGCCAGAAGTCATATTTAGTCTAAATGTTGTTGTTCCCTGAAGGACTTTCAATACGGTGATTAAAATTTCCAGGGATCATTCACCCAATGGTTTCAGAACATTTGGATAGTATCTGAACTCAGTGAATCTCTGCCTGCAGCATTTAGTTTGATCTATGGCCATCAACAGCACCCACCAGGAGGTGGAGGCCACGGCTTCATATGCTGTCCACTACTTGCCGATCAGTCTACATTTTTCAATGACTTATTGTCCTTCAAACCTTTGTCCACTAGATACTTACTTAATTTTAGTGATTGACAAGGACATTTCTACAGTTAGAAGCACATGCATCATCTGGAATAACAAAGGGTAGGGTTAGCCATGAGGTAGGGATAAAGTGCTGCGAAATATACATGGATTTTCTTCATTTGGCCAAAATGTGGCTTTTCTCTTAAGGTTGTCTTCCTTCTAACTAACTTATATTTTAATATCCTTATAACTTAGTCATTCAACAGGTTTTTCTTGAATGCCTGCTATATGTTAGACACTGTGCCAAGTATTGGGAGTACAGAGATGAAAAAGGCAGTATTACTGTCCTCAAGGAGATTCATCTAATGGTGGACTCAAACATAGCAAAGACCGTTGACAGCTTACTCAGCATCTGTAGCCCCTTCCTCCTTCTTAACAGACCCCTGCTCTTGTTCAGTTATCTGCCTTCTGCCACTTATGGGTCCAAGGACAAGGTGACCCCATTCCTGGCTTGAAGATTGTGCATGACAGTTCTAAGGGGAACCCCTTAGCCTTGCCAGGGATTAGTGCAGGAACCCAGGCCTGAGAGGGTCAGCACCCAGCCTTCCCAATTAAAAGACTGACTCAGAAGCAGCCACATGACCTCTAAGAGTTCAATGAGATAAAGAGGGAAAGTCTGCTGTCTCTTTCTCTGGCCACTGGATGTAGTAAAATCATTACAGCCAACTTGGAGATGAAGCCAGCACCTAGAGGATGGCAGGGCAAGAGAATCACAGAGAAACTCAGCAGAAGCACCCAGATTAGGTCAGCCCTGCAGCCCAATCAACCTGTGCAATCCCAGCAACAAGAGTCTAGATTTTTTGCCCATTATTTAAACCCCTTTGAGCTGGTCTGTTCCAATTGATAGAGACAACTGAATAGAAACTGAGAATGCAATGAAAAGTAGTGCAGAAGGCATTAGCGGATTGCTGAGGTTAAAGGATAACCACTGGCAGTCCCAGTGAGGGACGGGGTGTAATGGGCAGCTCAGGGCATGCTTTAAGCAGAAGAGACACCCAAGTGGAGCCTACAGGGATTATTAGGAGCTAACCAGATGAGGGAAGGAAGACAGTTCAGATAGAAGGAACAGCCAGACAGAAGAAGCACAGGAAGGAAAAACAGATCGAGGCTCAGCTTTTCTGAGTCACGAACTATAAGGTAGATAGTGGAAGGTGAGGCTAGAGCCAGACCATGAAAAATCTGGATACCATGAAGTGGAATTTCACATTGCCTGGTGACACCTTCCGTGACCACTCAGAGAAGCTCCCACTCCTCCAACAGCAAACTCTATCCCCTAACCTTGATATTTTTTTTTCTTCACAGCATTCATTACTGTCTGACATTATATTACTTATTTGTTTGTTTCCTGGTTTCTTATCTGTTTCTCTCACTGGAATGTAGCTCCATTAGAAAAGGGAATTTTGCCTTGCTTTCTGTTACATCCCTACCCAGAAGAACACTACCTGGCACATCACACGCAAAGAATAAATTCTTATTAAGTGGCTGAGTGAATAAATTCCTGCCCCTATCACCAGAACAATCTAATTTATGAGGGTCTTATCAGGAAAAACCTAAAACCTGAGTCTGAAATTGTGACCATCATTTCTTATTCTATGTTCAGTTTTCCCATTTTGCAATCTCTGCTCTTCTCATATCATCCTATGATAGCTCCCATGCAATCATCCTGGAAAAACCTGGGATGCCTCTATATCATATATGTCATCTGTAATATCCAGCAATGCCAAGCATCCAAAATGACCCAAAGAGACTATAATTACTTTAAGGTCAAATGGAATTCAGGATGTTAGTGTGATAGAGGTGTGACACAGAGGGACAGAGACAAGAGGAATGCAGGTCTAGGTGGGTGAAGAACAGACTTTAAGATGCATGTCTCTCCCTCTCCCTCTCCCTCTCCCCATGGTCTCCCTCTCCCCACAGTCTCCCTCTCCCTCTCTTTCCACGGTCTCCCTCTGATGCCGAGCCGAAGCTGGACTGTACTGCTGCCATCTCGGCTCACTGCAACCTCCCTGCCTGATTCTCCTGCCTCAGCCTGCCGAGTGCCTGCGATTGCAGGCGCGCGCCACCACGCCTGACTGGTTTTCGTATTTTTTTGGTGGAGATGGGGTTTCGTTGTGTTGGCCGGGCCGGTCTCCAGCTCCTAACCGCGAGTGATCCGCCAGCCTTGGCCTCCGGAGGTGCCGGGATTGCAGATGGTGTCTGGTTCACTCAGTGCTCAATGGTGCCCAGGCTGGAGTGCAGTGGTGTGATCTCGGCTCGCTACAACCTCCACCTCCCAGCCGCCTGCCTTGGCCTCCCAAAGTGCCTAGAGTGCAGCCTCTGCCCGGCCGCCACCCCATCTAGGAAGTGAGGAGCGTCTCTGCCTGGCCGCCCATCGTCTGGGATGTGAGGAGCCCCTCTGCCTGGCTGCCCAGTCTGGAAAGTGAGGAGCGTCTCTGCCCAGCCGCCATCCCATCTAGGAAGTGAGGAGCGCCTCTTCCCGGCCGCCATCCCATCTAGGAAGTGAGGAGCGTCTCTGCCCGGCCGCCCATCGTCTGAGATGTGGGGAGCGCCTTTGCCCCGCCGCCCCGTCCGGGATGTGAGGAGCGCCTCTGCCCGGCCACGACCCCGTCTGGGAGGTGAGGAGCGCCTCTGCCCAGCCGCCCCATCTGAGAAGGGAGGAGACCCTCCGCCTGGCAACCTCCCCGTCTGAGAAGTGAGGAGCCCCTCCGCCCGGCAGCCGCCCCATCCGGGAGGGAGGTGGGGGGGTCAGCCCCCCGCCCGGCCAGCCGCCCCGTCCGGGAGGGAGGTGGGGGGGGTCAGCCCCCGCCACCGGCCAGCCGCCCCGACCGGGAGGGAGGTGGGGGGGTCAGCCCACCAGCCGCCTCGTCCGGGAGGTGAGGGGCGCCTCTGCCCGGCCGCCCCTACTGGGAAGTGAGGAGCCCCTCTGCCCGGCCAGCCGCCCCGTCCGGGAGGGAGGTGGGGGGGTCAGCCCCCCGCCCGGCCAGCCGCCCCGTCCAGGAGGGAGGTGGGGGGGGTCAGCCCCCCGCCTGGCCAGCCGCCCCATCCGGGAGGGAGGTGGGGGGGTCAGCCCCCCGCTCGGCCAGCCGCCCCGTCCGGGAGGTGAGGGGCGCCTCTGCCCGGCCGCCCCTACTGGGAAGTAAGGAGCCCCTCTGCCCGGCCACCACCCCGTCTGGGAGGTGTGCCCAACAGCTCATTGAGAACGGGCCATGATGACAATGGTGGTTTTGTGGAATAGAAAGGGGGGAAAGGTAGGGAAAAGATTGAGAAATCGGATGGTTGCCGTGTCTGTGTGGAAAGAAGTAGACATGGGAGACTTTTCATTTTGTTCTGTACTAAGAAAAATTCTTCTGCCTTGGGATCCTGTTGATCTGTGACCTTACCCCCCAACCCTGTGCTCTCTGAAACATGTGCTGTGTCCACTCAGGGTTAAATGGATTAAGGGCGGTGCAAGATGTGCTTTGTTAAACAGATGCTTGAAGGCAGCATGCTCGTTAAGAGTCATCACCACTCCCTAATCTCAAGTACCCAGGGACACAAACACTGCGGAAGGCCTCAGGGTCCTCTGCCTAGGAAAACCAGAGACCTTTGTTCACTTGTTTATCTGCTGACCGTCCCTCCACTATTGTCCTATGACCCTGCCAAATCCCCCTCTGTGAGAAACACCCAAGAATGATCAATAAAAATAAAAAAAAAAGATGCATGTCCAATGTAGGTTAGTCTTATGAAGTTTAAGAATTCCAATATCATCGCCAGCTGTTAGAGGTGAAGGAAACCTACTCCAGAGATCATCTAGCTGCCTTGCTACTCTAAGTAGCAGCATTGCATCACCTGAGAGCTCATTCACAATCCCACCTGTCAACAAGGGAGAATTCATGTGCACGTCTTAAAGCCCTGCTTTACCCCATTCACCCAGCAGTAACATCCTAGGTCTTCTGCTTGGACTATCCAGCTTCATCTTGCTCACAGTCTTCATAAAATGTAATTCTGTTTCCCATATTTAAAAAACAAGGAATGTCACAAAGAAATCTGATCCCTAACTTTGTTTTGAAAAATCTGAAATCTGGCAATCCCAAGTGTGTGCATTCCACAGGTCACCAACTGACAGGAGGTGAGCAGTGGCTCCCCTTGGGGAGGTAAGCTCCAGTTTCTGCAGTCACCCTTGATACCTGTCTAGATAGGCATTTTCTTTCCAACCTGTCATCTGGTCTAACAGAACTCATCTTACAGAAAAAGAAAACAGGCTTAGAAGGGTTAAGCATCTCGGCTAAAGAATCACAGCTAGTACAATGCTCATTCACTTCTACTATCCTGCCTAAGTAATAGGTAAGTGACTTCATTGTTACCTTGAAGATGAGAGAACTGAAGTGTTTTTAAAGAACTCACTGGCTCCTTTAAAATCAATAAAAAAATAAACAACAAAAATACCCTGATTTCCCAACACTGAAAAGGAAGGGAGAATCTCCCCATGGGGTAGGAAGGCTGAAGATTCCCTGCAGGGCTGCACCACATGCGAAGACTCATCTTGAGAGATGGTCCTTCCCTTGATGATTCACTCAAGATCATTTCACCATTCCTTATGGGAAAGGAAGTCTCGGGAAGCAGACAAAACGCCTCTGCAAATGGAGTTTATGCCTTCACTGACAACAAGGGAAGATTCTAGTGGGATACCATGAATTGACCATAATGCAATCAGTGACTGACTCAGTGTATTAGGCTGATCAGACTTCCATTACCAAATACCATGGAGTGTGTGGCTTAAACAACATAAATCCATTTTCCCACAGTTCAGGAAGCCAGAAGTACCACATCAAAGTGTCAGCAGGGTCACTATCTGGTGAGGGCTCTCTCCTCGGGTTTTAGATGGCCACCTGCTCTCTGTGTCCTCACGTGGCCTGGCCCTCTGTGTGTGCGCATGAAGATCACTCTCTCTTCCTCTTCTTATAAAGTCACCAGTCCTATAGGATTAGGACTTTACCTTATGGCTTCATTTATCCTTTACTACCTCCTAAAAGCCCTATCTCCAAATACAATCACACTCACTGCTAGGGCTTCAACATAAGAATTTTTGAAAGACACAGTTCAGTCCATAACACCCAGACTCATATAAGTACCAGAGATAAAAGTCAAGGGTAGAATTCCAAATTCCAAATCCAGACTAGGCTGCCACACCATATAATTATTGGCTATTTTTATATTTCTGGATTTATCAAGTTCCCCACTCCCCTATTTCTCACTCTCAAAATTAGTGATAAAAATAAATAATTAATTGTTACAAAAATAAATAATTCCAACAAATAAAATCCATTCTAATAGTATAGTGCTTCATAGTTATCTCATTTGAAATCGTAATATACATGATTTCCCTCTCATTTCACAGATTAGAAAATAACCTGTCCAAGGTCACAGAGAAAATAGGTGCTCAAAACTGATACTCAAACCCATATTCTTTAACTGTTTGAAGGCACTTATTTCTGTAACCAAAGGGATATCCAAAGAGAAGAACATGGTGTCATTTAGGTAACCTGGTGAGAATCATTGAGAAGACAACATAATATATTTAAAGAAAGTATAGAACAATAGTTAAGAACTTACACTGAGAATGGAAAGACAGATGCTCAAGCCCCAATTCTGCCAATAATCAGCTGTATGAATTTATTGTGCTGTGTGGATGTGACTCAACCTTCCCAGGCTTCCATTTCTTCATCTATTAAATAGGGTTAATAACAACACTTGTCTCATTCTGAGAGTCAAACAACATAATGTGTGTAAAAATGCTTAGCCCAGTGCCTAACACATGGAGTAAATATTCAATAAACGAGAAGCAATTCTGATACATCAGCCTGGAAAGAAAGATATCTAACTGCAGCACCTAGAAAGATCTGAGAGGTCTGTAAGCCAAAAAAATTAGGTATAGAGGAAAAATGAAAAAAGAAATCTTATTCCTCTAATCTAGCAACAAGAGACTCCAGGGAAAGCAGAAATTGTGATGTATAAACAGCTTTGAGATTACAATATAAATTAATCAAGGGAATTACTCTTCCTTCCAGAGGATTAAGACTAAGGTGCAATGGCCTGAAGCTACAGAAGGGGGAATTTGGGTTAGATACAGCAAGACAAGAAAGTTCTCGGCAGGGAAAGTAATTAGGAAATGAAACAGACTCCCTGGGGTTGGGATGGAGGAATTTTCCCTGGCAGTAATCAAGGAGAAATGAGGGGAAGAGGACGAGGCAGGCAAGGATTGCAAAATACCCATCAATTAGAAGAAATGGTTAGCTGGTTACCTTTTTTAAAGGATCCATCAAGCATGTAATTGACAGTCATCTATAACCAAGAACTAGCAATTGTTGGTGGTCAGTGAGGGCTTAGGAGGGATGCAGGATATGGATGCTGACCTCAGGAAGCTTACAGTCCAGTAGAAAAGGCAGATTTTCCCAGACAAAAAGGCTTAAAATGTATAGAGGGTGGATTAGTACCATTTAACCTTGCCAGCTACTTTCCCCCTTAATACCACTCAATTATTTCATTGGTTTTTGTTTTGACAGATTCCACTGAGACAGAACAAAATGTCTGAGTTAGGTTTCAAAATAGATATGATTAATTTTATGTAGACGTTCAAAATTTATTTTTTCCTGTGGGCTAAATGAGACGTTAGAGTGGAACATTATCTTGGTGGGGGCAGAGTGATGAGATAATACAGTGACTCTTTGGCACACAAGAGAAAAAACAGAAAACGTTATAAGAGAAAAACTAAGATTGATACCTGATTGTTTGGTGAAGACATTTGTCTGAGAGGAAAATCATGGTAGCCTGGAGGAGTCAAAGATATCCACTTGGAAAGAGGTGAGATTCAAGTTAGACACTGGCCTGAATCATGATGGATTTAAGAGAGTAGATAGATAGCACTGGCTATCTATCACCACAATATTGCTCTGTAGCAACCACCCGCCCCAAACTCAGCAGCTTAAAACAATAGACATGTATTAATTCTCACAGTTCTGTAGGAAGCCTGGGTGGCTCTGCTGATCTGGACCAGGCTTGGCTAAGTTTTCCTGGGCTTGCTCCTGTGTTGGTAGCCAGCTAGCGTGGAGGCTGGTCTGGCTGGTCAAGGATGGCCGTGGCGGGATGGCTCCTTTCTGCTTCCCACCATCTTCATCTCCTGTAGGCTTGTTTGGGCCAGTTCTTGTGTCCATGTCAGGATTTTCGGAGAGCATGTGAGAAGCAAGGCTTCATGAGGCCAGTGCTCAGAACTCAGCATTCCCCTGACCATCCCCATATCCTCTTGTTGAAGGAGGAGGAATTCCGGTCAAATTTATCCCTGCCTCTTTTTTGGCTCAGTACAGATAATGAGGGAAGGGGGATAATTTTGATTAATATAATGAAGAACTAAACTCAAAGAGAAATGGGGAAAGGGGGAAAAAAGTGAGAGGCTGTTGTGCTCCCATTTAGAGAGAGTTTTATGGGGAATTTAGAGGAAAGCAGAGGCTGGGGGTGGCACATGGCAGTAAAATTTATGTACAAAAGATGAAAAAAGCAGATTCAAAACTTCTGCTGTGAGTGAGACTGAGATTAAACTGCTTTACACTTTTTATTAGTTTGGGACTGCCATTGCTCTGAGTGCAACTCTGTGCAGCCTGCCCTTGGTTTGGTGGGTGGACAGGACCATGGCGCCCACTGGGAGCAGAACACCATCAGGCTCATGCTCCAGTCTAATAAACATCTCACATCTACCTTTGCTCAGGGCTGACCATTTGGCACCTAACCAAAGGGATAAATCAATCCTAACTCTGAATGAAGGCTGGAAATGAAATTGTCTCCAGAAAGAGATGGCCTATTCATCTGACCACTCATAAATTTTGCCTTCATTTGAAATTGGAAGAAATCTTACAGATCCTTCTTCCTGATTAAGAATGTCATAAATCCCAGGGATCGGAGGGATACACAAACTTTCTCTGGCTTCTGAAGTCTAATACCTTCTGAAGCAGAATAGTATCTATGGCACTCAGAGAAGTTCCCTAATATTTTGTTCTGTGACCTCAGAAACTGACTGCAGAAAATCACAATTTGCTAACTCAGAAACATTTTCCAATTATTTCTGAAAACACGCCTTTAACTTGAGACTCTACTTTCTGTATGTTCATTATCAGTGTGAAGGGATATTCAGAGAGACTCAAAGCACTATACATTGGCTGTCTAGCGTTAAAGAAAAAAATTTTCAATGATACTTGTGAAACATGGTGAGGAAGAC
Organism: Homo sapiens; assembly: GCF_000001405.40. Lineage (NCBI taxonomy): Eukaryota > Metazoa > Chordata > Mammalia > Primates > Hominidae > Homo > Homo sapiens. The sequence continues at coordinate 16,387,982 of NC_000004.12, read as the reverse complement.
TTTATTCAAGACCATCACAAATAGGCACAGCAACTATGGCAATGGGATTTTGCAGTACAGAGAGGTTGCACTCAACTCCAAATACAGCATGGGCAAGTGGGAATCTATAGCCAAGGAGCCCTGGGGAGAAGTGGGAGGGGAGCCAGTGGATGAAAAATTACTAAGAGGACACATCAGGGGAAAGAAGGATTCTGGCTCAATTTTGACCTAAGAGGATTCTTGCTGAAGATGGTACAGGGTGATCAGACATCACAGAGGACACAGTAGAGGGTGAGGAATCTGATCAGATATCAAGGCTGATCAGGTATCGAGGATGGGGAATTCTTGCCAAAGTGACTCAGCAGTTATTTGCTAAAAATGGATTTTACTAGAAAGTGCATAGATGAGCCTAGGAGAAGGTTCAGGAGCCTGACTAAAGTTTGGCCAAGAAACACATCTTTGTCACTAGTTTCATAAGGAAAATGCTATTTCAGGAGTCTGTTACCCATATCAATGACTGAAGAACAAGTTAATGATTTAATGAATTAGCAGTTGTTCTCATCGTAGCACTTACCCCCTGAAGATTTCTAAGCATAGTGGAAAAAGGATAGACTGAGGACATGCTGTTGCCTGAAGATAATGCCCTTTTTGCATGGCAGCCAGCAGCAAACAGAAAGCAGAGCCATGTGGGATCAAAGTCCAAGACTTGGAAAGCTGCTCTGGTCCCTTGAAATCTCAAAAGCTGAGGGCTGCCCTTATAAGATCACATCAAACTTCTTAAAATCCTTCAAGGGTTTCCTGAGTCTTTAGGGAAAAGTTCCACTCTTAGGGGCCAACAAGGATGCTTATGCTCAGGTCCCTGTCCACCCCCACCCCAGCATCACCTCCATCCAGCTGCCCCATCCACCACCCCTCACATACATGGGATATCTCAGACTAGTCAGTAAGGTCTAGTGAAAAACAGTCCAGAAGCCACTCCTGGTACATGTACACTGCAAAACTTCCCCAGCTGATGTGTCTTTGTACATTTCATTCTACTGCTTGGAAGGCTCCCTCTGCAGCTCCAGATGTTGAAGAAAATCCTCTCAACTCACAACTCCTCCCCTTGGAAGACTTCCTTGACCACTCTAGGCAGCCATAAGCTTCCTCCACTACAATCCCCTGGAGCCATGCACACTCTTTTGTCCATAGCACTTACTTCACTGCCCTAAAACTGTGTGTTTGCTGTCTTGTCTGTCAAGCAGAAAGGAATTTTCTAAATATCCACCAGGGATCACTAATATAAAGACAATCAGCACAGGGCAAATTGGTCCAAGTATTTACATTAGCTCCTCTTGGTCATACGAGAGGTTACCAAGTACATGTAATAGACCAGAGATCCTCAGCAGATAATCTGTATCTCTTCAGAGCTGAGGCCAGGTTGATTCACTCATTTATTCATCTATACATATTTGTTGAGTGGTAGTTACCTGCCACCATATCAATTATCTGTTGCTCTATGCCAAATGACTTCAAAACTTAGAGGCTTGAAGCATCCATAACCTTTGTTTGGTCACCATTCTGCAATTTTGGCAAATCTTAGTGGGAACAGTTTGTGTCTGCTCCACGTGGTGTTGGTGGGACAGACCAACCCGAATTAGGGGACACAAGATCACGTCACATCTACATGTGCCTAGTGGCCCGGCTCCAGTGACCAGAAAGGCCTCTGTGTGGCTGTGGATCTCTTCCGTCATGCTCTCTCGCCCTCCAGGCTCTGTCTCCCTAGGCGGTCTCTACAGCAGGATAGCCTGGGCAGGGTATCTCCCTTTTTCCAGAGGAAAAAGGCAGAAATTGCAAGGCCTCTTGAGACTTAAGCTCTAAAATATGCACCCTGTCACTTCTGCCACATTCTATTGGTCAAAACAAGTCACAAAGCCAGCCCATATTCAAGGAGTGAAGAAATAAGATGCCGTACCATCTCCTGAAGGGAGGTGCCAAGGGGTGGGGTGTAGGGACCATCCTGAAAGGCCTAAGACATCCAGGCAGGGTTTAGGGTACTGGAAATACCCAGTATCTATTGCTATGATCGCTTTTTATTGGTGAATGAGACACAGTTTCTGTCCTCCAGACAGGAAATGGATTAGTAGATAATTACTAAACATTAAATTAGGTGCCACCGGCATCCACAGGTTGGGTAACATTTTCAGCCTTGGGAGTCAAGACAATGATTGCAAAGAATACTATAAATCTCTCTGCTAAAGAAGGTGTGATGATGATGGGGAAAAAAGAATATTTACATTGTCTTCCCAAAATACTTGCAGACTCCTCAGGAGCCTTAAGGCATATCCTCTCCATTCAGACTTCTCTCTCCATAGGTTGGTCCTCTTCTTGTCTCCCAGAAGATTTGCATTCACATTTCCATTCTCAGGCATCAGGCAAACATTTTTTTAAAATGCCATCATAAACACCCCAGAGAAATTGTTGCTGCTGCTTGTGTCCAGCTGCTGTGAGGTTTGGTCATCTTTGGCCCCCTTTGGAATTTCAGATGTTCACCTGCGCATCCCACTACCTCCCCACTGCACTCTGATTGAATTAATAGATTGTATATTTTAACCGCAAGAACTTTATTTCCCAAGAACTAGCAGCTTCTAAACTTCTGAGAATCTGACCAGAGCGACACATCTTTTCTCTGGAAAAGCACATACTTGGATTTCACTTACCCTATCAGAGGATCCACAGACCACTAAATCCCAAGTAAGAATCCACTGTCCTGATTTTGCTATTTTGTCTCTGCATCTCGACTGCTTGGAACAGTGCCTGACACATGAATGAATGAATCAGTGACTCAATGAACGAATCGATTAACTGATTGATATTTGAGAACACCAATATCACTTTCAGTTGTCTCTGGTTTAAGCAGAATCAGAGCCACCTCTCCCTCAAATCTACACTGTCATCTCAATGGTTAATCAAGAACAAGGAGGGGAGGATTCCAGAAGTATTCAAAGTCAAATCCTTCCAGTTGGCAGTGAGTCTGAGCATTTAGAAGAGGCTTCTCTAAGGTAACTCACCAATCCTTGTCTCAGCCCGGATCACCGCCTAAGCCTGTGTCAAGGATGGGAGCTTAGCTGTTGGTCACATTATCCCACCTCCTCTGCCTCCACTTTTTCCTTCTGACAGAGGATTTCTTTTGAGTTTCGTGTAAAGAGAAAATATAAGGGCTGCCAGAAGGAAGACACAGCTGTCAGCCACTTCCAAACTCTTTCCGGATTTAGAGAAAGAAGGGGGAGGCTCTGGGCCCTTTTGTAAATAAGTGAACCGAAGCCTCAAATGCAACAGGCTGGATTGCCCCAGTGTGGCCAGGCCTGATAATTCAATTTAATGATATCTTTTCTCTTCTCTTCCCCTCATCCCCCCGTTCCCCAAGGAGCAGAGAAGGCTTTGTAGACTTGATTTCATTAGTCTTCAGGAAATCCTGGGGCAAGATGCTGCATCCTCGTGTGCCTGCAGAAACTGTCTGTGGGGAGAAGAGGCTTGCGGAGGTCACAGGATGCTTGTGCTCCAAATGCAGACAGCTGCGCTCTACCTCTGATTCTGCAGAGGGACTCCGGGACAAAAGTGGCAAATAAGTGAGTGCCTTGGTAGAGGGAGCCCTAATCCACTTAAGTTCTACATCAGTTACCCCAGACACAAGGATCCCCAAATAACCTATCATCTAACAAAAACCTGTATCTGACCTATACTGAATAAAACCTATACAATACCCTATATCTAATGAAAGCCTATAGTAACAATAATCTATAATCTATAGTATAATATGAATTACGTGTAATATAACCTATAATAAGAATAAGCTGTATCTAATAAAAGCCTAAATAATTTATATCTAATAAAACTTTGGCAATTAATTAGAGTTTAAGATCAGGCCCCTGGCCCCTTTACAACCAGATAAATGGCCCTAATCTCCTTCTGTGAAGACACCCTGGAGCTACCACTGCCAAAGGCAAGGAGAGGCTGAAGAAAAGGGGAGCCAAGGACCCTCCTAGAGCTACTTCTCTCTTAGACATCTGTGCATTGCTTCATTTGAAGACAAGGTTCAAGTCCTATTTTTTCAAAAGATAGAAAACCTCTGCTCTCGACTTGACTGCCCAAAGAAGATCAAATTAGGCTATGAAGAGAATTTGGCCAGAATAACAAAATTCTTAAATCACAGCACCACTGAGAAAGAAAACTGTCAATGATTCATAAATTGGCTGGCAGGGAGGTTTGGTAGCTCTTGCTTAAAGTCACCATTTGGGCATTGCCATTATTTTTTAAGTTTGCAGATTAAAGAAGTATACAATTTCCTTGCTTAAGCGTGCAGCCTGTGTCAAGTATCTTGTATTTTTCTCTCAAATTTAATTTCACAGCATGAATGACCCTGGAAAAGTTTAATGTCTCTAAGTCTCAGATTCTGCATTTGCAAAATGGAGATAATAATACCTACTGAATAGATGCCCAAAGAATGGAAGAAGGCCGAGTGTACTACTTTGCATGCAGGAGGCTCACACTTGTTAAAATTTCTGTTAGGGAAGTGAAATTGGTTTTGTTCCATTCTCTGTTTCTCTGAATTAACACAGTATGCTCCTAATGTTTGTAGAAAGAATGAATATGCTCTAAGATCATATAAAAATGACTTAAACATGGTACAGTGTTTTGGAATGTCTACCTTATGATTCAATGATAAAGCATCAACAATCAAAACTAGTTACATGTTCAGTACGCAAAATGTCACCAGAATGACAGAAGGTGCCAATTAAGTAATTTATTATGGAAACATGTTGAAAGCTTCTAAAACTATGTGCAAAGGGACCATTCTGTTACTTAGATCTACATTTTACTGGTAAATTTATGTCAATAAAATGACACAAATTCATTCTCATTAGGCATAATGAGTTCATTCAACTCAACTAATAATGTGGAACATCTGGCAGGGTGGCCTTCCAACATGCTCTTTTCAGTGATGTCATAGAGCTTGTTGATTTGTGTCCCCTTAAGGGCACCAAGAGGTGAAGGTCAGCTGGCTGGTCAGTGCACAACGGCTGTGAGACCCACCTCTCATTTTCTATTGTGGGCTGAGTCATGTCACTAAAGTCACATTATGCAAAGTATATTCTAAACAAGTCTAGTCCTTTGAGATCTTAAGAGGCAGGGAGGGAGGGAGGGAAGGAGAAGGAAGGAAGGAAGGAAGGAAGGAAGGAAGGAAGGAAGGAAGGAAGGTAGGAAGGTAGGTAGTGCAGAGAGGGACAAGTCGGGAGGGAGAGAAAAGAGAAATTCCACCATCTTTTATGTTAGGCAAACACAGAATTAAACAATATTTATTAAAGGACTTCTCAGAACCTTTACAAATAACTCTGCATTATGACTTTCTAAGTGGAGGATTAGAAAGCCTGTGTTTAGTGCTCTACTCGCATGGTGTATTAAAAGGACTTAGGCTCCATGAAAATCACTCAGAAAGATACTGGAAAAAATATTGTAGCCCTGGTTCTTCTTTTTTCTGAGTATGACTCAAGTCAATGTTCTTTGCTGAGGCTCCTGCAAAGCCTTCAATTGTTGTCTTAGTCTGTTTGGGCTGCTATAAAAAAGTCCCATAAACTGAATGGCTTATAAACAACATAAATTTATTTCTGTCAGTTCTGGAGACCAGTAAGTCTAAGATCAAGGTACCAGCAGATTCAGTGTCTCGTGAGTGCCCGTTTCCTTGTTCTTAGATGCCATCTCTTCGCTGTGTCTTCACATGGCAAATGGGGCAAGGCAGCTCTCTGGGGCCTCTGTTATAAGGATGCTCTGCACTTGTGGCCTAATCACCTTCCAAAGGCCTCATCTCCAAATGCCATCACGTTGGGGATTAGGTTTCAACACATAAACTTTAGGTGGACACAAACATTCAGTCCATAGCAACTATCCTCACAGCAGTTACTTCAGGCATTGTAAGAAGAACGTTACACTGTGTGGGTGTGTCGCCAATCTTTGACTTTCTCAGTGACCTTCAAAGCCAGCATGAAGTGACCCTTTAGGCACTGCAGTAGGTTGATGCCAGCCTTTCCCAGGTGGAACTCCCAGGCAGAAGAAGAACTGGAGTGAGACATTACCTAAATCTCATCTTTAGGCAGGGCCAAGCTTAAACTAGGGTGTCTTACTCAGACATCAGATGTGGAGTTCAAGGAGCAGAAACAGTAGAAAATGCAAAGGTTCTAAGCCCACATATCCATTAAACATGAGCAAGGGACAAGAACAAAAGGAATTCTGGAAACAAAAAAAAAGATGGGTTCATGGCATGGATAAGACTGGGGAGATGCAGTGACTGAGGGGGTCGGTCTGATTCAAAAGCCCAGGGTGCATGCTGACAGACAAGGTCCTAAACAAGTTCTAAGCAAGACAGACTGTCTGTTGGGACGCCCAGGCTCACAAGCTGGTGGGCATCTGGAATTGCTTTTATTATTGACAAAGATTTTTTGCTTGCCTAAACTTTAGTTATGCTCCTGAAAACTTCCTAGGCCCATCTGTGTACCTCCCTGTAAAATCCAATTTTGACAAGTAACTTTCCTGAGTCAATCTGTCAGGAAGTTCCTGACATCAATGACTGATCGATAGGTGGTTAGGCTCTTCATCCTCCACCATCCCCAGGTGATATCTGATCACCCTGGCCTGTCTTCAGCAAGAATCCTATTAGGTCAGTTTAGACAGAATCCCACTTGCTCCTGCTGTTTCCTTTTAGACATTTTCCATCCACTGACCCCTACACTGCTCCCTGGCTATACGTTCCCATCTACCCATGCTGTCTATATTCAGCATTGAGCCCAATCTCTCTCCTTTAATGCAAAAATCCCATTACCGCAGTCTCTATACCTCTCGTGATGGTCTTGAGTAAACTCTTATCACCACGCTTTAACAAGAATCACTGACTCACTTTTTCTTCAACACTATCATAGTCATGCAATTCAACAAGTCTGGGGTGAGCCTTTTGTCCCTACAAGACCTCTAGACACCTAATCACCATTGCATCTGCCTCCATTTCCAGTTTGGCTCCTGATAAGCACATTAGTTTTTCACTGAGATTGTAGGCTGACAACCTGCCTTCTCCCTGCCAGACTGTTTCCCTAACCATGATTTGCTTCTGAGCCCCAGCTGCCATAAAGAATCTGGTATCAAAACAGAAAGACCATGCAGAGCAAGAATATTGCTACCATCATGGCTTCTGCTTCCATACGATTTGGGGACTCTTGAGGAGAGGAAGAGAACACCCATCAAGAAAGCACAGAACCACAATGGGCAGGGTCCTTGTGTTGAGCTTTCAGCTGCCTTTCACTTATCTCACTTTTTATTTTATCCCTTAACACTAGTATTTCATCCTGCATTGAGACACTCTGGGTTTCCATCCCCTTTTCTTCTGAAAACAGTCATAAAATAGTCATATTAAAGAATAGCATATATCTATATAGATACATGTATTGGTATTGTTACCGTAGGTAACTAGTCAGACATGAGCAAGGCAGGCGAGGGCTCCCCACTACCAGGAATGTCAGGCAACCATTAGAAGATGGTCAGGCAGCTGTCAACTGTCTCTCGAAAATAATAATTGGTCACAGCCAGCGCCACGGAAAGGCAATCTCCCTATAGATAGAAAAAACCTAAAACTGGTGATCAGCAGCTTCCCAGTACAATCTCAGGAGTTGAGTGAGTGGGCTCGAGCATGCAAACTAAGAGGCAAAATGGTGGAGTTTAACTGATATATGACCTTCCAGGAACATTCCACCAGTAAGGGAAGAACACCTCAAGCGAGCATGCGTACAACTACAGTAAACACACTGCATGCTCCCCTCCCAAGTACTAGCAGGTAACCATGCATAAAGTGCTCTAAAGCTTTTTAATAAGCTTTCACTTCTCTTAAAATTTGTCTCAGTGTCTCCTTCTGCCTTATGCCCCTCAGTCTAATTCTTTCTTCTGAGGAGGCAAGAATTGAGGTTGCCACAGATCCATATGGATCCACCACCAATAACATACTTTGGTGCTATGTGACTCTGATACATCCCCTAGTGTTAAGACACCTCTATGCCTCGCCTTCTTTGGCTGGAGGCATTCAATCCCTGTATGCAGTTTTCTTCTCCCCTTTCTCTCTCCTGCTTACTAACCAACCACCAGAGCAATTTCTCTTGGCCATAAGTGACTCTGCTCCCCTCAGTTGATTTCTCAGCTCACCCTGATGGGTGGCTCATCGGGGCAGGAAGGACCTTAGGGTCTGCACTGAGTATAACTGAGGCACTAATGGCCCTCCTGGACAGGAGGCTTGCAAGAGCAGTAGGGCTAAAGCCTAAAACCATGCAATGTCTGGGGTTTCCTCTGCTTTTTCAACTACAGTTGACTCTTTCACAAAAACCTGCACTGCCCATTCTCCTGTTTTCTCTGTGTGTGTTCTGAAATGGCCTTAAGCACCCTGCCTCTTCATTATTTTCACTTAGCATGCCACATAACTTCTTAAACACACACTCCCTGTTATTCGTACACCTGCGGCTTTTGCTGCATTTGTGTGGGAGCAAAGACACAGGCTCCCTTGTAACAAGTATAAATCTCTGGGGAGATTTGTACTTCTTTTTACCCTAAGTCTCAGATGACCTTCAACCCTTCCCCTGTCTGCTGGCACATTGCCGGGACAGACACTAATTGGAATTCCAGCTCTGCCAGATCTTTATGACTTACCATATGTTTTTCATTCCTGTTATGCCGCAGGGCCGAGTTTTCCAGTGGCATTTGAAGCAGTTTCTTCGCCCGCATAGGGTCTCACTCTGGCCCTTTAAGGATTCCACCTACTTGCTTTTTTTGAGTTAGCACCCCTTTGGGCGGAAAGAAATTCTTCATTTGCCATTTGTGAGTTCTCACCCCAAGTCCCAAGTCCTCCAGAGGTTCCTCCTTTATGTCGAGAGGGCACATAAAGCCCTCTTGAATCCAAGGGCTGCTATTTTTGTGAGCATGAGTAGTCCTCTCACTTCCTTCCACTTCCTCCTACAGCCTCCACTTCTCCAATTACTTCCACACCATTCTCAATATGCATCAAGACCTTCAAGATTATATTTGAAGGTAGTGGAGAGGGAAGTTCAGCCCCATGTGGCAGTTATCTAAAAAACAGGCTTCTTGTCACTTAAAAGACCATGGGAAATAGGAATCTGTAAAAAGAGATAATCTTTTTTTTTTTTTTTTTTTTGCTGGAATGCTCTGAACGACACTATTAGGTCATGGAGACAAGGATATAGGCTGGCCCAAGGCCTTGGGTGCAAGGAATCCATAGGACAGAATTGAAGGGTGGTCCCAGGCTAATAGATTACCATTAGAACAGAGATGAAAGGTTAGGGGGCACATGACGCGACTGGTTACTTCAGAACCCCAAGGATGAAGAGGGGGCCCACTGTTCACTGCATATCTCCTCTACTTTCAAGTGGGCAATCGTGACAAGATGGGACCAAGGGTACACCATAAGACTGGTTCATTCCAGGACCCAGAGGACGATGGGGGACGCCTCATTCAGGACAACAGGAAAGTAGAGGGAACACCTTCTTTTTTCTTTTTTTCTCCTTTATTCTCTCTTCACAGATGGGTAATCATGTCTCCATACCACAGGACATGCCCCATGGATGCATCCCCCAAAATTGAGAAAAGTTTGATTCCCCTAAACCTTAAAACAAAAAACTAGTTTTCCTTTGTAATACTGTTTGGCTTTAAAATGAACTGTGAGGAAATTACAAAAATCAGCCTTGGAACCCAGTGTCCCTGTGCAGGAGGTCCTCAGGTTAGCCTCTTCAGTCTTTTATAACTGAGAGCGGAATAAGGAGGACAGGAGCTAAGGCTGTTAAGTGATCAGGGCAAATGGCATCCCCTCTCTCCAAAACAAAAGATTCACACTCCGCCTGACATTCCTGGTGGTGGGGAGCCCTCTCCTGCCCTGCTCACGTCTGACTAGCTACCTACTGTAACAATAGAATGCATACTTATAATTTAAAAATAAAAACAATATAAAAAGCCCAGTATTCACCGTGCAGTTTAACAAATAGAACATTGTCAGCACAGGTGAAGCCCTCTGTGTATGTCTAATGGATTACATCACCGTCTTAAACTCTCTCATTAAAAAAAAAAAACTACTATCATAAATTTTATGTTAATCATTCTCTATCTGTCCTGAGGATTTTGCCATGGTTATTCCCAAACAATATAATGTTTAGTTTTGCCAGTTTTTGAACTTTGGATAAAATAAATCATATTGAATATATTCTTTTATAACTTGCTCTTCAAACTCAACTTTGAGAACCATAAGGATAAATATAACTCTAATTTCTTGAATTCCATTGCTGTACAGTATTTCACTGTTTGAATGCAGCAAACTTTTTTCTCAACTCTAATGTAAAGTGACATTCGAATGTTTTCAGCATTTTTATTCTTGTATATGGGCCCTATTGCATATGCACAAAAACTTCTAGGGTGAAGCTTCTCAATTTTTTTTTTTGTTTTCCCTGAGTATCTGCTACAAACTTTTTGAAAATTCCCTCAAATATTTTTAAATATTTCTAAGTGGACATCTAAAATTAATCAACAGAAGTTTACATTGTTGCAAAGACCATAATATTTGTCATGCCGTAAATATGGTAAAACTTGGTGATAAGGCAAATTCCAACATAAAATCTTTAGTAATTTGCCAAATTTCTTCGACCAGTTTCTGTTCTCAAATGAGCTTTAATCTATGGGACCAGGGGCTGAGAGTGGAGGTAAAGGAGAGGATAGAGCTGGGTGAGAAAACAGCAGGCAACACAGAAGGTGGAAAGTGGGTTCCTGTATCTTCAGAAATCATTGGGCTGTAAACCAAAAACAAAATTCTAAATCCCTCAACCCACTAAAAAGATCCCTCCTCTCAGTCAAGAAGATTCCAAAGAAACCTGAAAAATTAATTCAGGCCATTATGGAAAGGAGGGTCAGCCATGACTCATTGTACCTTTCTCCCTTTGGAACTCATTGTATCTTTCTCCCTTTGGAACTCAGGCAAAACTGACCAGCATTAACGTTAAAACAGAGATCTTAAGACTGACAAAACAGACTCTTTGTAGCAATAAGATGCCAAATTCCAATCTGACTCTAATATAGCATCACATGACAGATAGCAGGCCTTGAAAGTATTTTACCCCAAAATATATTTCTTTGTCGTATTCTGAAATGGTGCTGCAAAGCTGTCTATTGTGAGGGAAATTTACATTCTGTAGATAATTTTCTTCTCTTTCCGGGTCCTTTTCTGATCCTGAAAGAGACTAGCTAAGAGTGTAGCACCTTTTAATGGTCTGAGTAGGAAACATCTGCCATCTATTGCCTCTAAGGGAAGCTACCTATGAGACTTCATCTAGATAACAACAACCTTGGTCTCCATAATCCCTTATCTTAATCTAGACATTCCTGAATATTAATTCCAGGTCTTTTGATAATAATGTAACTCTTTCAACCAACGGCCTATCAAAAAATCTTTGAAGACACCTAAGACTTGTAAGCCCCCACTTTGAGTTTGTTCTGCCTTTCTGGACCAAACCGATGTATATTTCACATGTATTGATTAATATCTTCTGTGCCCTAAAACATATAAAACCAAACTTCAACCCAATCACGTTGGGCACATGTTCTCAGGACCCCCTGAGGCTGTGTCACAGGTTACAGTCCTCACATTTGGCTCAGAATACATCTCTTCCAATATTTTACAGTTTCGCTTTTTTGGCCAACAGAGCCCAGGCTCCCTAGATCAGGGTGAGAAGATGGACCTCACCTAACAGAGATGCCTGGAACAATACTACCATTGTTCTGGGCATTCCAGAAAGTCGCAGGACTCAGAAACATTTCCTTTGCTATTAAACCTGGAAGTGAAAAAAATTTTTTTGAAAAATAAAAATTGCTCAATTCTTTGAATTCTCTGTTTTATGCAAAAATTTACTTAGTAAACTAGCATCTGAAAAATTACTTTCAAGGGCCCATCAACTAACCATTTAATAAGGTCTTTTGTCAATTCGTTTGAAAGTAAAGAATTGGAAACTATTTGACTTGCAATAACTTTTTCAGTCATTTGAATTATTCATTTTTTTCAGTTTATGGGAAAGATAGCAAAGACATTTTATTATATATCAATTTCAGGAAGATTTAACAAATAACTATTCATTGTACCTATAACTTTTTCCTTAGAGGCATCTTGCTTAACCTGATGCACTTGGAAAGAGTTGTGACAAGAAAATATTATTTATTTTCATCAAATTTTGCTGATATATTTTTTGATAAAGTGCTTTTATCATATCATGTATTTATCATGCATTAAAATATTTTCATCCAAACCTAAGAAATAAAGATAATGCTAATTCAATCTGTGTATAGTATCTGCCAACCTGAAATAATCAAAAGAATTGGAATCCACTTGGTTTTTTGTTGTTTTGTTTGTTTGTTTTTCTGTTTTTTTGAGACTGAGTCTATTTCTGTCGCCTAGGCTGGAGCGCAGTGACATAATCTTGGCTCGCTGCAACTTCCACCTCCTGAGTTCAATCAGAAATCCAGTTTTAAATAGTTTATTAAGGCTAAAAGCTGGGAATGGCCATCCTGGGAAGCTGGATTCCAGAGAACTGGGGTCAGTACTTCAAAAGTAAATGTTAAGGTCTTGTTTTTATAGGCAGAAAGCAAAAATAAAAATTAGTAGGATTATAAAATTTTCTATACAAGGATGATTTGTGAGTTACAACAATTTAATTGGTTAAGTTTGTTTTCTTTTTTGTGTAGCTTGTTTTCTTTTCCTTTACACTTTAAAAGAGTGTATTTAATATCCATCCTAGACAATGTGATAATCATGAAGACTTTCATGCAGGAGAGATAAAAGAAGGAAGTTAATCTAAATACCTATTCGTGTCTTTAGTCCATTTATCCATTGGGAATCATTTGGCTTTTTTCTTGCTGATTATCAAGAGTTAAAAAAAGATATACATAATAGTATTTTGTCAATTATATGTATTAAAAATATCTTCTTTTAAATAAAATAAAAACAACTTTTCATGGTTTGTGGATTACCTTTTCACCATGTTTATAATGGGTCTTGATAATCAAAAGTTGTCAATTTTAATGTAGTTGAATTTGTCAATATTTTTCTTTATGATTTGTGCTTTTTGTATTTTAAGAAATTCTATCTCAAAATCATAAAGCCATCTCTTATATTCTCTACTAAAAGTCTGAAAGTTGTATCATTCACAATAGCTACTTAATCCATCTGGAATTGATTTTTATGCCTGAGATAGAGGATTCATTTTCATTTCTTACCATCTGGATTGATAATGGTCCAAGTATCACTTATAGAATTTCCCATCCTTTTTCATTGATTTTCAGGCCCAGCTCAATTATGTAGCAAGTTTCCATACATGTGTAGATCTGATGCTGGCTCCCTGTTTTGTCCCATTGCCCTGCCTATCTATGTATGTATCAAAATTACAATATCTTGATTACTTTAGCTTCATTATAATAAGCCTTGATATTCAGAAGGGCAAGTCTCCACTGCACCTGGGTAGGGACGTCATCATCAAAAGTGTCTTGGCTGATTTTGGCACTTTGTCCTTTGTAGCAGCCATAAAGTATACTACTTAGGTCTTCCCTCAAAGTGAGAACCGTCCAATGGGGAGTGCAGTAAGCTGGAGATGTCTTCAGAATTGGCCTCAGCTTTAAACCTGAGGCTGTGCACTCACAGACAAGTCCCAGCACTGAGCACAATGGTGGCTGAGGATGGGCTTGCTGTGTTGGGCGAGATTGAGACACCTATATAGGCGATTATTTTAACAACACTCACCAGTGTGGACGACCGGAAATTTCTCACATTTGCATTGCAGACTGAGGCTCTTCGCGCCTCCTGTCCTCCCTCTTTCCTTTTACAGGGATCAGATCAACATGGCAGTCTAAAGGCCTTCCCTGTCTACTTCTACTCCCTCTTCCTTTTTTCTTTCTGAGGCATTTCACCCAATAAACCACTTGTACCTCTAACTCCATCATGGCATCTGGTTTCTACAGAACACAACCAATGCACAATCCAAGGACAACTTTTGAACTTCTCAATCATGTTCCACAAGAAAATATGTTGAGATATAGGTTGAAAAAGCATTGAATCTATTGTTCAATTTTGAGAGAATTAACCTCTTTACAGTATTAATTATTTCTGTACATATACCTGCTATGTCTATGTATTAAGTCTTCTTGACATCTTTCAACAAAGTTTTTATTACAAAAAAATATGTAATGTCATTATCAAAAAATGTGTTCCGTTGTACTTTGGTTTTGGTTAAGATTATAACTGCATAATTAAATTTTTATTTTCTGGCTTTTAAGCTGATTTTTTTGTTTGATTTTTGTTTGTCTTATGTTGTGTTGTGTTGCTGATGTAAAGAAATACTTTAACTTTTGTATCCCAGATGCATGAGCCTTACTAAACAGTTTTATTAAGGCTTTTGCTTTGCTTTTACCTTCACTTAGGTATCCTTTGTAAACAGAATTATCTGTGAATTATGGCAACTTTCCTTCCTACTTTCCAATCCTTGAAACTAACTTATAATTCTCATCTAATTACATGTGCTATGACTTCCAATAGAAGGTTACATAGAAGTTGCAACTAGGGGAGTGGAAAAGGGACATCCTGGTCTTGTTCTTGAACTTAAGAAAATTCCTTACTTTTTTTTTCCTTTGAGTACATTGTTTGCTGTAGGGTTTTTACAGATTATTTTATTAGTTTAGGAATGTTCCAATCTATTGCTAGTTTTTGAGGGTTTTTTTTAATAGTGAATGATATATTAGACTCCATTGTACCCTGACTCCTATTATTCAATTCTATCTTTTACTCCAGACATTGCTGCAGAAACCAGCTTGTGCAGTATAACTAGGCAACACTTGCATTAGTTGCACCGTGGTGTTCGATTACCAAGATTTTAAAATTCCTTCTGCTATTATGTTTTATACATACTATTTATCGTCTTTTTCTGTTTTTTATTGCCTACCCACTTACTGAATTGATTCAATTTCTCTCTCTCTACACCCTCCTCCCTTGTCACTCCTACCCATATGCTTTCCATTCTTCCTTCTTTATTAGCTTGGAAATCATGTACGCTGCCGCTATTCTGCAGACTTAAACGTCCCTGTCTGACATCTCTGAAAAGAGCAGTGGTTCTCCCAACACAGCATTCAAGCTCTGAGAACGGACAGACTGCCTCCTCAAGTGGGTCCATGACACCCGTGTAGCCTAACAGGGAGACATCTCCCAGTAGGGGCCGACAGACACCTCATATAGGCAGGTGCCCCTCTGGGACAAAGCTTCCGGAGGAAGGATCAGGAAGCAATATTTGCTGTTCTGCAGCCTCTGCTGGTGATACCCAGGCAAACAGGGTCTGGAGTGGACCTCCAGCAAACTCCAACAGACCTGCAGCTGAGGGACCTGACTGTTAGAAGGAAAACTAACAAAGAGAAAGGAATAGCATCAACATCAACAAAAAGGACATCTACACCAAAACCCCATCTGTAGGTCACCAACGTCAAAGACCAAAGGTAGATAAAACCACAAAGATGGGGAGAAACCAGAGCAGAAAAGCTGACAATTCTAAAAATCAGAGTGCCTCTTCTCCTTCAAAGGATCGTAGCTTCTTGCCAGCAACGGAACAAAGCTGGATGCAGAATGACTTTGATGAGTTGACAGAAGTAGGCTTCAGAAGGTCGGTAAAAACAAACTTCTCCAAGCTAAAGGAGCATGTTCGAACCCATCGCAAGGAAGCTAAAAACCTTGAAAAAAGATTAGACGAATGGCTAACTAGAATAAACAGTGTAGACAAGACCATAAACGACCTGATGGAGCTGAAAACCATGGCACGAGAACTTCATGACATATGCACAAGTTTCAATAGCCGATTTGATCAAGTGGAAGAAAGGTTATCAGTGATTGAAGATCAAATTAGTGAAATAAAGTGAGGAGACAAGGTTAGAGAAAAAAGAGTAAAAAGAAATGAACAAATCTTCAAGAAATAAGAGACTATGTGATAAGACCAAATCTACGTTTGATTGGTGCACCTGAAAGTGATGGGGAGAATGGAACCAAGTTGGAAAACACTCTGCAGGATATTATCCAGAAGAAATTCCCCAACCTAGCAAGGCAGGCCAACATTCAAATTCAGGAAATATGGAGACCACCACAAAGATACTCCTCGAGAAGAGCGACCCCAAGACACATAATAGTCAGATTCACCAAGGTTGAAATGAAGGAAAAAATGTTAAGGGCAGCCAGAGAGAAAGGTCGAGTTACCCACTACGGGAAGCCCATCAGACTACAGTGGATCTCTCAGCAGAAACCATACAAGCCAGAAGAGAGTTGGGGCCAATATTCAACATTCTTAAAGAAAAGAATTTTCAACCCAGAATTTCATATCCAGCCAAACTAAGCTTCATAAGTGAAGGAGAAATAAAATCCTTTACAGATAAGCAAATGCTGAGAGATTTTGTCACCACCAGGCCTGCCTTACAAGAGTTCCTGAAGGAAGCCCTAAACATGGAAAGAAACAACCGGTACCAGGTACTTCAAAAACATGCCAAATTGTAAAGACCATCAATGCTATGAAGAAACTGCATCAATTAACGGGCAAAATAACCAGCTAACATCATAATGTCAGGAACAAATTCACACGTAACAATATTAACCTTAAATGTAAATGGGCTAAATGCCCCAGTTAAAAGATACAGACTGTCAAATTGAATAAAGATTCAAGACCCATCAGTGTGCTTTATTCAGGTGACACATCTCACGTGCAAAGACACACATAGGCTCAAAATAAAGGGATGGAGGAAGATCCACCAAGCAAATGGAAAGAAAAAAAAGCAGGGTTTGCAATCCTAGTCTCTGATAAAACGGACGTTAAACCAACAAAGATCAAAAGAGACAAAGAAGGCCATTACATAATGGTAAAGGGATCAATTCAACAAGAAGAGCTAACTATCCTAAATATATATGCACCCAACACAGAAGCACCCAGATTCATAAAGCAAGTCCTTAGAGAACTACAAAGAGACTTAGACTCCCACACAATAATAATGTGAGGTTTTAACACCCCACTGTCAATATTAGACAGATCAAGAAGACAGAAGGTTAACAAGGATATCCAGGACTTGAATTCAGCTCTGCACCAAGCAGACCTAATAGACATCTATAGTACTCTCCACCCCAAATCAACAGAATATACATTCTTCTCAGCACCATATCACACTTATTCTAAAATTGACCACATAATTGGAAGTAACACTCCTCAGCAAATGTAAAAGAACAGAAATCACAACAGACTGTCTTTCAGATCACAGTGCAATCAAATTAGAACTCAGGATTAAGAAACTCACTCAAAACTGCACAACTACAGGGAAACCAAACAGCCCTCTCCTGAATGACTACTGGGTACATAACGAAATGAAGGCAGAAATAAAGACGCTCTTTGAAACCAATGAGAAAAAAGACATAACACACCAGAATCTCTGGGACACATTTAAAGCATTGTGTAGAGGGAAATTTATAGCACTAAATACCCACAAGAGAAAGCAGGAAAAATCTAAAATCAACACCTTAACATCACAATTAAAAGAACTAGAGAAGCAAGAGCAAACAAATTCAAAAGCTAGCAGAAGGCAAGAAATAACTAAGATCAGAGCAGAACTGTCGGAGATAGACATACAAAAAAACCCCTCAAAAAATCAATGAATCCAGGAGCTGGTTTTTCAAAAAGATAAAATTGATAGACTTCTAGCAAGACTAATAAAGAAGAGAGAAGAATCAAATAGACACAATAAAAAATGATAAAGGGGATATCACCACCGATCCCACAGAAATACAAACTACCATCAGAGAATACTATAAACACCTCTACGCAAATAAACTAGAAAATCTAGAAGAAATGGATAAATTCCTCGACACATACACCCTCCCAAGACTAAACCAGGAAGAAGTTGAATCTCTGAATAGACCAATAACAGGCTCGGAAATTGAGGCAATAATTAGTAGCCTACCAACCAAAAAAGTCCAGGACCAGACTGATTCACAGCCAAATTCTACCAGAGGTACAAAAGGGAGCTGGTACCATTCCTACTGAAACTACTCCAATCCATAGAAAAAGAGGGAATCCTCCCTAACTCATTTTATGAAGCCAACTTCATCCTGATTCCAAAGCCTGGCAGAGACACAACAAAAAAAGAGAATTTTAGACCAATATCCCTGATGAACATCGATGCAAAAATCCTCAATAAAATACTGGCAAACCGAATCCAGCAGCACATCAAAAAGCTTATCCACCACAAGCAGGTCAGCTTCATCCCTGGGATGCAAGCCTGGTTCAACATACGGAAATCAATAAACATAATCCATCACATAAACAGAACCAAAGACAAACACCACATGATTATCTCAATAGATGCAGAAAAGGCCTTCGACAAAATTCAACAGGACTTCATGCTAAAAACTCTCAACAAACTACGTATTGATGGAATGTATCTCAAAATAATAAGAGCTATTTATGACAAACCCACAGCCAATATCATACTGAATGGGCAAAAACTGGAAGCATTCCCTTTGAAAACTGGCACAAGACAGGGATGCCCTCTCTCACCACTCCTATTCAACATAGTGTTGGAAGTTCTGGCCAGGGCAATCAGGCAAGAGAAAGAAATAAAGGGTATTCAATTAGGAAAAGAAGAAGTCAAATTGTCCCTGTTTGCAGATGACATGATTATATATTTAGAAAACCCCATCATCTCAGCCCAAAATCTCCTTAAGTTGATAAGCAATTTCAGCAAAGTCTCAGGATACACAAAATCACAAGCATTTCTATACACCAATAACAGACAAACAGAGAGCCAAATCATGAGTGAACTCCCATTCACAATTGCTACAAAGAGAATAAAATATCTAGGAATCCAACTTACAAGGGATGTGAAGGACCTCTTCAAGGAGAACCATAAACCACTGCTCAATGAAATAAAAGAGGACACAAACAAATGGAAGAACATTCCATGCTCATGGATAGGAAGAATCAATATTGTGAAAATGGCCACACTGCCCGAGGTAATTTATAGATTCAATGCCATCCCCATCAAGCTATCAATGACTTTCTTCACAGAATTGGAAAAAACTACTTTAAAGTTCTTATGGAACCAAAAAAGAGGCTGCATTGCCCAAGACAATCCTAAGCAAATAGAACAAAGCTGGAGGCATCACACTATCTGACTTCAAACTATACTACAAGGCTACAGTAACCAAAACAGCATGGTACTGATACGAAAACAGATATATAGACCAATGGAACAGAACAGAGGCCTCAGAAGTAACACCACACATCCACAACCATCTGACCTTTGACAAACCTGACAGAAACAAGCAATGGGGAAAGGATTCCCTATTTAATAAATGGTACTGGGAAAACTGGCTGACCATATGTAAAAAGCTGAAACTGGATCCCTTCCTTACACCGTATACAAAAATTAATTCAAGATGGACTAAAGACTTAAATGTTAGACCTAAAACCATAAAAACCCTAGAAGAAAACCTAGGGAATACCATTCAGGACATAGGCATGGGCAAGGACTTCATGACTAAAACACCAAAAGCAATGGCAACAAAAGCCAAACTTGGCAAATGGGATCTAATTAAACTAAAGAACTTCTGCATGGCAAAAGAAACTACCCTCAGAGTGAACAGGCAACCTACAGAATGGGAGAAAATTTTTGCAATCTACCCATCTGACAAAGGGCTAATATCCAGAATCTACAAAGAACTCAAACAAATTTACAAGAGAAAAACAACCCCATCAAAAAGTGGGCAAAGGATATGAACAGACATTTCTCAAAAGAAGACATCTATGCAGCCAACAGACACATGAAAAAATGCTCATCATCACTGGTCATCAGAGAAATGCAAATCAAAACCACAATGAGATACCATCTCACTCCAGTTAGAATGGCAATCATTAAAAAGTCAGGAAACAACAGATGCTGGACAGGATGTGGAGAAATAGGAACACTTTTACACTGTTGGTGGGAGTGTAAGTTAGTTCAACCATTGTGGAAGACAGTGTGGAAATCCCTCAAGGATCTAGAACTAGAAATACCATTTGACCCAGCCATACCATTACTGGGTATATACCCAAGGGATTATAAATCATGCTACTATAGAGACACAGGCATACGTATGTTTATTGTGGCACTATTCACAATAGCAAAGACTTGGAACTAACCAAAATGTCCATCAATGATAGACTAGACTAAGAAAATGTGGCACATATACACCATGGAATACTATGCAGCCATAAAAAAGGATGAGTTCATGTCCTTTGCAGGGACATGGATGAAGCTAGAAACCATCATTCTCAGCAAACTATCACAAGGACAGAAAACCAAACACCACATGTTCTCACTCACAGGTGAGAGCTGAACAATGAGATCACTTGGACTCAGGGTGGGAGACATCACACACTGGGGCCTGTCAGGGGGTGGGGGCTGGGGAAGGTATAGCATTAGTAGAAATACCTAATGTAAATGACGAGTTGATGGGTGCAGCAAACCAACATGGCACATGTATACCTATGTATCAAACCTGCACGTTGTGCACATGTACCCTAGAACTTAAAGTATAATAATAAAACACACACACACACACACACACACACACACACACAATAAATAAATAAATAAATAATTTTAAAAAGATACTAATGATCAGGGAAAAGTAAATAAAAATCACAATGTGGTACCACCTTACTCCTGCAAGTATGGTCATAAGCAAAAAACCAAAACATAATAGACGTTGGGGTGGATGTGGTGAAAAGCGAACACTTCTACGCTGCTGGTAGGAATGCAAACTAGTACAACCACTATGAAAACCAGTGTGGAGATTCCTTTAAAAACTAAAAGTAAAACTACCATTTGATCCAGGAATTCCACTACTGAGTATCTACTCAGAGAAAAAGAAATCATTATATGAAAAAGATACTTGCACATACATGTTTATAGCAGCACAATTTGCAATTGGAAAAATGTGGAACCAGCCCAAATGCCTACTTGCCCAAATGCCCAAATGCCCATTTTGCCCACAAAAATGTGGAGCCAGCCCAAATACCCAATCCAATGACTGGATAAAGAAACTGTGATATATATATGTATATGATGAAATACTACTCAGCCATGAAAAGGAATGAATTAATGACATTCACAGCAACTTGGATGGGATTGGAGAATATTATTCTAAGTGAAGTAACTCAGGAATGGAAAACCAAACATTGTACATTCTCACTCATAAGTGGGAGCTAAGCTATGAGGATGCAAAGGCATAAGAAGAATACAATGGACTTTGG
Organism: Homo sapiens; assembly: GCF_000001405.40. Taxonomy (NCBI): domain Eukaryota; kingdom Metazoa; phylum Chordata; class Mammalia; order Primates; family Hominidae; genus Homo; species Homo sapiens. Next base: position 16,366,590 of record NC_000004.12, on the reverse strand, counting down.
GGACTCATGGAGAAAATGTGGGAAGGGAGTGAGGGATAAAAGGCTACAACTTGGGTTCAGTGTATACTGCTCAGGTGATGGGAGCACCAAAATCTCACAAATCACCTCAAAGAACTTACTCATGTAACCGAATACCACCCTTTCCCCAAAAAATCTATGTAAATTAAAAAAAAAGAAAATTCTAAATTGTCTATGAAGATACTCTGCCTTCAAAGAGGCAAAACATAACTCCTTATTTCTTAAATGTGAGCTACACAAAGTGACTTCCTTCCAAAAAATATGGTACAGAAGAAAGGAGTAACTTTAGTGAAGAAACGTGACAAACACTACCCCCACCAAGTAATGAAGTCAATATGAGCAATGATAAGTCATGTTAATAGTGTTTAACCTTGATACCAATGTACGACTTTATCTTTGTGGTCTTTCTTTCAAAAGCCCTGACCCCAATCTAAGCATGAGAAAAACAACAGACAAATGCTAATTAAGGAACATTCTACAAAACACCTGACTGGCAATTCTCAAAAGCATCAAAGTCAACAAAAATAAGGAAAGTCTGAGAAATTATGATAGCCAAGAGAACCTCAGAAAACATAACATCCAAGTGGAATGTGGGATCCTGAAAGGAATTCTGGAACATAAGAAGGAGATTAGGCAAAAATTAATGAATGATGAATAAATTATATTCTTTAGTTAATAATAGTATATCAATACTGGCTGTAACATTTCAATCGTAACAAATATGCTATACTAATGTAAAATGTTAATAATAGGGAAAACCAAGTGTGACATAAATGGGAACTCTCTGTGCTGTCTCTGCAATTTTTCTGTAAATTTTAAACTGTTCTAAACAATACAGTTTATTAGTAAAATTCTGTATCCTCTTCTACAAAATAAAGTTTACTAATACACCAGAAACACCCTCATGGACATACCCAGAAATAATGTCAGACTGAATGTCTGGGCACTCCATGACCCAGTCAAGTTGAAGCATAAATTAGACATCATAGTTGGAGTCAACAATAATCCAGACAGCAGACCTCCACCCTCTTTGCCTCCACCCCTGGCAACTGGGAGCCCATCTCCTTTTCTACGTTTTGCACAGGCAGCTCAGCTGTAGGGTCTACTCTGCTCTGTTGGCGGCCTTCCTTCCAGAGGGGAATGCTGTCAGGAACACAGCCCTACTGCAGTAATAAAAACACTTCAACATTCACTGCCTGAGCCTGTGTAAGGACCGAATGAGAGAGTGCGTGGGAACACACTGTGTATGCTGTTGAGTTCTACAGAGGTGAAAGGCTGTCATTATTCTACTATTTTCCTGTGGATTAGCAGCATTCACATTATCTTTATGTTTTCTAGGCAGAAATAAAAAAAATAGCATATCTGAAAAGCTAAGCTCCTGTGAATTCAAAAGAAAGGATGGCTGGGATTGCCTGCATCAAAGAAAAGAATAGCAACTCGCATTTCTGTGCTGCTCTTGGCACACAAGCCACTTTCTAATGTATTATCTCATGTGATCTTTACAAAATCTTGTACAATGGAGTGTGCTATTATTATTCTTTTGTAGATATGGAGAAAGACTGACAGAGGTTAAGTGACTGGCCCAAGATAACACAGCTAGGCGGTAACTGAATTAGATTTTAACACCAGTCCTCACATTCAAAATCCATCTTCTTTTCACTGAAGCACAATCCTTCTTGTAACAGCAAACAGTAAACTCAGCCTTGGCAGCATAATGATCCGTAAAGAAAGACAAAGAAACTTTCATAACTGAAAAATAGATGTTTAGTTTTTTCATATTTAAAAGAGCATATCCAGGTGAGGGTAAGAGTAGCTGAGGAATCTAGTTTTATGTTACCCATTAACTCATATATTCACCCTTCATCCATCCATCCAATCAGCAAATTAAAAGTCTATTCTCTGCAGAGCGTTGTTACAGGTGCTGAGAATTCACATGATAACTCCCTCAAGCATCATCATCACCAATCATCATCAACAGCAACAACAATTTTATCCCAATTACTTTGGTTATGTACATGTAATGTGTGGCTAGGTGGTGTGTCATAAGACTAAGACTACAAAACATGGCCCAGATAGTGTATTCATCACCAATATGGCGCACACTCACCAAGGCAGGCAGACACTAGAAGGCAGAGTAAAGGAGATACAGTCATCTGAACAAAAGTGAAGAAATGCACAATTAATACATGAAGTCTACAAGGACAAATGTACTTTGCGAGGGTATGCTGAGAAGAAGGAACTGTGATATTTAAATTAGTAAAATTGTAAGGAAGTGCCATGAAGTGGATCCTGAGGATTTTGTTCCCAAGTAGGCAGCTTGATGAAGGCTTTTCAAGCCATAAAGGCAAGGTGATAGCTTGTATCTCTTGCTTTTCTGGTTTTTTTTTTTTTGTCTTTATTTCCAATAGGGATGAGCTCTACATTCTGCATATAGCAGATCCTGAGTAAATGCTGTTTCCCTCAATTCAGAAATATATTTGTGAAATATTTTTCAGAGAAGCTGCTTTAATTTGGAAAATAATATAAATTCCTCAGAAGGGAAAAACCACAAATGTATAAACTCTTCCCTTCCCCCTTTTCCACCTAAACAATGCTTCCTATTCTTCTTTAAGATGCAGATCCAATTTGATGTCTGTCAGGAAGACTTCTTCCCATTCTGGCAAGCGCCGCTCATAGTTGATATTTCTGCTTTGTAACCTCATGGGACACCTACCTGGGACCTGAACACACTTCACTGTAGCCTCTGCCTTTGCTCCTCCTTCTTTGCTGTTATTGCATATGAAACTCCATGCTTCTGTCTTAGGTGAACCCATACATTGTTTAAATATCCACTTACCCATTTAGCTGCAGCAATTCTCTCTGTCTCTCATTTTTATTTTCCCCTTAGTTTTAGTTTTCAACTTTATTGTAGTCTTTCTACTAGGTCATTCCCAACAGCAAACATTATTTCTTTTAAATTCAGCTTAAAAAATAAAAATAACTTAACTACACTTCTCTTAGGAGGCAGACCACAGCCAATGACAAACGAAAGCTAGCCCACTGTCTTGAGGTCAGGTTAACTCTGTAGTACAAATTGTTTTCCAAAACTCACTTTGAGAACAGACTGAAACTAGTTTTCCTCTGAAGCTACATCCCTGCTTAGCTTTTCTCCTGCTTTATCATTCTTTCCTCACTTCACCTGCTCTGAAAAGCATTTTCCCAATAAACCATTTGATTACCAATACCCATCTCTGGATGGGTACTTTGTTTTTAGGGACCCTGGCCTAAGACAACTGGTACCAAAAGTGGAGTAGTCCTAGGAGGCTCTAAGTATGGGATTTTCAAGTTGTGTCACTTGCTGGCTGAATGGCAATAAGGATCCCACTACTAGTCTTAGCTGGATTATAGATTGTCCCTGGCATATTCAAGCATTGTAATTGCTAAGACTTCTACTTTTGATGGACTAAGATGAGACACAATTGGAAGGAGGTGTACTAGCTGGTGCAGTATCTTTGACACTTGAGAGATGTAGAATAAATAATGATAAGAACTGCAACTGGTAGCTGTTTCTAAGCAGCACTGTCTTATTAAAAAGAAAAAAAATGACAGGCTTGGATCTATTACTCAACATCTTAAAGCAGAGAGTCATAGGGTATTCTTGGGAGCATTTAAAGACTTTTATCTCCTACAGCCAGCAGACAGACATTGCTTAAGATTAGGCACCAGACCTAATTTTAAGAATTGTAGAATTTTTAAAGAATTCTGGAATTTAAGAGAATCTTGAAGTATCAGCCTATGCATGTATACAGTGAAAAAGTCAGGGCCCTGATACAAAGTGTAGAACCCTAAGATTTGGGATAGGGATATCCAGGCAGACACATTTGAAGAATCACATCCAGATTCCTTTGAACCCTCTGAACCTACAGAAGTGTCCCACTCTCTTTTTGGAAGGTAGAGAACCTCTTGCCTGAAAACTATATAGAGACCTAAAATGAAGCAGGTGCGCATGTTCTCACTCATAGGTGGGAATTGAATAATGAGAACACCTGGACACAGGGAGGGGAACGTCACACACCGGCTCCTGTTGTGGGGTGAGGGGAGCGGGGAGGGATAGCATTAGGAGATATACCTAATGTAAATGACGAGTTAACGGGTGCAGCACACCAACATGGCACATGTATACATATGTAACAAACCTGCACGTTGTGCACATGTACCCTAGAACTTAAAGTATAATAAATAAATAAATAAATAAATAAATAAATAAATAAATAAAATGAAGCAGGTGCTTTACAATGTAATAGTTGCCTTCATCAGAATCTCTTTCCTCCTTTCCTACTGGCCACCAGACCCATAAGTAGAGACAAATCTCAGCCAGAAATGACAAGGTAAGTGGCAATCCTGCTAAGTAAAGAAAGGAATGATTTACCAAAGGAGCTGTAGGACCATGTGCTAACATGTATTGTCAGGAACTCAGATTGGTGGATCCTGAGCACGCTGGACCATGTTTTCAACATGAAGCATTCCTCCATAACACAATGTTTGACATCTGGCAAGGACCTCACGTGATTGTTCTAATACATTCCTGGAGTAACTCTTGAGAACTTGGGAAACGTTATGGCCCATCTTGTAGAAAGGAGAGATGCCAGAGCAGCCATGGAAAACTCTGGAGGAAGGAATCCTGAGCCTCAGAGAAGTAGGGATACTAGAATATGTCTATCATAGGAGACCAGAAAATGTACCAACTACGCGTTCTTAAGATGGCTCATCAGTTTTGACCATAACAGTGCTTCTTCCTCATCTGAAAACTCAGATAAACCTCTGAACCTGACTTTTATCAAGAAGGAATTTTCAAATTCAAATAATCTGGACAACAAAAGCACTAACCCAGTGTTCGGCACGAACCCTTTTAGTGCCAAACCTTTATACACAGCTCTTCCACCTCAAAGCGCATTTCCCCCTGCTACTTTCATGCCACCAGTTTAGACCAGTATTCCTGGGCTACGACAATACCCAACACTGGATCAGATAAGCTTCCTACCACATATAGCCTACACCTACCCAGCTGGCCACATACAGCCTACACCTACCCAACTGGAGCAACTACCTTTGCTGATACGCAGCGAAGGAGAAAGTACCTGCGGAAACAAGGATTTCAGGGAATTGCTTTATGGAGCACAAGACTACATGTCAGGTCTAGATGTTATGACAGACTCCAACTGCTGTCTGTCTCGCAAGAAGATCAGGAAGACAGAGAGTGGTATGTATGCATGTGACTTATGTGACAAGAAATTCCAGAAAAGCAGTTCCCTTCTGCGACATAAATACGAACACACAGACCACATCAGTGTCAGATTTGTAAGAAAGCGTTTAAACACGAGCATCACCTTAACGAGCACTCAAGGCTTCACTCGGGCAAGAAGCCCTATCAGTGTGATAAATGTGGCAAGCGCTTCTCACACTCCGGCTCGTACTCGCAGCACAGGAATCACAGGTATTCCTACTGCAAGCGGGAGACGGAGGAGCGGGAAGCCGCGGAGAGCAAGGCACGCGAGAAAGGGCACTTGGAACCCACCCTGCTGATGAACCGGGCTTACCTGCAGAGCATTATCCCTCCAGGGTACTCTGACTCGGAGGAGAGGAAGAGTACGCCGAGGGATGGCGAGAGCTAGAAACAGCGCGAGAAGGCAGGCGAGGATGGCTACGGGAAGCTGGGCAGACAAGATGGCGACGAGGAGTTCGAGGCGGAAGAGGAAGAAAGTGAAAATAAAAGTATGGATACGGATCCCGAAACGATACGAGATAAAGAAGAAACTGGAGATCACTCCATGGACGATAGTTCGGAGGATGGGAAAATGGAAACCAAATCAGACCACGAGGAAGACAATATGGAACGTGGCATGGACTAAACTACTGCATTTGAAGCTTCCTTTTTTTTTTTCCAGTAGTATTGTTACCTGCTTGAAAACATTGCTGTGTTAAGCGGTTCATGCACATGCCTGACGCTTCCAGAAAGCTGTGGAGAGGGACAGAAGGGGTGGTTCAGCCAAGACAGATGTAGACAGAGTTGGAGCTGGGTATTGTTAAAAACTGCATTATGCAAAAATTTTGTACAGTGTTAAGGCCTAAAAACTGTGTGGTTCAGAGACTAATTCCTGTGTTTAATAGCATTTATACTTTAAGCACAACTAGAAAATTGTAAAAATTGCACTCTACTTACGTATCACTACAAACTTTACAAAACTATGTCTAATTTACATCAATACATTTTTAAAAGGTGCCAGCACTACCATACATCATTATTATTATTGTTATTCCTTTTTAATTTAATCTGCTCGCACTACAATGCATCAGTATTACGATTCCTCTGTACTTTCCTTTTGCTATTCATCAATTTCCCTTTTTTTTTCCAGCTTAAGTAACCACACAATTTTAGGCCTCAATTTTTTTTTTTCTATGAAGAAACTTGAAGTGTTGCACGTGTGAATTTAAGATACCGAAGTCTTAAAGTGACCTGGATGTAAAAGAAAAAGTAAGATGAGAAATAAAGCCTTTGTAAGGTGGTTTTAAAAGCCTTTTATGCAAACCTTTTACTCTGTGTTTCTGCAAGTGCCATCTTTGTACAGTATTAAGAAGATAACATGGGTTACCTTTGCACCAGCTTCAGTGTTAAGCTCACCCTGTTCTCTGAAGCAACCATGTCAGTATTAGAAGAATAGGCAGCAGTTCCTTAGTTTACATATGTTCGTGCAATTATTTTATGTACTTTTTTGTTCATTAATTTTGTCAGTATTACACCAAACTGTTTTTGCAACAACAATTTTTTTTTTGCATTCATTTAATTTTAGGTCAAATAACATTTTATTTATGTTTTTTTATTTTTTATATTTCCTAATTTTATATTTACTAATTTTATTTATTTCATACTATAGTGTACGGTATTATAGTTCTTCAATATATAGATATATTTTAGTAAAAAAGGAACATGACATTGGTCATTTGGGCAAATTTTATGTAAAGAGAAGAGCATTTATTGTGTTTTGGAACATTAATTGTGAGATGGAATTTTTCGATTTTATTATTTTATTTTTGTTTTTTCCAATTACTGGAAATTCCAAATTTGGGAACTTTTGATACGATCTTGTGAAAACACTGTATTTTTTATTGAAAATTCCACTTTCTTCATCTTGTTTTTTAGCTAAAAAGAGGGACTGTTAAATACAATGTATGATACCATGCAAAAATCTTTCTGAATTGTCTTTGTAAAAGTATTATTGAATTTTTAATTTGTAATTTCTTTTGAAAATGACCATGCTCGAATAAAAATGTAGCCAAATTAAAAACAAAAAAAAAGATGGCTCAGAGGACATTTTATTAACAAAAATGATAGAGGGCTCTGGTGAGAGAGTCACAGGCAGTGCAAAAGTGAGCAGTAATTATCCTCTGTAGGTCAGGAGTGATGATAGGAGAAGTTGTTGTTACACAAGTGGGCTCCCTAACAGCAATGAGGATAAGACTCTGGAAAAGAAGAGGCCAGGAGGCAGCCCTTAACAGTCAGAAAAAGAATAAAGTAAAGCCAGTTACTGTAATGGACAGCAAGACTGGAATGGCAGCCAGAGGCATCTGTCCCATAGGGATCATGGCAATGGCTCACAGAACATAGTATTCTTAGGTGCAAAATAGATGGGCAACCAGAAAGTGTACTGCTTAAAATACATGATCCAAAAAGTTCAGAGAATGACAGTCGGGTGTGGTGGCTCATGCCTGTAATCCTAACACTTTGGGAGGCTGAGACGGGCAGATCACATGAGTCCAGGAGTTCCAGACCAGCCTGGGCAACATGGTGAAAACCCTGTCTCTGTAAAAAATACAAAAATTAGTCAGGTGCAGTGGTATGTGCCTGTAGTCCCAGCTACCTAGGAGGCTGAAGCAGGAGGATCTTGAGCCCAGGAGTTTGAGGCTGAAGTGAGAGCCATGATCACCCTATTGTACTCCAGCCTGGGCGACAGAACAAGACACTGTCTCAAAAAACAAAAGGGTTCACAGAGAATGGATGATCAAGAGACTTAAGGTCTGCTGCCTCTGTAAAAAGACTTTTTTTTTGAGACAAGATTTTGCTCTGTTTCCCACCTGGAGTGCAGTGGCCTAATCACAGCTCACTGCAGCCTTGAACTCCTAGGCTCAAGGGATCCTCTTGTCTGAGCCTCCCAAGTAGCTGGGACTGCAGGCTAGCAACACAACACCTAATTTCTTTTTTTAATTTTTAGTAGAGACAAGGTCTTGCTATGTTGCCCAGGCTGGTCTCAAATGTTAGAAAGTCTTGATTGCCCAGTTTACAGCCCTGAGGAGTTCTCAGATCCAGAGCACGTCGACTAAAGAAAGATCATATTCCCACAGAAAACAAAAAAATCCTACAACACAACAGCCAGTGAGCACAGTAGTGCTTTCCCAGTTCTTCCCAACAAGCAAATAACAGCAACAACGAAAAGAAAAGAATTATGGCTATGTACTCAAATAATTGTACACTGCAGAAAGGGGAATACCCAAATCCTTCAAAGGCTATAGGACATAGAATTGAGTAGGCACTAGTACCCAGGAACCCAAAGTACCAATATTATCCCTGATAGTGCCTATGGGGGGTCAAATAATAAATGAAGTCCTGGCCAAGGTCCATCTCACAATGGATTCATTCTCATCCATTGCTATTTCTCTGATTCCTAAAGGCATAAACAACAATTTCATACTCAGGAGTTGACAGAACTCCCACACTGGCATGCAGAGTAAGAGCTATGGCAGTAGGAAAGGCCAAGGGGAAGTCCCTGAAACTGCTCCCTGCTCCAAGATAGTAAATCAAAACCAAGATCCCATCCTGGAGTATATGACAGATATTAATGCCACCTTCAAATACTCACGTAATGCAGGAGTAATAGACTCTGTCATATCCCATTTATTCAGTAGGGCAAAAACTGGATGCATTATGATAGATGTTAATGGACTATCACAAACTTAGCCAAGTGTAGTCTCATTTGTAGCTGCTGTGCCAGATATGGTGTCTTTACTAAAGGAGATTAACACAGCTTGAGATATATCATATGTGGCTATCGAACTAATGAATGTGTTCTTTTCCATATCTACATGAGAGGAAGATCAGAAGCAGTTTACATTCTCGAGGCACAAATAATGGTACAAATTCAGAGTTGCTGCAGAACTTTGTTAATTTTTCCATTCTCTGTCATGCTAAAATCCAAAAGGACTGTGAATGTCTGGACATCCTAAAAATGGTAGTGAGCATATAACTGTGGAATCCATCAGTCCTGCCATACACAAACCATCCAGAAGCTATTGGCCTGATAGAGTGATGAAACAACCTTTGGAATGTACAGCTGAGGGGTCAGATTGAAGATGACATCCTTCTGAAGATGGGGTGCTATAATTTATGATGGGGTATATACTGTATACCAACGGTCATTATATGGTGATGTGTACCCAATAGATAGAACATATGGTGAGAGAAATAGGGATGGGAGTAGCATGAGCTGCTTAGGAAATTTGTGTGTCCTTTGTCTGTACCTTTATACACTATAGGTACAGAAGTCCTAGTCTCCAGAGAAGGAGGTGTTTCCACCAAGGGATGCAGTTGAGAGTGCTACGTGGTCATTGGGCATCTTAATGCAAATAGACGAGCAGTCACAGAAAGCAGACATTATATAACAGTGGGGATAATAGACCACTGTCCTCATGAGGATATAGAACTGCTCCTTAATCATGGGGCCAAAAAATTGCTGGCATGAAGGTGATCTTTCAGAATATCTTGATAGTTCTACGTCCTATAAATGGGCAAATACAACAACCATCGTCCTGTGGAACTATATCCTATATCCTCTGGAGGAAAGACCTCAGCTAATGACTGACTGACATGGGTGTACAAAAGACTAAGCACCCCTTGACTCAAGGTAAGACTAACTCTGCTATGTTATTTGTGCTTCAGAGCTTCCCCATGGGAACAAACTAAGGCTAGCCTCCAGTTGAGGCCCCATTCTTACTTAGCTTTTATTCCCTCCCTATTCTGCTTCCTTCATTCCCCTCTTCTACGACCATTTCCTGGAAAAAATTACTTGAACAAAGATACCTGTTTCAGCAGCTCCTAAGGAATTTTACCTAAATGACAGAGAGTTTTAATGGTTTTGTTTACTGATATTTCAAAGGTTCTAGAAAGCATGGGACACAATGGGCCCCAGATAATATTGTTGAATAAAAGTTTAAACCATATCATACTGAATTGTCATGCTGGGTTTAGTTGCCATCATTTATTCATTTAGTAATTTCTTTTACTCACATAATTGGCTTTTATCTAGTGCTTCCTATGTTTTAGGCTTCATGCCAAGTGTTGGAGATACAAAAAACAACGTAAGTCTGTGCTCCAGTTCTGACGGCACTGTCAGCCTTGTCATGTAGACATATCGATAAACTGACTCACTTGAGTACGAGATAACGAATGCTAATGTTATGGATTTAACTGTATGCCCTCAAAATTCATAGGTTCTATATTTTGAGATAGGACCTTTAGGGAGGTAATTAATGTTAAATTAGGTTATTAGAGAAAGGCCTTAAATCAATAGAGTTGGTATACTTTTCAGAAGAGGAGGAGGCACCAGAGCTCGCTTGTGCTCTCTCTCTCTCGTTCTCTTTCTGCATGTGCACAGGGGTAAGACCATATGAGAACACAGTGAGACAGTTGCCATCTGCAACCCAAGGAGAGAGGCCAACCTTTGTTGGCACCTTGATCTAAAAATCAACCGTGTTGGTACCTTGATCTTGGGTTTCCAGCCTCCAAAACTGTAAGAAAATTAACTCCTGTTGTTTAAGCCGTCCAGCCAGACAACCAGAAACATCCAAGACCAGAGACTTGGGGCAGCCCAAGAAGACTGATATAGCTACTATACAGTGAGGGCCCGTATCTTCCATGTCTTTGCCCTGAAAGAGAAACACAGATGCTGGCACACAGTGGGCACTCAATAAATAAATAAATCACTTGAAAAAATTTCTCACAGCCTTATGCAATGCTGAGACCTGATTAGATCTTGTCAAGCACAACATCTCTCGCCTTCCATACCTCCCTCTCCCTAGCACTGTTTCAATTCTCCAACTCATGCTGGGAAAGCCATTCCATTCCTCTTTGGCTAATAAACTCCTGTTCACCCCTGGAGCATTCTCTGATCCTATTCCACCCTGAGATCCAATAGGTGCCTTCTCCAACCCGCTGGGTCTGCCTCTTCCATTGCATTCAGAATTTTGTACCACGATTTTGTGTCCATCTGTCTATCTTTTCTATGACTTAATAATATATCAGGAACTGTGTACCCAGAACTTATCAACTGGTTTTTTTAACATCCAAAGGAGGATTGGTGTATAGAAAAAAAAAAATTACCATGACTTGGGTTTTTATTGATAGTAATTTACTTACTTTTTTAAATTTTAAAATCTGTCATTCCTTTAGCCTTTAAATTCAACTTTCAAGTCCAGTATATTTGCTTATAAATTTAACAATTGGGAGTGAAAATTAAAAACATTCTCATTCTTTAATTTCTGCTAATTTATAGCATAAATTTCACAGATTAATTTTTCCTAAGCATTATTTTCAAACTTCAACAAATTTTTTCAGACATATCAAATTAAAGTCATAAAGCTTATAAACAACAAATTAAAATCTCTCATACTATCTAAAACTTAATTAAGTTTCCTTAAACATGTCAAACTATGATCATAAATTGAATATATTTTATTTTCTCAAGCTAACTCTTCCAACTTTAATAAATATGAATTTATCAAATTAGTAGATCAGATACAGGTAAGCATTTCAATATCTTCAAAAGCAATATATAAATTTGGTAACTTCAGTTCTCTTAAGCTTTAAGCAAATGTAATTAAATAAAACCATCTTACAATTTAAATTAAAATCTTAAGCCAGATTCTCTAGAATGTCATTATATCTTAAATGTTTCAAACATCCTACCAAGTTTATCCAAACAACACAATGAATACAAAAGTTTTCATTACACTTGTATAATCACAATTTACATGAAGTTTTAAACACCAAATTTATTTTTTATCATCTCTATGCTTATATTTTGTACTTTCCTGTAGTTACAAAGTCACTTATCCAACCAAACAGAATAGAATTACCATCTCAGCCCTACTTTAGCAAATGAAATTACAGATTCAATGTTGTCAGAGATTTGAGACACAGGTTGCACATTCAAGGGATTTGTGAAAGACTTGGGAACACATAACCTAAATCAAACTGAGAGGAAACAGCCAGAAAAACACAAATTAACAGACATTCTACAAAACAACAGACTGTACCCTACAAAAATGTCAATGTCATTAAAAAAAAGAGAGAGAGAAAGAAGGCCAAATAGACATAATGACTACAAGCAATGCATAATCCTGAATTGGATTCTGGATTAGGGAGAAAAATCATAGCCAAAAAGGCAGCATTGGGACAATTAACAACATTTGAATGCAGACTATATATTGGATATCAGTTTTAATAAATGTAAACTTCCTGAGTTTGATAATTGCATTGTGATTATATTGGAAAATGTCACTTTCTTTAGGGTAGTGACATTGAAATATTTGGAGTGAAATGTAAGATCTCCACAAATGGTTCAGCAAAAGATAAAAATAAGAATAGTGAAAGGAATAACAATGTGAGCACATTTGTGTGTAGAGAGGAAGATAGAGCAAACATGTGGCACAAATGTTAACAGTAGGTAAATCTAGATGAAGGGTAGGTTCTTGCAACTTTGCTACAGTTGTTTTTACAAAATAAAAAGTTAATTAAAAACAAAATTAAAGATTAAAAGTAAGATTTTGAATGGGATTATGCAAATTTGGATGTCACTTCAAGAGAATAAACTTGGGCGATAGATTATTTTATGCAACAGAAAACCACTGGCAAATTTAAACCATAAACTGCTCTACCATTAGGATACTGGATTCTTTAGAGCTGAAGGAATATTGGGAAACCAGCTTCAGAGGCTGTGCTTGTAGGGAAAATGGCAAAATTCAACTTCCTTGCGGGAGGACAACACTGTGTCATTGCTGAGATGAGGCATGGCAGGGTGCACCACCAGTACTGCCTGATAGATGCAGACAGTGAAACCATCACCATGGCCACTGCTCCTCTAGAAGCTGGATGCTGCTGTTGTAGCTGTTGCCACGTGCTACCAGAATGAATTATCTGCTTTTCTTCGCATCGGTAGCTCACAATTCACAGCCTAAGGCACCTGTATCTGATTACCCGAGTCCAAGGCACATACCAAAGCATTGGCTGCATGGAAGCTAGGAAAGTCAGAATCTGAATTTCAGGGTCTGTAATGTCATCAAGTCTCTGTCCACTGTCATCAAGTCTCCTAAGGGATGGGCTTCCTAAAGGAAATGGATTCCTTGATGGGGAAAAATAAGAAAAAGGATACACATCTAAGATACACAGAGGACCTCTCTAAAATGGGCCCACTGTATCTAAGGGGCCACCATAGCCAAGCCTTTCATCTGGGATTTGACTTTGCCATCCCAGTATCACCTCACCCCTTTCCTAAGACAACCTCTTTCAATTCTCATCATTGATGGAGTACACAGAAGTCTGCTTTCAACAAAATATTTTATTGGCTAATTGTTGAATTATTTGACCCTTTACACCCCCTTACCCTTTCACCACCCTAGTCAGGATTGTGACTGATGTCTCCTGGTTATGAATTGTTGTGGGACATTCCCCAGCCTTGTTTCCACTTTCTTATTCATCTATTGCTCATTATTTAGTAAGCATCTACTGTCAGGACCCAGTGCAGGACCCAGAAGGTGGTGAGCGCTCCAGCGTGAGGACTGGTAAATGAACACATGAAGGAATGGCTAAGTAGTAAATGGATAAATAAATTGATGGATACTATAAAAATTACCTCCCTGGCTACACAAATGACATATAAAGCACACAAATCCTGACCCATAACCACAGACACAATTGCAATCTATTCCTTGGAAAATCTTGGCTGTGTTGAAACATGAGAGTTGATTTCCTAAGGCTGCTGTGTCCACTGGGTAGTGGGGGGCTGCAGAAGGGGTGGACTCTGTTCCTACCTGTGTGTGGGAGGAGAGAGGTCTCTTCTGTGTCATAAGAGATGGCAGGGCCAGCTATAGATCCATTCCTACAGCAGCATAGAGTAGGTTCTTTCCATCCTGGGGCCACCACATCCACTCCTTAGAAGGGATAACAAGCGACTAACTTTGCTCATGGCTCTGAAACCCCACCCAGACACTGAACTACGAAAACAAACTGGTTCATTCACAGATTCTAATTTTTTAAGAGAGATGAGTAGGACACAATGAGTTGATCATCAGTGTTCAGAATCGACAAAGAGAAGCCAGTCGCAGGGCAAGTTCCCCAGCCATCCCATATTTTCTCTCTTTTTCTTGGCCTTCCTTCTGCAGCCAGGGACCTTGAAGCCCAAAGGCTGAAAAGCCTATTATCACCAGATAGAAATGTAAGTAAACAAGGCATCACAATAATGAATGCTAAAGCAGAAGGCAAGAATGGGGGGAAGGACCTCTTCGCTGCAAAGGATTGGGCTGGAACTGGGCCATTTTCCAACTACCATAATAATAGAGGGCTTTTGTTGGTTTCTAGACATGTAAGTCAAAAAGGATACTTCAAGACAAGAATGGAAGGAGGAAACGGTTTCTTCACCATTGACCCTCAATCTGCATTCCAAAATTGGCTTCAAGGCTAAGAAGCTCTAATCCTTCAACCAAACAGAGGGAGCTAAAAAGAATGGATTTGAAAAGACCACAGGAAATAAGAGTGGCTATAGCACTCGGGACATAGCCCTAGTCAAAGGATTTGCGGACGTTAAAAGGAGACAAAAAGGAAGAGTCAAAAGATTATCTGCAGAATATGTATGAAACACAAGGCTGAGACCAACTGAATTACTGCCCTTATTTCTCTCCCTCTCTGTGGATGTTTTAGACACCAAATCTGGGATTCCAGAGGCTGCAGCTGATATGATTGGAAATGCCGTGCATCTGTTTGTGAACTTCGAGTCTAAATTGTATTAGCGTTAAGTGATAGGGACCCCGTTTGCAATTTGATAAGCAGGAGCCGACTGTTTCTGATGTTTTACTAACAATTTGGGTAAATACACTGAAACCAATATGTTCAGCCAGGTGTTGAACGCATTTAGCCCAGCGTGGAATGGGTCTGCACAAATCTGTATCCCCAGATGGAAGAAGCCGAGTTACAAATTAGTGCAATTCAAACAGAAGAGGTTTGACCAAGGGAGAGCTTAAAGAGATCAAAGGAAAAGCAGAGGGAAATTGGATACAGTTGCATGCCAGTTCATTAGGAGGCAAAGGGGACTTAATTATTTTTTATTCCAGTTTTTTCTTTTTTTTCTCAAAGAATTGGGTTAATGCTCTTACTATTTCAGTTTGGCCTTAAACTTCCCAAAATTATAAGGAAGCGCTGTGTCACAGTAACGTGTTAAATACTAAAGAATTTTATTCTATCATTATTAATCTGGAACCAGGCATGAAATTCCAAGTGTATTCAAAATCAGAACCCAATTTTTAAAAGGAGTATCTACATTTAAGTGTCATCAAAGAGATCTGTTTACATAGTGTGCCATAATTTTTAGGATTTCCATTTATTTCTTTTTATTTCCTCTAAAGAATAAATTATTTTAAAGTTATAATTAACTAACACAATAGCTTTTTAATTATTCTCCTATTATATCATTTTATCTCTCTCTGTAGACATGTAAAATCATAATGATTTAGTTGTTTACCTCCCTGGTTGGGGGTCTTGCCCAGAAATAGAATGATAATTAGTTTTTAAAAAGAAGAATTGGAATCATGGACTGTGTCAATGGTGAGTTGTCAACCATAATCCGTGTATAAAGGACAAAGAGACAAGACTATCCAGGCAGTATGTTAACATTATTTACAATGTCCCTAAAATTCAATTTGTAACCAAACAGCATGGTGCTGTTCAACTCCCTTGAAGTGGGATTCTAGAATGGAGGAGAGAGGCTAGCAGACAGGAACTATGTAACATGGGAACTAAATAAAAGTGCAGACATGGACTCAAAGAGGAAGTGGTAACATCCAGAAGAGTGGAATCCATAGCAAAAGACCTAAGATGGGTGCTGGCTGCAAATTCAGAAAAATTAGGAGTAATATTAGGTCTTTTGAGGAAAGTCTGAGAACTTTATTTGCAAGGTGCTCAAAAGAATCCTGTGGGAAGAAACTCATGCTAAGGAAGAGGCCTCACGAGGAAAGAGAAGGGAGGTTAGAGATGGGGTCAGAAAGACAAAGAGGAGACAATATCCGCCTTGTAGGATGGAGCTGGGAGTCTGGATTTTATTCCAAGGTCAATGGCACACCTGTGTGTGTATTACCAATTGAAATGCTACCAGGTGCTAGACCTGTTCCAGATGCTGAAGATACAGCAGGAACACACCTTCTGGTCTCTCGAGCTCAATTCTAGGAGGAGGAAGCAACACATAAATGAACAAACAGGGTAATGCTATAGGTTTTACAAAGAATTAAAAACAGACTGATGTGATAGAGAGACTTGGGGCTACCTTTTTACACTGAGTGATCGAGGAAGTCTCTCTGAAGAGTTAAGTTAAGAAAATTATAATGAGCCACATTTGCATATGATTTACCACGGACAAGCCCCCTGCTAAGTACTTACAAACTTTAAAGTTGTTGAGGGAAACTGAGGCAAAGGTAATTTAAGAAACTTATCTAATGTCCCTTGCTGAAAATTGTTGAATTTTAATCCAAGAAATCTGACTCCAAATCCCTCATTGCTTACCAGTATATTCTAAGTGACATTGCCTGAATGAGAAGAGATGAGGATTATCAGGAGAAGCAAGTCATGGGAGTCACTGGGGAAAGAGTAGTCCAGGCAGACAGAGGAGTAAGAAACAGCAAGAAGGCAAAGAGGTCTGGAACAGTGAATCAGGGGAGGGAGGAACAGGAGCAAAGTCTGAGAGACAAACAGAGGGCAGAACACATAGGGCCTTGGAAACCAAAAGAAGCATTTCTTCTAAGGGAGACGGGGTTTTTTTTGTTTTGGTTTGGTTTGGTTTGGTTTTTTGAGACGGAGTCTCGCTCTGTTGCCCAGGCTGGAGTGCAGTAGCATGATCTTGGCTCACTGCAACCTCCACCTCCCAGGTTCAAGTGATTCTTCTGCCTCAGCCTCCCGAGTAGCTGGGAGGTGCACACCATCACACCCGGCTAATTTTTGTATTTTTAGTAGAGACAGGGTTTCACCATATTGGCCAGGCTGGTCTCAAACTTCTGACCTCGTGATCTACCCGCCTTGGCCTCTCAAACTGCTGGGATTACAGGCTTGAGCCACTGCACCTGGCCATAGATGGGGGATTTTAAGCAGGGGAAAGGTGTGATCTCTTTGGAGTTTGCAAAATACTACCTTGGCAGCTGGGTGAACAATGGAATGCAAAGAGAGAGAGCCAAAGTGTTAGCAGAAGGAAGAATTTTAAGGAAGTGCAAGAGAGAAATGCTGCTGGCTTGTATGATCATGGCCAAGACTGACTTGAAAAGAGGTAGTGACAGGGTAACTTGGAGATGGAGCTGGCAAGGCATACTGCTGGAATGAATAAAAGGCATGTTGGAAAGAAAGGAAGTAAGAATGACCATTATGTTTTTATCTTGAGCAACTGGGTGAATGAATGATGAATGGTAGTGCCCTTTGCTCAGATTGGCTAGGTGGGGAAGTGATGGAAGGAAGAGGGGATCAATGTTGTGATAAGGAAAGTGGAAATAGAGCAGGGTAATGTAAGCTGGCACGGGTATCAGAGGAGGAAATGACTTTTAACGTAACACCTTAGGTCATTCACACATTCCTAAAGGTCATTTAGGAAACGTAAGCCATTCTCTCTTGCTTGAATGACCTTCTTCATGGCCTCTCTAGCCAACCCTACTCATCTTTCAAGCTCCAGATAATACATCCCTTCCAATGTTACAGCCAAAAGTGTTCAAAGAAAAGCTTCATGCCAGCCACAATGCACTTTGAGAATACAAAGACAGTAAAACATTGGTCCTCTCTCAAGGAGGTTATTGTTTAGGGAGGGAAAACAAACATACAACAAACAAATACAATACCTACTGGAACGGAATTGTGTGCAGATTAGAGTGGAAGCTCAGGCAGACTCAGGAAAGTCTTCATAGAGGGACAGATACTCTAGTTTTCTTGCAGGATAAGGATATGTTCTCATCCAGGAAGATGAGAACATGTTTGCTAGGAAGACACAGCACAGAGGGTTGCCAGACAGATGCAACAACATAGAGAAAGGCACAAATGCATAAGGCAACAATAGCATCTTGGAAAATTACCTGTAACAGAGACCCAGATTGGATGGATTAGGGTTGAGGGTGGTGTGTGGATTGACAGGGACAATAGTGAGAAATGAGCTTGAAGAGGTAAGCAAAAGCCAGATCAGGCATGGATGCTGTGGCAAACCCTGCCAGTGGATTACCCAATGTCACTCACCATGTCTTCCCTGCTATCAGAATCTTGATTCAGGTCACATATAGAGATCCCTTGATCTCTGAGAAGGCAATCCTCTTCTCAGTCAAGGGATTAAACTATGACTGGTCTAAACCAATTAGGTAATATCATTCCCCTTCCTCAATGACTGGCCAACAATCAGACATGTGATCCAGTTCTGGCCAATAAGATGTAAAGAGAAGTCTTTTGTCTCTTCCCCTTCTTCCTGCCTTCAACATCAATATGGTGCCTGGAGCAGTAGCAAGCATCATGTGACCATGAGGTAGCATGCATGAGAGTTGCCAACATGTTAATAGTGGCAAAGTAGAAAGGTAGAAAGACCCTGCATCCTTTACTGAGGCTCTGAACAAATACCAGTCATCACCTGTTTGCAGACATTTTATCATGTGAGAAAAATATGTATTTACTAGGGACTCATGTCACAAGTTAGGTAGATTTAATTTACAGTGGACAAAAGCATACTAACTGATGCATATATCATGTTAAAGGGTTTGGATTTAATCCTGAGGGTGAAAATGTTTTTAACAGAAAGGAATCAACTTTGTTTTCTAGAAAAATCACCCTGGAAGCTTTGTAAAGGATAGAAGAAACGGGTGAGATAAAAGAGGTAGGTAGCCCAATTAGTAAACTACTAAATATTCAAAGTTAATGATGATAAAAGAATGGAAAAGGGACATGAAAAGAAATGAAAAGAAGGGAAGAGAAAAGTTATATTTTAGTGAGATCGAATTAACAGGACTTGTCTGAGTAGATGTGAAGGATGGGGAAGGGAAGGGCAGGAGAGCACCTAGACTCACACGGATAAGTTGAGCAGAATGCTAACATTTCATGAGGGAACACAGGAGAAAGGGAGATGATAGTCAGGGAGAAGAAAATATCTTATTTATTCTCAGATAAGCTGATTTTATAGTCTAACCAAAATGCACTAAGTTTCATTATGTCTAAAATTTACCTTAGTCATGGAAATGATCACATTTTGTTTACTTGTCTGAAACCACAACTAAACCATGAGCTCCTTGAGGGCTGAAAATGAAGATGATGTTAATGGCAAACACTTAATGTGATGTTTGATATGTCAGGCACTAGTTTAAGCCTCTTGCTAAGATAAGGAAACTGAGGCATGGAAGGATAAGTAACTATCCCAAGATCAGAAAGCTTATAAGTAGTGTTGCTGCTGAGGCAATGAATTCAACCCCAGGCAGTTAAATTCTAGAATCTGTGAGCTTAGCCACATGCTCCACTGCCTCTCAGAGATGGTTCCATTTTGACAACTCCCATTAAAGTACCCAAAACAAAGATTAGTGTTCCAAACATTTTCACAATAAATGAAAAAATTAGTGAATGAATATGTAATTGTGTCTCATGAAATTTAAAAGAAACATCCTTAATTTGTTTTAAAAATATTAATTTAAAACTATTTATTAAAAGATATTCACGGCTGGGCACAGTGGCTCACGCCTGTAATCCCAACACTTTGGGAGGCCAAGGTGGGTGGATTGCCTGAGCTCAGGAGTTGGAGACCAGCCTGGCAACACGGTGAAACCCCATCTCTACTAAAATACAAAAAATTAGCTGGGCGTGGTGACATGGGCTTGTAACCCCAGCTACCTGGGAAGCTGAGACAGGAGAATCACTTGAACCTGGGAGGTGCAGGATGCAGTGAGCCGAGATTGCATCACTGCACTCCAGCCTGGGTGACAGAGCGAGACTCCATCTCAAAAGAAAAAAAAAAAAAAAAAAAAGATATTCACAGAAATCTATAATAAGCATGTCATGAGGCAGATAGATGTCCCTATAAAGATTATGCATCCTATGACTCAGTGTCAATAAAAAAAAAAAGATATGCATCCCTGGAATATGTTCTATTACATGGCAAGGGGAAATTAAGGTTGCTCATTAGTTGACCTTAAAATAATAGAGTTATCCTAGATTATCTGGGCTCAGTGTAATTACATGGGTCCTTAACTGTGGAAGAAGGAGGCAAAATGAGCAGGACTTGACTGGCCATTACTGTCTTTGAAGATGGAAGAAGGGGACAAGAGCCAAGAAATGTGAGCGACTTTTAAAAGCTGGAAAAGTCAAGAAAATGAATTCTCCTCTAGAAGATCCAGAAGGAACACAGCCCTGCCAATGTCTTTATTTCAGCCCAGTAAGACCTGTTTTAGACTTCTAACCTTCATAATTGTAAGATAATCAATTTTTGTTGTTTTAAATCATAAAGTTTATGGTAATTTGTTATAATAGCAATAGGGAGCTAATTTAAATTTTGGTACCTGTAAATGTGGTGTTATTGAGATAAATACCTACAAATATAGAATTAACTTTAGAATTGTGCAATGGGAAGAGGCTGGAAGAATTTTGAAGTGCATGAGAGAAGAAAACCTAAATTGCCTCACAAACACTCTTAGCAGAGATATTTCTGTTAATGACTCTGTTAGTGAGGACACAGAAGAAAGTGAGGATCATGATAGGGAAAACTTACAACATCTTAGAGAATGCTTAAATCATTATAAGCAGATTGTTGGTGGAAATATGGACATTAAAGGCACTGCCAGTGAGGGCACAGATGGAAATAAGGAATATATTATTGAAAACCAGAGGAAAAGAGATCCTTTTTACATAGTGAGAGAAAGTTTAGCTGAATTGTGTACAGGTATGTGGAAAGCGAATTTGTAAACAATGTGCTTGGATATTTAGCTGAAAAGATTTCAACCAAAGTATTAAAGGTGAAGTCTAGTTTCTTCTCTCTGCTATAGTAAAATGCAAGAGGAAATAGGTAGACTGTAGAACTGTTAACCAAAAAGAAACTAGAATTTGATAATTCAGAAAATTCTTGGCTTATCCATATTACAAAAGATATTAAAATTAGGATACTCAGTTTCAGGGAAGCATGCTCTGGAGAGAAAGTCAAGGGTGTGGTGGACAGCCTTATGCTAGTGCTTTGGAAGAATCAGAAGATCAGAGTATTCAGTTGCACAGATGGGTTTTTGAAGAAACTAGAGAAACTAGAAGTGTTACTCATGGATCATTTCAGCTATCTAAGCAGAAGCCAAGAACAGAGTTGGGCTTATCCAGGAAATATCTGTGGAGGAGCCTCTTGTCTAATGGCATGAATCCCCATGACATACACGAGTGATCAACAAAGTTCTTGAAATCTCATATCAGCAGAAATACTGCCATCTTGGACTGAAAGGTGCAGGGAGAGGATGAAATGAAAGTCTGTCAACCCCTCCCCCAGATTCTAGAGGCAAAAAACAGGCTGGTAAAACTACTCAGCTGTAAATGCATGCTATCTTTTAAGAAAAAGGAGTTATGATTGTGAGAATAAATCCATGAGCCTAAAGGTTGAATCCTCCAGCCCAGAGGGAGGTGCCTCAAGTCATAGAGGATTATTCCCAGGTCCTGGAATCAAATGGAGTTTTCCTGTCTGGATTTCAAAATTGCTTGGAACCACTGACTCTTGGGTTTTGTTTGTTTGTTTGCTTGTTTCCTTCAATTTTCTCCCTTTTTGAATGGGAATTTCTGTAACTGATATCTTATGTCTGTCCTACCACTATATATTTTGGTATTTCTTGAGTTTTGTAGGTTTCAGATGGAGAATTTGCCTTAGAATGGATTATACACAGAGCCACATTCATACCTGATTTAAATGATTTAGATGGTGAGACTTAAGACTTTTAAGCTGATGAAATTTAGATGACTTTTTTTTTTTACTGTGTATGCTGTAATTAGTTCACACATTTATGGCTGTTAGGAGGAATTAGACCATTGTGAATGCTTTCATATCCAACTTATATTTTGCATGTAAGTTGGATATGAAACTTTGAGGCCAAACAGCACATTGTAGGAGGCAGAATAATTTCTTCCACTCCAAAGATGTGTATGTTCTAATTTGTAGGAGCTGTGAAATACCACGTTACATGGCAGGGGAGAATTAAGATTACAAGTGGAATTAAGATTCCTAATTAAATTTGAGGCCCTGCCTCACACCATACATAAATCCATCCCAGCTTAAACAAAGACTTAAATGTTAAAGGCATAACTGTAAAATCTTTTAGAAGACACCACTAAAAAGTATTTTATAAGACTGAGGTAGAAATTAACTCTGTAAACAAGAGAACAAAATGAAATGAAATGCACAAATTCTAATAGAAGAAACTAATAAATTCAAATACACTCATTAAGACTTCCCATTTATGCAAAGGACATGAACAGACACTTCTCAAAAGAAGACATACATGTGGCCAACAAACTTGGAAAAAAGCTCAACATCACTGATCATTAGAGAAATGCAAATCAAAACCACAATTAGATATCATCTCATGCCAGTCAGAATGGCAATTATTCAAAAGTCCAACCAGGCACAGTGGCTCACTCCTGTAAACCCAGCACTTTGGGAGATGAAGGTGGGCAGATCACCTAAGTTCAGAAGTTTGAGGCCAGACTGACCAACATGGTGAAACCCTGTCTCTACTAAAAATACAAAAAAATTAGCCGGGCCTGGTGGTGGGTGCCTGTAATCCCAGCTACTCAGGAAGCTGAGGCAGGAGAATCGCTTGAACCTGGGAGGCGGAGGTTGCAATGAGCCGAGATCACGCCATTGCACTCCAGCCTGGATGACAAGAGCGAGACTCTGTCTCAAAAAAATAAAATAAAGTAAAATAAAAATAAAAAGCCCAGAAACAACATATGCTGGCAAGGTTGTGGAGAAAAAGGAACAACACTGTTGGTGGGAATGCAAATTAGTTCAACCACTGTGGAAGACAATGTGGCGATTCCTCAAAGATTTAGAACCAGAAATACCATTTGACCCAGCAATCCCATTACTAAGTATATACCCAAAGGAATATAAATGATTCTATTATAAAGATACAGGCACACATATGTTCATTGCAGCAATATTCACAATAGCAAAGACATGGAATCAACCCAAATGCCCATCAATGATAGACTGATAAGGAAAAGGTGGTACATATACACCATGGAATACTATACAGCCATAAAAAGGAGTGAGCTCATGTCCTTTTCAGGGGCATGAATGGAGCTAGAAGCCATTATCCTCAGCAAACTAATGTGGGAACAGAAAACCAAACACCACCTATTCTCACTTATGAATGGGAGCTGAACAATGAGAACATATGGACACAGGTTGAGGAACAACACACAGTGAAGCCTGTCAGGGGAGGGCATGAGCGGGGTGGGGAGAGCACAGGAAAAATAGTGAATGCATGCCGGGCTTAAAACCTAGGTGATGATAGGTGCAGCAAACCAGCATGGCACACATTTATCTATGTAACAAACCTGCACTTCCTGCACATGTACCCTGGGTCTTAGACAATAAGAAAAATTGTAAGACTTCCCATTTGTCAAAAAACAATAAAGAAGATGAAAAGACAAGAAAGAGAAAATATTTGCAGCATATACTGACAAAGAATGAATATCCAGAATATATAAAGAAATACAGAAAAAGACCAGCAATCCAATAGATAAATGGACAATATGTATGAACAAGCTTTTCACAGGAGAAAAATCACAAATGGTGAGCAAACATTTTAAAAATTAACCTGATTAAAAAAGCAAGGAAATGCGGGCTATATACCCTCATTCTTTCCCCAGCCACCACAACAGAACTTGAATAATGTTTGACTGACAGGAGTACAAAAAGCCCCCTTCTTTCAAGGAGGACTAACTCTGTGGTGCAATTTGTGCTCCAGAGATTCCCCTTAGATTATATTGAAAGATATACTTAATGCTAAATGACGAATTACTGGGTGCAGCACACCAGCATGGCACATGTATACATATGTAACAAACCTGCACGTTGTGCACACGTACCCTAAAACTTTAAGTATAATAATAATAAAATTTTAAAAAAAGATTATATTGAAGCTAGTCTGTAGCAGAAAGCCACTCTTGCTTGAGTTTCTTCCCTGACCTATTCTGCTTTCTTTACTCTTCTTCTCCTGAGAGCATCCCTGCAGTAAATAACCTGAACACGGATCCTCATCTCTGGCTGTATTTCTTGGGAATCCAGACTTAGAAAAAAGTAAAAGTAACAAACAAATAGTAGAAGAAATTGAAATAATTTAAAAAATCCAAAAGAAGGCAAGAAATTAGGGTGACCAAACATGAAAAAAGTGAAATACGTTTTTAAAAGGTAGTAAGATGATAGATTTAAACCCAAATATATTTGTAATTACATAAAATGTCAACAAAGTAAGTAATTAAAAGCCAAAGATTGCCAGATGGGAAAAAATAGAAATACCAACTCTATGATACTTTCAAGAGATATTCCTTACATAGAAGAATATAGAAAAGTAAAACAATGGAAAATGTATAACATCCAACTAATATGAAACAAAATAGAATTTAAGGCAAGGAATATTATTAGAGAAAAAAAGGGAAGGCTGGGTGCAGTGGCTCACACCTATAATCACAGCACTTTGAGAGGCCATGGCAGAAGGATTGCTTGAGTCCAGGAGTTTGAGACAAGCCTGGGCAACATAAAGAGACCCAATATCTAAAAATAAAAAATAAAAACAAATTTTAATAAAAGGGATATTGTAATTATAAGAGAGTCAATCTACAGGAAAATATTTTTAATCTAAATTTTTATGCACAAAATAACACAGCTTCACAATATATAAAGCAAAAAATGACCCAAATTCAAAGGAGAAACATATGAAGCCACAATTATAGTGGGAAATTTTGCGATACTTCTATCAGTAATCAGTGGAATATGGCATCATAAACAAAACTAAGGAAATGTAAGATTTGAACACGTATGCAATAGTGAATCTAATTAACTTATATAGGAAAATGCATTCATAACCTGCAGAAAGCATATTATTTTGGGGTACGTAGGACATATAGGAGTTGTCAAAACCAGCCATACGTTGGACCATAAAGTAAGTCTCAACAAATTCTAAATGACTTAAATGAGAATATATCCTTTGATTACAATGAAATTAAGCAAGAACAGTATTAATGGCATAAGCTAACTGGAAAAGCTCCAAATATCTTCAGTTTAAGCTTTACACTCTCGAATAACCCATAAGTGAAAGAAAAAGTCAAAATGGAAATTAAATAATAATTTGAACTGAATGATAATAAAAATGCAAGATATCAAAACATATGGGATGTAGTTAAAATCACGCTCATAGTTAAACATATAGCCTCAATTAAACCTAGCAGATAGGAAGACAGGCTTGAAGTCATGATACAAGATGATGACAGGAAAAACATGTCAAGAAGAAAATAATGAAGATGAAATTCTAAATTACTGCAATACAACATAAATGTACAATAAAAAGAATCAATAAATCTAAAAGCTGATACTTGAAAAGTTAATACAATTGACAAATCCATTGTAAAACACATCAAGAAAAAAATAAGCTGCAAAAAAGTAATACCATCAGTGAAAAATAGGACATAACTACAAATTCTATAGACACTCAAATTAATAAAATGATAAATTTATACCCATAAATTTGGAAATGTAGGTTAAATAGGTGATTTATTATAAAACAACTTACCAAAGCTAAACAAGAAAAAGTAATTTGAATATGTATATAAGTATTAAAGATACTGAACTAAGTAAAGTTTTCCATAAAGAAAATTCCATACCAAGATACATCACTGGTGAACTCTTCCAAACACTTTAAGGAAGAAATAACACCAATATTACACAAATTTTTTCAGAGTATGGACAAAGCCAGTTCCCTTTTCAAGTCATATTACACATAAGGCCAGTACATCTTTGAAATCAAAACTTGACAATGATATTGCAAGAAAAATACTAGAGACCAATAATTCACATGAACATAAATAAATAAAACACCAAACAAAATATTTGCAAAACAAATTAAGCAACACATGAAAAGAATTATTATGACCACATTGTGCTTATTTCAGGAACATGAGGTTAACTTAATGTTCAAACATCAATGGATTATAATCCACCATATTAATAGAATAACATAAAAAATTACACAAACATGTTAATAATGCAAAAAAATGGATAAAATTTCCTATTAAAAACTTTGAGTAAACTAAGACTAGAAAGGACCGGGTTAAATTTGATTAAGGGCACCTACAGAAAGAACTTCAGAAAGTATTTTATTTCAATATATACTAATATATTCAAAGTAATAATGCAAGATAAAGAACTAAAAGGTATAAGAATTGGAAAAAACAAAGTTGTTATTATTTGCAGATAACATTATTGTATGTATAGAAAAATCTGAAAAAATACAGGTAAGATAGAATTTGTTAGTAAATTTGGGAAAGCCACCAGATAGAAACAATATAAAATTAATTTTATTTCTATATACTAACAAAAAAACTACTAGAAAATGAAATTTAAAAAGACATCTTTTACTGTAGCATAAAAACTTATAACTATAAATATATATAACTATAAAAATATATATTTATATATACCTCTATATATAATAAATAAAATAAATAAAAATAAAAAGTATATATGTGTGTGTGTATATATATATATATAGAGAGAGAGAGAGAGAGAGAGAGAGATAGAAACCTATTGAGTAAAACATTTTAAATACCTTAAAAAATGGAGGAATATTTCATGCTTATAGACTGAAAGAAGTTGTAATTATCGATTCTCCACAAGTTAATCATTATAATTTTAATCAATATCCCAGAAGGACTGCTGTAAAAATTGACAAGCGGGTTTAAACATTTTTAATGAAAATACAGGGTCAAGAAAAGTGAAAACAATCTTGAAGAAGAACAAAGCTAGAAGGTTCATGGTCTCAATTGTCAAGATGTATCATGAAGCTACAGTAATCAAGAGAGTGTAATATTGACATAAAAATAGACAAATAGGTCAATGGAATGTAAAGAAGAGTTCAGGGATGGGTAACACATAATGGTCATTTCATATGAGAGTGTCCCCGCACTGCAGTAGCGAAAAGATGATCTTTCAATAAATGATACTGGGTCAATTAGACATCCATATGAATCTGAATCATTACCTTATAAAATGCATAAAAACCAATTCCAGAGAGATTGCATATCTAAATATGTAAAGAACAATAAAGCTCTTGAAGGAAAACATGAGAAAATATCTTCATGGCTTCAGGGTAGACCAGGACTTCTTAAAGAGGACATAAAAGGCATTCATCATAAAGGGAAAGATTGATAATTGGGCTACATTCAAAATAAAAAGTGTATATTCATCCAAAACACAATTAGAACAGTGAAAACGCAAGACACAGAGTGGGGAAAGATATAACTGACAAAGAATTCCTATTCAGAATATATTCCATGAATCAATAAGGAAAAGATTGGCAACCTAATTTTTTAAATGGGTAAAAATCTTGGGCAAGCCATTTAGAAAAGGTAATAAACATATGAAAAGGTATTCAACCTTATTAATCATTAGGTAACTATAAGTTAAAACCATGGTATTGAATGACTATCTTTAAAAAGACTGAAAATGCCAAATGTTGAAGATGTAGAGTAATGGGAACTTTAAGAACCACTGCTGGCAGTGTAAATTGGCACACTTTAAATAACTATTTGACCAATTTAATTATTGATGCGAATTTCCTCATTTCTCTGTAATAGAATTATATATTCACACACTAACAAAGACCGCATGGTGGGTGGCATGATTTTTCCCCATCCCTTGGGTGTGACTTGCATTGCACTGAGGATATTGGTGGACAACATGTGAGCAGAGGCTTGAACTATGCTTTTGCAGTTAGGCAAGCCATCTTGGTTCCAGCCTCTTGCTGTGAAAAGAATGTACTACCAGAGAAGCCACTGGTCCGAGAAAGATGAGAGACACCCAAACAAAGCCAGAGTAAGCCCAACTTAAATCAGCAGCATCCCAGCCAGCCCACAGACGGGTGAGTAATAAATGCTCATTGTTATATGTTGCTCATTTTGATGTGGTTAACTTCATGCCATTATTGTGACAATGGTTGATTCATATGTGCTCTACTCTACCTGGTAAACCTCAATATATATCCAATCTATGACTCAGCAAATCCACTGTTTATATATATAATTATATTTATATATATTTATAATACATATTTATAATTATATATAAGTATAATTATATAAAAACATATTTTAAGTATATATTTAAATGGACATACATGTATATATCCAATTAAAATGTGTGTGTATATACATGTATATATATGTATATATATGTGTATATATATACATATATATACATGTATATATGTATATACACACACATGCACACCCCAAATGTATGAGCCTTACTGGAGCATTATTCATAATACCATACAATAAAAATAACTCAAATATTCATCAACCCTAGAATGGATACATATACAATTATATGCTCAAACAATAAAATACTATATAACAAAAACAAAACAAATGAAAGAACCACACTACACCTACCAACACAGATAAATCTCACAAATACTATGTTACACAAAAGAAATCCAGATTCAAAATAATTTCCATTGTATGATTCCTTATGTATAAAATTAGAAAAACAAGCAAATTAATCTGTGGATTTAGAAGTCAGGACGGGAGTTATGTGGGGGAAGATGGAAGCACACAACCACAGTGGGTGCTGGGAAGGTTCTATTTTTTGATCTTCATGATGGTCATGGGGTGGATTCACTTTAGGAAGCTTCATGAAGTTGTGCACTTTGGTATGCACACTTTTCTGAACAAGTTAGACTACAAAGAAATAAAATTTTTTTGTATTTCCTTACAATTATATTTTCTGAGGAAAAAACATTAGCTGAAATCAATAGACTCTAGTCCTTCCATTTCCAGCAATTCAGTGTCCTTCAGTATGAGGTGAGCATGGCCATTTTGGGAACAGTGAAAAGAAAATATTAAGAAAAACTATTTAACTATTCATCCTTGAGAAATAATAAGAGCTTTACTAATGTTTTACATACATATTGATACTCTCACCCACCTTTGGTTGTTATGTGAGAGGGTCACATGCCACATAATGTGCAAAGAGTGCTCTCAAGGACAAGTTCCATGAAGGGAAGGGACAGCTGCAGCTCCCTCACACATCTGTTCACTGTCAGTATATTAACATGCACCTGGTTAAGTGGATATGCATTTTATTGTCCAGTTCTAATCATACTAATCATCACGAAATGGAGAAGTGGCTGAAAATATCCCTGCAAAGAAATGGTGGGTTGAGCATAATACAGGAAGAAAACAAGAAAATGGCAGAGTTGATGCTTCTCCTCCTGGTATGAGTTCTTGGTCAGCCCCATCACAAGATAGAAATAATGCAATCAGTTAAAAATTTCTTCAATGTATTTTCAAAAAGTGTTTGACTGTGAAATTATATATTAATGTTAATAATAAACTTCATCCAAGCATGCAGTGTGCCTCCAGAGACCAATACGCATGCCTTAAGCATAGTATGAAGCCACTAAGACCAGTGAGACAATAAATATTGTTTGTATTATCTCATTCTTTTTTATTTATATTATATATAGTAATGTACGTAATATGGTTTTTTTGGTCATTTTTTGTTTGTTTGTTTTTGTGTTTTTTGTTTTTTTTTTTTTTTTGAGATGGAGTTTCTTTTGCTCTTGCTGCCCGGGCACGATCTCGGCTCACCGCAACCTCCGCCTCCCAGGTTCATGCGATTCTCCTGCCTCACCCTCCCGAATAGCTGGGATTACAGGCATGCACCACCATGCCCGGCTAATTTTGTATTTTTAGTAGAGACAGGGTTTCTCCATGTTGGTCAGGCTGGTCTCGAACTCCCAACCTCAGGTGATCTGCCTGCCTCAGCCTCCCAAAGGGCTAGGATTACAGGAGTGAGCCACTGTACCCGGCCTATAATATGTTAATATAGCTATCCATGATTCTAAATACATATATATATATATATATATATATATATATATATATATGAAGTGCATGCTTAAAATTTTTTTATTTATAGGTACACAACCAAAATGCTTTAGAAACCATTGCATACTGCGAGACTTTAGCTGCTAATTCTCTCTGGAATGAAATGTATCTATACAATAAGGAATATTAAGTTAAAGCTGAATTTTCCTTCTTTTTTTTTTTTTTTTTTTTTTGAGACAGGGTCTCTCTTTGTCACATTAGCTGGAGTGCAGTGGCATGATCTCAGCTCACTGCAACCTCTGCCCCCCGGGCTCAAGCACTCCTCCCACCTCGCCTCCCTAGTAGCTTGGACCACAGGTGCACACCACCATGCCTGGCTATTTTTTTTGTATTTTTAGTAGATACAGGGTCTCGCCATGTTGCCCAGGCTGAAAGCTGAATATTTCTTAGATTCTTTTCTACTCTGCTGTTCTATGAGTGTATTATTTTACGTAGTAAAGGGGAAATATTACTCTAAGATGTAATTTCCCCAAATCCATAAAAAATGCTATTTAGAAAACAGAAGGAGAATTATCATATAGCACCAACTATGAGCCAAGCCCTGAGCTAACAGCTTTGTGTATACAACCTATTCAATGGCAACAGACTCAAGAGGGAGATATTATTACTCCCATTTTCCAGATGAGGAGACAAAGTTTGATATGTAAATCATTGTTAAATAAGGAAACAGTCTCAGGTTACGTTGTGGAGCAGTTGGGAATTTTAAATCAAGATCTGACTGATTGCAAACTTTTTCTTATTCCTTCACATTAGTATTCTGAAGGAGAACATGAAATTTATGTTTTTATGTGATTTTTGTGTGTGTTTATATGAAATGTCCTGTTTTACTTACGTTTAGAGGTGCTAGGGGTCTTACCAATTGTCACTGTTAACTTCTATATCCCAAGTGTCCATACAGTGCCAAGTACGTGGTGGCATTCCATAAGTATTTGCAGAAAGAAAGATGAATGAACGAATGAATGAATGAATAACATGGTAGAACATATTCCATGCCAACTCTAAAGGTACTCAACTGTTAACAGAGAAGCTCCTCCACTCTGAATTTTGATTTTGCCATAAAAAATAAATCCAATATGAGCCTTCCTTCAGATGTATATTGCAATGAATACAAAACCAAAACATGCATTTAAATCACTTATATCTAACTTTTTATGATGCCACTGGGAATGGTGTTCTTTTTGCATTTGCAGTTAAAGGGTAGAACAGATGGCGGAAGTTTAGTTTCAAGTGATGGGCCCATTAAAATAACTTATGCTGTTGAGTGATTGTTCACTCTAAAGGCTCCATTCATTATATCTGCGTTTGCAAGCTTCAAAATACTTGGAAGGAAATAGGACTTCAGGAAATGTTTGCTGTATCAAGAGACTTGCTGGAATAGGACTGCAGACCCACACATTCTATCCCTTAGAAAAAAAGAGTATGAGCTTGCCTGAGGCTTAGCTAAATAGGAAGCTTGTTTCATAGAGCACCCACCCTGGAAGAACTTATGCAGGAAGAGACGTGGAGTTAGAAAATAATGTTCTGGAGAACAAGTGTGGAATCCCCTTGAACAACTTTTTTTCACCTTTTCTATCTTCTAAGACTGTGAATTTAAATATAAAAATTTGTAGCTACAAAAATAAGTATAACGACAGAATGAAAGAGAAGAAAACATAAATGTCAAAATATGGTCTGGAAGAGTCAGCTGGGAGCCGGCTGTAAGAACTCCTTCATCTCTTATCACTGGTTTAGCAACATGGACGTACACACCAGGAGTAGGGCCACATGAAGTCCTTCCTATATACTAAACTATCACATATTCAGCTCAGTTTGGTTGGCCAAATGGTGGCGTGCACCCTGGAATGGAAACCAGGACATCTGGGTTCTATACCAGGGAACTCAGGTGCATCAGCTCATTTAATCTTCTCAACAACCCAGTGATGTAATATTGTCTTCATTTAGCAATTGACAAAACTGAGTATGCCCAGTGGCACCTCTGATCCAAACCCAAGTCTACATGACTCTGAAATCTTTCCTCTACCCATTATTGCACACTCTCTCTTCCATCACAATTTCCAAACTAAAATTCGCTTAGGTAAAATGATGGGTCTTGGCTGGAAAATATCAAAAGTCAGGTCCAGTTATAACACTTCACGATTACACTATGACATTACAAAATTTAGTAAGTTTATTACAGAATATTCAATATTCATTCCATCAGCATCAACTGAGTGCTGAGATACAGGCTTGGTTTGAACTATTGAGGATCTGGTTACAGATTAGATATGACCACTGCCCCTGTTAGTCAGGGATCTGGCAGGAAACAGAGAGCATGTTCAAGATGGATAAGTTACGGAGAAGAAAGTAAAGGGAATACCTCAAAGGAATGGGCAGGAATAGAAAAGCTAATGAGAACAAGCATAGGACCCTGGGACTAATGACAGAGAGGAGCAGTTCACCTTTCTTCCTGAATGGGCAAGAGGAAGGGAAGGTTGCCAGGACCTAAAGTAGCTGCATGCAGAGACACCTGATACAAACTGAGCTCTTCAGACAACCCCTGGAGGGTTGGCATGAAGTCACACTTGCAGCCCCCTTTTCCTAAACTGTACCAGTTGGAGAATGTTAGAAGTTCGTGGGTTGGAAATCTAGAGGTAGCTGCAACTTTAAGAGAGATTTCAAAGCAAACGGTTGCCCTCAGGACTGCTTTTTCTGACCTCATATATTCAACAAACATTGATTAAATGTCTACTTTTGGTCCAAGCACTAGGGTTACAAGAAATAATAGATAAACCCAGAAAGTTGACAGGTAAAACACAGGCATTTAGAATACAGGATGAAAACTGCAATAGGCATAGTTCTGGAAGGTATGAACTGATCTGGAAAGAAAACATCCTGGGGAAGGATGCTAACACCTTGAGTCTTGAAGGACAAAGAAGATAATGTGACTTGAAAGGAGGGAAAAGTCCTCAAACCAAGAGAGCAAATGTGCAAAGGCCTGAAGAAGACAAACGGCACGGTTCCAGAGCCTGTGGGATCTCAGAGGGCAGATAGACTCAATAAATAGCTGTAACTGGCGTTGAAGGTAGAAATGTAGCATCATCCAGGAGAATGAGAAAGGTCACCAAGGAGCATGCAGAAAGAAAAAAAAGGAAAACAGCTACAGACTATGGGGCCTGAGGTATGCAGAAGAAGTCCACATTGTAATTCCTGGAATCTGTGACTATGTTACCTCACGTGGCAAAAGGGACTGAGCAGTTGATTAAATTAAGGATCTTGACATGAGAGATTATCCTGGATTATACAGATGGGTTGAATGTAATCTCAAGGATCTTTATCCATGAAAAGGGGAAACACTCTCTCCAGAAGGAGTGCACCCCTGCACATACCTTAATTTTATCCCGGTGAAACCCATTTTCAGCTTCTGACCTCTGAACCATAAATTTTAAACCCCCATGACATGAGTTTACCTGTGTAACAAACCTTCACTTGTACCCCTGAACCAGAAATAAATGTTTTAAAATAAATAAATAAATAAATCTGTATTGCTTTAAACCACTACGTTTGTGGTAATTTGTTATGACAGCAATAGGAAGCTAATACAGTACCCATAGAACACTTTGTTGTATGTTAAAAGAATGTGATTGGCCCATTAGTAGTAACAGGGAAACATTTTTCAAGACACATTGTCATTGTTTTTAAGACAATTTGCAAAAATAAATTATGTAAGTTTTTTTAAACCTCCACAAAACTAAACTAAATACCCATGGATTTATACAGGTCTATAAATGCATGGGAAAAGATCTGGTACCATTTCTATGAAACCAAAACAGTGGTGACCTCTGGGGTAGAGGAAGGCTCTAAAGATTGCAGATACTAGAGGACTTCAAAAAGTTTACGGAAAGTGGAACTAAAAGATAAAAATAAAATATGTAAGTTTTATTTCACATCAAAGTCAAGACAATTTTGTAAGCTATGATTTCAGCCATTTAGTTCATCCCTAAAGAACTGAGGGTCCTGAAAATTTAGCCATGTCTATGCAACCTTTTTTAGATTATAAACTATCACATTAGTATTCTGAAGCAGAACGTGAAATTTATGTTTTTATGTGATTTTTATGTGTAATTATATGAAATATCATGTTTTATATTCCTTTAGAGGTGCTAGGGGTCTTTCTTACCAATTGTCACTGTTAACTTCTATATCCCAAGTGTCTAGTATAGTGCCAAGTACATAGTGGCATTCCGTAAGTATTTGCAGAAAGGAAGAGAATGTGAATATGTTACCTCATGTGGCAAAAGGGACTGATCAGTCGATTAAATTAAGGATCTTGACATGAGGTAACTGAAGAAAAGTGGGTGCCCCTTACAGATTTTTTTTAAGGTTAGACAGCAAAAAGAAGTCAGAAGACACCAAATAACACCTGTAAGGTGAATGCCTAATAATTTCCCACTGAAATGCTCCCAAAGTTTCCCTTGTTTGATGAAAGGAGTGAGCAGGAGCATTGTCATGGTGGAATAGGACTCTCTAGTAATGCTTTCCCAGACTTTTTTGTTTTTTTCTGCTCAAGCTTTAGTTAACTTTCTCAACACTCTCATAATAAGCAGATGTTATCATTTATTGGCCTTCCAGAAAAATCAGCAAGCAAAATGCCTTGACAATCCCCCAAAATTGTTACCATGACCTCTGCTCTTGGCTGGTTCCCTTTTGCTTTGACTGGGCCACTTCTATGTCTTAGTAACCATTGCTCTGATTATGTCTTGTCTTCAGGATAATATTGGTAAGCATTGTTTCATTTTCTGTTACAATTCTTCTTAAAAAATGCTTCAGGATCTTGATCCTACTTGTTTAAAATTTTCATTGAAAACTTTTTTTTGTCTGCAGATGATTTGGTGGACACAATGGTTTTGGAACTCAACAAGTGGAAAGTTTGTTAAACTTTAATTTTTCATTCAGAATTGTGTAAGCTGAACCATTTGAGATGTCTGTGATGTTGGCTCTTGTTTCTGCTGTTAATCATCAGTCCTCTTCAATTAAAGCACAAACAAGGTGAATTTTTTCCTTGCAAGTTGATGTGAATGGCCTGCTACTGCGGGCTTCATCTTCAACACTGGATTTATTCCTTGTTAAGACAAATTATTCATTTGTAAACTGCTGAATAATATGGGGCATTATCCTCATAAATTTTCATAAAGCATCAATGATTTTTATCAATTTTCCACCCTAGTTTCACCATAAATTTGATGTTTGTTCTTGCTTCAATTTTAGCAGAATTCATGTTGTTCTGATAAGGATTCTTTTCAAACTGATATATTGTCCTTCTTAGTGCCTTAAACTAGATTCTGTTCAGACACAGTATAACACATTAGTATGAGTTTATTTTGGTGCAAAAAAAAGTGAAAACCATGCATAGTTTGTTCATAATATGCATTTTCTATGAACATTTTGAAGACCCCTCATAGGTGTGTATGTAAAGGCTGAGATAACAAACTCAGGAGTGAACTTCACCAAAAGATAAACACAGTTACCTCTGCAATATAGAAAGGGATGAAGGGTGGTATTTTAGGGGAACTTTGGCTTTATCCAAAAACAATGAATGGTTTATAAAGAGATATATTCACACATTTATTATGTAAAAAATAGAAAGCCAAATATTGGTTAAAATCCTTTAAGTAGAAAATAAAATGACCTGAATATAAAACTGCAGGTAATATGAATTTATTACATTCCAGCAAAGGGAGAGGAATAGGCAAAAGGGAATGGAAGGACCAGTGAGGGGAAGAAAGAATTTGAAGAATGTGTCCGATGGTTTCAATCACGTTAAGTGCTGCTGAAATAAGAAAAGTAAC
The DNA here is from genome assembly GCF_000001405.40 of Homo sapiens. Taxonomy (NCBI): domain Eukaryota; kingdom Metazoa; phylum Chordata; class Mammalia; order Primates; family Hominidae; genus Homo; species Homo sapiens. Next base: position 16,330,263 of record NC_000004.12, on the reverse strand, counting down.
ATCAAAGCTAAAAAGAAATGCACTAGGTTTAGCCCACAGGTGGCCTCTGAAGGCTGAGGAATCAATGGGAAAGTCAGACATGGTGAGAGAAAGGGTGGCTAGGTCTTAGGCAAACTAGAACAGAAAAGAAAGAGCCACGCAAGCCTGAAAGACTCAAGGGAGGACTTTCCAAGATGGCAGAGGTTTGGGAATATTTAGATGTTGGTGGGAAGGAAACTGAAGAGTAGGGGAAGTACAGAGGGAGGAGATAATTGATACAGCCCCAAAGCCAGGTGACTGAAGAAATGAAAAGGGAGGTGATCTAGTGCACAGGCAGAGAAATTATGCTGACAGTGCATAGGGCACATTTTTCTCTGCATGTCAAGGGAAAGCTGTAAAGATAAGTTAGTATATAGGGGGTGAGAGGGTAACAAGCATCATTTGGTTTGGTTGGCTTTGATTGTTTTTAGTGAAATAGAAGGCAAGTCTGTGGACTGAAAAGGGAATGATGAGTGATTGGATGGGAGTTTTAAGGAGGGTGGGAGGTTTGAAGCACTCCAGAGAAGTAGAATGAGAGCTGACTCAAAAAATGCACAGTTGTTGCCAGGTAACACTGGGGATTGAGGTGAGCTCCAAGAATGTGAATTCAAACAGACACTAGCCCACACAGGGACTAGGGGACTTTACAAGTAGCAGCCAGCAGTCAGGTGGGCATTCAGGAAAGAAAGCTTGTTAGAGTGACTCAGGGATGGGGGCTTACAGTTACTCAAGCCAAAAATGACCTAAGGCTTCTCGTTCTTTCATGCGCCCTATCATTAACTGAGGACATTTTGTTGAATTGAGCTCCTACATTTCTCTTGAAAGTATCCATTTCTCTCCATCCTGGCAGCCTTTGCCTCATGCCATTTAACATTCATCTCACTGGGATTATTGCATCTGCCTTCTCTTCAACTCTGACATCTTATTCTGAGTCAACATTCTTTAAAGTAAATGTGATAACATTATAAATTCCTTCCATTCCTTTTTTTCCCTTGGGACAACATCCAAATCAAGCCTCCCCAGCCTTCTCTCTCACCAAGACCAGTCCTCAAGCTTTCTAACCATGCTGAGTTGCTTGCAGTTTCTGAAATATACCTTACCTTTTCTTGGCTCTGGGCCTTTGCTTGACCTATGTTCCAACTCTTCACTGGATAAACTCCTGCTCATATTTTGAGGTTCATAAAAGACCTCATTTCCGCCAAAACTTCTCTAGCTTCCAAATTTAAATACCATTGTGTATGCTTTCATTAATACCCAGTTCCTTCCCATCATAACCATATCATGCTGTATCATAATTGCACATTTCCTCATCTGTCTCTTGCCATTAAATTTTGAGCATTATAAAGACAGGTGCTGTGTCTTATATATCACTGAGTCACTGGCACCTCACAGCATGCCTAGAACACATTCAAGATTGATTGAACAATATGGTAAACCAGGCCTCAAAATCCTGGGCTTTTCCCATTAGACTCTTATTTATAGCACAAGAGGTTAAAAACATGGCATGTATGTGTTTGGGAAAGGGATGTAGTCATGACAAGCTAAGGAGTCAACCACTCAGTATCATTAAACAGGCAGCACTTACCCTCTATGGCTTGAAAAGAATCTATTTTGATGAAGGACATGCCAGGTTTCTCAACATCAATGCCAGGTGATTTCTTAATTAACTCACAGGTACTGTCCATAGGAAAGTCCAGCGTTGATTATAAATGAGAATTAAGATAAGAGCACTGCTTCCTTTAGAACTTTAAAAATACTTTGTAGCTACTCCATAATCAAAGTAATGTTTCAGTAAGATTTGTACAATGTTTAATGTGCTGTTAATCCTATTCGGTGTACTTTTCATCTTAGATGTAATTTTCATCTCTAGAATTTTTATTGGAGTCTTTTTAAAATCTCTTCTAGGTCTCTACTTAACGTGTTCAGTCTTTCCGCTAACTTATTAAATATATGGAATACAGATGTAATAACTTTTAGTGTTTTGTCTATTAATTCTATCATCTGTGTTATTTCTGGGTCAGTTTCAATTGACAGATGTTTTTCCTAATTAAGGTAATCTTTTCTTGCTTTTTTGTATGCTTGATAATTTTTGATTGGGTGCTAGGTAGGTTTAGTTGCTCTCCACTACTGAGGCAAGACCATTATTCATGAATGTCTTGTGAATTACAAGGTTTTCCACCTCGGCTGTTGGGCACAGACACTATTTCCAGCCCTGCATAAGTTCTGAATACTGTTCCCTCTAATCCTTTGAGGTGGTTCTTCCTCTGATCTTGAACAGTTTCCTCATAGGCATGCATTGTATTACAGAGATGCATCAGTACTCATCTATATACTTGAGAAAGATCCTCTGTAAATCTCTGGAGTTCTCTCTGCAACACGTTTCTCTTTGGTACTCTACCCTGTGAATTTTATTATCTGTCTTGGCTTCTCCAGCCTCCCAGCTCTGTTTCTTCAGCTCCTAGAATCTACTGAGCTCTGCCTGGCTTCCCACTTCCCATGCTGTGGCTGAAAATGCGAACATAGACTGGATGACTCTCTAGGACTGCTCTGTGGTCGCAATCTGGAACTTTCCTTCACTGCCTCTCTGTTGGCTTTCCTGTTCCCTGGATTCTGGATTTTTCTACTTCTATGTCTTAGCTTATTCCCTTGTTTTGCTGAAATATATCTTCCAAAAGCTTCCTAAAAATGAATATGTAGGAGATTAAAAATGCTAAGTTCTTTTCTATCTGAAAATGGCTTTATTTTACACTCGGGCTTAATTGAAAGGTGACTTATTAGAGAATTATATGTTGAAAATAATTTTCACTCAAAATTTTAAAGACATTTTTCTTTGTTTTCTGGCATATAGCGTATTTATTCTATTTTCTAATGCCATCCTTAATCTAGTTTCCTTGTACTGACTTGTATTTTTATGTGAAATCTTTGGTTCTTATTTTCACTGGTAGTCTAAAATTTCTGTAAATCTATTTTTATTCACTGTTTTGGGGATTGGGTAGGCCCTCTCAACCTGAAAAGTAATGTGTTACTGTTCTGAGGAATTTCTCTGTATTATTTCTTTGAAAATTTTCTCTCAATATTATTCTCTTTATTCTTTCCAAAGTCCCTGTTAGCTAGATATTAGACTCCCTAGATTAGTTTTCTAATTTTTCTTATTTTTCTATCCTAATGTTCACCTATTTGATTTTTACTCTAGTTTCTGAAAGGTTTTCTTGATATTTCTACCAATCTTTCTCATTAATTTTTCATTTCATTTATTATATTTTTAAAATTGAAAAGTGTTTTTTTTCCTTATTACTCCTTGTTATGTAATCTTATTCTTTTTCATACACTCAAGATCTTGCCTTATGTATCTAAAGGTATTAACAGAAAAAGTTTAAATTTTTTTTGCTTTCTCTATTGCCTTTGTTTCTTCTGAGTTCCTTTTTATCTGGTGTTTTTCACTCATTTCTCAGGTATCTAGTGATACTTCATATTTGAGAATGGGTCACTAAAATAAGAGTAGAAAGCCTCACTGCAGGGTAGTTTGGAGGCAAATTGGGTTTTTCCTTTCTATTTATTTATTTATTTATTTATTTATTTTGAGACAAGAGTCTCACTCTGTTTCCCAGGCTGGAGTGCAATGGCCGATCTCAGCTCACTGCAACCTCCGTCTCCCAGTTTCAAGTGATTCTCCTGCCTCAGCCTCCCGAGTAGCTAGGATTACAGGTGTGCACCACCACCCCTGGCTAATTTTTGTATTTTTAGTAGAGACAGGGTTTCACCATGTTGACCAGGCTGGTTTCAAACTCCTGACCTCAGGTGATCCGCCTGCCTCGGCTTCCCAAAGTGTTGGGGTTATAGGCGTGAGCCACTGTGCCCAGCCAAATTGGGTTTTTAATTGGGGAGGCCAGTACATGGTCAGGATGCCAATATCTGTAGCAGTTTTCTGCAATTCCATTTCTCCATAGAAGAATTTTCTGATCTCCTGTGTGTGTTAGTGGACAAAGGATGGAATACCCCTGGCTAATGAAGTTCTAGACACAAGTCAGGAACTGAAGCAGGTAGGCAGTGTCTGACTATTCAGTCTAGACTCTCCCCTAACCACTCTGATTTCAACCTGATGCCTCACTCCTCCACTCCCTTCTCACTGGTACCCTCAGTGTTTGAGACTAAACCTCTGGTCTCTGTGGAGGAGAGGAAAGGAGCTGTCTTTGGGCAGCGAGAGGTGGAGACATCCAGAAGTCTTACTGTTCTAGTTCAGACTTTCAGTTAATTCTTTTGATTTTCATCTGGATCCTCACCTCTGGCCCAGCAGTTCATGATGTTTCCAAGTTTCAAGCCTTTGTGGGGTTCTCCAGGGTAAATTCAGACTTGCTTTGTACGCTCATTCCTCTCTGCTTCTGCTTTTTCTGCTCTGTTGTGTCACTGAGCTCTACTCCATGCACTTTCCAGCTTCTGATATATGTTGTTATTTCTCACAGATTGTTTTTTCCTCTCCTACCTCTCCTCTTTCATTCCTTTACTTTCATTTTAGTGATGATCTAGTGGGGAGCTGAATAGACATAATTCAATACTATAAATCATAAGCAAGTTTTACACATTCTGTCATTTAATTCTCACAATAATCCTATGAATTGAATGATAATTATCCCTATTACATCGATAGGGAAACTGAGACTCAAAGATGTTAAGGCATTTGCCTAGGTCACATGGCCAGTAGGGCCATGAATTTATGACCAGTTTTGACTCCAAAGACCATGACTATATTGGCTATATTTGGCACCATTCTGATTTTAAGTGTGTATGTGTGGATTTGCAAATTTGATCCCATTAGTCACTGGCATCTGGGTCCCCAGAGCTCCCTTATCTAATTGCACTTGGATCCCCAAAGTCTTCTGGTCCATGTGCATAAGATCTGAGGATATCCAACCTTGACCTCTGATGTCCTGCATTCCTTGGACACACACAACTACTAAGACACTCCAGAAACCTTTCGGTCTTCCAGTTATGTTTCTTTCATTCAGTACTTAACCCTGGGCAACTTCATGTGCTAAGCACTTGCTGGAAAAATGTGTCCATGAAGCAAACACAGGCTGCCTTCAGAGTGATCATGTCTAGTCAGAGAGAGAGAGAGATCCTGAGAGCGAGACAAAGAAGAGAAGGCCAAACTGGAGTAATGTGCCCTTGTAGAAAAGAACCTACTATAGCTTGGATTTCTTGGAAAACCTCGCTAAAGAGATGATGTTTAAGCTGATACCTGCAGAGTCCATTCATTCATTCTTTCAAAGTACATTTGATGAGCATCTATCACAGACCAATAAAAAGAATCATTCAAACCTATGTGAGAACTTTCAAGTGTTTGGCACTATTCTAAGTGCTTGATGTATGTTAACTCATTTAATCTACCCAAACGTAGAAAGTAATTTCTATTACTTTTCCTATTTTACAAAGAATAAGAAGGGGGTACAGAGATTTGATGTATCTCTTTCAAAACATGCAGAAAGTTTTAGGCTAAGATTCTGCCCAGGCTATTGGGTGCAGCATTGGTGCTCTTGAACACCATGTTAGGAGGGGAGGGGGATATGGAGGTAAATGTGTCAGATGGGTTCCTGCCCCCTTGGAGCTGATTTTCTAGTGATGAGAATGAGATGAACTTAGTGATTTGGCAAAAGGGGCAGAAAGACACTGAAACTATGCATTGCAATATATATGAAATGGGCTTCAGAGGGGGAAGGTTATATGTCTTGAAGTAGCACAGAATACACAATCTTCCAGCACTCATTATCCCCTAGACAAAGCTGGGCTGTGCCTGATACAGGATCTGTTCCAGGAGAGAGGATAGCAGACCCACTGTACCAGCTGCCAGCTAAACCTCTAAAAGGGGGAAGGAATGGGATTTAAAAATGGTTTAGATTTGTCTCTTTTCACCAATCCAGCACAGACCAGATGAAGGGGGAAGGCCAAGTGCTTTGGACAAAGTAACCACATCTGTTGGGAATATGATAAGGGACAGGTCATTGGAGGTCAAGGTTAGACACCTGGGTTGTATGCACATGAACCATAAGGCTTGAGGGACATAAGTGAGCCTTGGGGGCCCTGTTACCCACAGAATAATAGAAGATGCGTGGCCAGGGGAAAACCCTGAACAAAGGCCAGTGTATAGAGTGTGGTGGATGAACTGTAGAATGGTAAGAAAAGGGTCTGGAGCAGAAGGCATGGGCCACATAATGCAGGGCTGGCTAAGCCATTTTGGGAGGGTTGGTTTTTCAAGCCACTGAAAATCTGATCCATTTTAAGAACACCTTCTGGCTCCTATTAAGAGACTGAGTATGAAAAGGGCAATAGGGGAGAAGCAGAGAGACTAATTAGAATGTAAAAGATATCAAAGGCTTGGACTAGTGGCTTCAGAGTAGAGGAGGAATGGATTCAGATTAGAGACATATTTAGGAGGTGGAATTGAGAGCACTTGTTGATAGACTGGATAAGGGAGTTGAGAGGAAAGCATTGAAGGACAGCTCCTAGGAATTGTGGAGCTATTTGCTGAGCAGGTTATGACAAGCTGAGTGGTAGAGAGGAGGTGGTGAAGGTAGACTGGGGCTTCAATTTATACTGATCTACTGCACAACTAGGATGGAGAAATAGGAATTGTGGAGCTATTTGCTGAGCAGGTCATGACAAGCTGAGTGGTAGAGAGGAGGTGGTGAAGGTAGACTGGGGCTTCAATTTATACTGATCTACTGCACAACTAGGATGGAGAAATAGGAATTGTGGAGCTATTTGCTGAGCAGGTCATGACAAGCTGAGTGGTAGAGAGGAGGTGGTGAAGGTAGACTGGGGCTTCAATTTATACTGATCTACTGCACAACTAGGATCAGAAGCACAGGTATCTTTCCATAGATTGCCACAATGCCAGTGGAGCCAGCTCAGCCCCACACTTACCTAGTGCAGACTGAGCCCAGCGAAGCTCAAGTCTCTGAACTCTTACAGGCTGGAAACCGGAGAACTTTAAATGAATAATATAGCCCAGGCTCCTCTGGGTCACAGAGCAATCACCCCTCCTAAAATATGACTGTTTTCCTCACCATTTTAATGCCATTTCAAGGATACCTTACATTTCCGTTCAGATCTGCCGTTTTATCCAGCTGGATTTCTTTTCAATTCAACCCAATTTTAACCCCAATGCTCAAGTTATTTTTTCCCATTATGCCCACGAATAGAAGCAAATCATACCATCTTGCATAAATGCAGCTGTTTTCTCTCCTCTTTTCTCATTTTAGATGAAAATCTTCTTTCTTCTTTTTTTATTAACAACAGCACCCCCTCCTTGCTCCCTGCTGAGGGCCTCACCATTGGCTGTGTTTGTTCCTCATCTCCTGTGCTCTTTCCTGTTTCTTCAGGGAGTCCCTGCAGAGATGTTTTCTTATGTAATCAAATTATAGGTCAAATTCATCAAAAGAATAGCACACAGGTACATTCCTTACGAACATTAATGAATGCAGTAAGTAACACATTCTTTTTTTAAGTGGAGGAATTGGTAAATAAAGATGCTCTTTGGTAAAGAAAAATGAAGCAAGGAACATAGCTTTAAAATATGCCAAATTTCCTTGTTAAACTGTAAAGTTGTGCAAATGTTTATTGCCATCACCACCATTGTTATAACCATGTGTAATATATATCATAGGAAATATTTTTAAATATTTTATAGTTGATTTCAATAAATATCATTTGGGCACCTAGTACAAGATACACACTGTGCTGAGCATAGGCATGCAGAGACTGCAGAAGGTAGTTCCTTCATGACAAAGGGAAAAAGCAGACATACAGAGCACATAAACAGATAATTTTGATGTAAAAAATAGAAATGCTATAATAATGACAGCAGCAGAGACATGCCTGCAATAATACCTGCAGTGGTAGGCAACTCCAGCCAAGGCAGACATTGTCAATCATGCTTTAGATACACAACCCCATTTAATCCACATGGTAATCATGCAAAACAAGATTATGATCCTTATTCCATAGAAAAGAAAACGGAGCTACAGCAAGGTTAAGTAGCTGTCTGAAAGACACCAAGATACAGAGAAGCAGAGCAAATGAGAGGGAAAAATCTCTCCCTGACACCAAAATCTTGATTTTTTTCCCCACTTCTCCCAAGGATGTTGATATGGTTTTGCTGTGTCCCTACCCAAATCTCATCTTGAATTGTAGCTCCCATAACTCTCACATGTTGTGGGAGGGACCCAGTGGGAGATAACTGAATCATGAGGGCAGTTTCCCCCATACTGTTCTCGTAGTAGTGAATAAGTCTCATGAGAGCTGATGGTTTTGTAAGGGGTTTTCCCTTTTGCTTGGCTCTCATTCTCTCTTGCCTGCCACCATGTAAGATGTGACTTTGCTCCTCATTCACCTTCTGCCATGATTGAGGCCTCCCAAGCCACGTGGAACTGTAAGTCAATGAAGCCTCTTTCCTTTATGAATTACCCAGTCTCGGGCATGTCTTTATTAGCAGCATCAGAAAAGACTAATAGAGATGTATATAGTATGGTTTAGAAGGAGAGAAGGGGGCACTGAAATCAGCCTAGGGTAGAGGTAGGAATGAATAGGTCTTTGAGGAACGCTGAGGGAGCTATGTCTTAAATGTTGAGCCATGAGTCAAGAAGGAAGGGGAGGTGGAGATGGGGCATCCTAGGCAGGAGAAAAGCAGGGAGGCATGGAATAGCATAAGACTTTCTGGCCAGACTCAAGTAGTATGGGATAGCTGGAGGACTAAGTTCAGAGAAATAAAGCTGGGGAGAGACAAGGCCAGGACCGGATTACAAAAGGCCTTATGTGTCACACTAAGGAAACTGGACTTGATTCTGAGAACAATAGAGCAGTAGGTGGATGTTGCTTTAGAAATGACATTGTCAGCCAAATGGAGGGTAGATTAGATGAGGCAGTGCTAGAAACCCGGCTGTTGTTATCACCCGAGCATCCATGAGAAGGATTAGAGTTGTGAGGCTAACTCAGTTTGTGCAAAGCTGTCCCTGGCTACTTCAGCTGTATTCCCAATGGCTCAAAGCAATGGCTCTGCCATGGCGAGGCTGGTGTCATTCACCTGATATCCTTGGGAGACACCCAAGCATTGTCACCCATCTTGCTCCCTTGGCTTGGAATTCAGCCTTACCTGACGCATCTCTTGCCACTCCATTCCAGTTCACCTGAAATTCTGGACACATCGCACTTCTTACTGAGCATCAAATGTCACGTCAGCCTCTTTCAAGCCTTTGCACATTTTTTTGACCTGGAGTGTCCCTTCCGTTCCTCTTTGTCTGAAGAATCCCCCTCCAGATAAAGACTTACCTCTTCGTTTACCAAGCCCTACAAAGAGTCACTCTTTCCTCTAGGCCCTTGTGGGGGCCTTGTACTTTTGTTTGTAATGTCACATTTTACACGGTAACAGAATCATTCCTCATCTGTCTCTTTCCTTACTTATGCAGTAAGTTCCTACTTCCATAGATATTTCATGCATATACAACTGTGATGGTTAATTTTATGTGTCAACTTGACTTGTCTAAGAAGTGCCCAGATAGCTGGGCAAAACATTATTTCTGGGTGTGTCTCTGAGGGTGTTTCCAGAAGACATTAGCATTTGAATCAGTAGGTTGAGTAAAGATGATCACCCTCACCAATGTGAGTGGCCATTATCCCTGTTGAGGTCTCAAATAGAGCAAAAAGGCAAATGTAGAGCAAATTTACTCTCTTCTTACACTGGGAAATACAAATGTTCTTGCCCTTGGACATTACTTTTCCTGATTCTCTGGTATTTGGACTCAGACTGGGACTTAGACCATTGGCTCTCCTGGTTCTCAAGCCTTCAGGCTTGGACTGGAACTACACCACTATTGTTCCCGGGGCCTCCAGTTTGCAGACAAGCAGATCATGGGACTTCTCAGACTCCATAAACATGTGAGCCAATCTCTCGTAACAAATCCATTTCTATATTAATCTATCTACACCTATCAGTTCTGTTTCTCTGGAGAATCTTGACCAACACAACAAGCAAATACCTATCTATCTACACACAATACACACATACAAGTTTTTATTATTTTTCTTTGCACAATGATGGCATACTTACACTTCCTGAACTTTGCTTTTTTAGGACTTGAGACTACACCTTAGCAATTTTCCCATAAATATACATGAAGAACTTCTTTATTCTGTAGATGAAAAAAAAATTTAACAGTCACCTTCTGTTTAACATTTTGGTTGTTTCCAGTCTTCTGCAATTACAAACAATTACATATCATGCAAAAATTAACCTTGCTTGTACAAACATTATTTCTCATGCATGGGAGCATATCTGCTGGATAAATTTCTAGAAGTAGGAGTATGAGGTCAAAGAATACATACATTAGCAAACTTGATAGCTACCTTCAAATTGTTCTCTGTAGAATTGTGCAAATTTCCATTGTTGCCAGAAATGTATAAAAATACCTGGTTTCCTGTGACCCCAATAACATCCAAATTTTGGATTTTTGCTAGTATGGTTTCTGACGGTATGATTTGCAATAATGACATTCTTGCATAGCTTTAATTTGTGTTTCTCTTTTTAAGAATAAGTTGAGCATCTTTTTGTATGTTTTATACTTCTGTTTATAATTTTTTTCTGTCTGTTTACATCCTTTAGCCATTTGTCTTCTGACCATGGGTCTTTCTCTTAACCATTTCTAGTGAGCCATTTGTCTAGGATTCAAGAAACATTGAGCAAGTGTTTCTCCCGATTTGTTGTGTGCTTCTGAGGTTGCTCAGTGTTTTTCTTTGCACTTTTTCTCTGTAGAAATGGCACAAAGTTGGGTGAGTGATTGCCAAAGCTGAAGAAGTTTGGGTCATCACTGATTAAAGCTCATAATCTTGCTAGAAAATGACTGTAATTTCTAATAATAATACATACCATGTAGCAGAAATAAAAGGTACCCAATGATGTGTTCATTTTCTTTTTCCTCAAAAATAAAAATTTGCTTTAAGAAAGGATTTGTGGCTGAGCACGGTGGCTCATGCCTATAATCCCAGCACTTTGGGAGGCCGAGGTGGGCAGATCATGACCTCAGGAGATCGAGACCATCCTGGCTAAAATGGTGAAACCCCGTATCTACTAAAAATGCAAAAAAATTAGCCAGGCGTAGGTGGTGCACACCTGTAGTCCCAGCTACTCGGGAGGCTGAGGCAGGAGAATGATGTAAAACCCGGAAAGCAGAGCTTGCAGTGAGCTGAGATGGCGCCACTGCACTCCAGCCTGGGCGACAGAGCGAGACTCTGTCTCAAAAAAAAAAAAAAGGAAAGGATTTGCTATAAAATTTGAACTGTAGAAGATTTCTTTGAGGTTGGCACATGCTTCCCTCTCCTTCTAAACCAGTACATTTGGATTTTTTTTTTAGGCTTAGCAAAAGATGCTAAATTCTTACCTCAGACAAGCCTTGCTTCTAATTTTTGCCAAACTATTTCGACCACGTGACCTTAGAAGGCTGCCACTAAAAGATTCCATTTTAGGAGCCAATTTTTAAGAGGTGAATGAACCCCTTACATAGTTGATTTGAAAAATGAGAAGTAGACACCGAAAACTTTGTGATATCATCTAAGAATGGTAGATGGTTTAGATAAATCCAACACTTGCAGCAACCCCTGGATAAGGATCATACTTAATCATTTTAAAACCTGTTCATGAAGAGCATTCCTGGATGCTTTTAAGTTGAAGGAGGTTATGACAAGAAATATTCCACAGCATGTTGCATGGTAAATAAGTATGCAAGAAATGTTTGCTGATTGACTGATCTGCTTTGCTATGTATATGTAGTTTCTATGAACACAAAACTGTCTCAAAGAAAGCGATAAAAACCGCTGCTCCCAGTCATCAAGTTATTAGCATGAGATGTGTACATGGGTAATCTCAGCTTCTTTTTCCCCCTCAAACACTGATGTGCTGGACACTGAATCACTTAAAATGATAATTTGGCATAAGGAACCATATCAAACTCTTCCAATGACTTCTCCATCAGAAACAGTCACTGGGTCCCCCTGCCGAGTACTCACTGCAGCTAGAAGGCAGCGGGATATGCTGCCCACACTTCACACCCTGGTTTCTGAATTCCAGGGCTTCCCACATGGCCTACAGCAGGAGGTCTCATGCCAGATTGGCAAGAAACAAAAGCCATCATCCTCTCCCTACCTCTCACATCTCTAAAGTTGGTACAATTAAGAAATTAAACTCTATCATAGCAAAGTATGAAATTAATTTTGAAAAAAGTACAAGTTATTCATTTATCTTAACATGTATGATGAACCAGGCACTCTTCAAGCTTATGAGCTCCCAGTGAGCAAGAAACACAAGATCCCAGCCCTCTTGTGGGACATGAAAAATAAATACATGACAACACAGAAACAGGGCATTTGCAGGTCAGGATGACTTAGACAGAGTGGTTCAGGAAGGCCTGTTAAGGAGGTAACTTTTGATACATGAACTTTAAAGAATAAAAATGAAGCATATATTGGAAAAACTAGGAAAATAATAATCTAGGAGCAAAGACCAATAAGGGCAAATCCTATAATAAAATGGATTCAAAGAATCAAAGAATGGAAGAGGGAGTTTCAAATTTATATTAAAAAAATATTATCATCATCGAGCCATCTTAACTCTTCTGTTATACAGATATAAAAACAGCGATTCAGAAAAGGTAGTAATTTTATCAAGGCTACCTTGCTTGGGCAACATGATTAAAGGTGACCTTCCTGAACACCAGTTAGCCAGCTATTCTGACACCATCTTTTATATTCCCCTACAAGACAAATGTTAAACTTCCATAGGTATTAGAAATCTATGACATGACTTTAGCAAGGAAGTAGAAAACAATGATTTAGCTCTGGGGTTGGAGGGAGTAGAGAAAAGCACTCAAACGCATATTAAACCCTTCCCTTCAGAGAAGTACTCAGTCAGTCAAGATTCTCAAGCACCATAAAAACAATTCTAAATGATACTTCATTTTTAAAAAGTGTCTTTCAAAAATCCCAAAAGACTGATGGAAAAAAGATTAACAGCTATCATTTGATGGCTGTGAAATGGTTGCTTCAATCTTGGGAAAAACAGGTTGGATTTCGAGGGAGATGTTATGAATAACATGGTGCTTGGAAAAAAATATATACATATAAATGTATAAAGTATATTCTGTATTCATAGCATATTCATATATAAATTTATAAAAGTATATATGAATATAATATTTATATATTTTGATATATTCATATATTAACACATGTATAAATATATATATGTATGAATGAATATATGTTTATATATAAATGAAAACTATGTGAAAGACTGCTATTATATACATCAAATTCTGCATGGGCCTGCTGGTGCAGTCCAGTAACAGCAAACACCTGCTCTTAACTGGTAGCTGACCGTGGGCCAACTGAGAAGACAGTGGCAGGAACTTGCTGTTGCCTGTGGGTTGGTTTTCCATTCACACATACTCAAGACTGAACTTGTTCATAGGTCAGTGCCCTTCACCTGTGCATTCTCTTCTTTGCTATACTCTCTGATCTTCCTCTTTCTCCTCTGCCCCCCGCAGATTTATTCCCCAGGGCCCCAACTTCATACTGCCTGAGTCCAGTATGGTCAAGGCAAAGATCCACCCCTCCAGAGAAAGCAATAATGACTCCTACTAGAATCTTCCAGGGCCTTTGGAGAAGAGCAACTTCAAGACAAATTTTAAGAGTGCTAATACTGTGTCCATTTTAGTAAATACCTTGGATGCATTGTTACTCTAAAAACCATTCTCTGTTCCGTGGAGGATGAGACCTGGAAAGAAGAAAGGGATGATGATGAGGAACTGAGAACCCTAGCCTGCCTCCTATGCTTGTCTGACCCTCTGAGGCGGCCATGGGAAGCTTTTCCCTAAAGCCTTTGGCACTTCAGTTCTGTCAATTGCTGCCCCTTTGGTGTCTTTTCAGAATTTGTGTCACCACACTCTGCTGGTGTGTCTGCCAGAAGCCTGACCATGCTTAGGATTCGGCCTAAGGATTCAGTGAATCTAACAGCTCACACCTGGATGGAGAAGGGAGGAGAAGATTGGGACATTAGTACCAGAATCCAAGAGGGTTAGTCTTACGCAAGTCTCAGAAATTGGCACTCCCTCGATATGAAGCCAACCTCTTTCTCCCAGGCCCAATCAACAGAAAAAGGATGCAAGTGGCAGAAAAGTAAATTATTGAGACTCTGTCTTTTAAACCACATCATCAATTTGAAAATAAAGCTTTTTATTTTTAGGATGCCAGCAGAATTGTTATGGCTCTGCCCCTGCGGTCTCAATAGTGGCCTTGGGCTCTAAAACCTTGACCTTGGAAAGAAAACATTTACATTGTAAATGCACTGGCAGTATGAGCACTGTTCTATGGTGAAGTACCCAACAGAGGCTAAAAATTCAGAAGCGGCTTTTCCCTTTCTTCTGAAAGGCCTAATCCGCGGGGCTTTCACAGTGACAAAATCAAACTCTTAGCAGTAATTGTGCATTGGTTCTAGCCGTGAACTTGCATAAAATCTGAAATTTCACGCCACCTATCCTGTTGCAGGGAGTTTACCACTGATCATCAGGAAATGGAGCTTCTGGAGAGGCTTGAAGGAAATTAGACTGTGCAGGCCCTTGGGCAAGCATACTTGTGAACAAAATGCCTTTACAGTCATCCCTTCTTCCAAAACACAGGCAGCTTCACGCTTTGTTGAGCTGGTACTTGAGTCCTGCAGAGGCACACAGGTTCTGATGCGATGGCTTCGAGAAAACAGACCGTGTCTACTTTAGATATCTAAAGTCAGCCTACTACACCCAGACATTCTCTTATCCATCTCCAGTTAGGCTGGAAAAAGGAAGACTCAGAGTGGCTTGATGGCTAATTCCATGTGCTCTGATGGAGTGTCAGGAAGAAGGACAAGGTCCATTATGACCAGTGGGCAAAATGATAGCCAGTGGGTGGAAGCAATGGGAGGAAGCTTCTAGCCCATCCAGCAGGGGTTCTTTCTCCTCATTAGGATGGTCTGAAGCTGGAATGAGCCAGCTCTCAAGCTCACAATTGGCTTATCACTGAAGATGTCCAGAGGGGGGCCTCCACTGACAACCCTTGACACTAATTCTTTGCATGGTCTTGGCCCAGCATCACAGAGTGACGCAGACTGGCCTCACAGGAGCAGCTCTGGAAAATGGAGAGACATCAAGGGGTCAAGATGAGATCATTCACCTTTCTGGGGTCTCTGACTCCTTAGGAAGTTCTCCTTAAGGGTCAGGACTGCTCCAAGTGTTTTATAGTTATTAACTCATTAAAGCTGCACACCAATCCTAAGATCAAAGGTGGGTGCTCTCATCTTTTCCTACTTTACAGATGAGGAAACCAGGGCTCAGGGGTTACCTAACCCCTCCCAGATCGCAGAGCAAGCAAGTGGCAGAGGAGAAGTCCCTGGCTAAACACCACAGTCCACTCTCATAGCCTCTATACTGCTCTGTCTCAGAATGCTCTCTGCAGGCCCCCTGATGTCCTGTAGTGTGACCATCACTATCTGCTTTGTCTTCCTTCCTTACCAGTAGCTGTTCCGCTGATGGACTGGGTCTCTTCTGACATCGATTTTGCAAAGGCAATATCCCCTACACAGACTGTGAAAAACCCCAAGGTTATCCTCTTTGGTTAGTGATAGACCTTGAATTCATTTTATTTTTCAGACACAGTTCTAGATACACAGCCAGCATCTGCCACCAATGGCACTCAAAGCTGATGGAATGAATGATTTCACATCAGCAGTCACACAAATTATCACCACTGAATTGCATGGATGTTATCAAATCAGAAAGAAATGAGGCCAAAGCAAATATCACACATATGTAGTGCTTTTGCTTCTTAAATTTAAGTTTTATAAGTAATTTTGGCTCTGTGTTAAAAACAAAAAAATAATAATATAATAGCTAACACTTATATCATGTTATGTGCCAGACCCTATCCTAAGCTCTTTTCTCTTATTAACTAATTTAGTCCTCACAAATACGCTGAGATGTTAGGCAGCATTACAATCCCCATTTTAAAGAGGAGGGAACCAAAATACAAAGAACTGAAGTTTAGGTTTCAGTACCTGAGCTAGTAACCAGACTAGTGTGCCAAGTGCCAGAGGAAGGTGGCCTAAACCAAAGTAATTTGGAAGAGGTTCAGAGAAAAGGATTAATTCAAGAGACATCACACTAAATAAGTAAATTGCAATAAAGCTGGAAATGGGAGGCAAAGAAAGAGACACCATCGAAGACAGCTGCCAAGCTTCCAACGAACATGTCTTCTTGTCAAAACTGCAAAGATTCCACCTCTATGTCTTTGTTCAGGCTCTTCCCTTTGTTTGCAACGCCTTTCCATGCCCTTCCATGATTGTTCTGCAAAGCCTCTTATTAACTGCTCCTCACCTCCTGCCTCTGCATCCCTATATCTCATTGTTAGTTGGCATACAGTTCCTGGCCCTCACCCATCTTCCTCCATGTTTTAAGCTCCTCAAAGGTAAAGACATAGCACAGTGATGAGTGGGGAGCCCCAAACTCTAGCTATTTAACATCAGTTTTGTGATTCTGTCTTGCTATACAGTCATGCCTGCATTACTTTTCACTTAATTTTTAAAATAACTTGGATGACCCAATAGGTGCAGTAAACCACCATGGCACAGATTTACCTATGTAACAAACCTGCACTTCCTGCACATGTACCCCAGAACTTAAAATAAAAATAACTTGCCTATAGGATTGCAAAGGGTATACAATAAGAAATAGAAATATAAAATAGAATAAAATAATAACTTGCTTATTTTAGGAGAGTTTTAGATTCATGGAAAATTTGTGAAGATAGTACAGAGAGTTCCCACATAGCCTCTACAAGTTTTCCATATTATTAACATCTTATGTTGGGATGGTATATTTGCCACAATTTATGAACAAATATTGATACATTTTTATTATCACCTAAACTCTGTAAGTTTATTCAGATTTTCTTAATTTTTATTTTAACAAATGTCCTCTTTTTTGTTCCAGAATCCCATCCCGAATATGGCATTTGGTCATCCTGTCTCATTAGGTTTCTCTTGGCTGTGACAGCTTTTCAGACTTTTCTTGTTTTTGATTACCTTTGTATATTTTGGATAAAGTTCTTTATTAGGACTTATGTAGAGTTGCTCACTTTCAGGTTCACTTCTCTTTCTTTTCAGCTATTTGCTATTGCTGTTGGGTGGCTGTGCTGGGTTGAACAGTGTCCCCCCCAGAATTCATGTCTACCTTGAACTTGTTAATGTGAATTTGGAAATAGGGACTTTATGGATACAGCAAAGTTAAAATTAGCTCATAATGAATGAGAATGGGCTCCAATCTGATGACTGGTGTTTTTCTAAGAAGAGGAAGGTTTGAGGCTGGGTGAGGCGGCTCACACCTGTAATCCCAACAGTTTGGGATGCAGAGGCAGGTGGATCACCTGAAGTCAGGAGTTCGACACCAGCCTGGCCAACATGGTGAAACCCCTTCTCTACTAAAAATACAAAAATTAGCCAAGCATGGTGGCACGCGCCTGTAATCCCAGATATACTCAATAGGGTGAGGCAGGAGAATCGCTTGAACCAGGGAGGCAGAGGTTGCAGTGAGACGAGATTGTGGCACTGCACTCCAGACTAGGGGACAGATCAAGACTCTGTCTCAAAAAAAAAAAAAAAAAAAGATGGAGGTTTGCACAAAGACTAGCAAAAGATAACTCCATGTAATGTCAGAAGCTGGGATTGGAGAGATACGTCTGTAAGCCAAGGAAGGCCAAAAATTGCTAGAGCCACCAGAAGCTAGGTGAGAGGTCATCTTTGCTTGTTCAGCCAATAACAACTTAGAAGGGAAGGTGGGGAAGGAGGTAGATAGATGGATGGCCAGGGGAGATGTGCTGGATTCCAGCAATTCAAATTGGCATTGGTCTGGTTTGGGTTGCTATACAGAGCTGGTGCTGCGATGATTTTACAGAGAAGAGACATTCCTACTGTTTACAGCTTTGGGTCATACAGACAAGCCAACTTTTAGTATCTCTCACCTAGAAAAACCTTCCCATCTTATTGCTTTCAAGTCAAATCATTCCTTAAGAAACACACACACATGAGCTCGCTCCTCTACTTGATATCCAGAAAGTCCTCATGGAGAACATATACAGTAATAAGTTGGGTAGAAGCTGGTGGAAAGTCTGTAGAGACTTTTTTACTGTGTTTTTTAAATGTCCCCTCCAGGTTGAGCATAAATGAAAGTATTAGCTTCTAGAATTTTCTCTTCATAAGGACTTGGTTGGGGTTGCACACAGGGACTGACAGATCCTGTTCACTGTCAGGTTTGGCCCATGTCTGAAGGCCATAAATGTCACTCTTCTCTTATCAAGTAAAGAAAATCATGAGCTTCAGGGGAAGAAAGGGTTTGGGGACCTGCAGACCAGAAGTTCTCTTTACAGGCTCTGTCGCTTAATGGCTTTGCAACCTTGGCAAGTTCCTCAGCTTCATCATATAGAAAGTAAGGATGAGAACTCCTACCAGATGGGGTTGTGGAGGGATTAAATAAGAGAATAGGAGCAAAGCCATTGACACATCATAGGTAAACAATAATAATGTTTCCTGTCCACTGGCCATCCTAGAGGATAAAACAAAATTCCCACTTTTAAAAAATTTTCACTAAGAAAATTCTTGACCTCCCTCAGAAATCCAGTCTTGTGCTATACTTTTAATGATCATTTGTGTTAAACTCCTACTATGTAAATGGTGTTACTACAGGTGCTTTAGAAATATTGGCAAACATCAGTGTTCCAGCAACTCTTAAGGTGAGATTTATTATCCCCATGTGGAGAGGATCTGATTGGTGGTCATGGGGTTAATAATTTGCCCAGAAACAGGGTAGCTATCAGCAGAGGCAAACCTCTATCCCAGGTCCAGGCGACACTACCATGTTGGAAAGCAAAACTCCCCACAGTTCTGCCAGTGTCCAAAAGCCATGAGTGAGCTACAAGAAGTCACAACCTCATGGAATGGAAAGGATCTTACAGTGGCTTTGAGTTGGGTGGGTTCTGCAATGTTATTGTCAGCTGTCTTTGTCTATTCCTGTTGCTGTAATAAAATATAGGAGACTTGGTAATTTCTAAAGAAGAGAAATTTATTTCTCACAGTTTTGGAGGCTAGGAAGTTAAAGATCATGACACCAGCAGGTTAGCTGTATGACAAGGGCCCAGTATCTGCTTCCAAGATGGGACCTTGCTGTGTCCTTTGGAAAGGTCAAACACCGTGTCCTCGAGTGGCAAAAAGGGCCTAGCTAGTTCCCTCCTCCAGCCCTTTTATAAGGTACTAATCTCATCTGCCTTCATGGCCTAATCACCACCTGTACGTCCCAACTCTTAATGCTGTTGCATTGGGGTTAAGTTTTAACATGAAATTTCTAGGAAACACAAACATTGAAACCACAGCACCAACCACATTAGACCAGGGTTATTATGTAATAATCTGTAGAAGAGTTTACCAGTCTTTTCCAATCTCAGTTGAGTGGTATAAGTCAGGTAGGGGACCTGTGAGAATCTGTGTAGACCTCAAGGGAATATTCCCTCATTTGTTGTGGCTAAAAGGAGCTTGGGGAGGGTCTGGAATGTCTGTTCAACTCCCTTGGTGTCGTGGTAGGGTTCACAGTCAGGCCTGGCCCCATCCTACAATAATACACATTCTTTGATGTTTCCTGAACAGGCAGAGTGGATCCTAGTCACTGGAATATAAGATGTGAAGACAAGCATTTTGTTGTTGTTGTTGTTTACTGCTAGTTCTTGTCCCCAGAACACTGCCCAGCATATAGTTAGAGTTCATAATAAGCAATAAATAAATTAATTAACATCAGGGAATTTTCTCTGACCATTTCCTCTATTTGGAACATCTTTAGCCCAGGGTTAAATGGCTAAATTCCTCCATTTGGGTCTAGACTCAAAAGTCACCTCCACAGGGATGCCTCACCTGACCACCCCACCTAAAAATAGTTACCTTCTACCGCTTTTATTCTCTTCCTTTGCTATGCTTTTCCTCTTAACTCATGTGTAATCATGAGTTCATCATCAATTTCCCCACTGCCAATTTCCATGAGGGCAGAGCACCCATCTCTTGTACATCCATTGCTATATCTCTGGCACCTAGAACACAGCCTGGCTTGAGTCAGTGCTCTGTAAGTTATATATTGAGTAAGTGAGTGAATAAATGAATGCAGGCATCATGCATAGGAAAAGCTTAGCACAGTGCCCGGCACATAGCAGATGAGAGATAAGTGTTCGTTTTGATGATGTTGATAATGACATCCAAATGTCACTCTGAGGCAGTGGCACTGTGGATTGGCCTCTGACATTCTCAGTGTATATCTCAGTAGGTTGGGGAGTATAAAGGACCATCCTTCCACCCTACCTTCCATTCCTCCCTGCCACCATCAGACATGCTAGAGAACAGTGCTTTCACCAACTTCTGCTCCTCACTTTTCCCTGTCTGTGAAATTATGATTAGGCATTGGGGACTGTTCATCCTCTTCCCCAACTCTCGAAGTGAAACACTTTCAGATCCTTCATAGTAGTAAATGACTAACAGCAGTCTCGTCTCATCCCATCCCAGCCACCTGACCTCTCTCAGAATCTGGAATTTCCCATCTTTCTTTCATGTTGTCAAACACCTAAAGTACCTCTACTTTGCGCCATTTTATTCCTAAAGATAATCTCTCCAAAATCCAGAGCCAATATTACCTTCCCTGTGAAGCTCAAGCCCAGATATTGCAGCAGTTTCTGCCTCCTCTCTCCAGTTTTCCATGGAACTCTCTGCCCCTTCCATTACAGCCCTCATCACAGGGCACTCTATGCAACCAGATCTTTCTTCTCCAGAAATGAGCTCTGCAAGGACACGGGTCCTGTAGATGATGGTGAGAATGGGCAGCTCTGACCTGAGTCAGTACAGGAGGTTCCTCAATCCTGTGAACTCTGCTGTCAGAACTCCTGGGTTCTAATCCTGCCTCCCCTCTTACCACCGATAAGACCCCAACAGGCGATTTAATCATACCATGTACCGAGTATCCTGCCTGAAAACAGGGATCCTAATTATTACACTTCAATAAGCATCAAGCACCACAGACCAATGGATAAAACTATAAAGGGGGATTCTGAAATGGGTTGCATTAGGAAATAGGTAGAAAACTGGAAGTTGTTCCTTAGTTTTTCCACTGATGTATAGGGACTACATTATGAGTTCACTTGGTACTAGACACAAAGAAATCAAACAGTGGTTGAAAACATGTCTGAAAATCATTCAGAGCTGTATTATCTTTGCTAATTCAGCAGTAAGTTCATCACTCTGCCTCATTCAGCTCAAGGACAGGTCTTCTCTGCTCATATGCACATTGCCGTGTGGGCCATGGAAGTATATAATGAGGTAGATAGCCTCTGAAAATCATATCCAAGGAAGTGAATATAAAGCAAAACACAAAGAACAAAAATTATGAAATCTGTTAAATATTCCACTATACTCTCATACCACAAAAGTTCATAGCTTATGGGAAACTTTACAGCATACAGAGGGGCTTATGACATGACCTGCCCTGTTCTCTTAACCTAATTACCATTACATGTCTGTAATACCATGAGGAAGATATTGCAGAAGGAGCTCCAGGACTTTCCACATTACTACTGATCTACTGGCTGGTCCATTTGCTGATCTGTCTGCTGGGTTGTCTTTAACAGAGTTTTGCTGCCTTGTGTATTTGCATAACTTGGTTTAGCAGTGGTCAAGATTTGTGTCTGTGTTGAGCTGGTGAGGGTGCTTTCTAAGTCCTGGTTTGGCTTTGTGAACTCTCTCATCTCTATCCGATATTTCAGAATGGTCTCTGGGACCTCCATTAGCTCTGTAGGGATGGTCTTTTCCACTTCCACCTGCTCTGTGGTAGTGATCTTTTCTGTCTTGATTGTCTCAGTGGGAGTGGACTCTTCAGTTTGCTCTATGGTGGTGGTATCTTGGTGGTGATTGGCTCTGTGGGGGTGGTGTTTGAGATCTTGATTGGCACTGTAGGGATGGTCTTTTTGGTCTTGATTGGCCCTGTGGGGGTGATCTCTTCTATCCTCAATGACTCTGTGGAGAATAACTCTTGGATCTGGGTCTTCTGCTTGGGGAAGCATGGTTTGACCTTGGTTGGGTCCCTACAAGTGGACTCTTCGACCTTATCCCACACCGTGGGCATGAGTTCCATGTCATTGTGGCTGGGTCTCTTATTTGTGATCAGAGTGGAATTCACCAGCTTGACATTGGATTCTGGATACTTCTGACAACATGCCCTGGTCACCAGGTTGGCCTTGGAGTTCTCATAGGCATGTTTCTTGTGGCACAGGTTCTAGCTAATTTATTTCCAGTAGACCACATTGTTGTCCAAAAACCGTAGGCACAGTCTGGATTGCCCACAGAGACACAGGAAAACTCACTGTTCATTCAAACACCCTCAACTTTGAGAGTGATGCCCTCTGCCTACTCAGTCACAGCCCATCTACAGTTGGCTTGGTCTTTAGTGACAAGGCTGCTGTGATTGGGAACTTGTATGGCAGGGTTTTTGTCACAATCTGGAGCTCTAGGGCTTTCCCAGGGGGACCCATTGATCCCCGGGCATTACTCTATTGTCTGCTTTACTCCATTTTTCCCCTCCACCAGGAGCACCTGAGAAGCCAGTAGGAGAAAGGAGAACAGGGTGAGGCTATGGGTATTCATGGCTACATCTGGGTGGCACCTGTTTGACAAAAGGCAGGTGAGTCAGTGGCAGGCAGCAGTTCCGCTGTGCAGGATTGCACCTTGGCCTTCCTCCACCCTGACAGGTGCCTGCCTAAATTAGGAATAGACCAAGAACGCTTCTGCCTTCTGGAATCACTAGACAAGCAGCCTGTCTACTCACATTTCCACTTGGCTTGAGTCCTGAGTGTCACAAAACTACCATTCTTTGGAGCCTCATGAACCCTTATTTCTCATCTACTCACTCAAGAACTCCTGCATTTACTCACTCCTCACTCTCATTCACTCATTCAACAAGCATTTATTAAGTGCCTACTATTAGTACTTGCCATGCACTAGACTAGGTATTCAAGATACTACTGTGAATGAGAAAGCCTCAGGTTTTAAAGACCTTAGAGGCTACTCATTGGGAAATTTAAATACCATTAACAAGGGAGTCTGTCCCATCTCTGTCTCAACTTGATCTTAGACAAGTGACTCTCCCCTGGGTCTCAGTTTCTTTTTTTCTTTTTTTTGAGACAGAGTCTTGCTCCGTCACCCAAGCTGGAGTGCAATGGCATGTTCTCAGCTCACTGCAACCTCCACCTCCCAGGTTCAAGCAATTATCCTGCATCAGCCTCCCGAGTAGCTGGGATTACAGGCACCCACCAACACACCTGGCTAATTTTTTTGTATTTTTAGTAAAGACATGGTTTCACCATATTGGCCAGGCTGGTCTCGAACTCCTGAATTCAGGTGACCCACCCACCTTGGCCTCCCAAAGTGCTGGGATTACAGGCTTGAGCCACAGTGCCTGGCCCTCAGTTTCTTTATCATCTGGAAATCACAGTGTTGGATGAAATGATAACCAAGCTCTCTTCCAGCTCCAATGTGCTAAATTTCTATCTCACAATCTCACATGGATACAGATGACCACAAAATGAGAAAAGGCATGGTAAAGCTCATGAAAGTGTCAAAAAAGATGATGTTGACATTGACAGAGGGTTGAACATGCATGGGCTTTGACACACTGAAGTGGGTGGGGTTGTGGGGGTAGGAGGAGCATTTGGGGAAGAGGTAAGAGCCTCAGGAAAGGCATGAAGGAAGGAAGGTCATCTGATTTGACTGGGTAAAGTGAACCCAGGGCATAAAGAAGACCCATAATCAGGCCAAGTGCAGTGGCTCATGCCTGTAATCCCAGTACTTTGGGAGGCCGACACAGGTGGATCACTTGAGGTCAGGAGTTTGAGACCACCCTGGCCAACTTGGTGAAATCCCGTCTCTACTAAAAATACAAAAATTAGCCCAGCGTGGTGGTGGGCACCTGTAGTCCCAGCTACTCAGGAGACTGAGGCATGAGAATTGCTTGAACCCAGGAGGCAGAGGTTGCAGTGAGCTAAAATCGTGCCACTGCACCCCAGCCTGGGCGACAGAGGGAGACTGGGTCTCAAGAAAATAAAAAAAGAAGAAGAAGAAGACCCATAATCAATGTTTTTTGAAAGAAATCATTGACTCAATGATTGATGACTCAATGATGACTGGGCCAAACTACTTAGCCTCTCTAATCTTCCATCTACTCATCCTCCCTGTCCTGACAAAAGCAGCACTTCATGTATGGTTGCATACTCAATACTCACAGTGCTGAGTTATTAACATAAAGTGAAGCAAAAGAAATTTGGTTCATAATGGGGTCTGAAACTTAGTTCTTCACAAAAAGACATATTTATGTATTCATCATATAGTAAGAGACTCACATCCATTAAAAAAAAAAGATGTGGACTTCAGTATACCTTGTCACCTCACTTTTCATAGATTTGGGCATACAAAAAATTGTTCACTTCTTTCTTAACTCAAGAATAAGAAAAGCAGTAGTACAACTTTGATGATGAATGGTAAATGACCTTTGGCTTTGGGGCAGGCATCATGGTAGGGACTGCAGCAAACTAGAGCTTCTGCCTCTCTAAAGGTCAACAGTCAGCTCCAATTGACTAAGACGGTGTGTGTGGATAGGGCTCAGTATTGTCAGACTTTTTGATTGTTTTAAGAGATGCTTCAAAATAAAGGTGTGTTTATATGAAATTGGTTGACATGTAATCCAAATTTCCGAAAAGCAGTGTCTTGATCTAACGATGTACAGGTTAAAACTTGTAACTGTATTTGGATTTCATGTATAGTCCACCTGTTTGAGAATTCTGTGGTCACAGCTACAGATGTTGACTGATTTACTCAGCTGCTCAGTCTCTGCATAAATCCACCGGAAGCAGCCATTTCTGAAGGTGTGTACCTCTCCTAAAATTGGCTCACCCAGGGGTCCATCTTCACTGTCCTCGCAAACACTCCACTGAGGCCCTGACCTCTGCAAACAGGTGCTCTGTTGCAGTATTTTTTTTTGGAGGATTATTTGGACATAAGGAGATAAAGCTGTTTTGCTCAACAAGGGAGACATAAATCGGTGGGTCTCCTACAAAATGTGAAATTCTACTTGATCCTCGGGAGGCAGGCAGATTCTTTCTGGAGGAAGATTGCAATGGGAACACAAAGCATATTTATAAGGAAACACACAGACTACAGGGTCTTTCTGGGAAGTGCTTCTCTGAGATTTGCCAGGTGACACCACACACTCCCCACTGGCTCTCTGGGACCCTTCCCCTTCTGTGACTCCCATCCTAGCATCTGCCTTGGTCTTTTCCTTCTAGAATGGGTGGCACAGTATCAAAGCCTGCAGTGGCGCAGTTGCCTGCTTGGCCTATCCTGTCATCCATCCCCAGGTACACACAGAGGGACACACATATACACAGACAGACACACACACACACAAAGATACATGCAGACATACAAAGACACATACACAGATACACACAGACATTGACAGAGACATACACCGACAGACACACACACACACACACACACACACACACACACACTGCAATCTGGCCACACTGAAACCCTGTCCCACCATTTGCAGACGCTCTGTGCCCACACCCACTTCCTGCCTTTGCCTCTGCTGTCCCCTGCACTTGGGATCCCCTTCCCTTCCCTCTCTGCCTGGCACACACCGCCTCATCCTTCAAGGCCAGGCTCCAATGCGAGCCCCTCTCTGTTGGTGCCATTGGCTCGTGATGCTCACCATACCACCCCACACCTTCATGGATGTCCACGGGGAGAAATGCATGCTTCCTCCAAAGAGCTTATGGCGTGCTGGGCAATGTGCAAAGGCTGTTTCCCCAAGTTTTCTTCACATCTAGATGAGCTTAGGAAATGTTCTTTTCCAGTGCCCTTGGGGAGACTGCAGAGGACATGAAGCCATACAGTGCATAGAAGTTTCCTGCAGCTACAGGCCTCTCCACCTCCCCATGCTCCCAGGACTGAGGGGATATGTAACTCCTAGAGATGAATGTGTGAAGGCCCATTGGCTTTTATTCCACAAGAACCCTAACCTAGGGGCAAAGTCTGCCCAGGTTCTCATAGGATAGATGGGAACTGCGGCTTACAGGGGCCGAATCCTTTGGCAAATGCTGCAGAGCTCAGAAAGCAGAGCCTGGACTTGCCTGGGTCTATGGGCAATGAACCTCCCAGCAGAGTGTTTGGGGCATTGTCATATGGTTCTTAAATCTGAGCCTCTCCCTCCCATAGATTTTGGGGAAAAGACAATCCCTCCGTCTTAGATACCTCCATCTTCCATTCTCCATAGCACTTCCTGGTATATACTAGATGTCTTAGTCTAATTATTTCAGTAATAGATTGAGAATCTCAACTTTAACGAGCTTAAAAGAAAAGAAAAACGTGCTGGCTCACTGTATATAAGAAGTGAAGATGGTTCAGATAGACATGGATCCAAATGTTTACATAATCTCTGTCTGGTCTCTGTCTCTCTGTGTGTGTGTGTGTGTCTGTAGCTCTGTCTCTCTCCCTGTCTCTCTCTGTAGTTCTCTCTGTCTCTGTGTAGCTGTGTGTGTATGTGTCTGTAGCTCTGTCTCTCTGTGTGTGTGTGTGTGTGTGTGTGTGTGTGGGTAGCTCTTTCTCCACATCTGTGTGTGTGTGTCTCTGTGTGTGTGTGTGTCTCTGTGTGTGTGTGTAGCTCTCTCTCTCTCTCTCTCTGTGTGTGTAGTTCTGTGTGTGTGTGTCTGTAGCTCTGTCTCTGTGTGCGTGTGTGTGTGTGTCTCGGTAGCTCTATCTTTCTCCACATCTGTGTGTGTGTGTGTCTGTAGCTCTGTGTGTGTGTGTCAGTAGTTGTATCTTTCTCCACATCTGTGTGTGTGTCTCTCTCTTTGTGTATGTGTGTAGCTCTGTGTGTGTGTGTGTCTCTGTGTGTGTGTGTGTAGCTCTGTGTGTGTGTGTGTGTGTGTGTGTGTGTGTAGCTCTCTGTGTATGTGTGTGTGTGTCTGTAGCTCTGGCTCTGGGTGTGTGTGTGTGTGTGTGTGTGTGTGTGTGTGTGTCTGTAGCTCTGTCTCTCTCCACATCTCTCTGTTTGTCTCTCCCTGTCTCTCTCTCTTTCTCTGCTGGGCACTTTCCATTATCTAGTTTCATTCTCAAGCATGTTCCTTCTATTTGCAAAATAAAAGAACCTGACCTTTATCTCCTTAGCACTCATGTGAACTCTGAAGGGATCTCTCATTGCCCACCCCTGGTACAATCACTGAGTCTGTCACAGGGAGCAGCGGCCACATGGTGTACAGCCGCCCAGAAACCCACAGAGTAGAGGAGGGCAGTTCTCAACAGGAAAGGGGCTTCTACTGTCCACAGAAAAAGACGGATACAACTTGCATGCCTGCACTTCAGGAGTTACTCATTAGATAGGAACTAATCCAGATAATAAACTACAAAAACAATTCACAGCCATCAGCCAGTTGGCTATATTATTGAGAAAGACTTCCTTGGGGCTGGGTACCATTGAACTAATTCAGGAAGCTATCTCAAACTCATGAGACACTCTGTTGGAGGATCAGTAAGTAATCTAGTTGCCTGAAGGAGCAGGTTTGTGGTGGGAGAAGTAGAAGGAAGATTGCAAAGTCGAAGAGAGGTCTTAACTGCAAAGCTGAAGAGTTTGTCCCACTGGCCAAAGATGACAATTCACCTGGATCACTTTCCCCTCCAGTGCCCCCGGAAGGCTTCTTGGCACTCCCACGAGCCTGAATACAGCCTCAGAGGCCATTTCAACCCCAGCCTCCAGAATGCCAGCATAAAGAACAACCTGTCTGCTGGTTCTGCTGTAGATGGGGGAAGAGCTTTTGATCCTCATTCTTAAACAGAAGAGTCAGCGAATTTATCCTGTACAGCATCCTCAAGCTTTAAGCAAGAAAGTAAACATGCATCAGGAGTAGAACTTCCATGGAAGGCTTTCCTTTCCTTCACATTTTGTTCAGGTTTAATAACCCTGGAGAAAAAGTAGAGCCAGTACTATCTAAAGTCCCAGGGTTGGATGTCTCCCCTTGGTCTGAGAAAGGATTTGTCTCCAACCAACCAACCCTACAGGGGAGATGGAAAGAGAAGCAATGGCGCAGAGACAGGGCTGGACATCCAGGGTAGAAGGAACCTTCATGTCATTATGACTCTTTTTAGGGTGCTTGAAGCTGAGAAATATTCACCTAACAGAACTCATTTTGTCCTTCCAGCAGACTGGTGAGACAGTTATTCCTATTTTACACTAAGGAAACTGAGCTTTAAGATATTAAGTGATTTTCTTCCAATATATCTAAATAATGATGATAATGATGATACTGATAATAACTATCAGCAACATGGTACTTCTCCATTCAAAGCACTGCTGTAAAAACGTGTCTCACTTCATTTTTACAGCAACCCAGCTATGGTCTCCTTTCATTTAGAAAGGAGAATACAGAAACAAAAGCACAGAGAGGGTAAAAAGAGCTTGCTAGGCAAGTTCCTTTGACCTGAAAATCAGATTCCTCACCTGTAAATGGGGGAGAACTGTATCCACTCACAGGGTTGTGTTATGCTTAAGTGAGATCTGTACAAAGTATTTAGCACACGTGTCTGACACACAATGAAATTAGAGAATTAAATATCACTTCTGTTATTTTTATTAAAATGAAGTAATGTGCCATACATTGAAAAACTTCTCTCTCTTTTTCTTTCTTTCCCTTTCATTCTTTACATTTGAAAAAAAAAAAAAAACTTTAGAATCATTTTACATTTTCAGAAAAATTGCAAAGAATATTCCTGCCCCACAGTCACCCAGGGTCCCCCATGTTAACCTCTTACATTGCTGTGGTACATTTACAACAACTAATGAAGCAATGTTGATAACTCGTTATTAAACTCCATACTTTATTCACACCGTATTAGTTTATACCTAGTGTCCTTTTTATTATTAATGGACTATAATTTTTGCAGCAGTTTTATGTTCACAGCGACAGTGAGCAGAAAGTACAGACTGTTCCCTATGTCCCATACCCCCACCCAGGCACAGCCTCCCCTACTGTCAACATCCATTCCAGATGGGATATTTGTTACCATCAATCAACCTACGCTAACACATTATGACCACCAAAAGTCCTGGTTTCAACTCTTGGTGTTGAACATTCTGTGGGTTTTGAGAAATGTATAATGACATGTATCCACCATGATAGTACCAAACAGAATACTGTCACTGCCCTAAAACCCTGTTCGCTTATTCACTCCTTTCTTCCCCCTAACTCCTGGCAATCATTTCTCTTTTTACTGTTTTGCCTTTTCCAGAATGTGAGATAGTTGGAATCATACAATATGTAGCCTTTTCGGACTGGCTTCTCTAGTTCAGCATTTAAGGACTCTTCATATCTTTTCATGACTCGATAGCTCATTTTTTAAAAATCACTGAATCATAGTATATTATTGGATCGTATTATTAGATACTATTATGAATACTATCCACTATTATTGGATAGTATTAATAGTATTATATGGATGTACCACAGTTTTTTTGCTTCCATATTTTGGCAATTATGAATCAAATTACTAGAAAACTGTATGTACAAGATTTTACATGGACATAAGTTTTCAATTCATGTACAAAAAATGCCAAAAAGCAAAGCATGATTGCAGGATCATGTGATAAGAATAACTTTAGTTTTTAGGAAACGTCCAAAGCATCTTGCAAAGTGACTGTACAATTTTGCATTCCCACTTGGTATAAATGAGAGTTCCTGCTGTACCACACCTTTGTCAGCATTTAGTGTTGTTGGTGTTTTGGGTTTTGGCCATTCAAAGAGGCATATGGGGGTGTCTCATTTTCATTTTAATTAACAATTCCCTAATGACATGTGACGTTGAGCACCTTTGTTTATGCTTATTTGCCATCTGCATATCTTCTTTGGTGAGATGTCTATTCAGATATTTTGCTGATTTTTTTTATTACATTGCTTTTCTTATTGTTGAGTTTTAAGAGTTATTTGCATAATTTTATTACCAGCCGTTTAATATATATGTTTTTTACAAGGATTTTACTCTGTCTGTGATCTGTCTTTTCATTCTCTTAGTGTCTTTCACAGAGCAGAAGTTTTTAATTTTAATGAAGTCTAATTATCAATTTTTTATTTCATGGATCATGCTGTTGTATTGAAAATCTCATCACCAAACCCAAGGTCAACCTGATTTCTTCCTATGTTATCTTCCAGGAATTTTATAGTTTTGCATTTTACATTTAAATCTATGATCCATTTTGAGTATGATTCCATTTTAACTTCTTTTTGAGTGGTTGCCCTGAGTTAAGTGATACACATTCATAATTAATTATAGCTCTACATCACTTCATAAGTAATGCAAGTATCTTATAATCTTATAACAAAGTATTACCAATTCCTTCCTGTCTGTCTCTTGTGACATTGCTGTCATTCATTTCACTTATCCATATATGCTAGTATCACCCAATACATTGATACTATTGCTGCTTCAAACTGACAGTTATCTTTTAGGTGGATTAGGAATAGGAAATAGAAAAAATTTTATTTTACCTTCATCTATTCCTTCTCTGTCACTCTTCCTTTCTTTATGTAGATCCAAGTCACTGAACTATATCATTTTTCTTCTCCCTGCAGAATATATTTTAACATTTGTTGCAAGAGAGTTCTGCTAATAATGAATTTCCTGTCTTTGTTTAAGAAATTCTTTATTCCTCCTTTCTTTTTTCAGAATTATTTCATTGGATATAGAATCCTAGATTGGTGGATTTTTCTTTCAACACTTTATTTATTTATTTATTTATCTTGAGACGGAGATTCACACTGTCACCCAGGCTGGAGTGCAGTGGTGCAATCTTGGCTCACTGCAACCTCCACCTCCTGGGTTCAAGTGATTCTCCTGCCTCAGCCTACCAAGTAGCTGAGATTACAGGCAACTGCCACCAGGCCCAGCTAATTTTTTTGTATTTTTAGTAGAGATGGGGTTTCACTATGTTGGGCAGGCTGGTCTCGAACTCCTGACCTCATGATCTGCCCACCTTGGCCTCCCAAGTTGCTGGGATTACTGGCGTGAGCCACTGCGCCTGGCCTCTTTCAACACTTTAAACAGACAACCCACAAAATGGGAGAAAATTTTCACAACCTACTCATCTGACAAAGGGCTAATATCCAGAATCTACAATGAACTCAAACAAATTTACAAGAAAAAAACAACCCCATCAAAAAGTGGGCAAAGGACATGAACAGACACTTCTCAAAAGAAGACATTTATGCAGCCAAAAAACACCACATGAAAAAATGCTCACCATCACTGGCCATCAGAGAAATGCAAATCAAAACCACAATGAGATATCATCTCACACCAGTTAGAATGGCAATCATTAAAAAGTCAGGAAACAACAGGTGCTGGAGAGGATGTGGAGAAATAGGAACACTTTTACACTGTTGGTGGGACTGTAAACTAGTTCAACCATTGTGGAAGTCAGTGTGGCGATTCCTCAGGGATCTAGAACTAGAAATACCATTTGACCCAGCCATCCCATTACTGGGTATATACCCAAAGGACTATAAATCACGCTGCTATAAAGACACATGCACACGTATGTTTATTGTGGCACTACTCACAATAGCAAAGACTTGGAACCAACCCAAATGTCCAACAATGATAGACTGGATTAAGAAAATGTGGCACATATACACCATGGAATACTATGCAACCATAAAAAAAAGATGAGTTCATGTCCTTTGTAGGGACATGGATGAAATTGGAAATCATCATTCTCAGTAAACTATCGCAAGAACAAAAAACCAAACACCGCATATTCTCACTCATAGGTGGGAATTGAACAATGAGAACACATGGACACAGGAAGGGGAACATCACACTCTAGGGACTGTTGTGGGGTGGGGGGAGGGGGAGGGATAGCATTGGGAGATATACCTAATGCTAGATGACGAGTTAGTGGGTGCAGCGCACCAGCATGGCACATGTATACATATGTAACTAACCTGCACATTGTGCACATGTACCCTAAAACTTAAAGTATAATAATAAAAAAAAGAAAGAAAAAAAAATCTATAAAAAATAAATAAATAAATAAATAAATAAATAAATATGTCATTGTACTCTCTTCTTCCTTGCATGCTTTCTGATAAGAAGTCTGATGTAAATCTTATCCTCACTTCTCCTATAGATGAGGTGCTTTTTTCCCCTGACTTCTTTCAAGATTTTCTCTACATCTGTGCTTTTCTGCAGTTTGAATATGATATACATAGGTGTAGACTTTTTGATATTTATCCTGCTTGATATTTTCTGAGCTTTCTGGATCTGTAGTTTGATGTCTGTCATTAATTTTGGAAAGTTCTTGGACATGATTACTTTACATATATTTTCTGCTCTATTCTCCCTTTCTTTGCCTTCTTGCATTTCCACCACACAGAAGTTATACCTATTGTCACTGCTCCACATTCTCTTGTAGCTGTAGCTGCTGACAATTCAGATTCCTCTAGTGTCATTCTTTTTGTCTTCCCTCTTAACTTTGGCCTTCCCTGTATGCTCTTCCTCAGAGAGAGTGCCTTGCAGTTCTTTCAGCTGCAATCCACCGTGATACTGCATCCTTGTTGGTGGGGTCACCAGATATCAGCGAGAGAGAGCATCTTACCATCTTCTGATTAAAACTCAGACTTTTCTTGTGCCTGGGTCTTGGGATCATGACCTTCACAAGTATTTCTTCCATGATATAAATTTCTGCCATGCCCCTTGGCATCCCTCTCTGGCCTCAGCATTCCAACTCTATTTCCTTGAAGCCCTGTCCTCTGATGACTATGAGTTTTCTTCTCCTCAGGAGGGACAGGAAAGCCAATGGGATCTGGAGTGGGGAGGAATTTCCTCATTCCAGCTAGAATAAGTTTCCATTAAAGTTATTTTTAGGAGAGCTGCCCTTCTTCACCAAGTAGGCTCTGAGCTTATTTCACAATAGTTACTCTCCCTTTCCACTGCCAGAGCCTCAAGGAGGTTTTTCTCAGTCTCCCCATCATGAGAACTCGATGTGGCTCCTAGAGGGAAGGCCCATTGAAAGTTTGGAGACCTCCACCAGTTTCCCATTCTCTCATTGTATCTCTGGTAATTCATTTAAATTACCACTTAGATATTCCCCAGTGTATGGCATTAGTAGCTTCCCTCTAGGTAAGCAAATCTCTGGATGCACCTGTCTCTCTACCGTGTTAAGCTGGCAGCTTGTTGTGCAATCACACTTCCCTGATGATTCCAGGAAAAGTCACTGATTTTCAATTTGTCCAGCTTTTCTTTTAAAGACGGGAATGATGGCTTCCTAGCTGTTTACATGCTTGAGCTAAAACTCAAAGTCCCTACTTAATGTTTTATATTTTCAAAATGTGCTTTTTTATTTTAATGGATTCTATTGAACATTCCTTATCCACAGAAATCTTCTTGAGTCTTATTTTGTTGTATTTTGTGATCGCCGTGACTCTGAAACTACTTTTTTCTTTTTTTTTTTGACAGAGTTTCACTCTTGCTGCCCAGGCTGGAGTGCAATGGTGCAATCCTGGCTCACTGCAACCTCCGTCTTCTGGGTTCAAGCAATTCTCCTGCCTCAGCCTCCCAAGTAGCTGGGATTACAGGCATGTGCCACCATGCCTGGCTAATTTTTGTATTTTTAGTAGAGACAGGGTTTCACCTTGTTGGTCAGGCTGGTCTTGAACTCCTGACCTCAGGTGATCCACCCACTTTGGCCTCCCAAAGTGCTGGGATTCAGGGGTGAGCCACCACACCCGGCCAACTCTGAAAGTTCTAAGCAGCAGACTTTTCCTAGCTCTGCAAAGAAATAACCAAAGAGCTCTTGGCCTCTAGCTAGACCACATACCTCTTGTTGCCTAGCTTGGAATTCCACACTGCTGCCCACTCCCTTTTGGAACCCATAGAACACTTACATGCAACATGCATCCTGGAAGTAAAAGAGAGTGGTGACCAGGGGACCATCTTTGACTAATGGAAGGAAAGAAGCCGATGGATAAATGTTTTTCTCTTTCATCTCCCAGGGACATAAGGATTTCAAAAGGCCCTCAGAACATCCTGGTGAGACCGAACTCCCACCCTCGCAGCAGAGGCCAGTTCAACAACTCATTCTTGTATCTGCTTCCTGATCTACTCCCAAATTTCTGCTCCCTGAAATCATTTTCCAGAGGATTAGCCCATATGAGAACCTTCGTCTTGGGCTTTGCTTTTGGAGAACCCAGGCTAAGATATAAGATTATTTAAAAGAAAAAATTTATAACATGTCTATAAATGGATAAAAACAGCCATTTGCCATTACAAAGATGAATTCTTCCCTTCCATGACTTTCCAAAACTTCTTTGCCTGTAAATATCTATTCCTCTTAGCTCATTCTTCCCATCCTTCTGCATTTTGATAGCACATTATCAGTTGCATAAAATTATCTGTTCTTACCCACCTCCCTCTATATTTTGAGAAATTTAGAAGATAAGAAAAGAAAAGAAAATGATGCCATTAAGGACTATTCCTTATACTCTTATGTTAACAAAAGATTAGCAAGTGTTGAAAGCAGTACTCAAAGTGTGGTTTATGGACAGATTATTGGCCTACAAACTGCTTTTTTAGTTTACAAACACTTAATAAGCTTGCTCCAAATGTAAATTAACTAAATCACTATATACAATATTACAACTGACATTAAAAACAAATTTATGACTTCTTCAATGAAGAAAGCAAGGCATTGATTTACATTGCTGTGTCAGACTCCTGATCTCAAGAAGTACTGTCTCTTTGAGTAACACTGGATTACAGGATTAGACAGTTATCAAAGTACTAACGGTGGACATTTCTTAGTATGCACTCAGTTCTAAGCACTCTTTCATAGGCCCTACTGATATTACCTCATTTAATTCTCAAAAAAAAACCTTGCATATGAGGTAGGTTATATTATTATTCTCACTTTATAGGTAGAGAGACTGACGCACAGTGAAGTTTAATAATTTTCCCAACATTACAGAGCTAGTAAGTGGTAGTGGCAGCCTCCCAGGTGACTGACCCCCAGTGGTCTTTGCCTCTTGGTATTTACTCCCTTGTGTAGTCAGCTCCCATAGTGTATTTGTGACCAAAGCACACACAAGTGATATTGTGTGATTTTCAAGGATAGATCATAACAGATATTGTTCCTTTTGCCTTGCTCTCTGGCATCAGCTACTTCAAGGAAGCCAGCTTCCACGTCATGACAACATTCATGCAGCACTATGGAAAGGCAAGAAACTGAGGCCTCTGTCAGCAGCCAGCACCAACTTGCAAGCCATGGGAGGGGGCATTCTTGGAAGAGAATCCTCCTGCTCACTCAAGTCTTCAGATGACTCCAGCTCTGGCTAACATCATGACTATGATCTCATGAGAGATGCTGAGTCAGAACCACCAAGCTTAGACACTTCTTCATTCCTGACCCACATGATATGTGCAAGATAATAAATTTTTATTGGTGTCTTCCATCTCTAAGTTTGGGGCTAGTTTCATATCCAACAATAGATAACTAAAATAGCAGTAGAAAATCTGGCTCCAGAGCCTGTTTTGTTAACTGCTATGTGTACTATCTCTCAACTGAGAGTTTATCTTGGGTATATGAAGAAGGATTAAAACAGAATTGAAGGTAGAGAAGGAAATGACTTCCTTCCTATGTGATGTTATTTAATGCCAATATTGTGTACCAGCTACCCAGCTACCATCGTCTCCACTAACACCAGCAGCATGCATTCAAAACTCTAAGAGAAGAAGAGTAGACAAGAGAGTATGGGATTTGAAAGAAGATAGTCCGGAATTGAATCCCAGTTCAGTTCCTTCACTCATTTTGGGTATTCCAAAAAAGAGGCCATAATAACCAGTGAGAAAAACAACTTGTAAAGCCCAGTCTCTCTGAGCACAGCTGAGAGCTGGCTATATATATTTATTTGGGATGTATGGAGTTCAGGGATTCATGGAATTTCTCAGAAGTAGGGGTACTTACAGATTGGGTAATATTTAGCTGTATGCCTGAGTGACAGTCTTGCTGATTGGATGACTTTCAGCAGTGTTTGTGCTGATGCAAAATAGCTAATGACCAATTAGGAAAAGTTTAAAACCATGTCTGGCAATTGTTTCAAGGCCAAAGAACAATGAGCCCTTTCCTAAGAAGATAGGAACTTTCTGTTCTTCCTTAAGCCATTTCCCTTCAATGTTCTTACCTGTAAAATGGGGAGAATACAGACAACTATTTATCAAGGGCCTACTATGATACTTGCCACACGCTAATCAACTCAGCCATTGTATGGCAGCAGCTGCCATAAACCATAAGTACACAAATGTATGTGGCTGTATTCCAATAAAACTTTATTTACAAAAATAGGCAGCAGGCAGGATGTGGCCAGTGGGCAGTAGTCTGCCAGTTCTGCTCCAGGTTATCTTTAGTCCCAGCTGTGGCCTGCTCTTCTGCCTCTCCTAGCTTCTAGCTCTGCTGTCCCATTGATCTGTATTACACTTTCCCCTTTCCTTAAATGCTTTTCTTCTACTGATGTGTTAGCTTTCAGTAAAGCATTACCTCATCAGGAGAAAGTGCTGTCCACACCTTTAGACTATTACAGGCCCCCCTGCTGTGTGCTCCCAAATGCATTTCCTCTTTCGCCACCTTCATCTCACTTTGTTATAATTATTTATTTCCATGTCTTTCTTCCCTGCTAAACTGTGAGCTCTGTGAAAGCAGGGATTGTTTGTCTCCCATGCCATTTGATCACAGGGCTTAGCACAATTCCTGACACATAGTAGGCATTTGGTAAATACAAAGGAAAAGAATGAATAAGCACGATTTTACAGAGAACATCTAAGATAAACTTTGGCTACTGTACACTTGTGTCTACCTATTTTACAATTTTTCCTAAAACCACCTTGTTCCCAAGAAATGGATTCTTCACTTCATATATTTTCAAGCTCACAGGCCATTTTGCCTCTATTTTACAGCGTAAGAATTTTGAAATGAGGAAACATCAGTGAAATCCATGTTTAAGGCACTTTTATTCTCATGCCACTATTTCCCTGCAATGGTGACCTTTAAATTTAGCCTGAGTATAAGTGGGGTTGTCAGAACATCAGGTTACATTATGTTATTCAGCTATTTGTGCCTTTTAAAGACGATGTAAGTTCCAACATAGACCGCACAGCGGGAAAGTTACCCTGATGATATTCTGGAAACTGCCGCAGCCAGGATCACATCCGGAAGTGGGTCAGTATTCAAGAAGGCTCATGCTTCTTGGAAGTCACTTTTACTGGAAACAGGCCCACATTTATCCTTCCAGAAAATAAGTAACCTGTGGCTCGTGCATGGCCTTTCTTCTTCAGGCAGATTGGAGAGAGGATTGTGTTTGAAAGAAAAGAATGGAAATGTGCCTGCAGCACTTATTTTTCTCCTTCAGGGTGGCGTGTGGAGCTGTGTGCTTGGACCTGCAGTGAACGGTGTAGTCACTGATTTTTCCACCTAATCTGGGGTTCAGAGGACTCCGGGCTGGTACTGGTCCTCCACAATTCCTCCTAGATGTAAACCAGCCCCCCGACCTTTTTTGCAGCTGTTTGACTAGCTGAGCCCACTTCCTCATTGATAAACAGCTTTGATAAATAGGTTGAACTAAACAGCTCCCAGAGACACTTCCAGCTCTGGTCATGCAATTGATTTCTTCAGGATGCTTTCAGAGACACATCAGGGCAAGAAGCATGGGGCATGGGGTGAACGGAGGAGGGAGAGGGGATCCAGCTTTGAATGGTAAGGCAGGGCTTCTCCACTTCTTGTTGCATTGCCATGAAACAATGACCTCTCGCTGTGCTCCCAGTCCCAAAGAATAAGCTGTAAGCTGATGTATGAGAAGAAAGATCCGAAGGAGATGCATAGACACATAGAAATCACAAATAATAATAATAATAATAAAACCTAATACAATGCCTAACTTGCTCCTTAGCTCCTTAGAAAACTGCAATGTGGCACTAGACAAAAGACACCTTCCTGGGCTTTACCCCAACCCAGTCCAGTTTAAATGACAATGGACCTGCACACTTTAATAGTTTTTAAAGCCCATTGCCTATAGACAGGCAGGATAATCTAGTAACAATGAGAAACATCATCAGGCACTAAGTTCTAGCACTGTTCTGATTGCTGTAAAGGTATTAGGTAGAGTCATATGCAGCGGCTGTTTTTCTAGGCCAAAAATGGATAAACACCAGCAATTTCATATTTCTATCTAAGATTAACTCTTTTGATTTTTACAACAATCTTCTAAACACTGTTGTTGTCTTTTGTTATGAGCTCTAGATGGGTTTTTAACTCAGCTCTGCTACTCTGGTCAAATGTGCCTTCGTTTTCTCCCATGTAAAATGAGACTAATAATACTGCTTGCTTCATAGGGTTATCACGAGGACTAAATGAGTGAATAAATGTAACAGTGCCTGACACATAAGTGCTAAATAAACATCGGTCATTATCATTAGCTTTACGTAAAGTGACGTTAAGGTCTCCTTCATTCTAGAAATACTTTGTGCAGTGGCATTTCATGTTTTTTTTTTTTTTTTTCCTACCAGGCACTTATTTCTTCTTCTCTTCTAAAATAGCATCCCAATTTCCCTTTCAGGGAACTTGTCCCCCTGGCTGACTATCAGCCAGGGATCCTTGCCTCCCCTCACTATGGCGTATACATGTACCCTGAGGTTAGCCAGCCTCTCTCCTGTGTCCTGTATTTTCCAAAGCCACATTATTCTGCTCTTCCTGTGATTCTGAAGCTCTTCTGTGTCCTTCCAATAAATTCCTTTTTTATTGCCCATGAACAATGGGCACGTGGAGGAAATACGGAAGGTAATTTAGCAGATTGTTGGCAAGTTAAGTTAGCAAGATAAGTGGTTTCTATTGTTGCAACTAAATATCTTTAAAATATATATCATTGGAAATAGACATTGTAATGTTCTTTTTATGAATAATGAAACCAGCTAACATTTACTGATTCTCTGTCTAGACTTTTACTATGTGGTTATGTTTAACACACTTCTGCGACAGTAAGCGCCATTAACCCCATTTTGCAGAGAAGAAAATTGAAGACTTAGATTCCTCTGCCAGCTTGTCCTGCTTGTGTGTCCTTGAGCAAGTCTCTGAACATATCCAAGGTCTCAGTGTCCTGATATGTGAAGTGGGGTTGGTGACCTTTCCCACGCACAGGGTGGTTTTGAGAATCAAGCAAGATGATGAACGTATAAAAGCTCTTTGTAAACTATATAGTTACATGCCATATACGGGTAAGATTGCATTATGATTCTCTTTGACAAAAGGACACATTTTAACTCCTGTGTCTTGGTGCCTAATTTAAGCCATTTGTTGTTCTTTCTGCATAATAATAATAATAACAAATAAATAATGCATGTTTCAAAGTGAAAGCCCTAGCTAACACACTCCCCAGAATGAGATTCTTTTTCTTGGAAGCAACACTACACCTATGTGGATTTCCTGGGTGCTTTATGTTCTTGCCAGGCTAATCATGGCTGAAACTTGTGTTCTCTGCTTTTCTGATCAAACTTAGAGTCCTTCTCTCTCTTTTCCCTTTATTTCCCTCCTGTCTTTCCCAATCTCGAAGCTCCCCAAGGACCAATAAATTCCGGCATTGACTACACACAGCCTTCTAAGGGTTTTCAGTATATTAGAAATAAGATCCAACTTCCTGTATTGAAACCAGAATTTAAATGAAGGTTTTCCAAACTCTACTGAGGATTATATAAAGAGTAAGCAGGAATCATAAAAATTAGGAATATTATTTTCAAATGCCAGGGTTTTTAATAGACAAATAAGGTATGGGATCAGGCTGCAGTATATTAGCAAAAGATAGAGAAAAACGAATGAACGAGAAACATTTCACTGTGAAAACCAGATGAATATTCTTATTGGCCCACAGTGCCATCTTGTGGATCATTTTTAAATAGGGCTTTGTTTTCAGTTGTGATTGCATTTGTTTGACTGTTCCTAATCATGTAAAGCATCCATTAAAGTCTGCAAATGATTTCCAGGTAACCCAAGAGAACATAGATGAACACACCTGGTGGAACTCATCTGTTTATTGATATCTCATCCTCCTTAGGCACAGTTGGCCTGTCATTCCATGCTTTAAATAACTTCTCTCTTTGCCCTCTGTAATAGTAGATGTTCATGGTTCTCTCTGGCCATTTTCTTCCAGCCTTCACCAAATCTACTTTATCTATGTAACTCCTAAGGTATGTTCTTTGCCTTCTCTTTCTAGATGTAGTGGTTATGCACCTTGTCACAGGTTTTGTAACCCATAGAAAACCAATGGTCACCCATGGTCCACGGACATTCTTTCCAGAAAAAGACACTCAGATGACTGTGCCCCTCCTGGCACACACACTCTGATAGAAACAGAACACACACTCTTACACACTTGCACACACCTACACTCACATACATGCTCACACATTTCAGCCAACAATTTCAGGGGGGTTCACAAAGTTCCTGGTTCCATGTTTAGAACCTTTGCTTGACAGTACTTCCTTCAGTGATGTTATGGAATCCTAGACTTGTAACTATCACACCTATGAAGAGGTATCTCAGATGCCAGGTTCTTTTCTATATCCAGTCCTTTGTTTCCAACCGCCCTCACTATTTCTGATGTAAACATCCTGCCCTTCCCTATGGCTAACGCTGTAGCCATGTTGATCTCCTCTCAAGAAACACTTCTGGGCACGTTCAAATTCTGTTCACTCTCCAAGCCCCGGTTCATATACTACCATCTCTGGGAAGTCAATCTCTAATCAGAGAGAATTAAACTTTCCCTTTGTGATCTCTTAGACTATTTTTTTAAGTTTTCACATTAAATATTTCAGACTTTCTACTGTTTATAATTGCCTGAGTAGATAGGTTCTTAAGGAAAGAAAACATGTCTGGTTTCATTTTGCAGCTTCTATCATAACAAGAGAGGGGCTTACCTTGTAGCTTGTAGCTTTTCCTTTAAAGTCTTTGAGATTGGAAGACTTGGTTTAATTTCTCACTTTAGACCTTAACGTGTGACTGTGAG
Organism: Homo sapiens; assembly: GCF_000001405.40. Classification (NCBI taxonomy): domain Eukaryota; kingdom Metazoa; phylum Chordata; class Mammalia; order Primates; family Hominidae; genus Homo; species Homo sapiens. The sequence goes on along the minus strand of NC_000004.12, from coordinate 16,288,956 downwards.
CAAGGTAGTTAAGCTTTCCAAGACTCAGTTCTTCATCTGTACACAGGGATCCGATGGTTCCTATATGTGGGGTCTGTGGGAGGATTCAATGAGTCAAGGTATGTAATGCACTTTGCATGTTTCCTGGCACACAGCTGGGGATCAAAACATGTTTCTTGAATAATAGGACCCTCAGAAAAGGAAAAGAAGCTGAGGTCACTCTCTCCAAAAAATGTATTCCCATGATTTTGAAATCAAGGAGTTTGTCCTTTATTTCTGTAGGAGTGATTAGGATGTCCCTAAATGTTAGAAACTCAGTTAACAGCAGAGAAACAAGATGAATCAGCAGTTTGCTCTAATAGATCCAATCTTTGAAACCTTTCAATCAGCATTGGGATGGCAACCCAAGTAATTTTTTTAAGTATTATTTTATTTAGGCCTGTGTGGCTGGCTTTTCAGTCTGGGCTGACCATTAGCAAGAGCAATCTGCAGCTGGTTTCGGTCTCCTGGCACTAGTGGTTTTCACAGCAACAGCAAGTTGTCTGTGGTGCAGTAGAAAGAGCACTGAAGTTGGAGGTAGAGGGTCTGACCCAAAGGATACCCTTGTTCCTCCAAACCACATAGCCTGGAGAATAAATATGGACTTCTGCTGCTCATTGAGGTGCGCATGACTATTGATATAAATTATTTTATGTCCTCCAGCATGATATTTTGTGCAAAAAAACACTATTTTTGTAAGTTTATATTTTTAATTAAAACCTGTTTAGTTTACAACTTAAAAAATATTATCTTCCCGGTTTCTGCCATATTGCTTGCCAGCCCACTCCCCAGAGTGTTGATCCAGTTAACAACGGGCTAGATCACATTTCCCACAGCTCCCACAGGCTGAGAGGTGAAGCTTATTGTTTCTCCCTCTCCAACCCTGCCATCCTTGTTGAACTAAATATCCTCCAACAATATGATTTTCATTAATCTGATAGATGTACTGTGGGGTCATGTTGCCATTTAACTTGGGAATTTCTATGGTTATGAGAGATGTTGAACTTTTCTCCTAAGCTATTTAAATTTCCCATTCTATGACTCCCCTACTTATGTCCTTTGATGACAGAGTTGGCTTTCTTACCTTTTTCTTGTTGGTTTGCAGGAGTACTTTGTATATTCTAGGTATTAATCCCATTCAAAAATTCTCCTATTTTTTTCATTAGATTGTAGCTGTATGTTTCACATTGAAGTCTCTAATTATCTAAAAGTTCCTCCCTTGACCAGCCTGGAAAACAGAGTGAGACATCATCTCTACTAAAAAATACAAAAATTAGCCAGACATGGTGGCGTATGCCTTGGTCCCAGCTACTCAGGAAGCTGAGGTGAGAGGGTCGCTTGAACCTGAAGGTGGAGACTACAGTGAGCCGTGATCGTGCCACTGCACTCCAGTCTGGGTGACAGAATGAAACCCTGTCTGAAAAATAAAAGAAATAAATGAAAGATCCTCTCCTTGCTTATGGAATAAGATGAAGATCTCACTTTATTTTTCTCCTTAATATGAGTCTATTTCCCAATATCAACTTCTTAACAATCTGTCCTTGAGCCACCGACTTGTCTTGCCACCTCTATCATATATCAATTCCTAGATATATATGGATCTGCTTCTGAATTTCCTGTTCCATTTCATTGTGATAGTTGAATGTTCCTGTGATAGTACTGTTTTTGTTTCCATGGTTTTGTAGTATATCTTCATATCTGCTAAGAAATTCTCTTTCATTTTCTCTTCTTTTTAAAAATTAACTTAGCTATTCATGGACTTTTAGTATTAACCACAAATTTGAGATAAGTCTTAAGTTTATTTTTAAAATGCTGATGTTTATAAACTGCATTAATTTCTAAATTATTGGTTTTTGTTTTTGTTTTGTTTTGTTTTTGAGACGGAGTCTCGCACCGTCGCCCAGGCTGCAGTGCACTGGCGCGATTTCGGCTCACTGCAGCCTCCACCTCCCAGGTTCAAGCGATTCTCCTGCCTCAGCCTCCTGAGTAGCTGAAATTACAGGTGCCTGCCACCACGCCTGGCTAATTTTTTTGCATTTTTATTAGAGACGGGGTTTCACTATGTTGGCCAGGCTGGTCTTGAATTCCTGACCTCGTGATCCACCCACCTCGGACTCCCAAAGTGCTGGGATTACAGGCATGAGCCACCGTGCCCAGCCAAATTAATTTTTAAAGAACTGACTCTATTACAATTTTAGGTCATTCCACCCATTAACATAATGGCATTTTCATATATTCAAGTCTTTGTCTATTTCCTTTAATAAAGCTTTAAATTATGATCTGTAAAGCTCTTATATTTTGTTAAGTAAATTCTTAAATATGCTAGAGATTTATTGCTGTTGTAAATGTTATGTTATTTTCCATTATATGTTCTAGTTTGATGTTGCTGGTATAGAGAAACACTATTATCATTTGATACAGTCTCTGCAAATATTACTGATATGTCTTATTAATTCTAGTTCATGACGGTTTGAGTTTTGTGTAGATTATCATATCATCTTCAATTATGTTACTCTTCTCATCCTTTCCAGTCTTTAAATTTTATTTCTCTTGGCTGACAGTAGCACCCAAGACCTCCAAAGCCAAAACCACATTCACAGTAGCAGTAATAAAAGGTTGCATTCTATTTTCCTGATCTAATGAGAATGATCAAAGATTTTACCATTAAAGATCATCCTACAGTAAGGTTTAGGTATGGATATTTTATCAAGTTTAAGAAATTCCCTGCTAGTCTGAATTTGCTAAGAGGTTTTAACATAAATATATTTTGAATTTTATCAGATATTTTAATCTACTAATCATACAATTATTCTTATTTAGACCATTTATTTGGATACCTAGTTAATTTTCATTAATATTTCTCATGTGCTAAAAGAAAATGTCATCAGTTAGGATTTTTTTGCTTATATATCTGTTATCAAGTTGTCTTCTGCATGAAAGTCATTCATTCTACTTTCAAAGTGTTTACCCTTAACTATTAAGACCTATACTTGTGTTTATTTTTCTATATGGGTCTCTAAAACTTAGCATTAACTCTACGTTTCTCCAAACAGTACAAAGACCCTAATTATCTTCATTCCTTCTCCTTTTTTTTTTTTTTTTTGGTTTGATAAGAGTCCACTGTTTCCATTATAGACTTCTCACATCCTAATTTTCAAGTTGGTTATTCTTTGCAAGTGCTTGTTCTGGCCTTTATTACAAATTCCCTTGACTACTCCTTTGAGATATTTACTATATCTATTTAGATATTTTTAATATGCTCCATTCATTCTACTGCATCTAGTAAATATGAATGGCTTCACCATATCATCTCTACCAGGAGAGGCAAAAGTTCAGCTCCTGGTTTCCCTCCTGTAAGTCTGAGGAGAATGGATCCTGCCTCAGGACATTGGGCCTCTAGGATTACTTATTTATCTTGGTATTGTCCACTTGCCACTTCTACCAGCAACATTGACCTTTGCTAGCACTGCTTTAACAAGGTACCACCAACAGAATGGTTTAAACAGTATATTGTCCCATAGTTCTGGAGGCAAGAAGTCCGAGATCAAGGTGTCAGAAGACTTGTTTCATTCTGAGGGATGTGAGGAAGAACTGGTTCCAGTTCTCCCCTAGCTTCTGGTGGTTTGCTGGTGTATTAGTTCATTTTCACACTGCTGATAAAGACATACCCACGACTAGGCAATTTACAAAAGAAAGAACTTACAGTGACTGGGGAGGCCTCACAATCATGGCAGAAGGTGAAAAGCATGTCTCACATGGCAGCAGATAAGAGAAGAAGAGCTTGTGCAGGAAAACTCCTATTTTATAAACCATCAAATCTCATGAGACTTATTCACTACCAAAAGACATATTCACTACCACAAGACAGCATAGGAAAGACCTGCTCCCATGATTAAATTACGTCCCACAGGGTCCCTCCCATAAGACATGGGAATTTAAGATGAGATTTGTGTGGGGACACAGAGCCAAACCATATCATTCTTCCCCTGGCCTTTTCATGTCCTCACATTTCAAAACCAATCATGCCTCCCCAACAGTCCTCCAAAGTCTTAACTCATTTCAGCATTAACTCAAAAGTCCGTAGTCCAAAATCTCATCCAAGACAAGGCAAGTCCCTTCCTCCTATGAGCCTGTAAAACCAAAATCAAGTTAGTTACTTCCTAGATACAATGGGGGTACAGGCATTGGGTAAATACAGCTGTTCCAAACGGGAGAAATTGGCCAAAACAAAGGGGATACAGACCCCATGCAAGTCAGAAATTCAGCAGAGCAGTCAAATCTTAAAGCTCCACATGGTCTCCTTTGACTCCATGTCTGATATCCAGGTCATGCTGATGTAAAAGATGGGTTCCCATGGTCTCAGGCAGTTCCACCCCTGTGGCTTTGCAGGGTACAGCCTCCCTCTTCACTGCTTTCACGGGCTGGCATTGAGTGTCTGTGGCTTTTCCAGGTGCACAGTGCAAGCTGTTGGTGTATCCAGGTGTTTTCATACATCCTCTGAAATCTAGGCAGAGGTTCCCAAACCTCAATTCTCCACTTCTGTGTACCCACACCACATGGAATCTGACAAATCTTGGGACTTGCACCCTCTGAAGCCATGGCCTGAGCTGTACCTTGCCCCCTTTTAGTCATGGCTAGAGTGGGTGGGATGCAAGACACTAAGTTCTTAGGCTGCAAACAGCACGAAGACCCTGGGCCTAGCCCACGAAACCATTTTTTCCTCCTAGGCCTCCGGGCCTGTGATGGGAGGGGCTGCCATGAAGACCTCTGACATGTCCTGGAGACATTTTCCCTAATGTCTTTGGGATTAACATTTGGCTTCTTGTTACTTATGCAAAATTTTGTAGCAGGCTTGAATTTCTCTTGAAATGGGATTTTCTTCTCTATCACGTTGTCAGGCTGCAAATTTTCCAAACTTTTATGCTCTGCTTCCCTTATAATACTGAATACCTTTAACAGCACCCAAGACTCCTTTTGAATGCTTTGCTGCTTAGAAATTTCTTCTGCAAGATACCCTAAATCATCTCTCTCAAGTTTAAAGTACCACAAATCTCTAGGGCAGGGGCAAAATGCCAATAGTTTCTTTGCTAAAAGATAACAAGAGTTTTGCTCTTTGTAACAAAGTTGTTTGCTCCAGTTTCCAACAATATCTCCATCTGAGATCACCTCAGCTTGGACCTTATAGTTCATATCAATCATCTCCATCTGAGATCACCTCAGCTTGATCCTTATAGTTCATATCACTATCAGCATTTTGATCAAAGCCATTCAACACATCTCTAGGAAGTTCCAAACTTTCCCACATTTTCCTGTCTTCTTCTGAGCCCTCCAAACTGTTCCAACTTCTGCCTGTTATGCAGTTCCAAAGTCGCTTCCACATTTTTGGGAATCTTTTCAGCAGCACCCCACTCTACTCATACCATTTTAGCGTATTAGTCCGTTTTCACACTGTGGATAAAGACACACCCAAGACTGGGCAATTTACAAAAGAAAGAGGTTTATTGGACTTACAGTTCCAAGTGGCTGTGGAGGCCTCACAATCATGGTGGAAGGTGAAAGGCATGTCTCACATGTTGGCAGAAAAGAGAAGAGAGCTTGTGTAGGGAAACTCCCCTTTTCAAAAATCATCAGGTCTCTTGAGAGTTATTCACTATCATGAGAACAGCACAGGAGGGACCTGCCCCCATGATTCAATTACCTCCCACAAGTTCCCTCCAATAACACATGGGAATTTAAGATGAGATTTGGGTGGGGACACAGCCAAACCATATCACCTGGCAATCTTTGACATTTCTAGACTTCTAGCCATATCGCCCTAGTCTCTGCCTTCATATTTACATGGCATTCTCCCTGTGTGTATGTCTGTGTCCAAATTTCTCCTTTTTATAAAGACAACAGCATATTGGATTAAAGGCCCACCCTATTCCAGTATAATTTCATCTTAACTAATTATATCTATGACGACCCTATTTCCAAATAAGGTCACATTCTCAGGTACTGGGGCTTAAGACTTCAACATATAAATTTTGATGCCTTTATAAAAAATATATAGTTTGAAAGACACAATTCAATCCATAACAGCCTTCAAAGTACCTCCCTGGACCTCTGCCCTGGGTGCTGCAATTTTATAATCTAAATAACTAATCCTTGCTCTGTAGAGAGGAATGGAGAGGTTTGTCCTCAGCTTTTATTTTCTTCCCACCCCAGTTGCATGTATCATTTCTCTGTGGTCTATAGCGAGGGCTAAGCTTATGATACTGTTTTTCTGATTTATATTGGCAGAAAACATTAGAGAGAGAAACAAACACAACGACAGAGCTTCCACCGTCTGCAGTTCCTGCCTTCTTCTATTCTAAGCTGCCATTTTTCCTCTATATTGTGACCCAACCGTTGTTTTGTCTCTGGGAGTTTTTTACAGTTTTTATTCACAGTCTCAGATCCACCACCTTCTCTCTTGCTTCTGTGGCATTTCAAAAAATTCTTTCACAGGCAGGAGACTTAGTCCATGTGAATTTGATATCTAGTTGGAATCATCCTTTGCCTGAAGTTGTTTTATAGCACACCAGTACACAGGAAAACCCTTAGTTTATCAGGTATTTCTCATTTAGGGAAGAAAAAAATGAGTGTTTTTATAATTCCTACAATGGAGGCAAATGGATAGGCAATTAAAGCTAAAAGCAAAGTTTTAAAATATATTTTAAAGTTAAAGATTTTTGCTCAAGAAAGAGTAAGCAGCTGTAGAAAAGTTAGTACATTGATAAATGATTGTTTTCCAGACATGGATTATTGTTGAAAACAAGAGGATGCTTGTTAAAGTGCTGTAGATATATTAATTTTTCTTTTCAGCATTGTTTGCTTAATACTTTGTTATGGTTCTTCCTGTCAACTTAAGACTAATGAGATCTATAAGTTTGGAAAGGACACTTTATTTCTTATAGAGGATTACAGCTTGTAAAGTGACCATTCTGACAGGCTCAGAGTGTAGCCTCCAGTCCAAGCCTAGAATCAGGCACTTGGAGAGAGGGAAGCGTGAGACAGGAATTTAAGCTGAACAGGTTGTCCAAGTATACTTATTCAACAGATTACAGGAGGAGCTATGAATATTCATGAAGGTGGTCCTAACTCAAGTGTACTGAATAAACATACAACCTATGTTCACTATGGGATAGAGACTTAACCTTTAAGTGTATTATATAGGTCTTTACAGGACACAAAAGCATTCCAGTGTGCAGTCTCTGTAAACTGACCAAAACCAGTTCATGATCAGTGGCCTCTTATCAGGAGAAAGTGATTGAAATCAGTCTCTTGTCCAGTGAAAGCTATACCTGTGGCTTTTGGAACAGGAGAACCAGTCAGTATCTTGTGGTAGATGAGCAGCAAATTATTTTAATATTGCTTATCTTGAAGCCAGTGCTTGTTTCACTGCTAGAGAAAAATAAAAACCTGTGGCAGTTAGAACATAGTTTATTTGTTGCCAGCTGTGATGGCTCATGCCTATAATCCCAGCACTTTTGGAGGCCGAGGCAGGGGGATTGCTTGAGCCCAGGAGCTCAAGATAAGCCTGGACAACATGGCAAAACCCCATCTCTACTAAAAATAAAAATAAGTAAATAGATAAAAACAAGAAACAAAAAATGTTAAGCAGTTTTTTAAAAAAAGAACATATTTTAGTCTTTTAAGTGTAGGGGCATAGGTCTTGCCTGGCATGGTCTTAGGTTTACAGGTTGGGATCATATTGCCACAGAGTCCATTCTGTCAGTCTTATGATCTCTATTTTAACATCAATGCTGATCAGTCGTGTCTAAACCCAAAAGGAAGAGGTTATAATGAGGGGTATCTGATCTACTGTCCCATCATGGCCAGGAACTCAGTTTTTAGTTTCTCTGGGGTACCCTTGGCCAAGGGGAGGTGGTGTATTCAGTCAGTTGGGGGAGTTCGGATTTTCTTTTAGTTCACATTTCTCATGCTCTAATGCACTTTTACCAGCTGAAGGTGATGGAAGAAATCATGGGGTGAGAGTCGAAATGCCTGGGGGCTTGACTTGACACTGAGCAGGTCCACTGAGCTTCCATTTTCCTCTGTCAAATCAGGGGCTAGAGCCCACATTCTGTCCACGTTCTCACCACATTTAACATTCCATCAAATAGCATTTGCTTGTCACAGAGTGAAGATCACTGTGCATTGTACTTTTGTTAGTTTGAGAACTTGAAGGGGCTAAACCTCCAAGAAATTTTGTACATATTTTCTTTTGTATCGATTTATCTCACAGACGGATGATATAACCTATCTGCAGTAATTCTGAAGTAATTTTATAAATCTGGTGGTAAAATGAGATTTACAAATATAAAATTTGATCCTAATGTCTACATTTCTAAATGGATAGAAAATGAACACTTTCTAAAAATACCCAAAACAAAGCCATATAATATGCAAAAGCAGACAAGCGTTCCTTTGATTTAAAGAATGTACTTCAAAAAATGAATTTACTTCTCAGTCTATCCTTGATGGTCATGACCTTGGGAGTCTTGAGGCATACTGGCCAGATGTCCTGTAGAATGTCCTGTAATTTGAGTTTGTCTGATGTTTTTCTTGCAATTATCCTGGGGTTATTGGCTTTTTACAAAAACCTTACTGATGTGAATTACATCACATCAGATTAGGTGATACATGATATTTGCATGATACCACTATACTACCTTAACTTTTATTACCTGACTAAGACAGTGTTTTCCAGGTTTCTCCACTGCAAAGGTACTGTTTTTCCCTGTCCCTGTGTTATTCTTTGGAAGGAGTCATTAAATGTAGTCCACTCTCAATGACAAGAAGTGGGGGAATTAAACTCCAACTCTTAATGGAGTGGGAGACCACTACATATGTCATTTGAAATTCTCCTATATTGCTTGACCTTTTGATACACTTGTTCTATTTTGTTTTGTTTGTTTTAGCCATATATCAATGGTGTGGCACAGTTGGCTCATAGCTTGAAAGAGCCTATTGTTAAATTTTCAGAAACTTTGCATACTGGTTGACATCATGTTGGTAGCCTAAAATCAACTATGGTGGGAGTGTTTACACCATAGATATTGGCAAACACTACAAATTAGGACTTTTTTCCTAGGGAGCTGGCTGTAAAAGTTATCAGCACACCCCTGTATTGTACATATGCCAAATAAACATACCAAAATATTAAATGCCAAAAAAGCAAAGGAAGATAGTGAACAGATATCACCATGGGCCCTTTCTTTCTTTCCTGATTGAAACAGAAAAAGAAATCAGAAGATGTCCGTGCCCTGCCACCTCACTTCTACATTAGACACTACGCCATTGTCAATGAAGAGGCTCAGCCATAAGTCTAGGCAAGCTCTCAGCTGTTTGACCCCATCAATGGAACCATACCATCTATACCATCTCTGGAGCCATAATATTCTTCAGACTCCCAGCTGATAAGCTTTTAATATCTATGTTGCTTTGTATTATCCCAAATGCAAACGTGAGGTTTCTGGATCAAATCAATAATTATTACTTATTTATAGCAATAACTGCATCCATTCCTCATGCCTCAATTCTTTTCCCTTCAGGAGTGGCACAATGAGAGCCACACATGCCCACCCAAAGGAGTTTCTTGTATCACGGGAGAGGAACCCCAGAAAACACGAATCTGCAAGCCTATATACAAGTTGCCCTCTCCACTCCAGAGAGAGGGAGGGAAATCTGGTCTTACTGTACATGTAGGCCCTTTGGGAAGGAAAGAGGAAGTTTCCGGTTTCTTTCCCTTCTGAATGTAAATAAATGTCACATCCCCAAGGGTAAGTAAGACAAACTGGAGTTTACAACCAAGGGCCTTATTCCCCCATTTGAAATGTAAATACGTAGCTAACTCTTTAAATCCCTGTTAAGGTCTCCTGGATTTAAATCACCATCTCACTTTCAGGCTTGTTCTTTATCCTAAGCCTCAGATTTCTTCACTCAGAAAGCCCTATACATACAGATACAAAAATATCTTCTCTACTTTCCCACACCATCTCCTAGTAGAAGGCAGGGATCATGCAGATCAACAATTTGAAGTTTTATTTAAAAAGAGCTAAATGGAGAAGAAAACTCCTAAGCAGTCTCCAGTCTCTGGGGTCTTCTGTTATAATCCAAAACACCAATATTGTGGTTTTATCAAAAGAGATGAGATAACTCCCATTTATAGGACCGTAAAATTGGGCAAACGAAATTTTTTAGAAAGATCGTTGGTCTCATGAGGAGAAACAAGTAACAAGTGCTGTCTCTCCAGGAAAATGATAAATGCTCCTCTGCAAATTCATCAGGCAGAGTTGGTGTCTATGTTGTGCAGAGTGGTCCCAAGGTGAGCTGGAAGGATTCCATCCCCCGTCATCCCTATCACTGGGACTCATTGGAGGCCTCCTGAATTGGAATCTCCAAGATTCTGGTGCCCAGGAATCCAAATTTTTAAGTCTCTTCAGGTGACTCAGAGGGCACCCCAATTTACCCTCAGCTTCTCCAAGGTTCCTCCCAACTCAAAATGTTATGGTTCTGAAAAAGGTTACAGCTCCACCTACAGATGATACATGGTTTTGCAACAACTCAATATACACCAGGAATATAGTTTCAGTGGGATGTAAACATGAAGACCTGAAACATTAACTTTTCTACAATTATTCCCTTCATATAGACTCTTTGATATCTGTATTATGCTGTTTTCACACTGCTATAAAGAACTACCTGAGACTGGATAATTTGTGAAGCAAGAGGTTTAATTGACTCACAGTTGCACAGGCTTAATGGGAAGCATGAATGGGAAGCCTCAAGAAACTCACAATCATGGCAGAAGGTGAAGGGGAAGCCAGTACCTTCTTTACATGATGGCGGCTGTGGGGAAGTGCCATACGCTTTTAAACCATCAGATCTCAGGAGAAATCACTCACTATCATGAGAAGTTTGGGAAATTTGCCCCCATGATCCAATCACCTCCCACCAGCATTGGGAATTATTATTCAACATGAGATTTGGGTGGGGACACAGAGCCAAACCATATCATTCCTCCCCTGGACCCTCCCAAATTGCATGTCCTCACATTTCAAAACCAATCATGCCTTCCCAACAGTCCCCCAAAGTCTTAACTCATTCCAGCATTAACTCAAAAATCCAAGGCCAAAGTCTCATCAGAAACAAGCTAAGTCCCTGCTGCCTATGTGCCTGTAAAATCAAAACCAAGTTAGTTACTTCCAAGGTACAATAGGAGTACAGGCATTGGGTAAATGCTCCCATTCCAAAAGGGAGAAATTGGCCAAAACAAAGGGCTACAGGCCCTATGCAGGCCTGAAATCCAGCAGAGCAGTCATTAAACCTTAAAGGTCAAAAATAATCTCCTTTGACTGTATGTCTCATATCCAAGCTCCACTGACACAAAGGATGGGCTCCCAAGATCTTAAGCAGCTCCATCCCTGTTGTTCTGCAGAGTACGGCCTCTGTGGCTGCTTTCATGGACTGGCATTGAGTGCCTGCAGCATTTCCAAGTGTATGCTGCAAGCTTTCAGTGGATCTACCACTCTGGGGTCTGAAGGATAGTGACCCTCTTCTCACAGTTCCACTAGGCAACCCCAGATTTCCCCTCTGCACTGCCCTAGTAGAGGTTCTTCATGAGGGCTCTTCCCCTGCAGCAGACTTCTGCCAGGACATCCAGGCTTTTCCATGCATCCTCTGAAATCTAGGTGGAGGTTCCCAACCTTCACTTCTTGCCTTTTGGGCACCTGAAGGCCCCACAGCATGTGGAAGTCAACAAGGCTTGGGGCTTGCACCATCTGAACCAATGGCCTGAGCTGTACCTTGGCCCTTTTTAGCCATGGCTGGGGCTGGAATGGCTGGAACACAGGATGTCATATCCAGAGGCTCCACAAAGCAGCAGGTCCCTGGGCTTGGCCCATGAAACCATTTTTCTTCTCCTAGGCTTCCAGGCCTGTGATGGCAGGGGCTGCCAGAAAGGTCTCTGAAATGCCCTGGAGACATTTTCCCCATTGTCTTGGTTATTAACATTTGGCTACTCTTTACTTATGCAAATGTCTGCAGCAGGTTGAATTTCTCCCCAGAAAATGAGTTTTTCTTTTATACCACATGGCTGGGCCGCAAATTTTCCAAACTTTTATGCTCTGCTCCCCTTTTAAATGTAAGTTCCAGTTCAGATAATCTCTTTGTTCATGCATATGAGCATACATGTTCAGAAAAACCAAGTCAACTCTTGAATGCTTTGCTCCTTAGAAATTTCATCCAACAAATACCCTAAATCATCTCTCTCAAGTTCAAATTTCCACAGATTTCTAGGGCAGAGGCAAAATGCTGCCAGTCTCTTTGCTAAAACATAACAAGAGTGACTTTTACTCCAGTTCCCAAAAAGTTCCTCATATTCATCTGAGGCCACCTCAGCCTCAACTTCATTGTCCATATCACTATCAGCATTTTGGTCAAAACCATTTCACAAGTCTCTAGGAAGTTACAAACTTTCCCACATATTCCTGTCTTCTTTTGAGCTCTCCAAACTGTCCCAACCTCTGCCCATTACCCAGTTCCAAAGTCACTTCTACTTTTTCAAGCATCTTTATAGCAGTGCCCCACTCCTGGTACCAATTTTCTGTATTAATTTGTTTTCATACTGCCATAAAGATACTACCTGAGACTGGGTAATTTATGAAGAAAAGAAGTTTAATTGGCTCACAGTTCTGCAGGCTTAACAGGAAGCATGACTAGAAGGCCTCGGGAAACTTAAAATCATGGCAGAAGGTGAAGGAGAAGTAAGCACCTTCTTCACGTGGTGGCAGAAGGTGGGGGAGAAATGCCACACATTTTCGAACAATCAGATTTCATGAGAACTTACTATCATGAGTACAGCATGGGGGAAATTTGCCCCTATGATCCAATCATTTTCCATCAGGTCCCTCCCTCAACATTAGGAATTACAATTTGACATGAGATTTGGGTGCGGACACAGAGCCAAACCATATCAACATGTTTGAGGGACATCTTGGGCAGGTGCTATAACTTTCCAGACATATCCTGCAATTAAAAGTCCAGACCAGTTTAAAACTTGAGACTTAAATATGATTTAAATCTCATCTTCTCTCTGTTCCCTCCTCAACACTGCCAACCTCAGGCTGTTTTGGTGGCATAAAGAATTAGGATAGAAGTTGGGGACTCTTTCCTAATCAGTCTCAGACCCCTTAAAGGAGAAGGAGAGGTGTGTAATTCCCGACACACGAACATCCATCCCTTTCCTCTTTTGAGTCTAGTTCTCCTAAGGTTAGTGGAAAGTGGAGAGGAGAGAGACTCGTTGGAGAAGGTGGTGTATGGAGGATGTCTTTTTATGTAACTACTAACATTTTGTGACATATTGGTGGTGGAGAGGTGCCCCTACTTCGGTCAGATTTGGACTGAGATTGATTTTGTTTTGAGGTCATTGTTCCTCACCAGCACCACCACTGTCCCTCAGCAGTACCATGTCCCTCACCAGTACCATTAAGATAAGTGGGGATTAGAGCACACCATTCATTGGCATACCACCATGGGTGCTTCCACTAAACAGCAGAGTTGAATAGTCATGACAGAAGCCCATGACCTACAAAACCAAAAATATTTACTGTCTTAAACTTCATGTAAAAATTTGTCTCCTCCTGTGATAGTGGAAAGAACTCCAGGTTGGAGTCAGAAGATATTAATTTTAGTGTCATTTCTACTTCTTTCTCAACTATGTGCTGAAGATAGTCTAGCTTTCCACCTGCCCATTATCCATTCCCTGCTTATTCTAGTAACTCACCCCAGGTAAAAGTTCCCCCCAGGCAAAGTCTCCGTTATGACACAGTTGCATCACTTAGGGTGACTTTAGGGGCAGCTCCAAACTGAGGACCCAGCTTCAAACTGCTTTGAATAAGAAGAGAATAATCACAGAAGTCCACGGGCAGGCAAAGTTTGATGGCTCAGGGATGTCATTAAAGACCAGGAATCTTGCCACCTCTCTACTTTGCAGGTTACAGTGACATCTTAGTCTTAATGGTTTATTCCCTTTCTTCTGGTATCATGTTGCCAATTTTTCTTGCAGGAACCACCTCTCCTAACAGAAACACTTTATCCAGAAGTGCTTTGTAAACTGTAAAGTAGCAGGTAAGTATAAGGAGTTATATTGTCATTGTTATGTTGTTATTTTGTGAAATCCCTAACAAACAAACAAAAAACAGCAGTGGGTTGTTGATTTAAAGTCTTTATTCTGGCCGGCCATGGTGGCTCATGCCTGTAATCCCAACACTTTGGGAGGCCATGGCAGGCAGATCACTTGAGGCCAGGAGTTCAAGACCAGCCTGGGAAACATGGCAAAACCATGTCTCTACTAAAAATACAAAAATCAGCCAGGTGCTTATAATTCTGCTACTATTATAATTCTGCTATAATTATTAGCACATGCTTATAATTCTGCTACTCAGGAAGCTGAGGCATGAGAATCACTTGAGCCTGGGAAGCGGAGGTTGCAGTGAGCCAAGATTGTGCCACTGCACTCCAGCCTGGGCAACAGAGTAAGACTCTGTCTCAGAAAAACAAAACAAAACAAAACAAAAAAAACCCAGCACTGGGGATAGGGAATAAACAAAATATCTTGGCTCTTGAGTATTGATATATTTACTCTTTCATTCATTTATTCATTGATCATATACTAGAGTATATGTCAAACACTGTGATAGATGGTGGGATACAAGATTAAGATATAAGAAGATTAAGACAAAGAAACTCTATAATGGTTCACTAATAAGGCCATATTCTGTGACTTTTATTTAAGGAGTTTTTACCTGGTTCCAAAGTACTTCTAAAAATGTTAACATCAGTGGTTAAAATTTGGATGCTCAAAGGTTAAATTTAACCACTATGACCATTTGTTTGCCCAAATAGTGCTTTTAAATAATTGGACTTTTACCCTTTTGGGGTCCACTTTATAATCTGCTGGTAGCTCCGAAAATGGGCGTGAATACAAAAATTTGCATACAATTTTAGGGAGTTCCATGAATCCTCAGGTAAAAGCTCTTTGATGTGATAGTTGTATCACTTAGATACAATTATGGTTACTAGAAGGATTTAAGCTGCAAATAACTGTAAATCCAAGCTCACACTGCTTTGAACAAGAAGCAAATATACCTGGAAGTCCAATTAGGCCTTATGTTCCAGACCGAACTGTGTTCCCTTTGCCCAAAATTTATATGTTGAAGCCCCATCCTCCAATGTGACTGTATTTCGAGATAGGGTAATTAAAGTTAAATGAGGTCATAAGGATGTTGCCCTAATCTGATAGGGCCAGTGTCCTCATAAGAAGAGGAAGAAACACCAGAGTGCTCTCTCTCTCTCCATGAGCACACACAGAAGAAAGACCATGCGAAGACACAGTGAAAAGATGGCAAGCCAGGAAGAGAGGCCTTACCAGAAACCAACCCTTCTGGTACCTTAATCTTGAACTTCCAGCCTCCAGAACGATGAGAAAGTAAACTTCTATTGTCTAAGCCACCCAGTCTGGGGTATATTGTTATGGCAGACCTAGCTGACTAATGCATCTTTCCAAAATTGGCAACTCTCTAAAGCCTTCTGTTGGCTTCCTGCAAAAGTTGTGTTACTCAAGGACGACACGACTATGGCTCTGATGCGGACAATGTTGCAAAAAGCCCCGAGGCCCATTAATAACATGAAAGATAGCAGCTGATGCGTATTGAGAACTTACCATGTCCCAGGTGCCATACCGTGTGCCCTACATATATTATCTCATTTAATTATTATGATAGGAATAATTGTCCCTATCTAACAAGAAAAAAAGAAAACTGAAGGTATTTGACTCCAAAAGCTTTTCTCTTTCCATTATGCATCCCTAGTTTGAGTAACTAGGCTATAGTATGGCCCAAAACTGTACCCCCAAAGGCTGGGCTCATTGAAGGGGCCCCAAGTTCACAGTCATCTCTGATCCCACATTCAAACACTCACCCAGTCTTTCTGCAGATGCCCAAGATGAACCCTTAGACCTGTGTAGTGACAGATGCAAATTTGTTCTCTGGACTCAGATGTGCAGAAAAAAATAACTATTCCACCTAATACCTGTCTACACCCAATGGATAGTAGAAAAAAATCTAAATTTGCAACACTCTTCCAGTTTAAAACAATGTCATTTCAGATTAAGTACTTAGTCAGCCCAAATTTCATATATCAAAAAACTGAAACACATGTAATCCACTCTTCCCATTATTAAAACTTAATGATGGAGCTGAATTAAGAAAAAAGAGAATGTTATGTAGGGGTGTCAGATGCCCGGTCCCTGCCTCCTCTAGACTGTGGATACCAGAAGGAGTCCTGGGAGAGAGGAAAAGACAAGAATGAGAAACCCATCCTCACTTCTGGTCCCAAGGGGATATAGTGGAAGTGCGAGTAGACCAGCAGCCAAAGAGACAGCCTGTCCTTGTTTCCCCTCTCTGGGCTCTGGCTGGGAAATAGGGAAGGGTGCATCCCTAAAAATCCCTAAAAATGGGAAAGGGGAGGGTGCATCCAAGAAGGTATAGGACGCCAAGGAAAGACGGCACTTGCCTCACTTACACATGTGGCTCTGAGGGGCGATCACCTGCCAGAATGCCCCATCACCACCATTGAAGAAATCATCTCTGAGTGCATTTGACATGTCAGGCACTGATCCAGCACATCAGACAAGAAGATGACCATATTTTAATTGCATGCACATGTGTGTGTGTATATGGATTTTTGGATCATTTGATTCTATTAAACTTCCTGAAAAAAATATAAATTTTAGAGATTAAATAGTAATTTCACCGCACCAGGGGCACTTTGGGATTTAAAGACCGTTTTTAAAAGAATCCTTTTGTAAAGTAAAGGTTAAGTCCCCAGTTGTTTGCTTTGTTTTGTTTTTAATGCAAACTCAGATTTTTCCTATACATTTGGTTTACTTAAATTATACACACACACACACACACACACACACTCACACACAAAAATATCTCAATTCCCTTGGCAGCCTATGATATTTGCTTCATTTATCAGATTGGAGGAAGGAGAAATATTGAAGAGAAGAGGAAGATGAGATGGGTAATTCGTGCTGTGGAATTTTTAAATAAAATTTTCCTAGAACAATCACATTTTCACATTTGCAGTTTATATTGTTTTTCTGTCATGAGTGGCTTAGAAACTAAACAAACAAACAAACAAAAACCTACATCACAGGAAAGGTAATGGAACAAACTGAAACGCTGGTTTAGAACCACGAGTTTAGTGGGAGTGTATTATTATACTTCCTTAATTCTGCCACGTGGCAAGGTTTTCTATGTGATTAATGAGCCACCATTGTACAACATTACCAGAAGGCAAACAATTCCAATTACCGATAGAGCTAAACCATAATTACCATGCAAATGATTTCAATAATGTAATAGAATGGAATATCTGGTCATTACAGGGCAGACAATTCACAATGTTAATTGGGGGCAGTCTGTTTTCAGAGAGTAAATAATATTAACAGTAATATAAATCCAAACTAATATTAGGTTTGACTTTGCTTATGATCAAGAGGAATGGTCTACTTCCGAAATTACGTTTACATTACAAAGACAAACCATACTTGCTTCGGTTTCTATCATAAGTAAAATGATTTGTATCGAAAATACTGGGAAGCAAAATGATACTGAGATGAGATTGAAAATTTGAGAAAAGAGGTCAGCAATTGAAGGCCTTTAGGCAAGAATTCAGACATGGGAATAGACAACCTCTAATTCCCAGAGTCGCCTCCTGGGGGCAGGAGATGATGGTTGAGAACTCCGAAAATAGGGGAGAACAAGAAAAAAGAAAACTGCTGTTAAGTCATCCTCTTAAATCCTACTTTTCCTCTCATTCTTTCTTCTATTATCCAAGTTTTAATCTTACATGACCACCTACTTGGTCTATTGTAATAGTTTTCAAGTCAGTTTCCTGCTCACTCCCTCCTCTTCCCCATTCATACTTACCTCTTCCCCATTCTGTGCAATATCAGTAGAAAAACATGAAGTTCTTCCCTCCCACTACTAAAGTCCCAATACTTTCTACTTCTGTTCTGAAATACCCAGAGGCTCCTTCCCCAAGAAGCTTCCTCTCACCATTCTGTACAGTCCCTAGGAAGTGCATGGTCCAACTTGGCCATTTATATTCATTCTTCCAAGGCTCCCAAGGCTCCCAAGGCTCAGAAGAATTGGGGTTTTTTTGCTCCAGCAGCAGTGCCCTGAATTTTGTGAAGTTCCTGTTGCTTATACTTCCACAGTAGACATAGTTTATGTTCGTGGCTCCTCCCATCCTATTTTTAAGCTTGATTCTCCAGTTTCCCTCTTATTACCTAATCCATACATCCCTCTAACAAATTCCCCTTTTATAAGATCTTGGCCAGAGTTCATTTTTGTGGCTTTCCAAAGAGGAACCCTAACTGATACACCTCTCCTAAGAAATTTAAGCCAGATCCACATGGCTTCCCCTGATAGGAGGGAAGACAGTCATGATTATCTGGCAAATTGGGGCTGTTTCTAAGGATTGCTTGCGGTCATTTTAAATTGGAAAATATCCTGTGAGTAGATGACATAATCAGATGCAGTGGAGGTAGTGGTTAAGAACCAAGCTCCGGAGCCAGGCCTTGCGGGTTTAAACCTCACTTCCTCCACTGAATAGTTGTATAACCTTGGGCAAATTGCTTAAAAGTGAAATGGAGAAAGCAAGAAGCCATTCCTCCTGGGACTGCTACAAGAATGAATGAGCTGTACATGTGGAATTCATAGAGCAGAGCCTGACACCAGCAAGCATTTGTAAGCATGTAAAATGTGATTATTAAGACTTCTGAAAAAATAGGCTCTGTGAGTAAGCAAATAAGATTTTTAAAATAATGATTCAATAAACTTACCTGACATCCGTATACAGGTAATTGTATAGCATCCAAAGTAGTCACCCTGGGGCTACAAATA
Source organism: Homo sapiens (assembly GCF_000001405.40). Classification (NCBI taxonomy): domain Eukaryota; kingdom Metazoa; phylum Chordata; class Mammalia; order Primates; family Hominidae; genus Homo; species Homo sapiens. The sequence goes on along the minus strand of NC_000004.12, from coordinate 16,269,937 downwards.
TTCTCATGATGTTGCCATTATTCAAGGGTTGTTTTTTTTGTCAGAATTTCTCCTTTAGAATTTTATTTAGAATCTGCCATACATAGGTTTGATTGCCCTTGTTCCAGCAAAAAAGGGATTTAGTTACAAAATCCCATTGAAAATAATGATTAGAATATGTAGGCTCAGTGTGTGACCATTCTTCCTTCTGGTCACCCAAGCCTTGTGCTGCAGGTAACCACAGAGGTGAGGAACTATGAATCTTTGCCCCTGTGAGCCTCACTGGCTTGGGGAAACCAAGTCCTGTGGAACAACTCCAAGTGCTTGCCTGGAAAGACTCTAAGTCTCCTTAGCTGCCTTGACAAGGTATCAGATGGCTTCCAAGGAAACCTCAGTCCCAGAAAATTTTCTTGGCTCTATGTCCCATCTCACTTCTCCTAAAGGTCTTGATCAGTGAGTGCTGCTACTACCACCACCGCCTCTTGGTCCTTTGCCAAGGCTTGGGTGGGTTGCTCCCCAGTCCTGTCTGTAGTGCTTTCTTAAGCTCTCCAAAGGTATCCAGAGTCAGTCCATTCATCATAGCCCCTGACACATGTTAACTTGAATCAGTTCCCAGCAAACTGAATCTATGGGGTAGCTGAAGGTCCAACCAATGCCTTATTAAGTAAGGTTTAACCCTCTGCACTGTTCAGGATTTGAAGATAATTGAGAGTGAGAAAATTTAGCTCCCAACTGCCAATAAGAGCAGGAAATCAAAAAGCCCATGGGCTCCCATCCCAGTGCCAACTGATGCTGTGCTTTTTATTCAGGACTCCCCAGTGCTGACAGATGTCTTGGTTGAGGGGTAGTGGTGGTAGATATCATCAAGGCACAGGTGTATTTCAATGTATGTGTGAATCAAAGAAACAGTGTTTGAGTAGAAGCAGGCATTGATGATCCTGTTATGATCCCAAAAGATGGTCCAAGTGACCAAGTCCTATGGTGAACACAAGTAGTGGTACAGTCCTCCAGTAGTAACTACTTTTTAGGGATACTGGCTCACCAGTGATGCTGCCTTAGGAGGCCTCTGAGCCAAACCAGTCAGGCTCTTAGATGAAAGCTGCTTCAGTTCCTACAGCCTCAGAGACAGAGACAGATGATTGTCTCTGAAGCCAGTATGGACACAAAGTGCAGCTCAATGAGTGAGAAGAGGCTTGGGAATAGATGAGTGGTTCTGCTGCTCACCGCTGGGAAGCCTAAACTCCAGAGACAAGGGTTGGTGGGAGGAAAAGCAGGTTTATTTGGAGAATCAGCAAACCAAGAAGATGGTGGACTAACATCCTAAAGTATCATCTTAACTTGGTACAAATTTCAGGTTCTTTTCATGTTAAGGGCAGGGGGAAGAAGAGGGAGTTGTGATCAAGAGGTGACAAATGACTGCAGACATCTGAGCACCAGTGAGGGTTGGAGGAGGTTGGGAACTTCTTTGTCGTCAGTCAGGTCACAGTGTACCCGTATATCTTTAACAAAGTACAGTTAATTGTTTACCTACTTTCCCTCTAATTCCAGAGTTAGTTACAGAAACTCCGTGACTGCTGTTTTTGCATATTATCTCAGTGCTCTAAAATTATCCTAGCCTAGGTGCAGGAATGGGTAAATGCTCCTTAAATAAAAATGGAGTTAGTTATGTTAGTTCGTTTGCTGTTTCCCTGTTACAATAAAAGCCAGGGCTGTTCAGAAACACGGCTACAGTTGGGACTCTCCTGCGAAGACACAGGCTCCAGGGAGGTCATTCCCTACCTGTGCAGGGAAACAGTCCCTGAAATGAGGGCGGAAAACAATAGAGGAGGCCCATTCTCAAGGCCCTTCTGGATTAGTGACCCACAGCATGAGGCTCCATGGAGACACCTGCAGCACTTACAAGGCAGAGCCCAGTGGGTTTCAGTGACAACAGGTTGGTATAGGTCTCCTGCCACAATTTTGACACCGAGCTCCTAACACCATCTTGGCAGTCTCAGTGACCATTTCTTCAGCAATGTTGCTAAACTTAAGCTAGTTCAAATTAACACCCAATTTTTTATAATTTCTCCTTTCTCAACTACCAAATCTTGTTCACATATATAAATTGCTGACTGTATGTATTAATGCTTTATTTTGAATTCTACAAATAAATATTCTTAAGGAAGATTCATCTGTTTTCATTTCTCATATTGTCCTTGTTTTGTTTTCAAGGGGAGATCAGCCTTATAAAATGAACTTAAGAACTTTGTCTTTCTCTAGTCACTGGAACAGTCTGCATAAGCTAGTGAAGAATCTTTCTTCACAATTTGATGGGCTTAGTGTTGAAAGTTGTCTGATCCAGGTGAGTGACAGCGTGTGTGTGTGTGTGTGTGTGTGTGTGTGTGTCTGTTTTTGAAGACAAATTCAATTTCTCTAGTGTTAACAGGACTTTTCAGATTTTCCATATTTTCTTAAATCATTTCTGGTTCTCTACGTTTTTCTACAAGCTTACTGAACTATTTGCAAACTTTTTGGCATAAAGTTGGAAATATCTGTAATATCTTCTGTCTCTGGTTGTGATTCCTTTTTCATTCCTAATGTTAATAATCATTTGCCAGTAATAAATGCTTAATATCAATTATCATTGCTGTAAGTTTGTCTGTTTTGTTAGCCTCTTCAAAGAAGTGTTTTAATGTTCACTGATGGTCTATTTTTTTGCCTCCCATTTAATTAATTTCTGCTTTTATTTTCATTATTCCCTTTTTCTCTTGCTTTAAGGTTACTCTGCCATTCTTTTCCTAACTTCTCAGACTAAATAATTTCTTTTGTAATTTTATATCTTCTTTTGTCTAATAAATGTATTAAAGCCATAAATCTAAAGTATTGCAATAGCTAAATCCCATTATCTTTTATATGTAGTGTTTCGTTGTTATTCTCTTCTTAATATTTTGTAATTTTTATTATAATTTCTTCTTGATATACATTATTAATTGATAGCTATGAATTTTTTAAATTCCAAAACTATGGGGATTGTTTTTAGTATCAATTGCTAGTTTAAATTGCATTTCAGTCAAACAACAGGGCCTACAGCATATTAATTTTTAGGTAATATAACTTTTTTGTGGCTCAGATTTTTTTGTGTGTCATTCAGTAATATGTGTATTTTCTAACTAATGGGATCAGGGCTCTATTATGTTCATCTTATTGTATTGCTCAAATTTTCTAAATCCTTAAACAAATTGTTTTATCAAATTTTGAGAACATATGATAAATTCTCCCATATTTAGTAAGAATATACCCATGAAATTCTTTAGGTATTTACTTCAGCTTTTTGAAAGACGATGTTCTTAGCCGCAGGTGGGGTCAGACTATTTTAACTTCCTGTTTTTATTTTATTGTTATATAGTCACTCTCTTATCCCTAACATTGCTTTTGCTGCTATGAAAAAGGTAGTATCAAGCTAATATTGATAATTAATATTAATAATAATGCTACTTTTTTGGTTTTTGACATGGAGTCTGGCTCTGTCACCCAAGCTGGAGTGCAGTGGTGCCATCTCTGCTCATTGCCACCTTTACCTCTCAAGTTCAAACAAGTCTCCTGCCTCAGCCTCCCAAGTAACTGGGATTACAGGTGTGTGCCCCCACCCCTGGCTAATTTTTTTTTTTTTTTTGTATTTTTAGTAGAAATGGGGTTTGGCCATGTTGGCCAGGCTCATCTTGAACTCTGACCTCAGGTGATCTGCCCGCCTTGGCCTCCCAAAGGATTACAGGTGTGAGCCACCACGCCAGGCCAATAATAATGCTACTTTTAATATTGCTATCACAACTTTTTGGGGAGGAGGGCTTGCATAGAAAACTCATTTCCTGGAGGCAGTGAGCATGGCTTGGGCTGCCAGCCTGCAAGCTCAGGACCCCTTTGCTTAGGCCAGCCCTCAGCGAGAGAAAGCAGAAGCATGCCCTGTAAGCTCTGTCTTGTCTCTCCTTGCCCTGCATGTGCTGGGCAGGGACAGGGGAGCCAAGACTTTGCTGATGAGCCCTTCTTCATGGGCTGCTGACATCTGCAGATGCTGCTAAGCAGAAGTGCCCTGTTCTGAGCAGCTAATCCTGCTCCTCCTACCATACTGCAGCTCCTCTCCACACCAGGTAAGTCTTATCCCGCTCTCTCACCGAGGACAAGGAGCACATCCCAGCATCTAGCACATTCGATGGCTATCAAGACACTTCAGCCTAAGCTCAGCTCTGCCATGAAGAAGCTCGGAGACCGGGTAAATCTACTTGGCCTGTCTGGGTGTATGTTTCTTCTATAAAGTAAGGGAGGTACATGTTTTTAATGTTTGAGGTCATGGCTAGCTAAGGGAAATGCTATGAATCTATCTAATTGTAGTAAGTGATCTTGTTTTTAACATATTATGAATTTCAAATCCTAAGTGCTTCACTGAGAAATTAGACAAATCCTCAGAATTAGGCACAAGAAGGCTTGGTGATGGGGAATGGCAGGAAAAGCCATGAATAATAGGAAATATTTATTAGATTGCAGCCTGGTAGAGCAGGAGCAACTTTCTTTAAAAAAAATCAAACTAATGATGACTTTTTTTTTCCAGAAAATTCCCCTTTTTCCTAAACTTTCACATATCTGGGGAAAATGACAATTTTCAAAACAAAGCAGGTGTAAGTACGGCTAAAACATGTTTAATACATAATATCCCTTTGAATTTTATCTTGGTCCTCCAAAAATCTAACAAAGTAACTTTCTCCTAAGGAAAAAAGACTAAACATATAGATATTATAGAGAGCTTTTCCTAGGAAATCTTACCTATACCAGTGTTTTCACCCTAAAGTGCTACATAATTTGGGAAAATCCCGATACTTATCAAAATTCAGAAACAAAAAGCACAAATCTGAGATCCCAGGCACAGCTCTCCTGCTTCTTTATCGTCAAGCCTATGAATTTCACTAGGTGGCAGCATGTAATAACAAATAATGACATTATAAGGTTATAAATAACGAAACTGTAACAAGCTACTTTAATAGCAAATGTCAGCCTCACAAAGATTCTAAAATAATAGAAAGAGTTCTAGTCCTTTTTCAGCATAACTCTAAAGTCCTTTAGAGGACTTTTTTTCTCCACACATTCACACATTCTATTTTAAGTAAAAATTATGGAACTAATGGCTAGAGGGGTTAGGATTCTCTTTGACATCTTTTCTTCATTAATATTTAGATAAAGGAAATGAAAACTCACCTCTAAGCCAAAAGAAGTTTTAAAAGATACCAACAATTAGTTACAATTAAGTCTTTCTCAAGGTCAGGATTTTATTTGGCAATTAGTGATCTAGAAAAGAATGCCAAAATTTTTGACGCAGAAAAAAACATACCAATGCAACTGAAATATTTAAGGCCATAGGTAGCATTCTACAAATTCAGGGCATGAACATGTTTTGCCTGGCCTGAACTCTGTGTGTGTGTGTGTGTGTGTGTGTGTGTGCGCGTGTGTGTATGCAGAATTGTCCATATTCAAATTTGAACTTTTTTACAGAAAACTGAGATAAATTAAGGAAGAGCTAAGTTGATAGAGAGTCACTTTCATAGATTGGAAGACTCAATATTATTAAGATGTCAATTCTACCCAATCAAATTTCCAGCAAGTATTTTTGGTAAAGATTGACAAGTTAATTCAATAATTTGCAAATCCAAATGACATAGAATTGCCAAAACTATTCTGAAACAAAAAAAGAATAAAGTTTAAGAACTTAAACTACCTCATTTCGAAACTTATTTGAAAGCTGCAGTAACTAAGACAGTATGACAGAGATACAAAGAGAGACATACACATCAGTGGAAGACAAGACAATGAAGAGTTTAGAAATATGCAAACATATACGGCCCATTAATTTTTGCTGAAAATGCCAAAATAAACAAATGGAAATACAGTAGTCTTTTTAGTAAATGGTGTTGAAAAACTAACTATCCATATGCAAAAAACGAACTATCCATACGCAAAAAAAAAAACTCAATTTTTAATTCACACCACACATTAAAATTCATTTAAAATGGGTAAGACCTAAGTGAAAAAGCCATAACTACAAAGCTTCTACAAGGCGGAAAACAATTTACATTAAAAAGCACAAAAGAAAATCCTCACAACTTTGGGGACAGGCAAAGATTTCTTAGATAGAATAGAAAGGACACACCATAAAAGAAAAATTGATAGATTTGACCTTATCAAAACTTGTCCTTTCTAAAAGGCACTATTAAGAAAATGCAAAGACAAGCCACAGATTGTGAGAAAATGTTCACAATCCATATATATGAGAAAACACTTGTATTCAGAATATATAAAGAATTCTTCCAACTCAATAACAAGAAGACAAACAAACATCCAGTAAAAAATGGACAAAAGACTTGGATGCTTTATTGGCTAATAAACTCATGAAAAGATAGGCAACATCTTTAGTCTTTAGACCAATGCAAATTTAAACCAAAATAAAATATAACTGCACTTATAGTTTAGAATGGATAAAATTTAATAGACTGGCAATATCTAGTATTAATGAAGGTAAGAAGCAACATTGCTGGTGAAAAACCATCTGACAATTTCTTATAAAGTTAAATGTATATTTACCATCTCACTATTCAGTATATACCCAGAAGAAATCAAAGCATATGTATATGCACATGAATCTCCATAGTAGCTTTGTTCATAACAGCCAACCATTGGAAACAACCCAAATGTGTGGTTTGATTGGATAAACAGATTGTGGTATATTTATAAATAGACTACCACTCAGAAATAAAAAGGAACAAATTACTGATAACAACATGAATGAATCTCAAAAATGCTTTGTTGAAGAGTCCGGACACAAAAGAGTGTATACTATCTGATACTATTCATATAAACAGTCAAAACTAATATGGCGCCTGGGCGCAGCAGCTCACACCTGTAATCCCAGCACTCTGGGAGGCTGAGGCGGGTGGATCACTTGAGGTCAGGAGTTCGAGACCAGCCTGGCAACATAGCGAAAACCCATCTCTACTGAAAATACAAAAATCATCATGACGTGGTGGCAGGCGCCTGTAATCCCAATTACTCAGGAGGCTGAGGCAGGGGAATCGCTTGAACTCGGAAGGCAGAGGTGGCAGTGAGCTGAGATCGCACCATTGCACTCTCCAGCCTGGATGACAGAGAGAGACTCTGTCTCAAAAAAAAAAAAAAAAAAAAAAAAAAAGAAAACCCTATTGTGGCTTTCTGCATTCGAACAAGCACAACTAGTCTATATTAAGAGATTAAGAGCAAGCAGATCTATGGTTTCTTGAGATTGGAGATGGGGGACTTTGAATGCAAAGGGGCATGAGGTAACTTTTTAGGGTGATGGAATCAAACTTATGTCTTGATTGGGCTGGCAATTACATAAGTGAATATATATATATATATTTTGAAACTTATCGAACTGTGCATCTAAAAGAAGGGGGGGAAGTATACAAATTATCCCACAATAAAGATAATCAAATTAGTGGGCCCAGCAGTGTGGGGAGGGGAAATATAAGAAAGAGTAATTGCACCAACGCTGCTGTTTTCTGCAGCTTCCCTTTGATGTGTGACACGTGTGCTTCCGGTAGCCATGCTTCATGCTTTCTGCACTAGAATATATTAAGGATTCAATACAAATAGCAAAGAATTCTATCTCTCCACCTACAAACACTTCACACTTTATTTTTCTGCATTTTTGTACATCTGCTTTTCTTTCTGTCATCCTGACTGCTGCACTAGTCCAAACATAGCAATGAAGAGTATTGTGTGTGTGTGTGTATATATATATACATATATATATACACACACATATATATATACAAACACACACATATATATATATACACATATATATATGTCATCTGCCTTACATAAAATCCCACCAGTCTTAAGCCCAGCATAACAGACACTGGGAAAATAAAGCCTACCTGCCAAAAAATAGTAAGTGCAGAGACCATCACATATTTATTTCTAAGGAGTCACACTTCACCAAATGAATAAGGCTCCAGGGGAGGTGGAAAGGACAGGGCCAAGAGACAAGCAGGGGAACTGGCCTTAGGAAAAATCCAGGAATCCTGTCATTGAGACAGGAAAGAAGGGCTGAAAATAGAGGTGTTGTGAGGGGGACGCTGCAGAATTGGCAGCCTTTTGTCTCTGCATCGTGGAAGAAAAAGTGGATAGGGTGGGGTTGGGGCTTGAGGGAAATGAGAAAAGTTTGCAACAGCCACTGTGAAGAACTGGAAACTAAGTTCACCACCAAAGAGCCGTACTGACACTGCCCAGTGCCAGGTTGATCAGAAGCCTTCAGTTTCTGATGGCACCAGTCAGTCTCCAGGCAAAATTGTCTCTTCTGAGAGTCTTGGGACTGTTCTTTTTTTCACAAGCAGGCATTTGAGCATTTTGAAAATGCAGAAGTATATATATATATATCACTACACATCTCTGGGTAGTGAGACTATGGAGGTGTTACTTTGTATTACTATTAGGTTGGTCAAAAGTAATTGTGGTTTTCATCGTTACTTTCAATGGCGAAAACTGCAATTATTTTTGCACCAACCTAATATAAATGTCCCTAAGTCTTCTCCTTTCCAGCTTAACATCTCAACCTACAATCATTCCTCAAAAAGCAATCATTTTGCCATCTTGGCAGTTTTCTCTTGGAAAAAGATAAATTACAACAAAAAGTTAATAATTCTTCACATTACTTTATGTGATGGTTAACTTTATGTGTCAACTTGGCTGGGCCACAATGCCCAGATATTTCATCAAACTTTATTCTAGATGTTTCTGTGAATATGGTTTTTGAATGAGATTTGTATTTAAATTGGCTGACTTTGGGCAAAGCAGACTGCCCTCCATAATGTGGGTGGGCCCCATTCAATCAATTGAAGGCTTTATTAGAACAAAAACTGATCTTCCCCCTGAGAAAAAAGAATTCTGCAGGTGGACTGACCTTGGACTTGAAGTGCAACTCTCCTGTGGGTCTCCAGTCTGCTGGCCTGCACAAACAGGTTTTGGACTCACTAACCCTCCACAACCACATGAGCCAATTCCTTAAAATAAACCCAGATAGATAGATAGATAGATAGATAGATAGATAGATAGCAACAAAGATAGATATAAACATAGACATAGACATAGACATAGACACAGACATAGACATATAAAGATAGCAATATGTAATTCTGTTGCTTCTATTTCTCTGGAGAACCCTTGCTAATATACCTTATTTTTTTAAATGCCTTCACATAAGCTATCCAGTAGGTGGATCATGGAAGCCATTTTGCTAATCAGCTCATACAGATTTCATTCACTCAGAAGGAAACATAACATATAAGATCCTTCCTCCATTTCTTCTCACTAACAGTAATTTCCAAATACCAAACCCCATAGAGACCACCAAATTTTGTGTGATATTTAGTATATCAATAGAGATCAGAAAAGAGTTAGTTACACAGTTGTATGTTCGTTTTTTAAATTAAGACATTTATTAACAAGTGCTTGCAGTTTGTTAACTTTTTTGAAAAAAGTCATTATAAAATTTTATTACATATTAAAAATGTTCTTAAAAATCTCAACTTGACTGGATATAAAACATTTAAAAATCTTTAAAGGCATATTCAGTGAAACCAAGCCTCCATTCATGGCATTTAAAAAAATAATTAGTGAGCAGGAATTGGTTTATTTTCCAACTTTCCCACTGATCTTCAAATACGTCACTTTTGTTCAAATAATGCAAGGTTTCTAACAGTCCAATTGTAAAGATTTTTACTAAAGTGGATTTGAAATTTAGCCTCTAATCTATTGAGAATGATGAGGATTTTGCTGGAACAAAGATGACTAATAATTATCAAGAACTGCAACAGCTAGGCTGATGCAATTGGCAACTCACCCACGTATTTCCAAAAGCGGCCCACATTTTATAGATGCGTGATGTGATACTAGCACCCTTCTCCTCAGGCTAAGCTGCCAGGGTCTTTTCTTTGACCCAGTTTGTTGACAGATCATTACTTTCAAGCAAACAAATCCTTGTCCCTGTGTTTAGGATGGGAAGTGAATTGAGGAACATAGTATATACAGGATATATTGTCTCTCTTTTCAACTCTAGTTATGTAGGATTTTGTTTGTGGGGCAGAGCTACTTTAGATCAGAAGCACCAGCACAGCTAAACCAGATATTAAGATAGTGAAATTGCTTTGTACTTGTTGGAACATGGCTGCTATCCTATGCAAACACCTTCACCCCATACTACCACTTCCTCTTCTCTGGTACACTCTTAGGACCCCTCCAAGACCTTTCCACAATTTCTAACTAAAGGGATAATGCATGGCAGAGTTGGGGCCCTTAGGACCCTCATCAGGAGCTACTGCCAGCATTTATTCCAGTCGGGCAGCATCCATGCCCTATTGATTGCTAAATATTCTAATAACATACTTGATCAATAGGGACATTTTTGAGCATCTTTTGACCTCCTTTGTTTGCTCATAGAGAGATTCTGATTGCTCAATCTATTTTTGTTAAAAATAAGAAGTACAAGCATTTGTATAACAATCTACCCTTTGTAGCTTCCCCAATACATTAGCTTATTCAACAACTATTCATTTAGCCCTGCTATGTTCCAATCACTGTGATAGGTATTTACACAAAAGTATATGCACACATCATTTATTCCTCATGACAGTCCCTAACTTTGGGTGGTACTATAATAAATTTCACCAAAAATTACAATATTAGCAATATTATATATTATATTCATATATTATTACTGTGCTATATTATTAGTTATAATAATTATAATCACTAATATAATAATTATATCACTATAATTATATTATTACTATATATTATTCTGTATGCTAGATGACAGGCACTATGCTAAACACATAACATGGATTTGCCAATTTGATCTACAAAAATGTCTTGAGATATATTCTCTTTTCATCCCCATTAGATGGACAAGTCAACTGGGACTGGAAAAGGTTAGGACACATCCTTAAGGCTAAAGAGCTGTAGGAACAGGGCAAGGACTCTGATCCAGGTTATCCAATTCCAACTTTTCCACTGTTTTCTCCATTGTTCCAAGTTCCCTTGCATTAGAAGTTGATATTGGCAGAAGTACTGAATAACAGGGCTATAGTAATTTCTAAATGGATACAAGTATCTTGAGTCCTGACTTTCAGTTTTGGCGTTGGCATCTTATATTTTTCACATTAGAAAAGTGACAAATTCATACCAAAAACCAACTGTTTTCTAAACGAAGCTCTGCTCCAATTTCTCTTTGCTAATTATTCTGTTTAAAGGATGGGCATTTTGCTAGCCTTTGGAGACTCTTTCTGTGTTTTTCTTATAAATTTTATTTAAGATTTCTACATTGATATATCTTGCTAGGGATATTATAGAGAAGAAGGGAAAGCTTGACCTGATTCTGTCTCCTCTCCCAACTTTTCCCTACTCTTGTCCAGGGAGGAATGCTAGACCATAAGCTTTGAGGAGAGGGACTATGTCTATTTCACCGCATCTCCAGCCACCAACCTAGTGCCTAGAACATAAGAAAATAATAAATATTTTTTGAATGCTGGAATAAGTATGGGTGGTGCTTTTTAAATGTCTATAAGAGATACGATTGTCATAAGTATGATAACTGTATGTTTTAGCTCCCACAACATTCTGCCCACTCCAACCAGGTTAAAAATCCACTATATATGGTGTATGACATCTGGCACTTGGTTCTCTCTTCATTCTTTTATACAACAAACACTTACAAAAAAATTCATTCATTTATTTAACAGGTATTTGCTGAGCACCTCCATATGCCAGGCAATTTGCTAGATTGTGGCACTACAGTGATGAACATGAAGGTAAGTGAGGCCCCTTCTCAGAGAGCTTAGATCATAGTTGGGAGGAGGAAACAGGATAAACACATCTAACAAACAAGTTTTTTAAAATAAGCAAATTAATTACCAATTGTTTGAAGGACTATGACAAAGATAAACATGGGAAAGAGAATGAGTAGCTGGGAGTAGCAGTGAGAAGGTGACCTTTCAGTTGAGACCTAAAGGATGAGGATGACCCAGCTATGCAAAGAGATGAGAAAAAGAGCCCTCTAGGCAGAGAGGAGAACAAGTGCAAAGGCCAAGGTTCCTAGGGAACAGAAGGGAGGCCAGAGCTGCTAAAGTCCAGTGAGCCATGGAGAACTGCGAGGGGAGGAGCAGCCAGGCCTTCCAAGGCTCCGTGGTGCAGTTTGGATTTTATTCCCAGATAAATGACAAGCCAGTAAAGGGAGATGAAAATAATTCTCTCTCTACTGTGGAGAGTGGGCTGAGAGGGAAGAATAAAAGCAGTGGGGTGATGTGGGTTGCACTCATAAAATGACAGTGGAAATGGAGAGAAGTCAATGGATTCAAGTTCTACAGCAACTGGGTATGTCAGACAAAGGGAGAAGGTAAGGGAAAGGAGACGTGACTCAAGCAACCAAGATAGGGAAGAGCAAGGTAGCGGTAAGTTGCAATCAGGAACTTTCCTCTAGCCCTCTAGGCAGAGAGGAGAGCAAGTGCTTCCCCTTCACCTTCTGCCATGATTTTAAGTTTCCTGAGGTCTCCCAGCCATGCTTCCTGTACAGCCTGTGGACCTGTGGGTCAACTAAACCTCTTATCCTCATAAATTACCCAGTGTTTTCCACTGGCTATGACATACCCAAATGGAAATATCAAGTAAGCAGTTGGATATACAGGTCTTGAGTTCAGGAGGGAATGAAACCAAAGCTGGAGGTAGTAAATCTGGGAACCAACCACAGATAGATGGGATCAACACCAAGCTAATACATACAAGGATCTGCTATTTAAATACCAGTTATGAACCATGCTAATTCTATGATCTTGAGAAAATAACGACCTCACTCCTCCGTTTTCTCATCTGAAAAATGGGAATGAAAGTAATGCTTTTTTAGGGTGGTTGTGAGGATTAATAAAATAATCCCTAGTACCTGGGTAAGCACTCCAAGAATGCTATTGTAACTGGTTTATATTATTTTCCACAACTGCCTTTACACTTGCTCTGGGTATGGCCGTTTTAAGACAACTAAAGCCTGAATGCTTTCCATGGGGTCCACTCAGACATGCTTGCTCATTCAAACTCTGCGAGTCCTGAACGCTTACCCCTCTGCTGGCCCAAATCCTCACCAGCCGTCTCAAATAGCTTCAGCCAGCTTTGCACCCTTGGAATTCTCCAGGCTAGAGAAAGGCACCAGTCTCATGGAGTGATACATCAAAATCCGCTCTCGGTAGACGTCTTCCCTTCGAGATCTGCTTTGAGGGCTGCCCTAACTTGGCATAAGAGGACAAACCCTCGGCTTTCTCTCGCGTGCGCGGTGTGGTGGCAGCAGGCGGAGCCTCGAAATGCAGAACAACGCCGGCGAGTTCGTGGACCTGTAAGTTCCGCGGAAATGCTCCGCTAGCAACCGCATCATCGGTGCCAAGGACCACGCATCCATCCAGATGAACGTGGCCGAGGCTGACAAGGTCACGGGCAGGTTTAATGGCCAGTTTAAAACTTATGCTATCTGCGGGGCGATAGGATGGGTGAGTCAGATGATTCGATTCTCCGATTGGCCAAGGCCGACAGCATCGTCTCAAAGAAGTTTTGACTAGAGAGAATCACGGATGTGGAATATTTGTCATAAATAAATAGTGAAAACCTAAAAAAAAAAAAAAAAAAGACAAACCCTCTTTTCATCCCACAGAGTGAGGAGTCAAGAAATGTCAAAACGCTGGTACACCTATAAATCCCCTTTAAGGCACCTTCTCAAGCCCTCTCTTACATAGTTGAAGGGGGTTGACGGAGTTGATAGCCACAGGTTCTGTATTGTAATTTCTCAGTAAGTCCTAAAAATGTGTCCAATGTCACTATTTATAATGTAGAGAACTTGTACATTATAATCAGCTTTGAGCTTCAGCCACAATTCCAAGAAACAAGAAACATCTTGATGTGGTTTGGCTCTGTGTCCCCACCCAAATCTCATGTTAAATTGTAACTCCCAGTGTTGGAGGAGGGGCCTCGTAGGAGGTGACTGAATTACAGGACAGACTTCCCTCTTACTCTTCTCATAATAGAGTTCTCATGAGATCTGGTTGTTTGAAAGTGTGTAGCACTTTCTCCTTTGTTCTCTCTCTCTCCTGTTCCACCATGGTAAGGAATGCTTGCTTCCCCTTCACCTTCTGCCATGATTTTAAGTTTCCTAAGGTCTCCCAGCCATGCCTCCTGTACAGCCTGTGGACCTGTGAGTCAATTAAACCTCTTTTCTTCATAAGTTACCCAGTCTCAGGTCGTTCTTTGTAGCACTGTGAGAACCGACTAATACACATCCTATTTCCCACCATATATATTTTATTTTTAATTTTTTTCTCAGTATCAAATGTATTAGCCCATATAGCCTCCATGCAAATAAATACTGTCACATGAATCTGAAGTCGAAAGAGATTTAAGACAAATGATGGTATATAATACTGCCTCTCCTTTCTATATGCTTATGTATTGGGTTACAAATATGAGTAAGGCCTTACAAAAATCTGTATTATACAGAAGTTTGCCAAAAAAGTCATCCGGGTGATGTTTGAGTCTAAGGGAAGGTGATAATTAATCGATGCTTTTCTCCAGAGTTCAAAACCAATTAAGAAATGGAGTCAGATTCAGAGAAGCCAAATCATTGGCCGTATAATATAGAATGGCTAGAATGGAGAAGGCAGCTTATCCTGTAGTAAAACGTAGGCTTGGCCAGGTGCGGTGGCTCATGCCCGTAATCTCAGCACTTTGGGAGGCCTAGGCGGATGGATCACCTGAGGTCAGGAGTTCGAGACCAGCCTGGCCAACATGGTAAAACCCTGTCTCTAAAAAAAAAAAAAAAAAAAAATTAGCTGGGTATGGTAGTGTATACCTGTAATCCCAGCTACTCAGGACGCTGAGGCAGGAGAATTGCTTGAACCCAGGAGGCAGTGGTTGCAGTGAGCCAAGATCGTGCCACTGCATTCCAGCCTGAGCAACAAGAGTGAAACTCCATCTCAAACAACAACAACAACAACAACAACAAAAAACCTCGTAGGTTTCCCACTACTTCCCTCTACTACCAGCTCAGAAAGGCAGGCTGCCATATTTGTCAAGATGAAAGCCTGTCCTTGAAACCCTCCCACATGGAGGTGGGAGTCATGAAAGCATGCTTACTGCGGCAGGCAGATCTCAGAGACAGAAAGGAGGGACAAATAATCTGAGAAGCTTGGACAAGAACAGATAAGACTTTCCTTGCCTTCTAAATCAGAATAATGAAAATGGAAGCAGATGCTAAAAGTAATCCTTGCATCTATTTCCTTCCTTTCTGTTCCAGAGAAGGGAAGGTTGGAGGATAAGGGTACCCCTCAACAGGAAGAATGAAATGCTATAAGAATAGAGAGTAGAGAAAGAACACCTTGAAGTAGAAAAACCCACGAATGGCAGAATCCATGGATGCTCACTTGTTCTGAGCCTGCAAGGTGTGATTTTTTTTGCTTGTTTTTTTTTTAAGGAGAAGGTATGCAGGAAGCTTTCCATTCAGAGGGGAAGCATGAGTGAAAGACAAGTGGGGGAAGGCAGTTGGGCTCAGGGAAAGGTTAGTGGGCTAAACTTACTTGAAAATCCAGGGTTTGGGTGGGAGAAGAGTGAGAAACAGTGAAAGGGCAATCTGAAGCCACATCAGGGAAGGTCTTGGTTACAAGTCAAGGACTTTGTATACTATTTGGTCAAGAACTGGAAGGCAGTCAAAGTTTTTGAGTAGGAGAGGTGCATAATTATAGCAAGGCTTTAAGAAGACTAAGTGGGCAGCAGGGTGCAAAATATATAATCTAAGGAGAATTTGGGAAGGAGATAGTTCAGTTAGAGGCTCCTGTATAGATTGGAAGAGGAAGTAACATTAATTCATGTCATCGCAGTGGGACTGGAAGGAAAATGACATTTGTATAGTGCTTTAGAGTTTACAAAGTTCTTGTTGCATTAATTACTTCATTTGATATGGCACTTGTGGAAAGTAAGTTAGCTCAAAGAAAAACAGACCATAAGACAGTTTACAGTCAATAAATGTGAAATGAATAAACATAAGACTCTAAAGGGCTCGGTGACTGCACACAGGAGGGAATGCAAGTGAGGAGTCAAATATGACTCACAGTCTTGAATAACTGGAATTATTCATTCATCAAGTATTTGTTGAGCTTTTGCTATATGCCAGGAAAAGTGCCAGATGCTAGGATTGCAGCAAAGAACATGGTAGACGAAGACCCTATTCTCAGGGAGCCAATGTACTAATGAAAGAGAGTATCAATAGATATATAAAGAAATATAAAACATCATATGGCAAAGGAAAAAACAAATCAGGGTAAGAGGATAGAGTCTGTGGGGGTGCTTTTTTAGATATTATGGTCAGAGAAGGCCTCTTTCCAGAAGTGACTATTGGGCAGAGACCAGAAGAAAGCCAGGCAGTGAGCCATGTGAAGTTCTAGGAGAGAAGTATCTGGGGCAGAGAGAGTAGCATGAAAAAAGCCCTGAAATGAGTGTCCATCTGGTGTGTTCAGAAAGTAACAAGGGGGCCTGTGTAGGCAGCAGAGTCAACAAGGAGGAGGTGATAGGTCATGAGCCCAGAAAGATAGCCAAAGGCCTAATCCTCAATGGTCTTGTAAGCCAAGGTAAGTACCTCTGGCTTTTGTTTGGAGGAATCATTTATAGAGAGCAAGAGTAAACAGATACCAGTAAGAAGGCACCATGGGAGCCCAGGGAAGGGACAATGGTGGCTTGAACTGATGTAGCACTGCTGGAGGAGATGAAAAATGGCCAGATTCCAGATCTATGATCAGGCAACGCTTGTAGGATTTTTTTTTTATCAGATTTGATGTAGAGTAGAAGAAAAAGGATGATTCCAGAGTTTGTACTTAGAACAGCTGGGTAAATGGTGGTGCCCTTACCAAGATGCAGTATGGTGGGCAAAGACAGCAGGGGCTTTGCTTAGCCCCTGTTAGATTTAATAAACCTCTTGGACATTCAAGTGGAGATGTTTTGAAGGAAGGATGTGATCATGGAGTTAGGAGGAATGTCAGGGTTAGAGATATAAATTTGAGATGGCTTTACCACCATCAAAAATAGAGAAACCAGGAGAGAGAAGCAGATTCACATACCGTATGTATTCACATTCAGTATGTATTAAGCACAGAAAAAGTGTGTGAATCCACTTACTATGTGTTAAGCACTTTTTTAGGGCCTGGGTGTACAGACATCAAAGACATACTTCTTCACTTCCAAGGGCTCACAGTTCACCTGGGAATACAAACAAGTAAGCAACCAGCTACACTTTAGTATGATACGATCTATAACAGAAGTTTCCAAGGGGTGCTATAAGAGACAGCAGAAGGGCATCAGATGCAGGAAGCCTTCCTAAGGAAAATGATACACAAGAAAAATTTGGAGGGTTGAGGAAGGAATGTTTTGGGACAAAAAATTCAGGCCCAAGGAGAAGGATGTTTCGGGGGACAGAACGTAGTTTTCAATAGCATAGAGGCATTTGAAACGTGACATGTTCGTGAAACTGCAGTTATTTGACATGACTGGAAAAAAGAGTGCTTGTAGAAGAGTGGTAAGAGATGAAACAGGAAAGGTGAGCAGGGGATAGGCCAGAAAGGTCTCTTTAGCCCATACTGGGGAGTCTGAAGGTGAAGAAGACAAGTTTTGTTTTAGAAATGCTAAGTTTAAAATACAAATGCATGCTGCTCAGGTGGTAGATGCACCAAAATCTTACAAATCACAACTAAAGATCTTACTCATGTAACCAAGCACCACCTGTTCCCCAAAACCTATGGAAATAATTGTTCTTTTCCAATCACTCTGGGAGCTTTTAATAGGCACAAGTGCTGCAGCCCCATCCTACATATTCCAACATAATTGTTCGGGGGTAGAGACCTGACATTGGTCTCATTAAGATGTGTTTGTGTGTATATGCACAATATACATGTATATGTATTACATATGTATATGCATTCATATATATATACAGTACATATGTGTATGGATTCACATTTTTACAATACATATGATTATCTCATTTCTTTCTATAAAAATAAAATAAAATACAAATGGGACTTGCCTAGCAGGTAACAGAAAATGGGAGATTAGAACTCCAGGGGAGGTCAGGGTCAGATTTATATTTCTAGTTATGTCTGTATCTGTCATATTTCAAAACCTCTGTCATAGAAATCATCATTGAAGCCATAGGAGTGAATTAAATATCCAAGAAATAGAAAATGCAGAAAAAAGAGAAGTAAGAAAAGAACAGTTCTGTAGGCAGACCCCACAATTAGAAGACTGGAGAAGGCCGGGCGCGGTGCCTCACGCCTGTAATCCCAGCACTTTGGGAGGCTGAGGCGGGCGGATCACAAGGTCAGGAGATCGAGACCATCCTGGCTAACACGGTGAAACCCCGTCTCTACTAAAAATACAAAAAATTAGCCAGGTGTGGTGGCGGGTGCCTGTAGTCCCAGCTACTTGGGAAGCTGAGGCAGGAGAATGGCGTGAACCCAGGAGGCGGAGCTTGCAGTGAGCCAAGAATGCGCCACTGCACTCCAGCCTGGGTGAGAGTGTGAGACTCCGTCTCAAAACAAAAAAAAAAAAAAAAGAAGACTAGAGAAGTGGAAGGGGAGTCATTATGGAGCTCAGGGAAAGAACAGTCAGGAGGATTTAAGAGCTGGAAGAGTACAATGTCACCATCGCCATGGAAACAGGGACTCATGAAAGGGACAGTGGTTGACAATATCAAACACAGAGAGGTTAAGGAGGGTAAAAATGGAGAGAAGGTCATCAAATGTGATGACCACGTGGTCCTTTGGTGACCTTTGGGAGAGTAATTTAGGAGAAAGCAGGGGTAAAAGTCAGCAGCAAAGATGTTGGAGTAATTAGGTTACAAAAAGTGAAAACAAGGAAGGTGGACTTTACTAAGCATTCTTTTCCAAGCCCGTCCCATTTTCCTGCCTGGCATTTGCCTTTTGTACTCCACCTTGACTTGACCTTTTTCTCCTGGCATTTTGTCCTGTCTCTCTTACTTCCACTGTCTACTGGCCCCCTGTAACAGCATTCCTTGCCAGCAACAATTCTAGCATTCAGCCAACTAGCAAGCTATGAACTGAATCACCAAGTAGACTTTAACAGATAAGAAAACAGATCAAAGGTTACCTTGGTGAAACATGTGTCATGATAGATTCTGTATAATGAATGGAATCTCTTTAAGGACATTTCTGACTGGAAGAATCCCCACCTGTCTGTTAACAGAAGTTGTCCCAGGGGTTTTAGACAGTAGGAGGTTGTGGTGGGGGATGCCTTTTTATTTTTACCATATAAATAAGCTTATTGTTTTAGGTTGTTGTGATTATTGTTGTTTTACAACAAAAAATGTTTTGCTTTTCAAATTTAATTTTTTTTTTGCATGCCCTCCATTCTTCTAATCTGCAGAGGTACCATTTGGCTAAGATTGTCTATATTTCTTCTTCTTTTCTTCATGTTCTCCTCCCATAGTTCTTTGGCAGCCAGAATTAACTCAATGGAAATGTTGGCAAATTCTCCAGTCAGTCTTTGTTCTTTTTAATGTCATGGACATATCTAGATAATTGTTCTTCTATATCAATTGATATCTAGCTTTTAATGTAATTGGACCTTTGCATATCCAAAAGCCACTTATGCAAATTTAAACAATGACTTCACTCAATAAACTGGGAATGATAACCACAGTCATTATGAAAGTAGGAGAAGCTAATCAAAGTTCCATCTTCATAATTTTCATTTTAGAGACCAGCAGCTAAAAACAAGTAGACAGGAAGAGAATAATTGGCCACTTATTCTAATCCCTGCCATTTGTAATAATAATAAACAGCACAAATAGCAAACAAATTAATGACTGCTCCCCCTGAGCCAATCAATTACCAAGCTATGATCACTTTACCTCCTACTTCTTGAATCTTTTCCTTCACCACTGACTCATTCAAGCTGTCTTTTCCTCTTTCGTGGATCATGGCAATAGCTTCCCAGCCTCTATTCTTGTTTCTCTTAAAAATATCCTCCATATTGGTCACTAAAATGAGCTCTCTCATACAAAAACCAAGCCACTGCCTTGCTTAAAACCCATCAATGGCTCTGAAAGCATCATGGAATGTCTAACCTCCTTATTGCAACATGTAAACTTGATAGTTTCCTGACTCCTACCTGTAAATCTTCTGCACTCAGACTCATAGTGCACCAGACTGAGCTCTTTAACCTGGAGTTAATGCTGTTGTGTGGAGTTCAGATCACTGCCAGACTCTACTTCCCCTTGTGGTGAGTTGGCCTTTGGGACCTTACTGTCCTCTTCTCTCATGCACCTTGGTCAAGACCATCACAATCCACTGTGGCAGGGTTTCCTAATTTTAACATTTGGTAGTAGGAATTGGTGCCTCCCTTCCTTCTCTTTCAGAAGGGTTTTAGGATCCTTATTCAAATACATCCACTCCCTCCCCAAACCTCTGCAAACTGAGGAGAAGCCTTTGCTAAGACACAGGACTTTTTTTTTTTTTTACAGTTAATTGTATACCATTTTCCAAAGTCAAAATATGCCCCAATTCTTCACCTAAAGGATGCTGTTCCAACATGACTTTCTATGTTCACCTCTAAATAAAAAATTCCACCACGCCAGGTACACTGTTACACACATATAATTAGATGTGTATAAAATTCAACTCTCTATAAACACATACATATATCTTAAAGCTTTATATCTCAGCTTAGAAAATTAATTTTCTGACAACATCCTTTAATAATATTATTGCTGTTTTATAGAGGTCAATAGGACTAAGATCAGAGCCTTCTGTGACTTTAACCAGAACTCAAATGAATGAACCCTCTCAATTAACTGATTATTATTTCTTCTACACCAGACTTCTAAAAGAAAGAAAGAAAGAGGCTAATAAATACAGATGTGTCAGAGACCATTTTCAGGCTGTTGAAACAATGCCTTCATCTATAGACTTCATTCATAAATACACACACACAAATACCTACAGTTCTTAGGATCTATTGACATTCTGGAGGACAAAGTCTTCAAACTTGGCCCATTCAAGCCCTTTCACCATGTGCAACCCTACCTCTGGAAGATCTTACTCAGGCATGTAGAAAATGGTGACCGCAGAGATGGGAATTTCCATTGAAGAACAGATGGAACAAAACTTTAGGAGCAAAATGCTGGACCGTCTAACAGCAATAAAAATATCTACAGGCCCTACAGTCATACAATCAACTAGCAAGCTACAGATTTAAAGATCTTTAAAAAGATCTTTAAATATGTAAAAATATAAAAGTCAGTCCCACATATGTTTCCACGTATGTTTTCAACTCCTTCAGATTTCTGAGGTCATCCACTCTCAAAAGTCCAGGTTGAAGCAGACAAGAAACTACTTTAAAGACATTAGCAGCTCTAGAACCTCTGGAAGAGCCCAAGAATCACTGTTGAAAGCTATCTAGAGAGGTACTTGTAAATCAACTTATGCGAGGAGTTCCACCTATTTGGTTTGAGATTATTGGGAGAGATAAAGAAGGCTTTGGGTCCTTCTTCACATTACAGCACCTTTAAAAATAATAACAAGAAGAAGAAGAACCTTATAACCCAATGCTTAGTCCCTTTTTGCTTTACTCTCAGGCAACACAGAGCTCAATTCAGAACTCCTGGCAGTAGCTCCCCAATTAAAGGGTTGGACACATCCACTTCCCTTTTGGAATTACCTTGTTTAGATGGGTTAAATTTTAAAAGCCAAAATACAAATTCCAAATAAACAAATTAAATTAAATAGAAAGCATAATATCATCACAGTGAATTATTTCTAGACCAAGGTACAGACATAGTATGGCTACGGCTTATTAAATAGACTCTAGATTATCAAAAATCAAATGTCCAAGGCTTACTTTTGTCAGGCCCTCATGTCTTCTGAAGTCATCATCCCTTAAACATTCTACCAAGAGGGCCTGGGTCTCATACCATATATCTTGGAAAATTCTGTGGCTTCCTTCTCCCATCACAGACTCCCACATCCAGATACCACATGCACATACACTTGTCCCATCCCCATGTCAGCATCTCGAAGGTACCTCAGTAAGATTGTGTTTTGAGCAGTCGGCATATCCTCAAATCTGTCTTCTTTCCCCACTTCTTGGCTCCAAGATGGTCGGTACGGTAGATGCCACTGGTGCTCCGTTCATCAGAGATTTGTCTCAACCAAAAAGGAGCTGCTTCATTCAGATCACACTTCCACCTCAACTCCTTCAGAGAAGACTGGGGCCAATGACTGACCGACATAAGGGTTTAAAGACCATACTCCTTACCCTAAGAGGAGTCCAACTCTGTCATGCAATTCATGCTCCAGAGGGCTCTCCATGGGATCTAGGCTAATTTGATCCCCAGCCAAAACAACATCCACACTTGGGCTTCTTTCCCACCCTGTTCTTCTCTCACTCCCCTTGTCCTGAGAGCACTCCCTCAATAAGTCACTTTTACAACAACCCCTGCCTCAGGCTCTACTTCCTGGGAACGCTTCCTGACACAGTTGGATTCAGTAGCTTTTTCCTGAAAGACAATAATAACTCAACATAGAACAGTAACAATTTAGATGTGAGTATCCATGCTACATTGCTAAAAGAAGGAGCATCAGAGTGAACAACTGCAGAGTCCACAGCTCTCTCCTCTATACAGGGTTTTGTAACCCAAGTGGAGAACATCATCTCTATTTTCATGTATCAGAGGCTTTTATTCTGTACTCTCTCTTGACTGCCTCCCAGGGAGGGAAGTGAGCACAAAAATAAGAAAGCAAATCCCTGGTGTAGAAACATTCTAGAGTTTGACACTTGTATTAAAAAGTTTCTGAAAGCTGGCCTGGCGCAGTGGCTCACATCTGTAATCCCAGCTCTTTGGGAGGCTGAGAAGGATGGATCACCTGAGGTCAGGAGTTCAAGACCAGCCTGGCCAATATGGTGAAACCCAGTCTCTACTAAAAATACAAAAATTAGCTGGGTGTGATGGTGCATGCCTGTAGTCCCGGCTACTCAAGAGGCTGAGGCAGGAGAATCACTTGAACCCGGGAAGCAGAGGTTGCAGTGAGCTGAGATCACGCCACTGTACTCCAGCCTGGGTGACAGAGCGAGACTCCATCTCAAAAAAACCAAAAAAACAAACAAACAAACAAACAAACAAACAAATGGTCTCTGAAAGCTGTTGGAAGAGACACATGGCATACAATCAGATAATTCAACTCATAGAGGCATGCTTCCCCAAACTCATTCCTCTCACTTTCTATCTCACCTACTCTTATCTACAAACTGAAAAATGTTTCCCTCAATTCCTTTAGAGATTGTGCTAAGAGCTGCCAGGAGGGTATTGTGATGCCATGAGGGAGGGTATAGGCAATGTGATCACAAGGAAGTCCGTGAGACCCGAGATGGGCAGGAAGGGCATAGCTTCCCCACCTACGAGGTGTGGATGCCATAAGGTTAATGTCCATTCGGGCTGCTACATGGTTCATTCTGGTGGGTGGGCTAAATTTGAGGGATATACAAATTGCCACAGGACTACAGAAAAAGAAACAACCAATACCACTTGGTGATGAGGCAGGGAAGGTCAGCAAAGTTTCCACTGAGTGCAGAATGTCTGATCTGTGCCTGAGAGGATAAGTAGATGGCCATGTAGAAAAGAAGAAAAAAGTCCCAGGCAAAGAGTCTGGACAGCACAGAGATGTGGATGCAGATGGCAGTGGTGGGACCAGGCAAGCACAGACTACCTGCTAGGGTGTGGCAGTATATAAGGCTGGGAAGACAGCCTGAAAGCCGCTTGAGAAGGTCCAGAGGATCATGGAAATTGTTCCAGCAGGAAGTGCTTTGTTCACATGTATTGTTAAGGCCAATCTGCACACTCTCTGGGGAATAGATTGGTGAGATGAGAAGGCAGCAAAACCAGTTAGTAGTCTTTTGAAATGATACCTAGTGCTTATTATATATTTATTACGTAGCCAGGCACTATCCCTAGCATTTTACACATTTTATCCTCACTCTGACTGCATGTGACAAATACTCTTTGGCATCTCAAATGACATGAGGAAACTGAGGCACAGAAGGTTAAGTAAGTTACCCAGAGAGTCAAAGCTAGTAAGTACAGGGCAATTAATTAAACCAAGGGGGATCTGGCTACTTTTCTGCCCCCCTAATGCTGAGGGACTATTCTAGGGCAGTAATGACTAAAATAGAAAACAGAGGACAAATGACATTTTGAGGGTGAATATAGGTAAGGCAAAGAGATAAATAAAAAGAACTGAGGTTTCCAGTTTCAGTGACCCAGGAGAAGGGAATTAGAATTAATAAGAGATAGAGCAGCAGCTTCAGGGTGAAAAGAATACCAAGGTTTGAGGCATGCTATGTTTGCAGAGATTGGGAGACATTCCGGTAAGTGTCTGAAATGTTTGTCTTACTCCCAGCCTTATCTTAAGATATCCTCTCCCACTGTGATGGTTAATACTGATTGTCAACTTGATTGGATTGAAGGATGCAAATTATTGATCCTGGTTGTGTCTGTGAGGGTGTTGCCAAAGGAGATTAACATTTGAGTCAATGTGCTGGGAAAGGCAGACCCACCCTTAACCTGGGTGGGCTCCATCTAATCAGCTGCCAGCATGGCTAGAATATAAAGCAGGAAAAAAATGTGAAAAGGCTAGACTGGCTTAACCTCCTGGCCTACATCTTTCTTTTCTGCTGGATGCTTCCTGCCCTTGAACATCAAACTCCAAGTTCTTCAGTGTTGGGACTCGGACTGGCTCTCCTTGCTCCTCAGCTTGTAGACAGCCTACTGTGGGACCTTTGTGATCGTGTTAGTTACTACTTAACAAGCTCCTATATATACCTCCTATTAGTTCTGTCCCTCTAAAGAACCCTGACTGATACGCCCATCTTCCATAACTTGGTATCATCACATATGCTCTCTCCTTTGTGCAATCAGAGTCTGTTCTTAAGGCAGTGTCCAGTATAGATGCCATTCACACATTAATGTCAGCAAATTCTCTCTTCCCAGGTGGGCCTGATATTAAATGAGAGCTTTACCTCTTGTTAACGAAATCAGTAAAAATTAACAGACTATGATGGAGAGGCATTTCTGGAGAATCTATCCTGCCTAAGTGTAAGACACTCAGCCCCACCTCCCAAGACAAAACCAGACATTCAACCTGATCAGGTTCTCCCATTAATTCAATAGCTGTGGAATGGATTTGGTGAGTTCTCAGAGTCCTCTCACAAGGCACAAAAGCCACAGGGAATAGAGAACACTTTGGAATGTCAGCCAATTCCCTAAAGTATCCAGGTCTTCTTTCAAAAATGTTCTTGGCCAGGGTGCAGTGGCTCACACCTGTAATCTCATTTGGGAGGCCAAGGCAGAAAGATCACTTGAACACAGGAGTTTAAGGCCAGCCTGGGCAATGTAGGGAGATCCATCTCTACAAAACATAAAAAACTAGCCTGACATGATGTGTGTCTGTGTTCCCAGCTACTCAGGTGGCTGAGGTGGGAGGATCACTTAAGCATGGGAGATCAAGGCTGCAGTGAGCCATGATCATGCCACTGCACTCCAGCCTTGGTGACAGAGTGAGACCCTGTCTCAAAAAACAAAAGGAAAGTTCGTGTTCAAAAGATTATCTTTTTAAAAATCAGTCATCTTCCTTCTCCCCCCACCACCCTCACCTCTCTCTCTGTCTCTCTCTTCTGTCCTTCTGCCCTCACCCCTACTTGTTTTTGTTAAAAGAAAGTGTTAAAAGAAAAACTGAGGCACAATACAAATCTTAGAGTTTATCTGAGCAAACAACAATTCATGAGTTGGGAAGCACCAAACCAGAAGAGGTTTGGAGCTCCATAAAGAGGCACAAGGAACTGGCTTTTATAGAGTGAATGCAGAAATAAAGAAAATATTTGCTCAGCACCTGAAGATGTCGAGACAAGGGGAACGCTTAAGGCCAAAAGTTTGAGACTAGCCTGCACAACATAGCAAGACCCCTATTTTGTCCCCCTTTCAGCCACCTTTTCTACAAAAAAATTAAAAATTAGCCAGGTATGGTAACACACGACTTTAATCCTAGCTACTTGGGAGCTCAGGCAGAAGGATCACCTGAGCCCAGGAAGTTGAGGCTGCATTGAGCTATGCTCACGCCACTGCATTCCATCCTGAGCAACAGAGTGAGACCTTGTCTCTTAAAATTAAAAATAAAATGTTTGAGTGAATATTTAATTTCCTTATTTGGTTTGTCCCACTAGAAAGTCTCTAGTTACCTAAGTTAGTTGGCTGCTTCTGATTGATTGAGCTTAAGTTTTGTTTTCCTCTGATATAAGCATTTACATGTAATGGCCCAAGTTAAGTTTTGCTTATGTTTGCAATTTAAAAAACGTTAAGGTTATTTTCAAGGCCTAACTCACTTTGTCTGCTGAGGGATTTTTCAGGTCTAGTCTCCATTTTAGTTTGTTTTTACAACTGCCCCTTTTTGGTTATCCTCTTTATCCTCTCAGCAAACTGACAGTGTAATTAAACGGTATAGCATTCGTCTTGGTTATCGCCATTGAGGGAGTTGACGTAGACACTGGGACAGAGTCATAGAGACATTCTCATCGTCCATAGTTGCACTGGAAGGAAGGGTGGTGGTGTCACTGTTATCAGCACCTCTGTAGCCATCACTGGTCAGGTGGTTGAGCTCCTCAAGTTATCTGATCCTGATGGCAATCATTTGATATGTGAGTAGCTGCTGGAAAGCATTTAAAACCCCTGATAGGACACCATGCACTAGGAAGGTAAATACAACGACTTTAAAGAGAATAATCGCCAAGGACTGAAAAATCTCCCAGAGCAGAGATTCCCAGGAGCCACGATTTAGTCAACTAAACAAATCAGTAGGTGTAGCATCACCTCTGTGATGAAAAACCTGTATCTCTTCTTTTAAGATCTTTTAGATTTGGGGCAACAATTCGTGATTTATTAACATAGAAGCTACAGTTTTCAACACTAACAGCACATGCACCACCCTAGTGAGTGGTTAGGGTATACAGAACTTCTCTATTTTGCAAAACTAATGAAGCAAGGTTGGAGAGACCTCATTTGTAAAGCCAAGACAAAAGTGGCAGTGTCATTAAAGCTTTTTTCTAAAGTCCTGGGAACATTTATAATAGCCTTTCCTAATTCAGACGTATCAACGGAAGGAATCAATGCTCTGACGAATGAGTGAAACCCAAAATTGCATGTAGTGAGAAGCTTAGCACTGCATGAATTTCTCTTATGAGAAGATATTTTATGGACAAATGAGCCAAGATTAATGGTTTCATTGCAGAGAGGGTTTTTTGTCTCTGAACACTCGGAGCCACTTTAATCCAAAATGGTCATTCAATTTGCAGGCAATTCTTGCACAAAATTGTGGTGCGTTGGAAATAGAGTCCCATTCCTTTCATGGGTAATGCTAAAATTTGAGGCTCTCAGTTCTGTTCCCTCCAGTTTCCTTAAGAAGTAGGGGGTAAGCAGACTTCCAATTATTGAATTTAGATAAAAAGAAGAGTTTGCTGTTGGATATAGAATTGGGAAATACCTAGTTCAGGAAAATCTATCTGGATTATAGAATTAAGAATGGGTATATGCAGAGGAGGATTTTGTGTGGTTACATTGGGAAAGGCTAATCTGAACAGTTTCAACACAAAATGGAGGAGTAATATATTCTAGAGAGGAATAAGTCTGATTACTAAAAATACAGACAGGGAATTTTCTTTCATTTGAGGATAAATAGGGAATATAGTTGGGTAAGACTAGCTAGGCTTTGGAGATGTGTCCACATCCCGTTAGGTTGGTACCAGGCTGTTTTATTGGCTGGATGCAACTGTGAAAATATATCAGGTTCTTCATATATTGTATGGGCACAAATCCAGCATTCTGACTGATTAGTTATAGATGCTATTTTTTATACAATATCCACCAAGGAGTGTTTGCAATCAATGTTAGTAAAGCCTAATAAAGGTATTGATAACAAAAGCATTTTAATCATAGTGCCAGTAAACTTGTATCATTGATAGATGCAAAAGACTATTCATTGTGTCATTATTTATAATAGTAGAAGATTGAAAACAATCCAAATATCTACTGATAGGGGATCTATAAACTATGATATGTCCCCAAAATGCTGTATATTCAGCTTTGAAGAAGAAAAATAAGAAAAAGCCTCATGTACTAATATGGAGTGATCTCCAAGAGAAATTGTTAGTGCAAAAATCAAGGTGCAAATCAAGGTAAGTAGTATACCACTTTTATATATATGCATATGCAATTCTTCCAGTATTTCTTTTTGTGAATATAAGCATACATATTTTTGCAAATATAAGCAAACATACTTTTGCAAATATAAGCATACATATTTTTGCAAATATAAGCATATATATTAATCCAAGTTAATATATGTTAATATAAGCATATATATGCTTATACTTAATATTAACCAAAGTTACTATATCAAAGCATATATATAATATAATGTAATCAAGACTATATATATATATATATATATATAATATATATATATGCTTATATTTGCAAAAAGAAATACTGGAAGAATAAACCAGAAACAAAAATTAGTTACCTGTAGCCAACTGAGGCAACAGGGTACAGGGCTCGTGGCTTGAAGTAAGAGTATCCTGGCGTATTCGTCCGTTTTCATGCTGCTGATAAAAACATACCCGAGACTGGGCTCTTTACAAAAGAAAGAGATTTAATTGGACTCACAGTTCCACATGGCTGGGGAGGCCTCACAATCATGGCAGAAGGCAAAGAGGAGCAAGTCACATCTTACGTGGATGGTGGCAGGCAAAAAAAAGAGCTTGTGCAGAGAAATTCCCGTTTTATAAAACCATCAGATCTCGTGAGATCCACTCGCTATCATGAGAACAGCATAGGAAAGACCCATACCCATGATTCAATTATCTCCCACTGGGTCCCTTCCACAACATGTGGGAATTATGGGAGCTACAAGATGAGATTTGGGTGGGGACATGGAGCCAAACCACATCACCTGGGTATAACTATACAACGTTGCCTATAACTAAATAATGTTGACTTTGGAATTATGTGTTATATATATTCAAAAAGTGAAATTTTAAAAAGGAATAAACCCATCTCATGTAGACATTCAGAGGACATATTTTACAAAAGCAAATCTACAGGGAGAAGTCAAACCAAGGCCTAACCATGGTTTATGGACCTTAGTGCCCACTCAGTCCTCTAGATGGCCTGCTGAGGATGAGTGTAAAATGGGAATGGAGAACAGTAGCAGGGAAAAGACAAGGATTGGATAGAGAAGGGGAGACAATGTCAAGAAGAGTGTGGCCAAGAGAACATGACAATAGAACAGGAAGTGAGAAGCAGCACAGACAAGACACTGCTTCTCCAGACCACTGCCTCTGTCTGAAAAGCCTTCTCTCTCAATCTTGCCAGAGATCTTTGTCATTAGCTAATATTGGCTTTTTTAATAAGTTAAAAGTATATTTTTTCTAACAGTCCTAGTAATTTAGGGGATCTTTTGTTTGTGTGGCAGGGCACTATTTTAAGATACAAAGCTGTGCAATTTTGTCTCCACACGTGTTCATCCTTTCGCTCCATGCTCCTCTGTCTCCTGTCTAACCAAGTAGGCACCTGTGTTCACTACCTCAGGGAGCAGATGTGGAGGATACAAAATGAAAGCCCCTCTGTCTAACATTCACTGCTCCTCTCACTTCCTGCCCTAGGGAAGTGGGGGAGAAAGAAGAAGAAAGCAGCCACTGGGGTCCTGAGCACTATTCCTGCAGGGAGGGGAGACTTGTGCCAGGAATGGGCAAGTGGCTGCAACACTCGATGCAGAGGGCATCATAGGCAGCCTTGCACACATCTGTGATCCAAGCAAGGGAACTTGGAGGGAAACAGAGAAAGACCCACTGGATTTGAAAAAGCTATGCAGTCAGGAACCTGTGGAGTCCCACCCATTCCTTGCAAAGGACAAGATCAGGAACTGGTAGACACGAAGTCAGAGAGAGAAAGAGAGTGCTGGGGAACATTTTATTTTCCCAACAGCCTGCCATAATGCAGAGTTCAAAGTTAATATTAAAGTGGTTTACGGATAATTTTAATGTAGTATTTACTGCACATTTTATTTTTTAGGAAGACACTTATGTCCAATATCTCTGACTTGTTCTCAACGTAATTAGACATGCTTTGACCTCAAGGGGTATAGAGGCCTGGTGCAGGAAAGCAAGAACAGGGCATCTCCAGCTTTCCCCAGGCTTTCTCTCTCTCAGACCCGTGCTGTCCTCCACAGGACCCTACCCACATGGGGTGTCAGTGCTGGAACCCAGAGACAGCGGCACAGCCAAGGAATCAAGAAACAGCAAAACAAGCAAAGGCAGAGCCTTAGAGAACTTCTCAGAGAAAGATACAGATTATGACCTCTCAGTTCACCTTTATTTCATTCATATGCTCAGAACTAAGTTCCACAGAGATCAAACAAATATACTTGACTCAAGAACAGACACAAAATTGTCCTGCACTTTGTCCTGAAGGCAAAACCAACCAACCAATCAACAAACAAACAAAAAGTTCAGAACGGGGTCAGGGTGCAAGGGGATGCTAGGTAAAAATATAAAGGGATTTGAAGAGAATGCACTTTTTTCAATGTCCTGGAAATTTAGTAGCTGATCTTGGCTGCTACATAAGCAAATGAGTTTTCTTTAAGATAAATCGCAGTCCCGGAACCTATCCAACTCATAAAACAGACTTACCCTTGCGAGCTGTGTAGACTGGCAGGGGAAACAATTATGTGAGGAAAAGAAGAGTGTATTTCACATGTTCAACTGAACTCATGAGATTGTTTAGATTCTACCAAAAAAAAAATTAGGGTAATCTACCAGTTTCTCCTTACCTAGGCTAAACTGGTTCTTCACTTTGCCCATCTAGTACACAGTATCGCAACAAGGATTAACTTACCTGCAGGACCGGGAGCTCCCTAAGGGCTAGAGCCATGTTTCTTCATGGTTTAACCTCCATTTCTTATTGCAGTGCCTGGTGCTAGGAAGTGCCCAATAAACCTGCAGTGAAGACACCAGGGGTGGTTAGATGAGCCCTCCGTGGATGAAGATAAGGATGTGTGCATTGGCCACCGCCCCATTATTCATAAGGCAACCCAAGTTTTGCTGTAATTTGTTCAGTCTCAGGACAAATGGGAGGAACAGAGAATGGTCAGGGTCACAACACAGTGTTTTGTTTCATCTGACCTGTGAGTGGTAGATCTAGTAGATGAGGTAAGACCCAGCTCACAGCTGGAGAGCAAGAGTATCAAAGCTTATCTGATGTTGTGGCCAACACGTGGTAGCAAGACTTTCTCAAAAGCAGTAATATTCAAGCGTCATGGCAAGTGATAGTACTGTGGGGTTAAGGGCAGTAAGATCCCCTTGACTGAGATATGAAAGCAAGTGATAGCAGCTCTGGAGAAAGTTCTGGGCCCAGGAAGGAATTAGGGGTTTAATGGGGAACCCAAAGTAAAAGCCCAAATGGATGGGCCAGATTGAGGATGGTTCTGTCTTGGGCACGGCTGCAGAGGAATCATTAGATATGGAGATTTAGGCAGCAATGCTAAATTCTACCCCTGGAAAGGACTGGGATCTTAATTTTCTTCTTGGGGATCCTGTTCCAACTCTCCTGTACATTCATCCTCTCCTCTCTAACCCATCGGCACCTAACCATGCTTAAGTCTCTCCGTACTAAAAGGAAACAAACCAGCCAATCAATAAGCAAATTTTTCTTCTTGCAGCCCAGTGTTGTCCTTGTAATTGTCTCCACATCTTCGCTTCCTTCTTGCTCCTCTTCTGTATACCCAGCTGCATATCTTTCTCCGTTCATGAGGTTGCCTTCAGTGACGACAGGGTGATGTTATTGTTGCAAAATCCACACATTTCAGTATGCATCCTCTTTGCAGCATCCAACATTGTTGACCACTTCCTCTTTCTTGACTTGACTTCCACAAGAATGCCGTCTTGTGAGTTTCTCCCTACCTTCTACCGCTCCTTCCTGGATTCTTTCTCCTAGTTTTTTGGGGTGCTCTTCTCTTACGCTATACACCCTCTGGTGAGATGTCATCCACTCTCTTGCCCCCATACCCAGATGCAAATGCTTACAAATCTACATTTCATCCTAGACTTCTCTTCAAATCGCCATACCTATATACATGTACCTATGTTCTGGACTTCTATCCTTGGCTCTTCCATAGGCAGAAGAATGCCATTTAGATTCTGAGGCAGTTTTGGTTTTAAGGACCAAAATGAAACCGACAAGGGCCAAAATGATACACAGCAAAATTTGTTATAGATGAAAAGCTGACTTGAGAATCACAGATCATTGGTAATTTTTAAAGTTGAAAAAATTGTCTCATGAAACTATTTCGCTGGTTACAAAAAAAAAGGTAAAATACAACTGAAAATAGCAAAAACAGAAAATGGTAAAAAGTTATTATTGCTCACAAATTAATGAAAAATCAAAAAGAGTAGTTGTCCAAAATTTGACATGGTAAAAATAGTAGAGCTAAAACGACATTTATCATGGAAAAGTTGTATCTGTAAAAATTTGAAAAAGATGATGATAAAGAGGTTGATAAATCAAGTATTCATTGTAAAATGTACACAAGAAAGATTTTGTCCTGATGGAAACAGTGCTAGTAAAACAATACAGGAGGGAACAAATTGGAAAAGATTAAATTTGCAATATAGGAAATAGGTCAATAAATTAAACTAGCTTAACGAAGTTAACCCTGGAATAAATCTTTACCACAAAATTCATCAGTGTTGATATCATCTTGACGGCAATGTTTATATTCAAGAACAAAAAAAACAGCAGGGTCAAAACATACAAGAGCTCAAAATGATGTCAAAATGTCCTGCGCTCCCTCTGGGTACTTCAAATTCCACAATTTCCACACTGGACTCACTTTCCATTCCCTACCTATACCCTAAACTGCTTCTCTTGCATTTCCTATCTCTGAGAATAGCACCGTCATCCTCAAGTCAAAATTCTGTACATTTTCCCCGAAATCTCCTCTCTCTTCCTTACGCACTTTTCCCCCACCTGTACACCATATCACTTGCTGCCTTTTCTGGCACCTAATTATCTCTCAATGCATTCTCTCCACCCCATTTCCACTGTAACTCCTGCTGTTAAGGCCATTAACACTTCTGGGCTACAGTCTCTTCACTGGTCATAGTGATTCTCTTGACTCCCCCAAACTATTCCACATGCCAGCAAGGAAAGAGATCTTCCTGAAGTGCAAATCTAATCATCTACTCTTCACACATTCCCTCTGCCCTGTGCCTAGCTTGCAAGGCCCCTTGTAATATTTGTATTTGCAGCCTAACCCCACCATCACATCACAGCTACATTACACCTCCCTCTGTGCCTTAGACTTCCCATCCTCTCCCTGGCTTAAAGGCATTGCACACAGTTCTCCTTCTACCTCAGATCCTGCTGCTTTCAACCTAAACCTGATAACTCCTGTGCTAGTGAATCCTTACTCATCCTTTAAGAATTATGTTGCAACTGTCTATTTCCTAGTCTTTCTCTACTACCACATTATAAAGTTCTTAGGATAAAGTCATGACTTATTCACCTTTATATTCTTAATAGCAAGTACAGTTACACTTGCAATTACTGACATGTAATAGGACGTCTCCATATATTTGTTGAACTAATGAATGCAGCTTATTTAATCTTCACAACAATCCTGCATAGCAGGTATTACTATTGTTGTTTTAAAGAAGCTCAAAGAAGTAACTTGCCCCAGTCCCCACAGCAAGTAAGGAGCAGTTTGGATTTAACCTGCATCAGTTTATAAGGTGCATGTTATTTCTATTCTACCATGCCCTGTCTTTCAACTGGATGCAACCAAAATACAGATATGGGGACACAGTTCCTACAAATATGGGATCGAGAGCTGACAGGGGGAGTAATGCATTAAAAAACAGTTACAACGCAGTGTGGTGTGCAGTTGTAGATGCATGAACCATGGGTGTATACTGAAAAGAATGGCCATGGGGGAATGGGAGGTTAAAAGACTGTGAGGTGGAATATTAGAGCTGGGGCTTAAAAGAGGTGGAAGAGCTTGATTGGCAAAGTTGGGAAGAGAGTCCTGGGCAGATGTAGAAAATAAGTTGTTTTCTTATACATCAGTTACTGCATCAGAATAAGCTTAGGAAATTAATATTCCTTCTGAGTGTAGCATAGATGACAAAGCTGCTAATGCCAACATTTTGAAACTCTAAAGTGATTAAATGTATAAGAGTATAAATCATCAGCTAGGATGATTTCTCAGAAGCATTGAGCATTATACTGAAAGCATCTTTCTTGGATGCTGCCAGAGACCTCGGGCAGGCCATTATGAACGTATTTCTTCATGTCTTGTGCTCATCAATGTATTCTACTGGGTTCCAAGTGCTAATTAAAATTGCACACCGACTGCCAAAGAAAAAGCAAAAGCGCTTACATTAAAATAATGTGTCTAAATTAAATGGCTCAAAACAGAGAGTCTGATTCCAAATTGACATACAGTTCTTACCCTACTCCATAACTATGGGGGATTAGGCTGAGACTCAGACACAAAACTGAATACATAATGTCTTCTTCCTGATATTTATACTTAACTCACAATAATCTAGAACTTTAAAGTTTACAAAAGACTGCTTCCAAGCCATCAACATCCCATTTCATCCTTTCAAAAGATGGAAATAATTTGATTTGAGGTTTTGAGGCTAAATATGATATT
The DNA here is from genome assembly GCF_000001405.40 of Homo sapiens. NCBI lineage: Eukaryota > Metazoa > Chordata > Mammalia > Primates > Hominidae > Homo > Homo sapiens. The sequence goes on along the minus strand of NC_000004.12, from coordinate 16,235,051 downwards.
TTATATGTGAAGAATACATTGCCTATCATTAAAATTCTGTGAGTTGCTGTCAAAAAATGTTAATCCTTAATGATTTATTGTCTTATAGCCAAACAAAACAAATTAAAAAAAAAAGTTTGTTCTACAAATGTTATGTTGAAACAACTTTTCAGAAAAAAAAAAGATGGTAAAATGTCTTAACTAGATACTGGACTTGGACATTGAGAATAAGACTTAATGCATAGTAAATGTTCAATAAACAGATTATTATTCCAACTGTTCTTGTGAAAATTTTGTAGAAATGCAAGCAGATCACAATATATACCAGATTAAAAATACAAACAAACAAAAAAAACGGAATTACTCTTCAACATGTGGAGATGGCCGAGCGGAAGTGTTGGCAACCTATTAATGCCCTAATTCCTCATTTCACTTCCAGGCCATTCTTCCCCACTCTCCTCAAGTCAAAATGCCCTATCCCACCCCCACTTATGGCCTACTATTTAGCCTTGGAAACAGAAACTCTATCTTGAAGTTCTACTCAAACACCACGCATCTTCCTACCTCTCTCATTCTGCCCGTGCCCCAGCACCCACCCGTCAGGCCCTTCAGTTGCCGTCCTCAGCCCAGTTTTCCATCTGGCAAACACATCTTTCCAGATCCATCCAAATGCCATTTCCTTCTAAGCTGACCTGGTCATCCCAAAGCAGAATTAATCTCTCCTCTGAACTACCATGGCACTTCATTCGGTCTTCCATTGTGGTACTTAGTGTATAGCAATGTAATTACTCGTGGGTGGGAAATTCATCTTATTTACCTTTGTTACTCTAAGGCTTTGTACCAGTACCGGACACATAAAATCTGGTCAACAAATGTATGCTGAATAAGAAATACTAAAGACTGCTGATTGAAGGTAAGCAATTTCAGATAAACATTATCATTTACAACAGGGTACCTGAGCTCACCAGAAGGAAAATATTACAAATGAATGTCAGCATTTAATGCTAGCCTTAAATAACCCAAGAGGCACCTAAAAAATCACATAACTCTACAGCTGAGACTTTGAGACAATCTAACCCACCTTCTGCTACATGAATTAGGTAATGATGGCCCAGAGCACATCCACGTTCCACAACTAGTAAGTGGCAAGCCTCCTGATTCCAAGTTGATAGCTTTCTCCATTACATTCTGCTACTCTCTATGTGATGAACTTTTATAGCCTACTGCCATCATTCAAGATTAGTTTTTATGGTCTAGTCCCAAACAAATATTTCACCCACTTTGGCACACAGGCAAAAGAACAGACTGTTTTGAGAAAACCATCCATTAGTTAAAAACAAATGCTCGCATGGGCGAATCCACCTGTGTGTTTATATATGTCCCTGAAGGATTAACGGTTGCTGCCTTTCTAAAAGATTTAGCTTAAAAAAACACACACTCAGAAGAAAAACCTTTGCTGATAAGCTATTTTTAAAAAATACTCCTAATTAAAGAAAATTATTTGCTTTCAAGGGAGAAGCCAGTTGTACTGTCCATAAAACACCAGTGAAGAAGGCTAATCCCACCAATGAGGCATCCTCTGTGCAACACTATTAAAATATCAGAGCGAAACAAACGACAGATTTGGAGTGGACATTGCATTGCCCAAAGTCAATGGAACCAACTGATTTTTGGACCTTTAATTACTTAATACAAGACTGATTTTTGTTGGATGCATTAATTACATTACATTAATTACATTAATTAATTACATTAATTTAATTTCATGTAATTTGATTTTATTTTTACTGTGTAAAACTGTGTGTTTATCCAGCTAGTAAAAATAAAATCAAATTACATGAAACTAAGTACTGTTCAGAAAAAGAATATCTAGCCAAACATGTCAGATAATAAATATCAGAACTATAATAAATATTAAAATTGAGTATTTAAAAATGGGTTGCAGCACTAGAAATGAATTATTTATATTAAGACAATTGTGTTATTACACTGCTAAGTAGATGGATGAAAGGTCAGAGTGTAATTTAAAAGATGATAATGACCAGCATGTGATTTAGTCTCAGTTTTCTTAGCAATTGAATATTTATGTGTAAATTATACACGCCAAATTTGTAACCCCAGTGTATATCTGTCAAGAGTGGGCATATGCTTAGGAGAACATGAATTAACGTTAGTACCAGCTTAGGCAATGTATAATTAGGAGGATAAAATTGTCACAAGAAAATAATGCTTGCTAAAGCCACAACATGTTTTCTTTTTATTGCTATTTCAAAAAATTAACCACATTCTTCTATTCTCCTCCATGAAACTGTATACCTAAGTTATAGTATTTATTAAGCATCCACATGGAAGACAAGCAGGTAACAGTGGTTCATTATTAGAAATTGATACTAAATTGGAAAATGTCAGAAACAAGAGAAGCATTTTACATATAAACATAGGCTTAGAACTGAAAAGAAAACGGAATAGAATAGATGCATATAAAAGAGCAATTTGAAAATCTAAGGCCTTGAAATCAGATAAACTAATTTCTAAAACCTGGAAAGCAGAAACCCTGAGATTTTTGAGAATCTGAAAATTTATCGTGCATTTCCAATAAATTTTGGTATGAACGCAAAAGAGAGAGATAAATACTTGGGTTTGCCTAAAAGATAACAAACAATAGATCCTTGTAAGAGACTGCTTTCGCTTTTTAATATCTCAGAAACAAGAGGAGAAAGAAAAGGAAAAACTGTCAGAATGGAAACACTGATTAATGAACAGGATGAAAGCTAATTACAAGAGCAGGATCACAGCCCAAAAGAGCTTAAAGGGCATCGATGTCAAGAGAAAAATTACTCAGTTACCTTAATCCATCATAGTTCAACTAGAAACACTAGAAAAAAGCAAAAAATTATCCTGAATATCATGTAAAATCTTCTGATTACCAACTACTATTTGATGAGTGGCCAAACGAAGCAATAAATAACTTGCCACTGGGGAATAACAAAAAGAAAAAAAAAAAAAAACTCTGAAAGGCAAAATTCAAAAGGACTAGCAACAGGAACTGGGTGATAAATAAAATCTCCCCTGCTTCCTGAATTCCAAAATGAAAGCCTTTGCTAGCTAGAATTATAAAAAAGGATTTTTGACAGTTATCAACACATTTACTAGAAGGTCTGAATTTATTCTGCAAAAGGATTCTTGTTAATTAACCGACTAAATGATTAATACGGTTTGAAACAACCTCTATTTATTTTCATCGTGATAATGAGAAACACTTCTTTTTTCTTAGAGATAAATCTGGAATGGAAAGTCTGCTGAGTCATTACCAGGGCCCCTTTCATCAGTATTTTGAAATTTTCCAGAAATTTAAAGTACAGCACAAAATAAATTTTATATCTGATCATGAATAAAAGGCCCTATAAGCCAATAAGCCATGAAATTATATAGGTTCATACACTTTTATTACATAAACAGAACCTACCTTTAGGTCTTCAGAACATAATATCCTTCATAAAACACCCCTTTTAGCAAAGTATTGTTTTCAAAAAGTCCTATTTACAATGGTTTCTGTCATATATTTGCACGTCAAAGAAATGCTTTTAAAAATGATGTTGCTCATGACAGTTTTAGTTAAGGTGTAACAGTTACATTGGAATCAAAGGCACATTACTTAATTTGTGTTACATCTTCCAGAAATAAAGCGAACTGGTGTCCTTTACAAATCCATGGAATAAAGCCCAAAGAGAATAAAACGTAATGAGCGTCAGTCCAAAAATGATTGCCAAAGATAGAAAATATTACTACTGAAACTCAGAAATTCAAACTCACATTAATTTAGTGCAAAGGCTTGATCTGGGTTCAGTGGTATATTTTATTTCTTTAGAACATCAGCTGCAAAGCTGTTTAGATCTTTCAACAACATCAACTCTTCTTTTTGACGACAAAATGGTGAATGAGTTAAATTCAGAACTACAGTTTGTGAAGAAACATGACATTTATGATTCATGAAATAGAAGTCATGTAATGCTAAAATAAAGTTTCAACTGAGAAATACAGATTTAATTAAAACTGTGCTCTATTCCGTGCTTGAATCCACACTATGAAAATCAACTGTACATTGATTACTGAGTAATCATCTCAAATATAACTTCAGGTGCTGTTTAATGTCACCTTACAGCAGAGTTCTTAGACTCAGGTGTGCATGGGTACAATACTGGAAATTTGTTCAAAATGTAGAAACCCTGAGGCCTGGTGTGAGAAACACAGCCTTAGAGTTCTGGAAGGTCACTGAGAAACCATCACTTCTCCTCATGCCAAGGAATGAAGGACTAATGCATAGAACATAAAGGTACATAAAAACTTACATGTCTTTGTTGTGTTATCAACACAAGTATTGCATTTGAACTCTATGCATTCAAATCTTAGACTCAATTACAAAGTGACTCTAAGCATTTCATATTTTTCTACAAATGTTGATAATGCAGGCCTGTCTACTATTTTTAACTCAGAAGGGAGGTGCATGGAGTTTAGCCCAGAATTTTGGAGCTACAAGGGAGGATCGGTCATTGAGTCCAATACTCTACAGGTCAGAAAATGAAGCAGAAAGGGGTCACCTGTGCTCCTTTGGTCAAAGACTTTAGTTGAAGGGTCAGAGAGAATCCAGGCCATCTCCTGACTCGGGATTCTTTCAAGTTAGCAAATATGTGATGTTTTTATTACTCAGGAAAAGTGTACAGAACTACTTTCAAAAGTACTTTAGGGACAATACACTAGAAGTGTTATCAAGAGATAAATTGCTTTGTAGTTAAAAAGTGAAAACTACAGCCTAAATGAAAGGAAGGGAGAATAAAAGGAAAATCGTTATTTTTTTCAGCTTTCATTATACAAAAGATGTTGCCCCAATTTACCAATGAAAAGACACTGAGGGCCACAGTGGCCCTCTGAGACCCTCTTTCCAGGGTCACATAGCTGAAATATGTGGCCAAAACAGTATCTTTCCCAAGGCTTGTAACTGTAGGCCCTTGTACTACACTGTGCTATACCTGGTAGAAAAGAATATAGATATACAAACTAAAAAACATCACTTATTTTAAAACTTGTTATTTCATGAAATGGCAGACCATAATGATTTGGTGTGGACATTAAACAAAAAGAGTTTATATGCCTCATTAAGATAATTTTCTGGAGCTCTGAATCCATGGTTTATACATAATGGGTTCAGTATATTTTGTTTAGCCACAAAATCACTATTGTTAAATCTTTAATTACTGAAATATGAAGTTACGCAATTTATTTTTGAAGTCTGCGTATGCTACTCACCAAATTTTTGTTGTTTAAAAAATATTGTTTTGCAATTTTCAAAATACATTAGCCTCATAGTGCATATAGCAATCTTAAGACTTTATCAACCTCTGATTTCTAAACACACATCCAATATTCATCACTTTCCTCTGCTGAAATTATTTCCCACTGGTGGAGTACTTTTTTTCTTTCTAGTGCGATGACATGCTACGGCACACCATCTTATTGTTTGTGAAATCAATACTTAAGTTGATTCAGGAAAAGTGTATGAAACGAATTTCAAACATCTTTTAGGGGCAATTCACTACAATTGCCCCTAAAACCAGTTATAAGATAAAACCAGGATTTGGATAACAATGATGGACAATATTGTCATTGTCATCCAAATCTTGGTTTTATCTTATAACTTAATTCAGAATGTTATTTGATGCCTATTTAATGGCTAGGGTTGCTATGTTTCTTAAATACTCATATTGTTTTTCTAACGGTAATACCATAAATCTAAGCCTGTATTTTTCTTTTTACAACTGATATAAAGTGCATTATGATATTTTAACTATTTATCTTCCTCTGAGAACTGCTGGTTCTTCTATGCTGCATAAATATCTCTTAAGGTAATTTGTAACCTAGTATTTTGAAGATTCCAAATACACATTTGAAAATACTATTTTCCTGGATTCTAACTAAGTTGCAATACGTTGAATTAACTCAAAGAAAACAACTCTCCATATGCAATAAGCTATTTGATTATATGATTATCAACACCTATACAAGGGAAGAATAGCGTTAACTGAAAAAATTATTTTTACTAATGGTTGTTTTTTAAATGCTTTTTTGTATGTTGACTTCAATATGGGTTTGTTTGAAATTGTGTAGTTTCACATGTCAGATATAATAAAGCAGCTTCAGTGAAAAGATTCAACCGACGAGAAGCTACAAGTTCCTCAACTTGCCCACATTCGCATTCCCACATTTCCAATTTGTTCCCCCGCTTCTTTAGGCAGTACCTAGCCTCGGCACGGCTGCTTCCTCTTCTTTTTTTTTTTTTTTTTGGCACGGCTGCTTCCTCTTCTTCTTTTCTTTTTTTTTTTTTTTTTTTTTTTTTTTTTTTTTTTTTTTTTTTTGGGACGGAGTCTCACTCTGTCGCCCGGGCTGGAGTCCAGCGACGCGATCTCGGTTCGGTTCACTGCAACCTCCGCCTCCCGGATTCAAGCCATTCTCCTGCCTCAGCCTCCCGAGTAGCTGGGAATACAGGCGCCCGCCATTACGCCCGGCTAATATTTGTATCTTTAGTAGACACGGGGTTTCACTATGTTGGCCAGGCTGGTCTGGAACTCCTGACCTCGTGATTCGCCCCCTTCGGCCTCCCAAACTGCTGGGATTACAGGCGTGAGCCACCGTGCCGGGCCCTCTCTCTTCTATTTAAAAGGATAGGCACAGCCTTTGGAACTGAATGTCTTTCCTCAGGCCTCATAATAGAAAATGAGGAAAGTCCATTCTGACAACTGGCTGCCTTAGGCAACAGAATTTGGGATTCCTACCCTTCCAGCTCCTGTTGAGTCAAAGGCAAAGGCAATAACCCAATAAATGTGGTGAGACAGTAAATGGAAACTGACATAAAAATAGCAATAAAAGCCTACTTCCTTCTTGACAATCAATACATAATGGAATGGGTATGATTTTACACCATAAAACATCAGAGAATAATAGAATATGGGCTGAAGAAAGCTCAGAAGCCACAACATTTTCCCCACCTTTTGATTTTCAAAACGATTCTTAAGATTTGTCGGGAGTATTTGTTTTCAATTGTTTCAGTGAGGCTCAGTTTTGACCACATGCAACCAAAATAGAGAATTTCATGGAGGATGGTCACAGGATTGGCTTAGAAAAATGTAATCCTGTGAGCTGTCCCCTTTCATAAATAATAAGGTTCCGACGGCTGCACCGAATGTTCCTCCTTTCAACGAGGTTGGGCCGAGGTTGGGCTCCCAGCTGCTGGGACATTTTTAGTCCATCTTGGACTCTCACCTCTGCCTCCTGCTCAGCTGTCAGAATGCCAGGCGGCTCTGCAGCCCAAAGCCCACTCCGTTTTAAACTTGCTCGTTTGCAATCACGTAACCCGCTACTGACGACAGAACCCTCAAGGCCCATTTATATGCGGTTCTCAAGTTTAGGTCTAGGGAAGTTTCCAGGAAGCTTAGTGTTCGGGGAGGAATTCGTTTTGCTTTTGCTAATCAAAGAGACACAAAAGCACAGCTGAGTCCCGAAGCTGGCACACGGGAAATCGAGGTACCACTGTCCCCTCACCGGAGCGCGCAACAATCACTTGGGGAGCGGGGAAAAGGTTTCCACCTTCCCCGAGCCTGGGGCACCTTCGCTCCCACCGCCCCAGCTGGTGGTGGTCTCGACACCACGCTCGTTGCGGGGTCACACGCCAGAGCTGGAAAGGGGAGGTCCAGCCCCAAGTAAAGCGACAAAGTAAGGACACAGTGGTGGCCAAGGGCTGTCTCCTAACCCCAGTCCCGAAAGACAGTGTGGAAAGTCCGCCGGCGCGCCAGCCCTTGAAACTCTGCCGGTCCGGCCGCGGCCCCTCCCCTGCGCGTCCCCACCTGTTGTGAAGCTGCCCAAGCTCCTTCTTGCCCAAATGCTTTGGAAACTGCCAAAGGACACTCAGAGGCCAGGGAATGTAACAGGCAAGCATAAATATGCAGAAGAGATGGAACCAAAATAGCGGGCAGGCAGGGCCGGCGCTCGTGGGGGTCGGTGATCTGGAGCCGGGCCCCCGCCGCCGCGGCCGCGCCAGCAGTGCCAAGACCTGGCGGGCGGCGCCGGCGCACTCCGGGCACCGAGTCTGCAAAAGAGGCCCTGAGCGGACCGCCGGACACCTCGCAGACTGCGGGCAGCGGTGGTGGCGGCCGCCTCTCCGGGGCTCCACGGCCGACCCGCCGCCCGCCGCCGCCATCCCCGGCCCGCTCCTGCCGGGTCCCCGACTCGAGCCCCGGAGGCGCCCGCTCTGCGGGACCGCGCAGCCCGGCTGCATGGAGCCCGGCGCGGTGCCCCGGCCGGCCGAGCCAGCCACGGCGCGAGAAACCGTCGCCCGCCACGGCGAGGGCAGGAAGAAGATGGCGGCTACCGTGGCGGCGGCGGCGGCGGCAGCGGCCTCACACGCGTCGCTGACGCCAATGGCTCGCGCCGGTCGGCGGGCCGCGGATGGCGGCGGCGGCGGCGGCGGCTCGGGCTCCGGCGAGGGGCGGGGCGAGGCGGGGAGGGGGCCGGCCGGAGGCAGAGGCTGGAGGGAGGCGGCGGGGACAGTTTGTTGTGCTCGGAACATGGCGGGCGTCGGCGACGCGGCCGCTCCGGGAGAAGGCGGCGGTGGCGGCGTGGACGGCCCGCAGCGGGACGGCCGCGGCGAGGCGGAGCAGCCGGGCGGCAGCGGCGGACAGGGGCCCCCGCCGGCGCCTCAGCTCACAGAGACGCTGGGCTTCTACGAGAGCGACCGGCGGCGGGAGAGGCGCCGGGGCCGCACAGGTGAGGCGGGCGGCGCTAGGCCGTGGCGGGCTCCGAGGGGCGGACTGGGGACCGAGGGCGGCGGGGGCGCCTTGGAACCCCGGCCCCCGAGCCGCGCGGCTGCCGTTGCCTCCCGGGGCTCCCCAGGCTGTGGGCGCGCGGAGCCGCCGAGGCTGCCGAGGCTCCGCGGCCGTTGACAGTTCCTCGGGCGGGTTGCGCGCGCAGCCCCGAGGCCCCCGCGGCCGCGCCAGGCCAGGTGTGCCCTAGAAGGGGTCTGCGGCCGGGAAAGTTCTGTCCGGGTCCTTGCATCGCCCTCGGAAGGTCTTAGGTTAGCGGGCATCTCCCACGTCTCGGAGCCCAAACGTGAGAAGCACACGGCTGATTTCTTAATTATATTCATGCCAAGGTGACTTTTTTTGTTCTGTATTTTAAGCAAACTTGAGCCATAGAAACCTGTTAACTTGCCCTGCAAGTAGATTTTTCACAGACAGCTGACGGTGTGGTAGTGACCATGAAGTTCAGTAGTTTTGCCCAGTACAGAAATATTTAACACTCCATAAAATGTTGCATCTGAACTTTTCCTGAACTGAAACTTATGCCAAAAAAATTACTAGATGAGAAAATGTGTACTTATGAATCCTACATTCAATGACCAGTTTTAAACGTATTGTTACAATGTTACAGTTTCTATAAGCTGTAGGTTTTTATTCTCATTTTAAAAGAATTTTTAAAACTTGCATTTGTATTCATATTGCAGTTACAGATTAGTTTTAAATGAAAAAAGGTTTTGAGATGGATGTCTTCTTGAATATAGAGTGAACCCAACGTTTTAATTCTCAAGCTGTAAACAGCAACTGAACCATAACTCCATTAAATTTCTTCCAACTAAAAAATTACTTCTGTTGTCCAAAAGGGGCTGTGTTAGCCGTTATTTCCTGAAGTTCATGCAAATAACTAAGTTGTGAGGCTGATTACATCATTGATTGTACTTGAGTACTGAAATTTTAAAACTACTTAAGGGGCATAAAGTTGATCAGATGCGATTCTAATTGATTTGCTGATTCCCAGAACTGGACGTAGGTTCTATTTGAAGCAGTCTATATTTTTGGAAAATTACAGACGGTCTTGTTTGGTCTTTTTCAATTAACCACTTAAAAATTCTCAACCATACTTTATTTGGTTTAGTTCTCAGTTAAACATTTGCTTTCAAGAGTATTTACTTTCTTCATTGGCAGGATCTCAGTAAGACAAAATAGCAAATCTCTCAACTGTCTGTTTACTTACTTAGACTTGAATATTAAAAGCACTCTGTTGTAAATAGAGATAGATGTAGCCAGGCTTCACTATACTTTCTTTAAAACATTTCTCAGTTGCAGGAAAGCCACCATTTTAAAAGCCTTTTTTTGTTGTTTGCGTGGAGAGGAAATGAAGTTGTTTGAAGCCTATTGATGAGCACAGATCTTGAGCTTGCAGTATCACTTAACACTTCTTCCCTGGCTTTTTCTGGGACTGGATACCTGGACTTCCATGGACTTCATTATACCACGTATCCATTCTTCACCAACATGGTTCACCATGTTTAAGGCTGGATTTTTTTTAACCCATAGTTGCAGGAAGTCATTATCAGGGAGATGCCTCCAGGTTTAGCTGTTGGGGTAGTCCTTGTTCTTTCCCCAGTTCCATTGATTTTGTGTGAGGAGATGTCAGTGGCCACTCCTGCTTTACCAAGTCACACTAGCCTTGGCGATCAGGATTTAGGTGAGAATTCCAAATTCCAGGAGTATTTCAGCTGGAGCCACTGGCCAGTGTTCTCTCTGAGCCTCCACATAAGCCCCTCCTTCTTTTCCCCTGGTGTCCCTGCTCTGCTAGTCACATAGCTCCTGCCACTGCTAGCACCCAGTCTGTAGCTCCGATAACCATATTTGTTAGAGGTTTCCCCACTAGAAACAATTATTTTAGTCCTTCTTCAATGCCCAGGCTGCTAAGTCTAGCGCTGCCCTCTTCCCCTGCTCTGTAATCCTTCCTTCCCCTCCTTTTAAGAATTTTTAAAAACGATTCCCTAGGAGCTGGCCTGGGTCAGAGGGCCTTTGAGTGGCAGCACCTGGAGTCATTTGGATAGCATTTCTCCCTGAATCAAACTAGTCCTCCACGGCTAGATGCTCGGACTTAAGGTATTACTTGTTGATTTTTTTATATTCTTGTGTGCCTCTGAGAGTCTAGCACCACTGCCCTTGAGATCTAGATCCCCCTGCAAGTTAAGGCAACCTTTGGCTTTTCTTTTTGAAAGTCATAATCTTAGTGTCTTGGTGGCTGAACCATCAGTCAGTTCCAAAGTTCCCTTTATCATTTCTCACAAGGAATTTAGGGCTCCTACAGGTAAGACATTTGTTGATCAGTCCCAACAGCCTAGAATTCCCTAAATGAATGTACATATTAGGTACTTATCCAAACTCTTTCCATCTGAATAAAATAAAACGTGGTGTCTGAGGTTCATTTTTTGTTTTATATCTCTCCTTGTTGATTTATATGTTTAGAAACTAGATATGTATATTTGTCTGTATGAATAGCTGTATATGCTCTATATTGTATTATACTAAACATGTGTCTCCATTAAGTCTAAGCTTTCTTTTCCTCATCACTTCGTTCTCAGAACTCCCGTTCTGACTTATATTTAGCCTGGCAATAGGCTGACGCATGTCTCAGATGCGAGTACTTACACCTTTTAACATAGTTAGAATTGGGAATCCCACTCATCATTCCTGTTTTTATTTGCTCTCTCAGAATGGTCATTGTGTATTTCCTTGTTGCATATGTGGTTACTGGCCTTGAACTCTGGATGTAGTGGTTATCAAGAACTGCAGATTGATCTCTTCTGTATTTTCTTCCTGTCCTTGAAAATACTACCAACTTCTGTTGTTCCTTTTGACATAAAACCAAATAATCAATGTTATGTTTTTGTGCTTGTTCCCCACTTGATTCATCTGCAGAAGTCCTAGGTAGGAGAGTTTCTGTATAGCCATATTTTTATTTAGGAATCTAAGTACAGCAAATCAACTTTGGACTAAGCATTAGGAAATCTGTGTTTTTGGCTTGGTTGGGTTGTTGAATTGCTTTGTAAACTCTGTGCTTGCTTAGACTGCTTGCCTAATCAGTTTGGTTCTGTTTCATAATGCCACTACTAGATAGTTCAGTATCTGAAGCATCTAGGTTGCTTCTAGTCACCATGGAGACTTAACAGAAGGCTTGGTGTAAATAAGGGTAGCACCTGTGAGGGTAGCACAGGTGAAACAGTACCTGTGTAATGCAGGTGTTGGAGATGCATGGGGATAGGTATTGCTTGTAAAACAAGAAAGCCTGAAGTCGGGTATAGGTGAACATATTGTTTCTACTGGTAACAGTGCCATGGACCCATTTCTTTCTTCTTTAACAGTGACTCTGGACTTCTAAAACTTCAACTTATTATCCATCTCTTTTGCCTCTCTCCTCTCCCTTTAACCATGGTTAGACCTCTTCTTGCTTCACCTCTGTTAGAGATTGAGCAGAGGCAGGAAGAATGAAACCCAGAAAAGTCAACTGAATTTTTAGCAATACCCTTAAAAGATTTCGAGTGGGACGAAGGTTTTAACTATTCATATTACCTATGTCTTATTCTTTGTGTAACTGAAAATTTGTCAGTTTCTTCTTACAAATACATTTTTATTAAAATATGTTTTCATTTAACCAGTCTTCACCTATATCACATAGTTATCCCAGTGGCCCCAAACTTAACCAAATGGATGATTAAAGGGTGACTGATTCTAAAATTATGATCTAGAGCCAATTAATTTGTTCACAAAGAAAAATAAAAATAATAAAACCGGGAAATTACTTGGAGTAACCACAAACCAGATACAAAGTAAAATTAGCTACTTCTGACAAACTATTGCTTTGCTTTTAAAATTCTCACTTGCTTTACTTAATTAGTATATATAGACCAAACGAACAATGAAAAGTTACTTATTTTGGTTTTTGATCAGTTCAGTGTCTTGGCTTTTGACAGTTTTTAACTTTAACTTAGTTTACGCTCTGAAATTCAATCCTAGCAGCTCATTTGTGCTCCAATTTGGGGACTACTTGCATAAAAGAAGTCTCTGGAAAGCCTATATAGCATTGACTGTCAAATTAATGATATTCTATTCTCATTTGTAATCCTTTGCTTTATAACCTTATGACCTTGGAAAAAGTCACTCCTTTGTTTATACCTGTTTTCCATCTATACATGTGTAAATATTCTACTCTTTACTCCTCTAAATGAGACTATAAACATTTTTTCAAACATCTTAAAAACTTGAATATACTGTGTGAAATGGTTCTTTACTTAATGTTTGACTTAGGAAGGCAGAATTGCTGTTGTATGATTGAGTCCCAGAAAAGCTGATTACTAATTGGCCTGGTACAAGAGTGTGTCTCTGTTCAATAAGCTTATTTAATATTTTAGTGTAACCTTAATAAAGTTTACTAAAGTTTTATGTTATTTAAGACTATGGAGATATGCATGTTTCATATTTTCCTAACAGTTAACCAGTATTACTTTCCAAATTTTTAAATGCTCAATGCTATTTTAAGAAAGATATATTTAGACATATTACTGAACATATAAATATATTTATGATTACTCATTACTTTTAATTAATACTTTTTAATCTTTGGTTCTTATTTCTAAAATAAGCTTTCTTAGAAGATAATTAAACATTGTGTTTTTTCTTTTAGGGGTGAAGAAAAAGCAATTTATACTATGCTTTTTCTGAATTTAAGTTCTGGATCACAGAGCAATTCTGTGGTAGGAGATGATATCATGTAAAAATATGCTGGAGGGGCTGGGCGCGGTGGCTCACTCCTGTAATCCCAGCACTTTGGGAGGCTGAGGCGGGTGGATTGCCTGAGCTCAGTAGTTCGAGACCAGTATGGGCAACACGGTGAAACCCTGTCTCTACTAAAATACAAAAAATTAGCTGGGCGTGGAGGTGTGCGCCTGTAATCCCAGCTACTTGGAGGCTGAGCCAGGGGAATTGCTGGAACCCAGGAGGTGGAGGTGGAGGTTGCAGTGAGACGAGATCGTGCCACTGCACTCACGCCTGGGCAACAGGTGACAGAGCAAGACTGTGTCTCCAAAAAAAAAGTATATATATATGTACGTATGTGCTGGAGGAATTGATTTGGATTTATGATTGGTATTATTTTCCTCATATTACATATTCACAGTTGACGGCTGGGCACGGTAGCTCACACCTATAATCGTAGCACTTGGAGAGGCCAAGGCGGGTGGATTGCTTGAGCCTAGGAGTTCAAGACCAGCCTAGGCAACATAGTGAAACCCTGTCTCTATAAAAAATACAGTGAGCCAAGATTGTGCCACTGGGCTGCAGCCTGGGCAACAGAGTGAGACCCTGTCTCAAAAAAAAAAGAAAATTCACAGTTGTCAAAACATAGTTCTTCTAATGTTAAGCACTTGTTTATGCTATAATAGTAAAATGTTTCTTTTTTTTTTTTTTTGAGATAGAGTCTCGCTCTGTCACCAGGCTGGAGTACAGTGGTGCGATCTTGGCTCACTGCAACCTCCGCCTCCTGGGTTCAAGCAATTCTCCTACTTCAGCCTCCCAAGTAGCTGGGACTGCAGGCGTGCACCACCATGCCCAGCAAATTTTGGTATTTTTAGTAGAGACGGGGTTTCACCATGTTGGCCAGGATGGTCTCCATCTCTTGACATTGGGATCCACCCGCCTTGGCCTCCCAAAGTGTCTATTTTTAAAAAACTTTTACTGAATGATATTTCTTCCTGGTAAGATTGGGATAAATGAACTAAGATTAATTGACATCTTAAAAACTGAAATCAGTGTTCAGAAAGTAAATATTTGGATTATTGGAAAAATACTTATTTTTAAAACGTAGAGGTAGATGTTTGGCATAACAAATGAGAGTGACTGTTTTGCTTAGAAGGAATGAAATACTGCAAAAGTCTGACAGAAGTTAAGATGTACTTAGCTGTCAGAGTTCTTGGTGATACCCATAGGTAAAGAACAGTGGCTTTGCTAAATAATTAACCAGTCAACTGTAGCCAAAATTATAGGACAGATAAGTTCAGATAGGTCTATAGAATTCTAGAGAGCAATGTTTAACAAAATAAAAACAAGCGAAACACTGAAACGCAGGTATACCTCGGCACTGGAGATTGAGTGGCGCTCTGGGAAATGCAGCCTTCTCCAGGAAAAGGTGGGAATGGTCCTGGCAGAGCAGAAGCAGCGAGGCTAACTCGATGGCTCTGGCAGTGAGGCACTGTACCCTCCTACCTCCTTCACCATGAATCACAGCCAAATTATAATTGTCAGAGAGATGGTTGATCATTTTGATGTAGGGGAGAGAGCACGCTGGACTAGGTACTATTCCCAATTTGTCACTTAGCTTTTCAATGACTTTGGACAAGTCTCTCAACTTCTGTGAACCTCAGTTTTTTCATAATATGAAAATGGACAAAATATGGACACCATTAATTGCTCTGTTTAACTCTCATGATTGTTGCAAGAATTGTATGAAGTAATGTGTGCAAGACCTTTGTAAACTGCCTTATACTATAAAGTAGAAGGATCCTAATCCCTAAAATAAAGCCACTTACGCAGGAGTAGGTGAGAAGGAGGTAAGACAAAGCTTTCAAGATATTTACCTTATGAAACTTTGTTGTTGTGGTTAGTATTTCTTTAGTGTATCATTTAAAACCATTCCCCAGCCTATTAGCATCGCGCTAATTGTACGCAAAGTTTACCCTTACATTCAGAACTCACCGGCAGGGCTGGACTTCGAGAATATAGGGATACATGGGGCCTGCTCTTAGAAAGTTCATGGTCTTGTAAGGGAGCAACTAGTAAAGAGTGTAGCTTCACAGAAGTCAGCCCAAGCTGCAGTGGGAGCACAGGTAAAGGGGAGGGACAGAGGGCTCCTAATTTTCCAGAAGTAACACAGTGGCCTGTTTACAAAGGCACTTGAGGCAATAATAGGCAAAGCTATCTAATGGTGAAAAGCACACTCTCTAGCCATAGACTGCTTGACTTTGAATTCTGGCTTTTCTGCTTGCTTCCTGTGTGACCTTGGAGATCTCCTTAGCCTCTCTGGGCCTTGGTTTCTTCATCTGCAAAATGGGCATAACAGTAGAACCTGTTTCATAGTTGTGAGAGCTGTACACTCAAAATAGGTTATGTTTTTATTTGACTTTTTATATTCTCCATTGTAGAATCTAAACTAGTGTTTATAATTAAAATTCTTGGATATCTAGAGGTAGAATCCAGACATTGTATTGTTTTGTACTTGTAATTAAAACACTCAGTATTTATGTTGTATGATAACATGTTTACAGAAAATTACTTAGATGATATATGTTGTTAAATATACTTATTTGTCATATTACCTTTTAATGATAGAGCTAGGATTGCAGAAATAAACATTAGATAACCACCAAACCAGAACTGATTAATACTACAGTACTTGTGAAGTTAATATGAAGTAGTTGAAGACACTGCGTCATGCTTTGCAGTTTTTATATACTTTCATACAAATACTGTCTTAGTCCTTTGATGATTCTGTGGATAAGGCAAACAGCTGACAGGTATTAAAAAACTGCTCTAAGCTTCCATTTTCTTTTCGGTGAAATTGACATCTGTGACTGGAGCAGGGTCACAGGACTAATGTTTAAGACAGCTGGTACCAGGACAGCCTTCCTCTGGTTGCTAATCCCATGCTCTTCTGTGGATCATAACACAACTCTCATTATGGTCAAAGCTGTCATCTCCAGTCACCAGAGAAGACACCATTGTGGAGAATAATTTTCCAAATAAACCTCTTTTTCTTGAGATGGAGTTTCACTCTTGTCACCCAGGCTGGAGTACAGTACACGATCTCGGCTCACTGCAGCCTCTGCCTCTGGGTTTCAAGTGATTCTCCTGCCTCAGCCTCCCAAGTAGCTGGGATTACAGGCACCTGCCACCACACCTGGCTAATTTTTTGTATTTTTAGTAGAGACGGGGTTTCGCCATTTTGGACAGGCTGGTCTCAAACTCCTGACCTCAGGTGATCCTCCCACCTTGGCCTCCCAAAATTGATGGGATTACGGGCGTGAGCCACTATGCCCGGCCCCAAATAAACCTTTTTATTTAATTTGCTTTTTAAAATTGAAAATGATTGTGCAGTAATGTGTTTCTGTATCTCTTTAACCCAGATGGCATTCTTGTGGGCTGCGTAATTTCTTTCCTTGCACTTAGTGTGGACAATGAGGATCTCCTTATTCCCAAACCCAGGGCACTCACTGGCTGTGACTGCATCATGGTACCCTGTTCCCTCAGGGGGTTTGAGGTTCAGGTACCCGTTGGGTTACCTTTACAGTCACTTAGCTACACATACAGAGTAGAGGCTCCTGAATCAGCAGCAGCTGCTACCTTGAGTGAAGCTTTTCACTCCTTCCCTGCTAACTCCCCAAGTCTCAGAACAATTCTGTCACAATCACAAGTTCTTTTCTCAAGTATCTGGAATGCTCTTCTTTTGTCATGTCTGATTTTTGTTTTATATTGGTACGTTGTTATTTATTAAGCAATTCCATTACTATTGAACATTTTGATTAATTCCAGTTTTGTTTTCATATAGATCATCTTTCAATAGAGAAATTCAGCGGTAAAGAAAAATGAGAAAATACCAGAAATTATCATATCAGAAGGGACAAATCACCCACATGAAAGTTTAGCTCAGTTTGCTGTTCACATCACTTCCTCAATTCTTTGTCGGTTCTGTTCTTTGCTGCCTGACTCCTAAAGAGACTAATTTGGCCACTCCGTTTTATGTCTAATTCTTTCTTTTCTTAGTCACTTCCCTTTCCATTTCATTTTTAGCTTCTCACTGTCTGATTCTGTTTTTGTTCTCTATGATTTTTCTTCTTCTCCTCTGACCTGTATATTGTTTTAGCAAAGATTTGTTGAGTACCTGTTATGTGCTGGGTCCCAGTGATGCAAAGGTGAATGAGAAAACCAGACAAGAAAATGAATGTAGTATACTGCAGAAAATCATAGGCAGGTGCAGGTACTGTGGAAGCCGAGTAGGGGAAAGGACAGACTCTGCCTGAGAAACTTAGGGAAGTCTTCACAGAGAGGGTACCGTCTGGGCATGTTCACTCCTGGAAAATTGGTAGGGGATTCTCAGACCAAGGAGCAGTGTGAACCCATTGACGTGTTTGGGAGAAATGAAAAGTAGTATAAAAAGAAAATTGTGACCTAGAGATTCAGGGGAGGCAGGTGTGAAGCATGACTAAAGAGATGGCCTGTGTCCAGTTGTAGAGGTTCTGGGATGGCCCGCACTGAGAAGGTAGGACTTTATTCTGGAGGTAATGAAGAACCACTGAAGGGTTTCAGCAGAACCATATCTGATCTGTGTGAGCTGCTGACTGGCTGCCAGGTGGAGTTAGCATTGAAGGGAGGAAAGATGGGAAGAATGGTACTCAATCAAGAAGCTTTTGCAATAACCTGGAGAGAGATGGAGAGGACTAAACCAGGGTGGAGTATAGGAAAAAGGGGAAAAAAGTTAATGTTTTAAAGGAAGAATTGGTAGACCTTGGTAAGAAGAGAGAGGGGATTGTCAAGATTGGCCCTGGGCTTCTAGGGCAGCAAGTATGTCACTGGTAATGCCAGGAACTGAAGTCAGGACTCCAGGAGAGGTGCTGAATCAGTGGGCAAGATACTGGTTTCGTTTTTTAGGTAATTTCCGTGTCTATGGGATGTCCAGGTAGAGGAGGCTGTTGGAAATATGACTCAATAGCCAGAGCTGAAGATGTGATTTTAGGATTTTGATGATGGTTTTAATTTTAGTTAGGAATCTATAGGAAACAAAGCATGTGTAGGAAACAGAGTAGGTATAGGGAATAAATACAAGAAAGAATGATGAGGACATATTGGAGAATACCATCATTAAAGGATGGCTGACATGTTACTGTAGTGAATAGAGCACTGAACCAGCAAACACTTAAGGATCGGGTACAGGAGGAAGGGCTACCAAAGAGACTCAGATGAGAAAAATCAGCCATTCAAGACAGAAGAGCACCACTGAATCAGGTTTAGGTGACATGGAGGGACAGGGAAGCTGCTGTCCGGAGAGTGTGGTGAAGTGGCCTCTGGGGTTCAAAATTCAGAGTTCACTAAGGTCAGTGAAAAATTATATATGTGGAATCTCCTCTGCTTTCTGAAAGTCCTGTTGCTTCTCGATTTTTACATGAAAGAACTGATACTTGTAGATACTAACTAATCAAAACATACTTTTTTTCCTGATTGGAAAACTGACTGAACTGAGTATGATTTGTTTATCTTTCATTAGTCTTGGCTGTTTTTGTTTGCAACTCAAAAGGTTTTCTTTTTCTCACCTTGAAAGAGCAGATCTTGTTCTGGTTCTAGCCAGCGTAGAACATATTAGAAAGTTCCTAACCAGAAGTTCTACTCTATGTGGATTTGGTTAGACTAAGTCCTTTAAATCCAAACATCTGTTAATTTATACAATAGAGTTTACATATTGCGTGCACTTAACCCATGTGACTTCAACTGTAAATGTATTGAAAAGAGAAAGTACGACACATGTAGATAGATTCCGCCTCCTGTTGCGTGAGGCTGGCAAAGGTGGAAAGAAGTCTGCTTTCTTCTTCTGTTTCAACTCCAGGTATCTCTCATGGTAACACTGACTCCCCAGACAGATTATGAATCTGGTATTTAAAGAAGTGTGTATGTGTATGTGTGTACATACACATATATATGGAATAAACCCTAACATAAGCAAGCCACTTGACATAATACTCAAAGAACCAGGAATCCGTTTTAATGCTGGAGGAAGTAAGCTGTTGTAGACCTATTGTTTAAAACCATAGTCAAGTTGGCTTCTAAGTCTTTCCAAGGGCTTTTAAGGAGATATATATATATATTTTGTTGTTGTTGTTTTGAGACACAGTCCTGCTGTGTCACCTACGCTGGAGTGCAGTGGCGTGATCTCGGCTTACTGCAACCTCTGCCTCCTGGGTTCAAGCGATTCTCTTGCCTCAGCCTCCCAAGCAGCTGGGACTACAGGCGCCCACCGGCACGCCCGGCTAATTTTTTTTTGTACTTTTAGTAGATAGGTTTCACTATGTTGGCCAGGCTGGTCTTGAACTCCTGACCTCGTGATCTGCCCACCTCGGCCTCCCAAAGTGTTGGGATTACAGGCGTGAGCCACCGTGCCTGGCCAAGGATATTTTTTACTATAAACGCTTCCCCCCTCACATGTAGGCTTTAGATCATAGTACTCCTAGAAGGTGCAACTCCTTAAGTAGATCTGCATAAATGAAATCAACCTTCCTCCCTTGTCATTTTTTGGAGGGAACATTAAGACCACATTTGGTAGAAAGGACCACAAGGCCAGCTCAGAGCAAAGAGAACAGTGGACAGTTGGAAACCTTTTGGTAACCTGCGTTCTGGAAGAGAGTTTACCTCCTGCAGAGTAAAAGTAGGAAGCTGTAGATGAAGTAAGGGGTGCTGAGGGTCATTGAGGGGATGGGCTATCAGGGAAGTGTAATGCACTGGGAAGAGGTGGGGTCGAGCATCCAGAGCCTTCGCTTCTCACCTCAAGCTTCCAGTTGTAGTGAGTGGAAAGTATATAAATAACTTCCTTTGACCTTGTTTTTCTCACCTGAGATGAGATAACTATGGAGTAATTTGCTTTAGAGGAACAGAGGAAAAACACGGGTGAATGGAAAGATCCAAGGAAAGGGAGGTTTTTCTGATCCGGTTGAGGTTGCACTTCGCGTAATAACTATTGTGAGTATCATGTTGGTAAGTCTTCATGTAGGGAAATGGCATTATTTAGATGTTTGTGCAGGATCTCTGAGGCTAAACTAAGAAGGGAGCTGGGGCACCAGTATCCATGTAGTTCATCCAGGATGGTTCTTGGACTAAAGTGGTGCCCGTTGTGTGACTTTGCTCCCTTTTGACTCTATATATTGCTCTATTTTATATATTCTTGACACCTACTGATTTTCCTTCCATGTCTGTCAGTCCAGGTACTGTATCACCTGTAAGAACCAAGACTGAGCTCTTGAAAAATACTTTTCTGACTATTCTAGCCCTTAATAATTATTCCTTTCCATATTCCTGTGGCATTTTCAGGTTATACCACAAAGAAGAATACTTTTCTCAAAAATACTTGCTGATCATTGTGTGCAGTTCTAGGCATAGAATTATAGATAACATTTATTTTGGTCTCTTTGTTTTATATGTATATTACCTGTGGCCCCAGCTAGCGTGGAAGTTCCTTGATAAATACTGTTCTTTTTGTTTTCTGTCATTTTCTTTTCTGTAGAGCTTTCATTGTTGAGGTTCCTCAGTGCTGAACTAACAAGAGGGTACTTCCTTGAACATAATGAGGCCAAGTATACAGAAAGAAGAGAAAGAGTATACACTTGTTTGCGAATACCAAGAGAATTGGAAAAGGTACTATTTTTTCTTCATTACCAGACATCATTTTGAAAGTTATGTCAAAGTATTAATTATGCAAAAAAATGGTCAACAGCTAGAGTTGAGTTTTTTAAATAATTGAAATAATGTTATTGGGGGAGTAGAAATTTCCTTACAGGAAGAAGCTTTAAAGTTACATTTTTTAGTGTAAGACCCAGTGATAGGATATTAATAGATCTATCAAAATCTGAACTTTTCTGCCTATCATTATCATTGTGTGCTACATCAAAATAACTTTTGTAAGGAATTAATCTCTACTTCTGTACCCTTTTAGTTCCCTTCAGTTCTCTTTTACTAGAAACAGGTTTTTTTTCCCCCATTCAGCATGATAAATTATTTAATTTCAGCCTTTTTAAAGGTTTCAGTTTCTCAGAAAGCCCACATGTTTATAAACATACAGGACAGTCTCTTCAAAGAAAAAGATGGTTTGTTTAATCTTTATCACAGGAAGCATCACATTACAGGGTGAGTGTAGTAACAGCAGCACTACATCTTCACGTGTCTTATTCCTTGGCTGTGCCTTATCCTATCAAGACCAATAAAATAGGCTGGGAAAGCAGCCCCTTCTCCCCTAGGCGATGCTAGAGTTGGTGAGTCTAAGCAATTCCAAAATTTCTTGCTAAAAGAAAAGAAGAAATAATTCAGCTTCAGCTATATTGAAACATGTTTTCATACTTCTGTAGTAACGTAAATCTTGTAATAGTCCAGTCGTCTTCTTAGAATCATACTTTCTGTTGGAGTGGCTATCAGAAGAGTTTGGTTGGCTGGATTTATTGGTACATTGTAGTAACAAGAGGTACTGCAGGCAATGAGGAGTAAGGACCCAGCTGGTTTGGCTGATGTTCTATTTCTGATAGTCTATCAGTTTAATAGAAGAAAAAGAGCGAAATGTAGAGTGACAGTTTCAGAAATGTTGCTTTATGTAGGTTCTTGGTGAAGCGTCACTTGCTGAAGTTTTAGGGAGTTCTGTATTAGGGTGGGATTTAGAGAGCTGGTGAGCAAGCAAAGATTAGAGAACAAATATGGCAGTGGTTTGATTGCCTTTGGCAAGGATCATTAAATATGCTCAACTATTACTGTATTCCTGCATTTCTAGAGGACTAGAGTTCCCTGGGGGGGCCTGAGGGACTTACAGATAAGGAGGGAGGAGGAGTGGGCAGGGCTCTCCACAGCACTCCTCTCCAGCGCAGCAACAGCTCTGTCTTATACATTGAGATTTATCGAAGATTTTGTTTGGGGAAAGGAGTAGGGTAGGCGGATGTTTCTTTTACTTGGAAAAAAATAAAAGATTAAACCAGTTCTTGTGTCTTAAAAGACTGTTAGCTTGCTTTGCAGCTTTCTTCCAGCAATAAGCCATGAGATGGAAGTGTGAGGACACAGTGCAGGGGAAGTGGGAAGGACAGCCTGCCAGGGCCTGTATTTGGACAGGATAGTGCCAGCCACAATCAGCTTTTGCCCACCTGGCCTCAGCCCTCTACAGGGGAATTTGTTTCCTGTCTTTCTGAGTAGTTATGAACTCCCATTTTTCTCTGGGGAGAACACAGAGGGATTTGCCTGCAACTCCCACCAAACTTTATGAACACAACCAGGGGACTGCTTCAAAGTGGGTTGGTATCTGTCTCACCCCTTTTATTACCCCTCCTGTGGCAAAACTAATGAGCAGTGGCAACATCCACTCCTGATTTTGTTACCTCAGCAGAGACAGGCTGGTTTCACGCTTCCTTCTTTCTTTCTCTTAAGGCAACACTGAAATAGCAAGCAATGTTTTGGGGTAGATTTCTCACAGAAACTAATAAGCATTTCATGGTTGTAATTATGAGTATAAATTGTTTTCTGGAGAAAATAGCTTATACTTATGTCTTGATGAGACTAAAGTATAAACCAGTGATTCTAAATTGTGGTCCACTATAGAACCACTAATGGGTCAAGTAATCAGTATAAGTTGCCATCAGAATTTTTTTTTTAAGAAAATAGAAGAAGTATTAGAGAACATTGCCTATACTAAGAATAAGTATTGTTTCATGAAACTTTGGTTCCATTTGTATGAATGTAAATGTATAATGTCAGAAAAGTTGCATCAACACTGCTCATACACAATTGTAATAATTTTCTAATGATTTTTGTTTTCCCTGAGAGAGGCTTTAGGCCTGTTTGGGAAAATTTGATGTAGTCTCTTAGAACAATACTTAAGAAGCTTTGTAGCCTAAATGTACAAAAGAACATCATGATTTTCTGTTTGGAGCATTTTTTCTTAACTTCTAAAACCAAGTGGGATGTAGAGGAAAGCCAATTTAGGTTTCAGTTTAATTCCAGGCTTAAATATCTCTCATAACTGCATGAATTCACTCTGCTATCTTTAAGGCCTTTATTTTTTATAAGTAGGATTTCACTTAAAGTTTTTATTATGAGTTGAGAGCCTATCTAGACATGCAAGATAACCTAAATAATTTTTTATTGGCTTTTTTTGTTTACATTGTCTATTCTAATATATAATATCTTACTCATTTTTTTTCTTTTTTCGATGAATGCTATGATATTTTCACCTAACCTTTTCAGGAAGAGAAACTTGAAAATTAAAGCGCACTTTGCTTCTACAAAGGTTGCAAACACCATAAAACATGTAATTAATTTTTATATTTTAAGATAAAGGTCAACTTAATATGTCTTATCAAACCTGTTTACTAATGTGAAAAAAAAAACACCCCAATTTTTGTGTTGTATTGTCATTGGATAAATACCTTATACTTGACATTTAGTAAAAATGAATTGCTTATATATTTTACATAGTATTTCCAATTATTAGCACATTATTTTCACTCTTAAACTTCTTATTTTAAGCTAAGGGTATATAATTTTGGAGTGTTTTATTGGCTTTTGAGAGACATTTCTTCTCTTCCACCATAAATGTCCTCCCCTGACCCTACAACCCCTTGGGTTCTATGTACCAGATCTTCTGCTGTTTATGTAGTCCACTTTGGGAACTTTATTTTTCTTTTTTATACAACCAAGGAGATTAAACTATACTTTCTCTGCCTTCTAAATTGAGAGGCAAGATAGCAAAGTGTTTAAGGGGATCATCTCTAAAGCCGAACTGTCTAACTCTGAGTCTTGGCTTCACAGTTGATTGGCTGTGAGTCCTTGAGCAATTCACTTAATCATTCTCTGCCTAAGTTGTCTCATCTATATATTAATTATATGGTAAGCATGTAAAATTTTTCACAACCTTCACATCAGCAACTCAGGGGGAATGCACTACTCTGCTAGAGTGAGAGGAATTTAAAGGTTGCTTGTCCCCGATTACATTCTGGTGGATGTAATATTTTTCTTTGCAGTAGGGATAGCTTTCATCTTTGGGATGTGCACAGCAGGAGGTGATTGGGAGAGGTGTGGTTTTTAGGATTTCCCTGTGTCCCAGTTTTATCTCACATTATACTTTTAATCTCCCTGCTTTGCTTGCCACTAAATTCGACTTTGCTAACCCTGCAAGGGGCATGATTTTCTGGCTCTTGGCCCTCTTGGGTTGCTGACCATAGGCAGAAAAAACCTCTAGGGAAAGCTGTCTTCTTTCCTCTTTCCTTTTACCTAGGCTGTCTGGGGGTAAAGCTGATCTCTTTCATGAAGAACATAACCAATGGCCATGAGAGATGATAACACACCCTGACATTTTCTGCCAAGCCCTATAGAGTCTGGCCTCAATGGGCACATGCCTGAAGCCTACAGTTATAACAGAAACAGGGTGCTTTAACCAGAGGCTTGGTGAAATCAAGGGCAGGGAGCACCAGTTTCCTAAAGAGGAAATTCCTGGTGAGTGAGTTCTCACTGTCCCATACCCCACCTTGACTTGGACACTTACATCCCACCTCTTGTATCCATTTCTGTGTGAATAATAAATAATGTTTGTTATGTAAGGATTAGGTGTCAGATACTGTCCTAGGCATTTTACATGTGTTTGCGTTCAATCCATTCAACAGCCTCACAAGATATATATACTATTAAAGCTCCAATTCCTTTGTCCACCCCACGGTGGCAGTTCTTCATTGACTTCCAGACAGATCTCTCCTTCCACCATTGTTTGGTGGAGGTATGTGCTAGTAGTATATGCTCTCCATTTAGGTCCCCTAGGAACAGTTTACCATGCATCAGGTACAAAATTGTCCCTTGTCTAAGGACTAATTTTGTCATCTTTGTGAATCTAAAGCTACAGTAAATAGTAAAGAAATACACATTATAGGATCTTCTAAAATTTCCTGTTATGTTTAAATTCAAATTTAGAAAGATAAAGATCACTTACACACTTAATTATTAATTTGCTCCATCTATATTTTGAGTACTTTCTATGTTCCAAGAAGGCACTTTTGCAGTGCAAAATACAGAGATAAGACTCACACCTAGCTTAGGAGATATCAGATCCATAAGTTATTATAATACAGGATACAACGTGACAAGTGCTTTTAAATAGTACAAATAAAATATGAAGAATTTAGAGAAGGGGAAGTGTGCCTAGACAACAGACCTGGGACGAGGATCCAGGAAGGAAAAAGAGAGAGATTTTGTCGTATATGCTTTGTAGGATGGGGTGGCTATGCTAGGAAGATCCAGAGGTGGAAAATTGTTAGGTGTGAACAGGAAACCACCGACACATGCTGGAAAGAAAGATAGACTGGCCAACCTAGGCAATGTGGCAAAACGCTGTCTCTACAAAAAATACAAAAATTAGCCAGGAGTGGTAGTGCACGCCTGTAGTCCTAGCTACTCGAGAGACTGAGGCAGAAGGATTGCTTGAGCCCCAGAGGCAGAGGTTGCTCTGAGCTAAGATCATGCAACTGTACTCCAGCCTGGGCAACAGAGTGAGACCCTATCTCAAAAAAAGAGATAGGCTAGATCCAGTTATGTTGAATGGTCAGGCTGGAGAGTTTAGAGTTGAGTCTATGGAAGGAGACTATTAAATATATATTTCTTAGGAATGCTTTTAGCTGTATAGAATGGAAAAGCTGGCTAACAGTCATTTAAACAAGTAGGAAATTATTTTTTTCAACAAATCTAGAAGAAAAGAGGTCTCAGTTGTTGCAGCAGATTAATGAAGCTGTCACGGACCCAAGTCCTTTTCATCTTTCTATTTTGCCATCCTTGGCAAATTGGCTTTGGGTCCTCTTGCTTGTTGTCTTCTAGTAGAAAGATGACGGCTGCAACCTCGGCATTACATCTGCATTATAAACAAAGAAATGGGGTGGGCATTGCCACTTTTTTGACTATGCCTTTTATAAAGATTGAAAGATTTCCCAGACGTGGCCTGGAATACTTCCACTTCTGTCTTATTGTCCAAACTGAGCTACATAGCCATTCCCAGCTGCAAAGGAGGCTAGGACAGTGAATGTTAGGCTTTTCCAACAAACAGAAAAGAACTGAGAATGGTTATTGGGTTAGCCATCCGTCAGAGCTTTCTTTCTGGAAAATTAGTATAGTCATATTCAACATGGACTGGAAATGAGACAAGCAGGGAGAGCTCAAGATCCTTCCATGAATATAGTTAATATATAATTTAATTCTACAATTAAAATTCTAATTTAATTCTACAATTACATAATTTAATTCTACAAATTAAAATCTTCATTTGATTTACTTATTCCCCTCTCATGGTATTTATTTCTTGGGTTAAATATGTCAGATGTATGTTGTGGATTATCATGAAGCCTTTTAGCAATATTCTTTTCCGTGTTTATATATGTTCATGTAAGCTTGCATATCTGGTTAAACTAAAATGAAAATATTCTGTTGACTTTTCTTTACCTTGTAATTCTGTGCTTTTTGGCAATTCATTATTTCATTGTTACCATGCCTTGTACATTATAGCTATTTAATACATTTTTCTAAAAATTAAATTCAACTGCTTAAATAGAATGACTTAGTTTTCTTACCAATGTAGCAAATTTTTATAAGCCTTAAATTTGTCAGATTGAAGGTGTAAGTATTGATATATTGTTATTACTAGGCATAGACTATTATTGTTGAAAGGGGGAAGGGTTACTGTCATACAGGGGAATTATTTGTAATCAAGCATCAACAACCTTAGCTTCTTGAGTCTGTTTGTAATAGCTGAGGCCTGATCAAGGCATCAGATCTCTCTTGGGTTTTACTTTCTTCTATGATTAGAAGGTTGTACCTAGGTCATCTCAAGAGGTCTAATAGTGCATGATTCATTGAATGAGTTTGCCTGTGAGGAATGGTGAGGGTAGATGGAAAGATTTAAATGTCTAGTGGAGTAACTTAATTTTGCCTTTTTGAAGGTCGTGGTGGGGTTAACATTTAGGAAAAAATAATCCAAAAGTTCATTTCAAACGAACGGACTTCAAATGTCATATAAAGCCTTTTTGTTTTATGTCAGTGTGAGGATATGTTAAGAAAACGTAATGACTATTGTTTCCCCTTTATTTCAGTAAAACAGTCCTGGGATTTCATTGTGAAACTAATAGAGAGTATTTACTCAGACCCATATTTATGGCAGTGTTTTCTTGGGCATCCTAGTCAGTTTCTGATTTCATAAAAACATGTTCAGAGAATCATCCCTCTAAATTCTTCTCATAATGCAGCTCTTGCTGGTGACACACCCTTGTGCAGATGTTCCCCCTCCTTGTCCCCCAGCCCCTGCTGTGTGGCTGCTGAGAAGCAGGAAAGCCAGTAGGGATCCACATGTCTCAGAATCTCAGCAGCCTTGGCTGGTGCTTCTCCCCTTCTCTCCGAGGCTTGTCACACCCTGCTTGTGGTGGTAGTGACCACAGCTTCCACGTTCTTTCTGCAACTGTCTTACCATTCTTAATTTTCTCAGGGGAGGTTGGGCATATGAGACTCATCAGATAGTTCTAAGACAAGCCAGCAAAGCCTTTAGGCCTCTAGCACATTTATTAATGTATTTAAAAGATAATTTTTGAACTTGGCACCATGGGGCCATGTTTATCTTTGTGAATCAATCACTTATTTCTCTCATTTCAGCTTTGGAAACAGTCTTAAATTTCTCTTCTCTGTCTTTCCATTGTCCTATGTCAGGCTGCTGTGATCATTCACACTGATGGCTCTTCTCCTTCCGTACTGTCCTCTCTGCTCACTGCAGCCTGCTGTGGTGCTTCGTGCTGACCACTCCCTAGAAAGTCGATCTCATCCTAGATAGAAGGTGTAGGATCAGAGCCTAGAGCCGCAGCTAAGACCTCTGTTCCTTAGGTGACACTCAGTCTTGCCCTGGGACCCTGAGGGCACTCCTGCCTTGCTGCATCATTCCAGCCTCTCAGCAGGAGCACCACAGCCCTGTCTAAGCCCTGTCTGTAGCAAGCAAAATACCAAGTAATAGTTCCTGCCTGGTGGGTTGTTGTGAGGATCAAGTTAATGTGGGTCACGTGCTTAAAATATAACAGTATTCAACATGGATTGGAAGTAAGAGAAGCAAGAAAGTCTCAGGATCATTCTATGTGCATAGTCCTACAAATTAAAATCAATTGACTTGTTTTCCATGGCTGCATATGCTTACATAGCTTGCCTATCGTAAGAGAACTTGGCTCATGATAATCCCTTTGTTGGCCATCTCCTAGAGTATAGACTTTCTGGGGCATGAATTTTTTAATTCGGATGATTAAAATGATTTTATTGTAGGGATGACCTTGAATCTGCAGTAATTGCTTTCAAAGTCAGTCATTTATAGTTTTCTTATTGATATCCTGTTCCCCTTAACATTCTGCTGATTGTTGATCCCTATATGTGAGTTTATTGAGAACATCTTCATTCTCAGCAGAGATTTATCAAAATGTACATGTTTCAAAATAACCTAATCATCTTCAGGTACCTCTTTAAAATAAAAGAGCTATAAGTGAAAACAGTCAAAAGACAAGGATACCTTGGAACCTAAGAATGAAAATTTGAGCTCCTTAGCAATGAACTGAACGTGATTTTTATGCCTCTTGCATAATGATTATATCCTAACCTCACCACTAGGAGGCTACTCACATTGTACCTGTGCATGCTCTTTCCTTGGTTTGAAATTCGGTCCTCTTTACTGCCTGGCAAAATCTAGTGCCTGTCTTCTCTCCTCTGTGGGACATCTCTGCTATCTCTTGCACCTCCTTCCCTGTGGTGTGCATGCCACTCTCACCTGCCCCCAAATACACACGCTTTACAGACCCAGGCTCTTCACCTGTGTTTCCAGAGCACATCATTCATCTGGCACTTAGCATGCGGTTTGTGTCAAGCTCACTGGGTTGTGAATTCCCTGGAGAGGATGTCTTTCCTCCCAGTGCAGTATTAAGCAAGATATGGTCTCTGCTTTTACAGGAGTAGACCCAGAGCTTTAGCACAAGCTTTATAAAAGTGAGACTAAGCCTCTTTACTCCTACTTTCTAACACCCTAGACCAGCGATCCTCGACTAGCAGGTGGTATTTGGTGGTTGTGGTGGAGGAGATGGTATTCAGAATTTCCAGAAGATGGTTAGTGTAATTCAAGGAGATATATTGCAAAATCATTATGCTTCTTTCATTTTAGCCATAACATTTTGTTTATTTTGAAATTTCAAATGGTGCTAAAAGAAGGGCAGGAGATTTTTGTCATAAAGGGACACGTAGATTTTTTAAAAGGTGAAGAAACCCTGCTTCATTCCCCACAGAAAGAGGCTGGCGTTTTTACTTGTTTATTTCTCTTGAGGCAGGTATTTTTCAGATGCTAAGTGCAGTACTATTAGGTTCAAAATAAATATGATAAGAGCAGGTTGTAGAAATTTTCACAAGTGAATATTTTGTTTACTTACAATGTCACAGGATAATTTTCATTTTGTAATTTCCTTAGCATTAAAGTTCAGATGTTAAAAACTTATGTTAAACTTTATTTTAAAATGTGTATAATGGTAAATCCAGTGGTGAGTGAGGCCAGAAGGATGAGTGAAAGTGTCATTAGTAGAAATAGTGCTTCAGTTTTCTGCAGACTGAGTGAAGTCCTGGCTCTGCCTCCACCACTCAAGAACCCAGGCCAACTCCTTGTCTCACTGCAGAGTGTGGGTGGTACTAGACTGCGGCCATGCACAGGCAGGGCCCAAGCCCAGCACCTGGCCAGTGCCCGGTTGCGTTGCCCAGAACCTGTAGAAGGCTTCTGAAGTCCTTCCAGAAAAGATCTCTCAGAGACAGAGAGCCTGGTGAACATTTCTGTCCTTTTATTGTTTTCACTTATAACTCTTTTTATTTTAAAGAAGTACCTGAAGATATTAATTAAGCAAAAGATTATTTTGAAACATGTACATTTTGATAAATCGCTGCTGAGAATGAATTTTAGAAAATATTTTAAAATTATATGTCTGCAGTTTGTAACTCAGTACTTTTAATTCAGTTTTGCACAAAGAACTTCCCAGTGTGTTCCCACTCGTATACTCTTCTGCAAAGCTTTCTGTAGTCAGTTTGAGCTGAACTGTCTTCAGTGCTTTGGAAGCTGCCTAGGAAGGAACTAAATTTCAGCCTGGCTGCCTATCCGGGACCTGATTTTCAGACTGAGTTGCAACTTTTTAGTGGATCACAAACGCTCCTGGGAACATCAGGTTTCTGGCAGTTTCTGCCCTCAGTACTGAACCAGCAGTCCACTCGCAAGGACGGAAAGGCTTCTCAGTGATAGGAGAGTAATAGAAAAGGACCATGAACTCTATCTATATGGACCTTGCTCAGCCTCCTGCTGTACTGCTTTGTGTGTAAGACAAGAAAACATGCAACACTGGGACTCTACGCTAATCTACCACACGTGACTCTATGCTAATCTAGCATCGTATTTTCACTGCTGTTCATAATGAGTCTAAATTGTTAAAAACAAAAAAAGGGCCTATATATTCAGATTAAGAAATCTGGCAAATATTATGTGTAGCATATTTTTGAGATATTTTTATCAAAAATTAATAAAGTGTATTCTTTCATTTAAAGACATGTGAATTTGTTTGCTAGGGCTGCCATAACAAAGTACCATAGACTGGGTGGTTTAAACAACAGACATTTATTATCTTGCAGTTCTGGAAGCTGGAAGTGTGCAATCGAGTGTCAGTGGGGTAGTTTCTTCTGAGGCCTCTTCTTGGCTTGCAGATGGCTGCCTTCCTCTTCGGTCTTCATATTATCTCTCCTCTGTCTGTGCCTGTGTCCAAATTTCCTCTTTTATAAGGACTCCAGTCACACTGGATTAGGGCCCACCCTAATGACCTAAACTTAAATTACCTCTTTAAAGACCCTATGTCCAAGCACGGTTACATTCTAAGGTACCAACATAGGAACTTAAATTACCTCTTTAAAGACCCTATGTCCAAGCACGGTTACATTCTGAGGTTCCAACATAGGAACTTGATAGAGAGGACACAGTTCAGCCTGTAACTATGAATTTTAATCTGTGGAGGCAGGGCAATTTATTGACTAAAGATACATGGATGCTGTGGTGAGGGCATATGTATCATACCATAATTGTGTGTCAGACATACAGAAAGTTGCCACTCTTAAAATGAGTAGCTGAGTTTGTTAGCCTAGTGGTGGCTACTTGGCCAAGTCCTCGAAAGACTTCACCCTCTTTCTGTGAAATATAGTCCTAAACTTAACAAGTAAGAGTGTCTAATGATACCACAAAAAGAAAGGGTATGGCAAGTACTCAAGAAAGGAGGAGAAATATAAACACTAGGAGGCTGGTCCTGGAATTAAGAATAAGGCCTTCTGAGTGCAGCAAGTTTCAGTGCACATGAAATTGTGTTAAAGTTAGTGATCAGTTTGCATATTTTTAACATAAACAATATTGTAACTCAATATATATTCCAGTCTTTCCCATCAATGAAGCATTCTAATAAACAGGAATAGCAAAATTATGAGGAATAAAGATTTTCCATAATATCTAGAGCTTGAGGAAGTACTCAGAAAGCCGCATCAGATGATGTGCCATTAACTATGGTCAAGGGCAACTTGTTTTTGAGTAATTTCTTTTGTGAGTCGTAAACCAAAGGCTCTGAGGAAGCACAGACTCACTCTTTGAAGAGAAGAACTGTTAATTTGTTATTCCCAGGGCTAAGTTTTAAGAAATTAATTTTTTATAATGTTTAGAAATTCTGGTTGTTTGGAATTTTCATCTACAAGTATTTTTAAAATACTTTTTTTTTTTCTTCTCTCCTTGTTAAAATTCAGCTGATGGTTTTTGGAATCTTTCTGTGCCTGGATGCGTTTTTGTATGTGTTCACCCTGCTTCCTTTAAGAGTTTTCCTGGCACTATTCAGGCTCCTCACTTTGCCTTGCTATGGCTTAAGGTAAGTTTAAGATCGTTAACTATTGTAAATGTATAGTATTTCATTATTTTTAATACTTGTAGTGGTTGCAGAGTAAGGATAATTCATACAGTTTCATCCACACTTTGGCCCTTCATGCATAAACTGTTTACCTTTTTAATGGATATTATATAATATGTTTATATAATATTAAGCTTTTTATATGCTTATTTTTTTCCAGAATTGTTTTGAACCGAAACTTTGCTTTAGCCGGTAAAATAATGTTAATGCTGGAGGCTTTGTAGCAGTGTAGAAAGGACCCGGGTCTGAAAGTCAAAGACCTACTTATCACGTTCTTAACTCACCTGGGCCTTTATTTCCCCAAAGTCCTTGGGCCTCGTAGGCATCATCTGTGGAAAGGACAGGGTTCTAGGCTGGAGTGGAAAAGGAATCTCCTCAGGAGCTCTTACTGCAAGTGTTCCTCCTCCATTTCATTTGAGAATCATTGTAATGATCTGTGGAGCCTTAGTTACTGGTTATGGACGAGACTGATTTGTGAGAGTGGAAAAACTCTGGAAGACCATTGTCCCCACGGGGAAGATCAGAGAGCCCGACCCGACATTGATTAGCTTGTGAGCTGTGCACAACAGCCTGACTTCTCTAAGTGTGCTTCCCCATCAGCAAAAAGGGGGTATTGAGAGCTCAGCATCTTTTACCACAAAGATTGGAAGATGTAAAAAAAATACCCAGCATAGTACCTGGCTCATAGTAGACCAGAACAGATAATCTGTTTTCTTCTTTTTCTTCTCTACCAAAACTCAGAATAGTAAGGTGAAGATGTTAAGCTTACATGAAGCTTAATGCTTTATTGGTCTTGAGGTTAAAAGCGAGTTTGGCTTTTACGGTTTTCTTTCTTTGTACAATTATGCCGGTGTGTCTCCACTCTGTATATAGTCACTCTTCACAGCATTTTTATTGAGTTCTTAGCATAGATGTCGAGGTTACATTTCTGACATGCATCACTTTTCTACATACATTTCATGCTGGAAAAGTTCTAAAATGCTAAAATGGACAATAATTTGTGAGACTTCATTGAACTATGGTGACTGTTCCGTGGTGTATAAAATATATAATTAATAAAATAATTTAACCATAGCAGTTGAGTTAAAAATTAGTGGTCGATATACACATTTATATGGTTTGTTTTTTTAAAAGACTGAAGCCATGAAAGGTTCTTTTTTAAAGTAGTAAATGAGCGTATACTTGATATTTAGTAACACATACAGTCTTTTTAAAAATAAGACAATCAGTTTTGATAGAAATTCCTCCCAGTATAAATTGGAATAATTATTATGATGATCACATTATAAAAGGATTTAAAATGCTTGTTTTGCAAGATTACATGGAGTAAAACAATTATAAAAATTCAGCTCCTGTCATTGTTATATGCTATATTCTGTAACTTACTTGCCTTCCAGGATAACAGTGAATTAGTGTTACATATTTTATTAATCACAAGTTAATCAAATGGGAAGGTAGTTTTAGAAATTTAGTTATTTGCTTTAAGGCATTTCTAGTACATCCTTTTTTCTTTTGGGAGAAGTTTTAAGAAGGCCTTATTATTAACAAGCCTTTTTAAAGGCATTTGTAGCGTGGTGCATTAATACTAACAAAACCTAACCACAATAAACTATTTTCTTTTATCACTCCTGGGAGCTTCATGATATCATGGCATTTTAGTTCATTTTCAGAAGACCCAAATACAATCTAATAGAACATTACCAAATATACATCTTTATTTGGAACGGGATAAAGCGAATAGAAACATGGAAATTTAGATAAAGTCAGGTGAAACACATGACATAAAATTACTAATATTGCTGGATGTGGTGGCTCATGCCTGTAATCTCAGCACTTTGGGAGGCCAAGGTAGGAGGATCGCTAGAGGCCAGGAGTTCAAGACCAGCCTGGGCAACATAGTAAGAACTTGTCTCTACAAAAAATTTAAAAAATTAGCCAGACATGGTGGCACATGTCTGTGGTCCCAGCTACACCAGAGGCTGAGAGGTTGGAAAATCACTTGACCCTGAGAAGTCAAGGCTGCAGTGAGCCATGATTATGCCACTGCACTCCAGCCTGGGTGATGAGTGAGACCCTGTCTCAAGTAAAGAAAGAAAATAACTAATACTATGTAGGGCTTTTCACATCTACATTATGAGCTACATTACTTTTTAGTTATTCTTTGATCAACAGTGTGCGTCAAGTTCATGTTCTAGCCATCTTTATGTGGACGGCTTTTAAAGACATGTCATGTTCTTAGTGGCTGTTGGCACAATGTGGTAAAACATTAAAATGATAGATAAGCTAATGACTGTATTCCTTCTGGAGTGGTCCCTTCCTTGGGCATTGGTTAGCACACGTATGAGGTATACTAAGTAACAGTGGTGATTTGCCAGTGATCCCAAGGGTCTCTCTTCGGGGACAGTTGTTTGAAGTTCCACCTTGTTATATTGTACAGGCATCTAAAACTGTGTTGCACTCAAGTTCATTTCTGTGTAGCCCCTGTTACGTGGGGGTACAGGGCACATAAAATAGCATTAGAAGAGTCTTTTCTAGACCAGCACGGTGGTACACACCTGTCATCTTAGAACTTTGGGAGGCCAAGGTGGGAGGGTAGCTTGAGGCCAGGAGTTAAGACTAGCCTGGGCAACATAGCGAGACCCTGTCTCTACAAAAAATAAAAAATTAGCCAGTTGTGGTGGCACATACATGTAGTCCCAGCTACTTGGGAGGCTGAGGTAGGAGGATTCCTTGAGCCCAGGAATTCGAGGCTGCAGTAAGCTGTGATTGCACCACTGCATTCCATCCTGGTTGACAGAGCAAGACTGTCTCTTTAAAAAAAAAAAATTCTTAAAGTGTTTGTTCTAAAAACTAAAAGATGTTACAGGGAACTGGGAAATCTTAAATCCTCTGCCAGTATTTACTTTTACTAGTGGTTAATGATCCCTACCTCTAACCTTTTTTAGATATTTTAAGATTTTTTGTAGTGCATAAGATGATTGCTTTCTTACATTAGTTTGAAATACTTTGAATCTAAATTAATTTGAGTATCATTTGAAAATAAGATGTTTTCTTTTTTCAAAGTTTTATAGCTAAAATGACACTAGAGGGCAGCCTGTTACACATGACATTTAAGACTCCATTGAGGATTTCCCCTGCAAACACTTCTTACTATTTCTGCTTTGGATTAACTGAAAAATTAATTTCATGCTATCACTAATAAATACTTATATGTATAAAAACATGAAATGCAGTTAAAATTATATAACTGTTTCAGCAATTTTAAATGATAGGAGTTTAAATGAAACTTAAATTTTCATTTAAATTTTAAATGAAACGGAGTTCAGGCAATTATAAATGCTTTGAGGATAGGCCAGGTTACACAGAATATGAAAATCCTGCCTAATGTCTTAGTGCCTTAAGTATGGTTTATCAAAATTGAGTAATTTGTGCTTACAGTAATATAGGCTGCAATTTTTGTTTCTTTGAGCAATTTAGAAAATATCTCTTTGAGCATTATTTTTAAAGTCACGAAACTTGAAATATTTGATAAGGTAAAAGTTACATAAACAAAGCTATTGTTAATATTAAGTCTAAGACCTTTCAAATATTTTGGAATATAAAAATACTTTTTAGGTTTACCAAATGATTATTTAGAAATAGCCAGATTTTGCCTTCTGATAGCTTTTATTCCTGTGTTTTCTACTTCCATTAAAGATTATTCGATTTGTCTTGCCTGTAGTGATGTCATGTTCCATCCTTTTCAGCAAGCAAAAAGTGCTCTTTCCTTCAGTCTGACTTTATTTTTTTCAAAGAAATAAGAAGAAGTGAAATAGACTGGCAAAGAAGTTGATTGCAATTTTTTAAATAATTTTTTTTTTTCACTCTCCTGTATTTCAATCTTCTTTCTGTAAAAACTTACTGTCTTCCTAGTCTCTTTGTTCTTTGAAATTGTTTTCACAAAAGGGAGGAAACAGTCCATTTGTCAAATTAATCACAATGCTGACGTGAAAACAGTAACTCTTTGCAGACTCTAGAACTGTTTGGTTCAGTATCACATCAATAATGTAAATTATTGCCTTCTTTTTATATTTGAGATCAGTGTTCTCACCTCATCTGTTTGCAGATTTACATCTTGTACAGCATTTGTGAGAAGCTTTTTAAAGCACATAGACCCCCGTGTTCTCTGCTTCATAACTTAATATTTGAACCTATTTCTAGTTCTTCTGCAAACTTGCCATGGTTTTTGACTTAAGTAAAATAAAGACCCTGTCCCTTCACTAAGGCTGAGGACAAGGGTGGTTCTACAGTGCCTTAAGTAAACCCAGCCTTCATCATGATGGCTCATCCAGCAGGGTGTTTTGCTGGCTTTGACCCTGTTGTTTAAGTACTGTTCATTATGAGATGTTGGCAGGGTAATTATCTGCAGTCATATTTGTGTGTGGTGTTTGCCAAGGATGCACTCCCTCCCTAAAAGTTAATGTCTGTCCTCAGTGATCTCAAGAATACTTCACTGAAATAGTTTCT